>NC_000005.10:66984807-67609807 GCF_000001405.40 Homo sapiens | reverse complement strand
CAGTAATCATCTTCAAATGATGCGTTTCATTGTAAATTACCATATCAGATTGAGTTTTTTTGTAAATTATTTTATTTCTTCCATGATGATTTAGTGGGACTATCTTCAAGCCAGTAGAAATATTTCATAAATAATATCTGGCCGTTTTCCCCCTTTTTTTTTTTTTTTTTTTTGAGACGGAGTCTCACTCTGTCCCAGGCTAGAGTGCAGTGGCATGATCTCGGCTCACTGCAACCTCCGCCTCCGGGGTTCAAACGATTCTCCTGCCTCGGTCTCCTGAGTAGGTGGGATTACAGGCACGCACCACCACACCTGGTTAATTTTTGTATTTTTAGTAGAGACTGAGTTTCACCATGTTGGTCAGGCTGGTCTCCAGCTCCTGACCTTGTGATCCACCTGCCTCAGCCTCCCAAAGTGCTGGATTACAGGCGTGAGCCACCACGCCCGGCCTATCTGGCCATTTTCTAACCAATTGGGTAATTTGTTGCACAGTAAAACACCTCACATCTTTCAGCAAGAAATATATTAAATTTGAATAGTAAATACATTACATAATGAATTAGGACACAATTAAAATTTGCTTTAAATATTTCTTTGGGGGAGAGGACACTTCACTTCTACTCAATGAAGAGTAACATTTTTACGGTCCAGAGGTCTTTTATTTTTTTTAACTCCGATTATGCCATGAACTCATAGGGAATAGGTTCCAGCAGCTCAGGCTCCTTCCCATTGGTTCTCACAGAGTGTGCTTCTCTGGGTGGAGCTGGCTGGTCCTTCAGTGGAACCCAGGTCCCTTTCTCTTTGGCTTCTTCCTTTTTATGCTCATTTTCCTTCACACATTTCAAGAAGTTATCTCAGCTCTTAGAGTGCTTAATGTGTTCAGTACACCCATTTATTCTCTGGGCAAGAATCTTGCCCTTAACTTGTTTACAACAATGCCAACAGCATGCTGGGGAACACTGTAGACCCTTCCAGTTCTGCCGTAATAACACTCGTGGGGCATTCCTTTTCAAAAAGTACCCATTCCTTTGATGTCTGCAATATCATCTTTCTCATAGATTCACATATACATGCCCAAAGGAGCAACTCCGTGTTTTCTAAAAGGCCTAGAGCACACATACTGCGTGCCTCCTCTTTCCCTTTGTGTTCATCATTTTGGTGAATTACTAGAAGACGGTGGGTCCGGCTGAAAAGATCAGATAGAGTTTTACTCATAATCATGGCTTGGGATCATTACTTACCCTTTAGTAGGACATCTACTACCTCCCCTTTTTCCCCTCTTCTACATCACATTTAGAGACCCCCAAAATCGAGGTCCAGTCTCTCATCTATGGTCTGCATAAGCCAAATGAACCTGAGAATACTATGATGATCTGAGGCTCCATGGTCTCCATTTACTGAGGAATTGAGATAGGTAGGCATGTTGACTTGAAATGCAGGAGGCTTCAGTAACATGGGGGAAAGAATGCCATGTGGGAAGAACGTTTGACCAGTAGTTTCTGATTCTTTTCTTCAGTTTCAACTCAAAATGACTACAATGTTCTTCCCCTAACTTGCCCTCAGCGATTCAAAGCATGTTCTCTCACACTAGCAGAGAGTCTATTCAAACTACTGAAAGGCATGGCATACTTCTAGGCCTTGGGAATGTAAAACCTATATGACAGTGAGCTGTTTTTACTCACAACCTTCCTGCCCTCTTAATACCAAATGAGAGAGATCTTTTGGTTTTGGTTTTGGTTATTTTTTTCCTCAGAGGAACCGATTCTCTGATTCTCCAGGCACAAACCGGGTATTCAAAAATTCTATCCCATTCTGACACTACCTACCTAGAGTCGGTGCAGACACCACAGGTTACCAGGTTACTGGCTCAGTCCCACATGACTTCCCTCCCCCATTTCGGATGCCAGCCTCAAGTTCCAGGTCTCTTGAACCCCTGAGCACCCAGCTATAAATCAGGCATTTCCATGGCCCCCTCCTCAGGTTCAATAATTTACTAGAAAGGATCACAGAACTCAGGAACACACTTTACTTACATCTACCAGTTTATGAAAAAGGATACAATACAGGAATAGCCAAATGGAGGAGATGCATAGGACAAGGTATAGGGGGTGGGGAGCTGTAGGTGAGCTTCCATGCTCTTTCCGGGTATGCAACCCTCTAGCACATCGATGTGTTCACCAACCTGAAAGCTCCTGAACCCCCAGCATTTAGGACTTTTTATAGGGACTTCATTACCTAGGTATGACTAATTAAATCATTAGCTATGGGCAATTAACTCAGTCTCCAGCTCCTCTCCCCTTCTGGGAGATTGGAGGTGGGTCTGAAAGTCCCAACCCTCTAATCACGTTTTGGTCTTTCTGGCAACCAGTCTTCATCCTGAAACTATCTAGGGGCCTACCAAGAGTCACTTCATTAGAACAAGAGACACTCTTACCACACTTACCACTCAGGAAATTCCAAGCACTTTAGGAGCTCTATGCTAGAAACTAAGGACGAAGACCAAATATCTTTCCATGACACTATAGACAGAGGCTACAACCTTTAAAGTTCTTGCGACTAAGTTTAGAGGTAGGATGTGGACATAATGATATAATTAACAATACAATGATGTATTATCTTTGAGTATTATGGACCCAAAGTGTTATAGGCATTCATAAAAGAAAGTATTCAATCACCAAGGGCTAGAATAGCCTGGATCAACCCAACCTCCAGGGTGGCTGTGAAGGTTATTGCACTTACTCCATGCCAGGTTAGGCACAAACACAAAGAAAGAAAACCCTGAAGCTCACTTTTTCTAATCTGAGCGATGTTGGGGGTGGGGAAGAGAGTAAAATCAAGAATGAAGTAAGATGCCTAGATTTCAACCTCCCCATCTCCATTCTGTGCTGGAAACTTGAAGAGAGGGGCATACAACAGGGAGGTAGACAGAAAGGAAGCTTTAGAAACATTAGAAGAGTGACATTGAAAGACACTGATCTGCCTTTCTAGTCCCAGTGAAGAGTAAACTGTGACCCTTCAGAGAAACCTCAGCCTGTCCACACAAACACCAACACAAACATAGTACAGCAGTGACAGCACTGGAGAAGACAGCAGAAAGAAAGACGGTGCAAGAATATTTCAGTCCACCACACCTTGCAAGAGGTGCAAAGGAGCCCAAGATGTAGTCTACGGAGTCTGCAAGGAGATGCAGAAGTTCTGAGAGAAACTGTCAAATAGCAAAGGATCAGAAAGGAAGGGAAGGTGCTTCTGAAGATCTTTGAAAATGAAAAGCACCTGGAGGGATTGAAGAGCACTCCATAAAGCCTGGCAGTCATACCTCAGCAGGAATCGATCAAATGGGCAGACCTCTCTGGCCACCCCTGCTGTAAAGGCCAGTGACAATCCAAAGTTCACGCCAAATGTTTAGTCAGATGAGATAATTTCAAGGGAGAATCCCTCCCTTCTTTATCAAACCGGTAAGTTCAGAGGAGAATATAGATGTGTTCTATGATCCTAAGAGAAAAGACATGGTTGGGTATATAGATACAGGTTAAGCAAAAATACAAAAGTAAAAATTGGAGCTACGCTAGTCAACAAAAACTCAGGGGCAGTGTAGTCTGAGCCAACCACATGGGAGGAAGGAGTGGAGCTGTCAAAGACAGAGAGGCTGCCACAGTCAACTTTCACCTCAGCATTTTGTTGTAGAAATTGAAGCTCAAAGGCAGGATGGATGGCAGTTTGTGATTTGTAAAGATGTTCAAAGAGATTTTTAGTGATACCCGAACTCTATTGCCAATTCACTATTCACACATCAGATGCTAGGAGTTGTGTTATCAACACCATGTGGCAAGAAAACTTCGTTAAAAAAAAAAAACCTTCTAAATGTTATCATTGTATTGTCAGTTAATGATTATCAAAGAGAGACAGCAGAACAGCTTTAAAGTAGTTGAATGCACACATAGCAGCCAAGGAAGGGGAGAGCTTTATGAAAGAGCAAGTGGTCAACCACGCTGAATGTCTCAAGAAGCCTGCAGTGTAAGCTAAGGCCACTTAAGAGATCGAGGGACAAGCAGCAGCACAAAAAACGGGTGGGTGGGAGTGGAGGGACAGAGGGAACAATGACACTTCCACTAACAGGAGGAATTTTCCAGTTGAAAAGAAAGAGGGTGTATTCAAAGGGTTCAGAGAAGGTTTTTAAAATCACCAGTAACTTAACATCAATTTTGTGGGTTTCTAAGTTAGGAAAACCTTGTTCGTATGTACAGACAAAGAAAAAACAAGGACTTGGAGGAGGAATGATACAGGATGTAAGAGAAAGGGAAATGTTGGAGGGAACAAAGCTCTGGAGGCAGAAAGTGGTTGTTCAAGAAGGTGGATAATGAGGGAGGGGAACTCCTCTTCCAAAACAGCAGATGTGGAGGAGAACAGAATGGAATTATAGACCATGAACAGTGGACCAAGAGGCTGTCCTTGCTGATGGCACAGTTTCATAAGCTTGGCACTATTAATGCATTGGGCCAGACAATTCTTTGTTGTGGGGCTGTCCTGTGCAGGGTGTTTAGCAGCATCCTTGATCTCTACCCTCTTAATGCCAGTAGCAAACCTCCAGCTGTGGGTTTGCTCCAGACATTACCAAGTCTCCAGACATTACCAAGTATCTTCTGGGGAACGCAGGTGCAAAATTACCCTTGGTTGGGAACCACTAAGTTAAAGAGATGGATGGGAGGCACCCGAGTAAGGAAGCTGCTCCCATATCCCAGAGGGCCTCAAGCCTCCAAGGGGTAAGTTCATACAGGGCAAAGGAAAATGTGTGTGTGCAGGACACTGGGATGAAAACTGAGGTGTGGTTTATTAAAAATGAAAAGGGCTTTAAACCCTCTAGGAAAAGCTCCCTCACTCTGCTGTGGTCTTGATGCAGCAAGGTCACAGTGCCTGGTTAGAGCCATTCACTAACTTCTCAGAAAGGTAGCCATGTGTCTTGCAAAATCCTCGACTCTGGTACATATGCTGTGGTAGCTGAGATTTACAGCTGACACATCCCTGCTTTTGTAAAACTCTGTAATCTATTTCTTATGTTCAAAAGCTGTGTGGGATGTTTGTTGACAGCAAATTATTGCTGCTTCTGACATTTAAAATTGCACATGAAGGGGCAAGAGGAAGGCACATACTGCCACAAAGTGAGTTCTTACAACCTCCTCAGAGCCCCAAGGCCACCTGCCTGTTACATGCCCTGGATGGTAACTGTGGCCACCAGGCCAAGACAGATGTCTCTGTGTGAGTATGGTTAGTCTCCATGTTCTTGGTGAAATTCAGTGGGATAGAGATGGGAAGACCTAAATTACAAGATTGGGGAAACCGGGGCAGTTCCAAGATGGCCAAATAGGAACAGCTCCAGTCTACAGCTCCCAGCATAAGTGACACAGAAGATGGGTGATTTCTGCATTTCCAACTGAGGTACTGGGTTCATCTCACTCGGGCTTGTCGGACAGTGGGTGCAGGACAGTGGGTGCAGTGCACTGAGCATGAGCTGAAGCAGGGCAAGGCATCGCCTCACCCAGGAAGTGCAAGGGGTCAGGGAATTCCCTTTCCTAGCCAAGCAAAGCTGTAACAGGTGGCACCTAGAAAATCGGGTCACTCCCATCCAAATACTGCACTTTTCCAATGGTCTTAGCAAATGGCACACCAGGAGATTATATCATGCGCCTGGCTCAGAGGGTCCTACACCCACAGAGCCTCGGTCATTGCTAGCACGGCAGTCTGAGATCAAACTGCAAGGTGGCAGCGAGGCTGGGGGAGGAGCGCCTGCCATTGCTGAGGCTTGAGTAGGTAAACAAAGCGGCTGGGAAGCTCAAACTGGTTGGAGACCACAGCAGCTCAAGGAGGCCTGCCTGCCTCTGTAGACTCCACCTCTGGGGGCAGGGCATAGCTGAACAATAGGCAGCAGAAACCTCTGCAGACTTAAATGTCCCTGTCTGACAGCTTTGAATAGAGTAGTCGTTCTCCCAGCATGGAGTTTGAGATCTGAGAAGAGAAAGACTGCCTCCTCCACTGGGTCTCTGACACCTGAGTAGCCTAACTGGGAGGCATCCCCAAGTAGGGGCAGACTGACACTTCACACGGCCAGGTACCACTCTGAGACGAAACTTCCAGAGGAACAATTAGGCAGCAACATTTGCTGTTCAGCAATTTTTGCTGTTCTGCAGCCTCCGCTGCTGATACCCAGGCAAACAGGGTCTGGAGTGGACCTCCAGCAAACTCAAATAGACTGCAGCTGAGGGTCCTGACTGTTAGAAGGAAAACTAACAAACAGAAAGGACATCAACACCAAAACCCCATTTATACGTCATCATTATCAAAGACCAAAGGTAGATAAAACCACAAAGATGGGGGAAAAAAAGAGTAGAAAAGCTGAAAATTCTAAAAATCAGAGCGCCTCTCCCCCTGCAAAGGAACGCAGCTCCTCGCCAGCAACGGAACAAAGCTGGACGGAGAATGACTTTGACGAGTTGAGAGAAGAAGGCTTCAGACGATCAAACTTCTCCGAGCTAAAGGAGGAAGTTTGAACCCACGGCAAAGAAGTTCAAAACATTGAAAAAAGATTAGATGAATGGCTAACTAGAATAATCAATGTAGAGAAGTCCTTAAATGACCTGATGGAGCTGAAAACCATGGCACGAGAACTATGTGATGAATGCACAATCCTCAGTAGCCGATTCGATCAACTGGAAGAAAGGGTTTCAGCGACGGAAGATCAGATGAATGAAATGAAGTGAGAAGAGAAGTTTAGAGAAAAAAGAGTAAAAAGAAATGAACAAAGCCTCCAAGAAATATAAGACTATGTGAAAAGACCAAATTTACGTCTGATTGGTGTACCTGAAAGTGACAGGGAGAATGGAACCAAGTTAGAAAACACTCTGAAGGTTATTATCCAAGAGAACTTCCCAAACCTAGCAAGGCAGGCCAACATTCAAATTCAGGAAATACAGAGAATGCCACAAAGATACTCCTCGAGAAGAGCAATTCCAAGACATATAATTGTCAGATTCACCAAAGTTGAAATGAAGGAAAAAATGTTAAGAGCAGCCAGAGAGAAAGGTCGGGTTACCGTCAAAGGGAAGCCCATCAGACTAACAGCTGATCTCTCAGCAGAAAATCTGCAAGCCAGAAGAGAGTGGGGGCCAATATTCAACATTCTTAAAGAAAAGAATTTTCAACCCAGAATTTCATATCCAGCCAAACTAAGCTTCATAAATAAAGGAGAAATAATATCCTTTACAGACAAGCAAATGCTGAGAGATTTTGTCACCACCAGGCCTGCCCTAAAAGAGCTCCTGAAGGAAGCACTAAACATGGAAAGGAACAACCAGTACCAGCCACAGCAAAAACATGCCAAATTGTAAAGACCATGGATGCTAAGAAGAAACCGCATCAACTAACGAGCAAAATAACCAGCTAACATCATAATGACAGGATCAAATTCACACATAACAATATTAACCTTAAATGTAAATGGGCTAAATCCTCCAATAAAAGACACAGACTGGCAAATGGGATAAAGAGTGAAGACCCATCAGTGTGCTGTATTCAGGAGACCTATCTCACGTGCAGAGACACACATAGGCTCAAAATAAAGGGATGGAGGAAGATCTACCAAGAAAATGGAAACTAAAAAAGGCAGGGGTTGCAATCCTAGTCTCTGATAAAGCAGACTTTAAACCAACAAAGATCAAAAGAGACAAAGAAGGCCATCACATACTGGTAAAGGATCAATTCAACAAGAAGAGCTAACTATCCTAAATATATATGCACCCAATACAGGAGCACCCAGATTCATAAAGCAAGTCCTTACAGACATACAAGGAGACTTAGACTCCAACACAGTAATCATGGGAGACTTTAACACCCCACTGTCAACATTACACAGATCAATGAGTCAGAAGGTTAACAAGGATATCCAGGAATTGAACTCAGCTCTGCACCAAGCGGACCTAATAGACTTCTACAGAACTCTCCCCACCAAAGCAACAGAATATATATTCTTGTCAGCACCACATCCCACTTATTCCAAAATTGACCACATGCTTGGAAGTAAAGCACTCCTCAGCAAATGTAAAAGAATAGAAATTACAACAAACTATCTCTCAGACCACAGTACAATCAAACTAGAACTCAGATTAAGAAACTCACTCAAAACCACTCAACTACATGGAAACTGAACAACCTGCTCCTGAATGACTACTAGGCACATAACAAAATGAAGGCAGAAATAAAGATGTTCTTTGAAACCAACGAGAACAAAGACACAACATACCAGATTCTCTGGGACACATTCAAAGCAGTGTGTAGAGGGAAATTTATTGCACTAAGTGCCCACAAGAGAAAGCAGGAAAGATCTAAAATTGACACCCTAACATCACAATTAAAAGAACTAGAGAAGCAAGAGTAAACACATTCAAAAGCTAGCAGAAGGCAAGAAATAACTAAGATCAGAGCAGAACTGAAGGAGATAGAGACACAAAAAACCCTTCGAAAAATCAATGAATCCAGGAGGTGGTTTTTTGAAAAGATCAACAAAATTGATAGACCACTAGCAAGACTAATAAAGAAGAAAAGAGAGATGAATCAAATAGATGCAATAAAAAAAGATAAATGGGGTATCACCAACTGATCCCACAGAAATACAAACTACCATCAGAGAATACTATAAACACTTCTACGCAAATAAACTAGAAAATCTAGAAGAAATGGATAAATTCCTGGACACATACACCCTCTTAATACTAAACCAGGAAGAAGTTAAATCTCTGAATAGACCAATAACAGGCTCTGAAATTGAGGCAATAATTAATAGCCTACCAACCAAAAAAAGTCCAGGACCAGATGGATTCACAACCGAATTCTATCAGAGGTACGAGGAGGAGCTGGTACCATTCCTTCTGAAACTGTTCCAATCAATAGAAAAAGAGGGAATCCTCCCTAACTCATTTTATGAGGCCAGCATCATCCTGATACCTAAGCCTGGAAGAGACACAACAAAAAAAGAGAATTTTAGAACAATATCCCTGATGAACATTGATGCAAAAATCCTCAATAAAATACTGGCAAACCAAATCCAGCAGCACATCAAAAAGCTTATCCACCATGATCAAGTGGGCTTCATCCCTGGGATGCAAGGCTGGTTCAACATATGAAAATCAATAAACGTAACCCAGCATATAAACAGAACCAAAGACAAAAACCACATGATTATCTCAATAGATGCAGAAAAGGCCTTTGACAAAATTCAACAGCCCTTCATGCTAAAAGCTCTCAATAAATTAGGTATTGATGGGACGTATCTCAAAATGATAAGAGCTATTTATGACAAACCCACAGCCAATATCATACTGAATGGGTAAAAACTGGAAGCATTCCCTTTGAAAACTGGCACAAGACAGGGATTCCCTCTGTCTCCACTCCTATTCAACATAGTGTTGGAAGTTCTGGCCAGGGCAATTAGGCAGGAGAAAGAAATAAAGGGTACTGAATTAGGAAAAGAGGAAGTCAAATTGTCCCTGTTTGTAGATGACATGATTGTATATCTAGAAAACCCCATTGTCTCAGCCCAAAATCTCCTTAAGCTGATAAGTAACTTCAGCAAAGTGTTAGGATACAAAATCAATGTGTAAAAATCATGAGCATTCTTATACACCAATAACAGACAAACAGCCAAATCATGAGTGAATTCCCATTCACAATTGCTTCAAAGAGAATAAAATACCTAGGAATCCAACTTACAAGGGATGTGAAGGACCTTCTCAAGGATAACTACAAACCACTTCTCAACGAAATAAAAGAGGACACAAACAAATGGAGGAATATTCCATGCTCATGGATAGGAAGAATCAATATCATGAAAATGGCCATAATTCCCAAGGTAATTTATAGATTCAATGCCATCCCCATCAAGCTACGAATGTCTTTCTTCACAGAATTGGCAAACACTACTTTAAAGTTCATATGGAACCAAAAAAGAGCCCGCATTGCCAAGTCAATCCTAAGCCAAAAGACCAAAGCTGGAGGCATCACGCTACCTGACTTCAAACTATACTACAAGGCTACAGTAACCAAAACAGCATGGTACTGGTACTGAAACAAAGATATAGACCAATGGAACAGAACAGAGCACTCAGAAATATTATCACACATTTACAACCATCTGATCTTTGACAAACCTGACAAAAACAAGAAATGGGGAAAGGATTCCCTATTTAATAAATGGTGCTGGGAAAACTGGCTAGCCATATGTAGAAAGCTGAAACTAGATCCCTTCCTTACACCTTATACAAAAATTAATTCAAGATGGATTAAAGACTTAAATATTCGACCTAAAACCATAAAAACCCTAGAAGAAAACCTAGGTAACATCATTCAGGACATAGGCATGGGCAAGGACTTCATGTCTAAAACACCAAAAGCAGTGGCAACAGAAGCCAAAATTGACAAATGGGATCTAATTAAACTAAAGAGCTTCTGCACAGCAAAAGAAACTACCATCAGAGTGAACAGGCAACCTACAGAATGGGAGAAAATTTTTGCAATCTACTCATCTGACAAAGGGCTAATATCCAGAATCTACAAAGATCTCAAACAAATTTACAAGAAAAAAACAACCCCATCAACAAGTGGGCAAAGGATATGAGCAGATGCTTCTCAAAAGAAGACACTGATGCAGCCAAAAGACACATGAGCAAATGTTCATCAACAATGGCCATCAGAGAAATGCAAATCAAAACCACAATGAGATACCATCTCACACCAGTTAGAATGATCATTAAAAAGTCAGGAAACAACAGATGCTGGAGTGGATGTGGAGAAACAGGAACACTTTTCCACTGTTGGTGGGAATGTAAACTAGTTCAACCATTGTACAAAACAGTGTGGCAATTCCTCAAGGATCTAGAACTAGAAATACCATTTGACCCAGCCATCCCTTTACTGGGTATATACCCAAAGGTTTATAAATCATGCTGCTATAAAGACACATGCACACGTATGTTTATTGCGACACTATTCACAATAGCAAAGACATGGAAGCAACCCAAATATCCATCAATGATAGACTGGATTAAGAAAATGTGGCACATATACACCATGGAATACTATGCAGCCATAAAAAATGATGAGTTCATGTCCTTTGTAGGGACATGGATGAAGCTGGAAACCATTATTCTCAGCAAACTATCGCAAGGACAAAAAACCAAACACCGCACGTTCTCGCTCACAGGTGGGAATTGAACAATGAGACCACTTGGACACAGGAAGGAAACATCACACAATGGGGCCTGTTGTGGGGTTGGGGTGGGGGGAGGGATAGCATTAGGAGATATACCTAATGTAAATGACGAGTTAATGGGTGCAGCACACCAACATGGCACATGTACACGTATGTAACAAACCTGCACGTTGTGCACATGTACCCTAGAACTTGAAGTATAATAAAAAAAAAAGAAAGAAATTCAATTTATTATATTAAAAAGAAAAGATTGGAGAACCCGTCCCTTCTGAATCAAACTGGTAAGAATAGTAAGTTCACCCTTTTCAGGTGTAAGCGTAGTGATACAAGCCACTGTGTGGCAAGGAGCTCTTATTCTATATCCCTTTCCCCAGTCGCTCCTAATCTCCATCCTCAGCTGCCTCAAAATGATTAGTGGCAGGGACTACTGGAAATTCATTTCTTCACCTATTAGGCATGTTCAGTAGCTAAGCTACAAATTGTTCCCCCACCTCAGTAATAGAGAAGATAGGATTAGGAGCCTTCCCCAGGCCCTGGACAAAGCCATGCACGTTATATTATTGTTTAGTTAGATATATGGTTACACATTGTTTATCAAGCCAGAGGCACGAGATGGCAGACATGGACTGAGAAATTTGGGGAGAAGAGCAAAAATTCCCTTCTGGTGATTCTGATCAAGGGAACTTTTCTTGTCTATCTTTACAGAGGAACACATCTCTAAGAAAATGAAATAGAGTTCCCAAGAAGAAATACCTCCTACCTTCCACTAAGCCCATCCTGCCACTCACGAGAAGAGTTTATTTTTTCAGAATCCTCATTGCATAATCACTCTCACAACTTGAAAATAATCTCTTCTGATGACATGAGGAAGGGTACTTTGGGGAAAATAACACTGGATTCATTCATTCATTCATTTGATGACCTATACTGATAGAGCATCCATCACTGTTTTCAGCTCTCAGGATGAACAATGAAGAAGATCTGGAATGTTCTGCCCTCCCGGATTGTGACAGGAAAGTGTAGTGCTACTCATCATTCTGCTGTGAAAAGCTGTTGGACTTTAGGCCTTTTTTAAATCCATAAAACGAAAAGCAAGAACTTCTAATCTTAAGGCCTATTCTATCTTTAGCATTCACCATTTGGTGAGTCGGTCTACATTTTCATATTTATATTTTTATTTTTTCCAACTTTTATTTTAGTTTCAGGGGGTACAAGTGCACGTTTGTTGCATGGGTATATTGTATGTCACTGAGGGTTGAGGTATAAATGATCTCGTCACCCAGGCAGTGAGCACAGTACCCAATAGATGGTTTTTCAGCTCTTACCCCCTTCTCTCCCTTCCTGTTCTTATATTCCTCAGTGTCTGTTGTTCCTATCTTTATGTCTATGTATACCCAGTGTTTAGCTCCCACTGGTAAGTGCGAACATGTGCTATTTGCTTTTCTGTATCTTCATTAGTTTGCTTAGGATAATGGTTTCCAGCTGCATCCATGTTGCCACAGCAGTGGCTCTAAACATTGGGTTTATTCTAGGGACTGAATTGTGTCCCTTCCCCCAAAAATGTTTTAGGTTGGTGCAAAAGTAATTGTGGTTTTTGCCATTTCTCTCTCTCTTTCTTTCTTTTCTTTTCCTTTCTTTCTTTCTTTCTTTCTTTCTTTCTTTCTTTCTTTCTTTCTTTCTTTCTTTTCTTTCTTTCTTTCCTTCTTTCTTTCTTTCTTTCTTTTCTCTTTCTCTCTCCCTCTCTCTCTCTTTCTTTCTTTCTTTCTTTTTTGAGACAGAGTCTCACTCTGCCTTCCAGGCTGGAGTGCAGCAGCACAATCTCGGCTCACTGCAAGCTCTGCCTCCCAGGTTCACGCCATTCTCCTGCCTCAGCCTTCCAAGTAGCTGGGACTACAGGCGCCCGCCACCATGCCCGGCTAATTTTTTGTATTTTTAGTAGAGACAGGGTTTCACCGTGTTAGCCAGAATGGTGCTGATCTCGTGACCTCATGATTCGCCCACCTTGGCCTCCCAAAGTGCTGGGATTACGGGCGTGAGCCACCATGCCTGGCCACTCAGTTTTTGCCATTACTTTAAATGGTAAAACTGTAATTATTTTTACACAAATTATATATTGAAGTCCTAACTCCCTAATATCTGAGAATGTGATAGTATTGGGACATAGGGTCTTTAGAGGACTGATTATGTAAAAATAAGGTCATTAGGCGGGGCCCTAATGCATTATGACAGGTGTCCTTAGAATAAGAAGAAATTTGGACACAGACAAGTACAAAAGATAGATGATGTGAAGACAGAAAAAAGATCATCATCTGCAAGTCAGGGTCAGTTTTCAGAAGGAACCAACCCTGCCAACACCTTGATCTTGAACTTTTAGCCTTTGAGAACATAAGTTTCTGGTGTTCAAGCCACATAGTCTGTGGTACTTGGTTTTTCTGGGTTTTGTTTGTTTGTTTGTTTGTTTGTTTAAATCACATAATAGTGATACATTTTATTTAAGAGCAAAGCCCTCAGGGGTTGTCCCTCCCTGAGTGAGAGCCAGAGTCCAATACCACAGGGAGAATAATTGAAGTCATGGGCCTTTGTTAAATTATTTAAACTAAGAAATAGGTATTTTCACATGGGTTTTTTTCCTGAAAAACAATCAAGGGAATAAAGTGGAGGGAATCTAGCTATGACTGAAGGCAGGTAGTTGGCCTCCAGGGAAACAGCTGGGAATTGGGCCTGAGAACCTCCTTCCTTTTTTCTTCCCATTCCCTCACTTAATCCACCAACCACATCATCCTGCTATGTTCTATCATGTTCCACCACCCACACCATTCCCCTCACTCTAAGAGGACACCAGTGGTATTAGTTTTATTGTCATATAACAAATAAGTCTGTGGTACTTTTTTATGGCAGCCCTAGCAAACTAATACAGTGTACATCAACTCACTTGGAAGCACTTTTCAAACGATACCTAGGCCTAGTCATAATGGCCCAAAGTGAATGAAAATCTCCTGGCATTAGGGCGCAGGCCAAATAAAAAATTTTAAAGCAGGTTAGTGTTTCATCTGAGGTCCACTAAGTCTACAGAATTTAGTGAAACACTGATGAGCAACATCGGGCCTGTTGCTCTCCCTTCATCTTTTCGGATGTGTTATTTACTTTCACACAGACATTTCCTGACCCTTCACATCATGTCATGTGCTGACTAAAACACAGAGTTGAAGAGGCAGCCTTTCCTGAGGCAGTCCCTGTCACAAATCATTTGACCCCCTCATGCCTCTCCCTGTCTCCTGAACAAGGTAGGAAAACAGTGCACTGCTTGCTCTATGGGGTTGTTTTGAAATTTAATTACTAGATACTTGTTGAAGCTTTCCATAAAGTTTTTTGAAGAAGCAAATTCTCTGCCCACAAAGAATGTTTAATATGGAAGTATAGACTGGAGGCCCTACAGGCTCCAATGAGGCCTAGCTCCCTTTTTATGCAATTTAAGCACCAACTTCATCAACTTGGGGAGTCACTAAAAGGTCAATAGGGTATAGTTAAGGACTCTGTGGGCATCCTGCCTCTTCCTCCTAATTCCTCTCTTCTTTCTTCACCTCAATTGCTTCTGTGCATTCTTGTCAGAAAATCTGACTAGTATAATTTCACATTAATGACATCCTTGACACTTGTGTGTTATTATTCTGATGGAATAATACTGTGTTGACTTAAACATTAGTGAACTAATTGGCTTTATTATTGTTTTGACTACTGTTATCTTCTGGGAGTAGAGCCCTGAGGGAATGTACAAGGAAGTTGACTTGCGCAGTTGACAGAAAGTGGGGAAAGTTATCCAGAAGTCATAATTATCAAGAAGACTTGCATTACCTAGAAACCACGAAAAGGCCAGGCAGAGAGAGAGGTAGTAGGAAGTTGGAAGGGTGAGGCTCACTGGCAATTTATTCAAGCGCCCTCCTTATCTTTGATGTTATTTGTGTTCACATTGATGTCCTTAAAAGAGGGAATGTGAGCACCAGAGATGAGATTAAATCAGCTTTCCAACATGTGTGCAGAAAGTGGCTTACAAGTGTGGTGAAATGCCTACATACTAATTCCCTTCAGCCCTTAGGGATGTCTACTGGCCCCGGGGATCTTGTTCCCAGGACCATCCCCTCCAGTAGGTGGGAGGCTTTTCAGGGAGTTCAGATTCCCTCTAGTTTAAGGGATATGCAAAAAAAAGAAAAATCATCATTTCAATTCCATGATGGAAAAAAATTTAGGAACTGTATTAAATGACCTTCCACAGCTTCTTTTATTTTTATTGCTTCCCCTGTTACCCTTGCAGATTAATCTCTGCACAACATCCAGGTTGATCCTGCTAAAACTCCCTGCCTTGGTTCAGTTCCTTCCAAAATTGCTCATTGTTCTTAGCATAAATTCTTTTTTTTTTTTTTTTTTTTTTTTTTCTTGAGATGGAGTCTCACTCTGTTGCCCAGACTGGAGTGCAGTGGCAGGATCTCAGTTCACTGCAATGTCTGCCTCCTGGGTTCAAGCGATTCTCCTGCCTCAGCCTCCTGAGTAGCTGGGACTACAGGCATGCGCCACCACACTTGGCTAATTTTTGTATTGTTAGTATAGAGACGGGGTTTCACCATGTTGGCCAGGCTGGTCTTGACCTCCTGACCTCAAGTGATCCTCCCTCCTTGGCCTCCCAAAGGGCTGGGATTACAGGCGTGAGCCACTGCACCTGGCAGCACAAATTCTTTAACATGGCTAACAATGCCCTTCATCACTTGCCCATGTACATTTTGGGCCGCGTATCTCTACCATTTCCTACCTCATTCTCTGCTCTGACCAAACTCAACTGTTTTCAGTTTCCCCCAAATGTCACACAGATTCTCAGATCTGGGTTTTTACACATGATGCTCCCTCTGGACCACCACTGCCCACCCTGAACACACACACAATACACACAACACATACACAACACACATAACATACACACACAGATAACACAACATACATCTGGGCAACTCCTACTTGTTCCATAAGGGAAGGGATCATTCTGTTTTACTCACCGTTGGTATTCAATGTATAGTATAATGTTTCCCATATAGTAGTATTTTTTGTGTGAGTGGATGGATGAATGGATGAGTTTCTTTCATACCAGACAGTTAATAGGTTTGTCACTTTCAGCTTTTTTCTTTTCGTTTCTGCTTTCCAAACAAATTCTGTGTCAGTACTTGAAACAAAATAACCTTCTCCTCATTGAATATCTTCAAAAGGGTCTCACCATCTCTGGCCATATTGTAGGCAGAAACTTGAACAAAATCAAGATCCTCTTAGCATAGAAGAAAGCTGGGAAATAAATATTAAGTAAGAAACTACTAATACATTCTACAGTTTTCAAAAGAGGGAAAGAAGATACAGGGAGAAAGCAATACAGAAGGTCTACAACTCAACAAATATTGAGGTCCTATCATGCAATGAGCCCAGTGCTAAGTACTGGGGATATGGTGGTGTACTAGACAAACAGTCTCTCTCTCTTCAGAGACCATAAACCCTAGTTGGAAGTCCATACACATAAACAGTAATTTCATATTGACTAGGACATTAATAGAAGGAGCATAGGTGCCATGTCATATATAACAAGCTCATTTAACCTAATCCAGGGTCAGTGAAAATTTCCTTGAGGAAAGACTTCTAAGCTAAGACTTGAAAGATTGGCAAAGGTTATATGAGCAAAGGGTGAAGAAAAAGAATGTTCTTGGCTGTATGCCAAAGGCCTAGCTTCCAGAAAAAGAATGACAGGCTTTCAAAAAGCCGAAAGGACATCAGTGTGAAGGGAGTGTAGGCAGGGAGGGTGGGCTCTGAAGCAAATTTGGAGACATAGGCAAAGTCCTTGTCACCCAGAGCCTTATACCACCGTGCTATAGATTTTGGGCTTTATCCCAAGGGCAAGTGAAAACAAATACTTTAAACTAGGGAGTGACATGATCAGATCTGTGTTCCATAAATTCACCTTGCATGCAAGGTGGAGAATGTTTGGGAAGGGCAAGTACCCATGTAGGATCCCATACAGCAGATCCCTATGGGGCATCAGATGATGGTGCATGAGCTAAGGTGGTGACAGTAAGAAAAGGAATGGTAGGTAGATTGAAGGGAGATGGTCAGTAGAAGCCACAGAGTTTGGTGATTTAACTAGCTAGGGGAGTGAAAGAAAAGAAATAAATATGTGTGAAAAGAATGAATAACTGGGCCGGGCGCAGTGGCTCATGCCTGTAATCCCAGCACTTTGGGAGGCCAAGGCAGGTGGATCACCTGAGATCAGGAGTTTAAGACCAGCCTGGCCAACATGGTGAAATGCTGTCTCTACTAAAAATACAAAAATTAGTAGGGTGTGGTGGCGGGCACCCTACTAATTCCAGTAGGGTAATTCCAGCTACTCGAGAGGCTGAGGCAGGAGAATCGCTTGAACCCAGGAGGCAGAGGTTGCAGTGAGCCAAGATTGCGTCTTTGCACTCCAGCCTGGGCAACAAGAGCAAAACTCCATCTCAAAAAAAAAAAAAAAAAAGAAAGAAAGAAAGAATGACTGGCTTTCATATTTAATATTCAGTCATCTTCATTATAAAGCAAAAGCATCACACTCCACGTAGACCCATTCTCTGTCTCTGCCAGCATTGACTAGGCCTGTCTGGGGAAGATGAATAAAGTCTGTTCTTCCCAGACCTTTCCCTTCAGTGTAGGGTTTAGGAGAAGATCTGGGAGAGGCAATTTTCCTTAAGGAAGTGCTATGGTAAAGCTGCAGGCATCTCCTGGGTTGACTGCTGCTGCCTCTTCTGCCAGCACTAACCATTCAACAATGCCTTAGTGTGGCAGACATCCAAGGGCTGCCTGTCTCCCACGCCAAACACATGTCTGCCTTGGAGGAAACAGCTGGGGTCTCCTCAATGCATGGTTTCTGATGAGAAAATTCAGCTGTGACTTAACATTTTTTTGCCAACCCCCGCCCCTTCAGCTCCCACCTTGGCGGTCCTCCACCCATCAAAGATCCATTCCTGCCACTTGGGCTGCTCTCTTTGGGGGGACACCAGCAAGCCCAGCTATCTTAGGTTGGGTCCATTCAATCAGAAAAACATCCACTTGTTATTTCCATGCTAAGTGGTAGGAGCACAAGCCTCTTGGTCTTTACCTCTTCCCTAGGCCCCCAGTCACTCTTCAATTCTCTTTCTCCATATTCAGCGAACTAGGGATGGATAAGCAGTCCTACTAGCTATGCAGTTGTCTAACAGGGTAGTGAAGGGGCAAACACCTCGATGTGACTGGTGATTCTCTTGAGACCTTCCTGCATTGGCTTCAGGGAAGCCACAGCCCCCACCTTACTGCCACCATGTGAAGATAGAGTAGAGCTTCTCTCCAAGAGCACTATGCTTCCCAAAACTGGTCATCTTCTCTCCACCCAGTCCTCCGGCCATATGATTGGGCTGGGAACAGGAAAGGTGACTGGATTCATGGAACAGATTCTGGGGTACTCTTGATTAGCCTTTTAGGGTGGGGAGATAGCTCTAAATGCTGGAAACTCTCTGGAGTTCAAAAGTTAAGTTCTTGGTGATTTTGGTTTCCACTTCAACCTTAGCAACAATCCTGACAGCATAAGAAAACGCCTTTCCGTAGCTGATTATAATTTGAACAATGATACCTTTTACATTCTTCATAATGCTATAAAGTTAAAGGGCTTCTTGATGGTAGAGGGGAAAGTGGTAGGGTTGAGGGTTGGAGTATAAAAGCTGTACTGCAATGACATGAAATAAGAAGATTATGTTTCTTAGGTCCCAGTTCATCTCAGGATTGTGCTCCAAACCTAGTCTACTGTTGGCCATGGAAGCCTGAACTTGATATGCCAAGAAGTTGGCATCCAGGAAGACTGTAGAAGGAGCAAAGGAGAGGGGGCAGATGTGAGCAGTCCAATGATAACTAAAGGCAAAGCTCACTGAGATGAGCTTGGGGAAGTGACATATATTTGATTTCTTTGGAGAAAGACTAAATGGAGCCTGAATTATAAGCCTTTGTAACCAAGCATATTAGTAAAGTAAAGTAGCCATTTAAAACTTTTAATGAGAACCACTTAAAATTCCTTAAATTTGAGAAATTGTCATTTTTCATTGTCTTTATTATTTTCCTCCCAATTAGAGACATCTTGAACAATGTTTAATAGCTGTTTTCTGATAGAATATTTCTCACAAAAAGCCTCTACCATGAAAACCAGTGAATAATCTGTAAGTGCTCTCAAATGATAAAAAGGGATGAAAAGGGAAAAGTAATTGCATGTCTTGCACCTGCCTCCTGAAATTCGTTAGCAGCTTATGGTGCCCTGAAATCCTTTTTGAGGATGTTAAAAACAATCGCACAATTGTTCTGCTTCATCCTGTGTTTTATTATTCTAGCACTTAAGTAGCACAGACATAGAGAAGGTTTTAGATACATAGCCTGTTTTCAGACATAGAATACATCTCTGCATGCCATTAATTCTGAATTCTTACCACTTCTCAAAAGCACTTGTTTTTGCTTCAAGGGGCCATACCAACTCGAAACCAGCAAATTAAGTAATGCATGAAGGAAAGAGAATTCTGAAAATGGATTGTACTTTTAAAGTAACTTCACAAGCAGAAATCTTTAATCAGTACCTCCTTCAGTGCTGTAATTTATTTGGAAGAAACACTTCATTTCCTTACATAGAAATGTCAAATACAAATTGAGAAGCTTCGGTTAATCTTTCCCTTTTCCACATCTCACCCTAAGGGTGTTCCTCAAATATTGCATGTATTGACACCATCCCTGACTCAGTGACTCCTCTTGCTTGGAAATATTGGATAGTGCTTCAGCGATATGCTTCATCTGATTTATGCCAGATGGCCATCCTGTGAGGTCTTCATAGCAGCATCTTCACAGAAGAAGAATCTTGCTGCTTCTACTTACTTCTCCTGTGAACTTATTAGAGCCATTTATGAATGAGAGTTGCTAAAAAAGGTAATGACAATAATTGCTACCACTTACTGAGCATGTACTGTAAGGTGCTATTCTACATTATCTATTTTTTTTTTACAACAACCTGAGAAAAAGTATATTTCTGGCCTATCTTATGGTGGGGAACTGAGGCTCAGAGAAATTGTGATTGCCCAAAGACCAACTATTTCTTTTCCTGAGAACTTTTGTCTCAATAAAAATGGTAAGAAGGTCAGAACTTGGGACCTGCCAAGAGTTCTAGGAACATAAACACCTGAGGAGAGAGACTTGATTATTCATTTCAAGAGTTCAAGTAAATCTGGTCAATCCATCAGAGCAGAGTTAGTTTAAATCCTAACATCTCAGGTGCTGAGAGGAACAAAGGACAAATAGCTAATGACATTCTCTTGCCCCCAAGAATATATATTTCATCTGCCAGGCAAGATTATCCTGAGATAAAGAGAGTCAGATATGACAGATGAAGACTACTCATAAAGTGCAAAACTCTACGGTAGACAAAAGGTGTTAAAGAGAGCCATAGAAATGATTACAATTTCAGGAAGGAAGAGGAAGTGAGGTGGGCCATAAAACTCATTGTGATTTCCATGGAGAAGAAAGCAAAAGGCTTTTCAGATCAAATTTCAACCAGTTGCTGCTTAATTGAACCCTAGCCTTCTGCATTTCTGTCCAATGGCAGTAGGGCTCCAAAGAGCATCCCTTGACTTGCCCTCACTTATGCAGTGTAAACTTGAGGAGCTAACCCAGGCTGCTCTCAGCAGCTCCTCCAAGTCAAGTGGTCAGCTGAGATGGTGGCCTCCCTTGTCTGCTGCTAATTCAAGCTCAGTTCTCATTAATTGACTAGATATTTGGTGTTACGGTGCTATCAGTTCTACTTGGGATGAGTTTTGTTTGCCATTTATAGTCAAAACAAAACAAGCAGATATCAGGCTTTAACTATTGCCCACACTGTACAACCCAGGATTGATCATCTCTATATTCAGAAAAATGTTTTCCTGGAAACCACATATTTCTCACCACCAACCACATTCCTTCGAGACAGCTGCTTTTGTATAATACTTTCAAACACTTGGGGAGATAATATTTATTAAGTCTTTTGGCATATTCCAAATTTAAAATTGTATGAGACCTTTGCTTTTTTTGCCCTAAATATATATACATTTAGAATGACAATATCATTTAATGTTCAGCATAGTTTCTGGTATATAGTGGGTGCCCAATCACTATTAATCACTTTTCTCCTTTTTTCCTTCCTGCAATTTACAGATGAAGAAACTGAAGCTCATAAAGGTTAAAAATCTTGCCAAAGTCACAGTCAAAAACTACTGGCTCTAAGAGATGAACCTGGAACTGTGAGAAGCCTAAGCTCCTACTCTTTTTATGGGACACAAAAATGTAACCAAAAGTTTAGTTTCCCTCTCATACATGGATATATGATTCATATAGTCTCTCCATCATTCCTATTCTCTCTCACATAGTATCTTTATCTTCCTCTTTGTTTTAGATAGGGTTGTTGAGTTATAAGTTATATACAGTAAAATTGAGTCCTATTATGTATATGAGTTTGACAAATCCATACATTTGTATAGGCAGCGTCTTAATCAAAATATAAAACTTGTCATCATCCCAGAGCCTCTGCCTTCCCCTTTTCTGTGAATCCTCTTCCCCAACCCTCAGCCTATGTGATTTGATTCTGTTCTTATGATCACCTTTTCCATAATGTCAAATAAATGTTATCATACTATACACAGCCTTAAAAAATTGAGATATCACTCACATACCATTAAGTTCACCCCTTTAAAGTATAGAGTTCAGTGGTGTTTAGCCCATTCACAAGGTTTTGCAACAATCACTACTAGCTAATTCCAGAATATTTTCATCAATCCCAAAAGAAGCCCCATGCCCATTAACAGTCACTCCCCATTCCCCTCTACCCCATCCCTTAGAAAACACTATCATTCTATCTACCATTACGGATTTGCCTATCCTAGATGTTTTGTATAAGTGGAATCACACAATATGCGGCCTTTGTGTCTTGCTTTTTTCATTTAGCGTAATGTTACCAAGTTTCATCCATGTTGTAGCATGTATCAGTACTTCATTCCTTTTTATGGCTATTTAATAGTCCATCATATGAATATGCCATATTTTGTTTACCTATTCATCAGTTGATGAACATTTAGCTTGTTTCTACTTTTTGGCTTAAATAATGCCTCTATGAACACTCTTGTACAAGTATTTGAGTGGGCATATGTTTTAAATTCTTTTGATCCTCTCCCTCCCACTATGCTTATTGCCTGGGTGATAAAATAATCTGTACATCAAAGCCCCAAGACATGAAATTTGCCCATATAACCAACCTGCACATGTACCTCTGAACCTAAAATAAAAGTTAAAAAACTTCTTTTTTGAGTATACACCGAGGAGTGGAATTGCTGGTTCATATGCTAACTCTATGTTTAACTTCTTGAGTAACCATCAAACTTATCAAAATGCTTTACCATTTTACATTTCTACCAGGAATTCATGAGAGTTCTGATTTCTCCATATCCTCTCCAACAGTTGTTGCTCCCATCTTTTTTATTATGGTCATCCTAATAAGTATAAAAATATTTTGTGGATTTTATTTGCATTTTTCTAATGATTAATGATGTTGAGCATCTTTTTATGTCCTTATTAGCTATTTGTAAATGTCCTTTGGATATCCATTCAAATGTTTTGTTCATTTTGTAAATGGGTTTTTCTTCATAGCCTTTTGCCTGGCTTCTTTCACATATGTGAGTATAATCCTTTGAAAATTCCTTCATGTTGTTGCATTACTGTTTGTTATTGAGTAATATTCCATTGTATGAATATACCATAATCTTTTTATCCATTTACCATTTGATGAGCATTTGGGTTGCTTCCTGTTTGGGGCAATTATGAATAAAGCTACTATAAATACTTTTGTACAATTCTGTATTTGTATACATGTTTTAATTTCTTTTAGGTAAATACCTAGGAGTAAAATACTGTATCATATGGTAAGTACATGATGGCCTTTACAAGAAACAAACTGATTTTTAAAGTAGCTGTACCATTTTGCATCCCCACCAATAATTTATGAATGTATGAGATATTTCTAAAGCTTCTTGCCAGCACTCAGTATTTTCAGGCTTTTAAATTTCAGCCATTCTGTTGTTAAATAGTGATATTTCATTATGGTTTTAATTTGCATGTCATTAATGTATTTTTAAATTTCTTTTTTATTGGGGAAGATTTTGCCTTTTTAAAAGAGTTTTTTTTTTTAAGAGCAGTTTTACGTTTACAGAAAAACTGAGTATAAAGTGATTTCCTGTATACCCCCTTACCACCAGCACCATCCCAGTTTCCTTTTTATGAACATCTTGCATTAGTGTGGTATATTTGTTACGATTGATGAACCAATATTGATACATTATTGTTAACTATAGTCCATAGTTTATTTTAGGGTTCACTCTGTGTTGTACATTCTGTAGGTGTTTATACATATATAATGATATATACAACATTACAGTATTATACAGAACAATTGTCCTACCCTAAAAATCCTCTATGCTCCATCTATTCATCCCTTCCTCCTTCTGAACACCTGGGAATCATAGATTTTTTTTTTTTACTGTCTCCATAGTTTTGCTTTATCCAAAATGCCATATAGTTGGAATTATACAGTTTGTAGCCTTCACATACTGGCTTCTTTCACTTAGCAATACACCTTTTAGTTTCCTCCATGTGTTTTCACAGCTTGATAGCTCATTTTTTTTTTTTTTCATTTTGCTGAGTACTGTTTCACTGTACAGATGAACCACAGTTTGTTTATTCATTCACCTATTAAAGGACTTCTTGGTTGCTTCCAAGTTTTATCAATCATGAATAAAGCTGTTTTAAACATTTCTGTGTGGGTTTTGTGGAGATGTAAGTGTTCAATTCATTTGAGTAAATAACGGAGCATAAATACTGGATCATAAGGTAAGAGCGTATTAGTTTTGTGAGAAAATGCCAAAATGTCTTCCAAAATGGCTATCCCATTGTGCACTACCATCAGCAATGAATGAGAGTTTCTGTTGCTCTACACCCTCACCAGCCATGGTTGTTGTCAATGTTTTAGATTTAACAACACTAATAGGTTTGTAGTGGTTTCTCATTGTTTTAATTCCCAAGTCTCTAATGATATATGATGCTGAGTATTTTTTCATATACTTATTTGCCATCTTGTTATCTTCTTTGGTGTCTGTTAAGTCTTTGGTCCATTTTTTAGTCAGGTTGTTTGTTTTCTTATTATTGAGTTCAAGAGTTCTTTGTATAATTTGAAAACAAGCCTTTTATCAGATCTGTATTTTGCAAAGGTTTTCTCCCATTTTGTAACTTGACTTTTTCATTATTTCATAAACACTGTCTTTCACAGTGCAGTTTCATCAACACTGTCTTTTGCAGTTTCTGTATTTTTTTTGCAGAGCAGAAGGTATGAATTTTGATGAAGTCCAACTTACCAATTTTTTTTCTGGATTGTGCTTTTGGTCTTGTTACTTAAAAGCCATCATCAAACCCAGCACACCTGGGTTTTCTACTGTGTTATTTCTAAGAGTTTTATAGTTTTACATGTTACAGTTAGGCCTATATTCCCTTTTGAGTTAATATTTGTGAAATATGTAAGTTTTCTGTCTAGATTAATTTTTTATGTGGATGTCCAGTTGTTGTTTTGTATTATTTATCCCTTGAATTGCCTTTGCTCTTTTTCAAGGATCAGTTGACTTTGTATGAGTTCATTTCTGGGTCTCTATTCTGTTTCATTGATATATTGTCTATGGTTTTGCCAATATCACACTATCTTGAAAACTGTAGCTTTATAGTAAGTTTTGAAGTCAGGTAACATCAGTCTTCAGATTTTGTACTATTTCAATAATGAGTTGGATATTCTGGGTCTTTTGCCTTTTCATATAAACTTTATTTTTTTTTTCTTTTGAGATAGAGTCTCATTATTGCCCAGGCTAGAGTACAGTGACCTGATCTTGACTCACTACAACCTCAGCCTTCCGGGCTCAAGTGATCCTCCTATCTCAGTCTCCCAAGTAGCTGGGACTACAGGCTTGTGCCACCATGCCCAGCTAAATTTTGTATTTCTTGTACACAGAGGGTCTCACTATGTTGTTCATACTGGTCTTGAACTCCCACCTTGCCTTCCCAAAGTGCTGTGATTACAGGTGTGAGCCACCATGCCTGGCTGATTTTTCATATAAACCTTACAATCAATTTGATGCCATCCACAAACTAACATGCTGAGATGCTGATTGATATCTTGTCAGATGTAAGTTCAATTTGGAAAAAACTGACATTTTGATAATATTGAGTTTTCCTATCCATGAACATAGAATATCTCTCCATTTATCTAAATCTTTGATTTTGTTCATCAGAGTTTTGTAGCTTTCTAACATATATTTTGTTAAATTAACAGTTAAGTATTTAATTTTTTTGTTGCTAATGTAAATGGAATTATATACTTTTATTTCAAATTCTCATTGTTCATTGCTGGTATATAAAAAAGCAGTTGAGTTTTGCATATTAACCTTGCATCCTACAACATTGTTATAATCATTTATTAATTCTAGGAGTTTTTTAACTGATTATTTGGGATTTCTACATAGACAATTAGGTCACGTGCAAACTAAGACAACTTTATTTCTTCCTTCCCAATCTGTATTGTTTTTATTCCTTTTGATGTCTTTTTTACTTAGCTATCACTTCCAATATAGTGTTGAATAGGAGTGGGAAGAGTAGCTTCCTTGGGTTGTACCTGATCTTAGCAAGAAAGCATCTAACATTTACGGGGTGAACCCCGTCTCTACTAAAAATACAAAAATTAGCTGGGTGTGGGGATGCACACCTGTAATCCCAGCTACTCAGATGGCTGAGGCAAGAGAACTGCTTGAACCCAGGAGGCAGAGGTTGCAGTGAGCCAAGATCAGGCCATTGCATTCCAGCCTGGGCAACAAGAGCAAAACTCCATCTAAAAAAAAAGCCAGGCGTGGTGGCTCACACCTATAATCCCAGCACTTTGGGAGGCCGAGACAAACAGATCACCTGAAGTGAGGAGTTCGAGACCAGCCTGACCAACATAAAGAAACCCCATCTCTACTGAAAATACAAAATTAGCCAGGCGTGGTGGTGCATGCCTGTAATCCCAGCTACTGGGGAGGCTGAAGCAGGAAGGTCACTTGAACCCCGGGGGGCAGAGGTTGCAGTGAGCCAAGATCGCTGCATTGCCCTCCAGCCTGGGCAACAAGAGCAAAACTCTGTCTCAAAAAAAAAAAAAAATTCCCTCTCTTCCTAGTTTGCTGAGGGTTTTTGTTGGTTTTCATAAATGGGTATTGAATTTTGTCAAATGCTTTTTCTGTGTTATTAATATAATCATATAATTTTTTTCTTTAGCCTATTGATATAATGAATTACATTGTTTCTTGAATGTTGAACCAGTCTTGCATACTGCATACCTGAAATAAACCCCACTTGCTCATTGTGTGTACTTATTTTTATACATTGTTGAATCTGATTTACTAATATATTCTTGAGGATGTTTTCATCTAATAAGATATACGCTATATAGTTTCCCCTTTTTTAATGTCTTTATCTGATTTTAGTATCAGGTTAATGTCAGAATGAATTAGGAAAAAGTCATTCTACTTTTATATTTTGGGAGAAATTGTAGAGTATTCATATATTTTCTTCCTTAAATATTTGGTATAATTTACTAGTGAACTCATCTAAGCTGGGTGCCTTCTAAGTTGAAGAGTTATTACTTATTGATTCAATTTCTTTAATAGATATAAGCCTATTCACATTATTTCTTCCTGTGTCAGTTTGTGTAGCTTGGTTTGAAGGAATTGATCCACTTCACCTAGATTATTAAATTTGTGGGAATGGAGTTAATCATAATATTATAATCTTTTATTGTCTGTGGAATCAATAGTAATGACCTTCTTTCATTTCTGATATTAGTAATTTATGTCTTTTCTTCTTTTTCTTAGTTAGCCTGGCTAGAGGTTTATTAATTTTATTGATCCTTTCAAAGAATCAACTCTGGTTTCATTGATATTCCCTATGGATTTTGTATTTTGAATTTTATTTATTTTGGCTCTATCATTATTTCTTTTCTCTTGCTTATGTTGAATATAATTTGCTCTCCTTTTTATAGTTTCCTAAAATATATGCTTAAATTATTAATTTTTAATCTTTTTTCTTCTCTAATATATTCATTCAATATGGTAAGTTTCCCTCTAAGCACTGTTTCAATGCGTCCCATGAATTTTGATGTTATATTTTAATTTCCATTTAGTTTAAAATATTTTAAAATTTCTCGAGATTTTTCTTTGACACATATGCTATTCAAAAGTGTGTTGTTTCATCTCCACTAATTTAGGGGTTTCTCAGATTTTTTTAATTATTGATTTCTACTTTAATTCCATTGTGGTCTGAAACAATATTTTCTATGACTTCCATTATTTAAAATTTTCTAGCGTGTGTTTTGTGACCCAAAATGTGGTCTATCTTGGTTAATGTTCTGTGTGAGTTCCAGAAAACAAAGTGAATGAGGACAGATGTGTATGCATTGCTGGATGTGGTAATGGCAAGGTTGTGTGGACTCTCTTATTTTAAAAATATTTTTATTGAACTATAATATACATGCTGTAAAATTCAAATATCTAAAGTACATAGCTCAATAAACGTTTGTAGAGTGAACATGCCAATGTAACCACTGTTCAATTGACAATATAATTGCCAATGAATTACTAGTAATGTTTTATTTACTAAATTTAGTTTTATTTACTAAACATTACTAGTAATTCATTGGCAATTACATTGTTTCCTTTATACCATACAAGCTTCTTCAAAACAGTGGTTAGACATAGAATCTGTGGAAAAAAACTCTTATAAGAGGAACAGTTGGTGGGACAAACAGTCTTACTACTTCAGTTGGTCCCAATAGTGTACTGAGATCATCATCTCCTGGCTCTACCACACAGTCCAGATTCTCTTCTTTCTCAGCCAGAACATCTGTCAGTCTGAATGACTGGTCTCAAAGGTCACTTTATAAGACCAGTCACTCAGACTGACAGATGTGCTGGCTAAGGAACCCCTGGTTACCATGTGTGTCAGTCTATTGCTGATGCAACTTCCTACTCATAAGTAAAATGAGCATGGGAGGTAAATGAGATGACTCAGTGAATCTCCTTGGTCCCAAACTGGAGTCCCTGAACCATTATGCAACAGTAAAATTCACCTCCTCTTGATGATCAGGATCAATTACCCATGTCAGTATGGTAATTCCTTTTTTTGCCTGTGATTCACCAGAATGAGCAACCCCAAATTACCCAAATGGTGGGGAGGTGACCAGTCAGTATTTGTACTTTTATGTTTAGTGATATTAATACTACAGCTCATGGTAGAAGTATCGCCCCTCTAGGAAAAAAAAAAAAAGCCTCTAGACCTATGCTCTAATATGGAAGCCACTAGTCATGTATGATATTTAATTTTGAATTAAATTAAAATTTTTGTTCCTCAGTCACATTAGCCACATTGCAAGTGTTGTATAGACACATGTGGTTAGTGGTTACCATATTGGAAAGTATAGAGGAATATTTCCATTACTGCAGAAAATCCTATTGGACAGCACTGCTCCAGGCTTTTATATTCTACCTATTGAAGACACAGTTCCATTTAATGGCCTTTAGTATTTATATAACATTCCAGTTTCATGAAGTGTTATCCCTAATTTGGCACTTTAGCTAATATTAATTGACCAATTATTAGTATGTAGCCTTTGTGTGAACATCAAAGATAAACACACAGGACAGTGTCTTTATTCAAGGAACTTATAATCTAATAGAGGATAAGTAAAAACAACCTCACCAAACAAATATGCAAATGTCATTATAATTTTTAGATTAATGAATGCCTTTATTATCATGAATGGATTATTATCATGTGATCATGTGTCCTTTGTCCTATCTCCTTCACTATAAAATGGCTCTCTTGAGCTGAGGCAATGTCAGTAAATTAGACATTCTGTGTTAGTCTCCTTGAGGCATGAATTACTCCCAGCTGCCAATAGATTGGACATTCCTCAACAACAGTAACTAGACTATGCTTGGTACAAGAAGGTCCATGCTCTTGGGCCCATGTGTAACTTCTATTTCTTTAGCATACCTATTCCTTCCATCAGCCGATTGTACTTGCTCTTTCCATACATTTGTTTTGTGCTTCTTCTAAAGAAGGTGTTTTCTAGTAATTATTATTTTGATATACAAAGATTCTCATCTTTTTAGGACCCACTTTTGTAGATCTGATTACATGCCTCTCCCCTAGACTTCCTTATCTCCAATTTTACAGTCTTGTTTCATCCTGATGGATTTTAAAATACAAACATTCACTGGGTTAGAAGTCATATACTGTGTACCAGAGGCTATGTTAACCTGTTCTGTTAAAGGTACTACTTCTGGCACAGCAATTGTGATTGATACAACCTCTGAATTGAGTTTGTGATAGTCCATTGTCATCTTCTCTGTGTAGGAGCAATACTAGTGAATTAAATGGGGGTGTAATGAGAATCACCAGCCCAGTATCATTTAAGTCTTTGAAAATTGCAATAATCTCTGCCATTCCACCAAGGATGCAGTTTTGTTTTTTTTTTCCAATTTGCAATCTTAGCTGGGAAGGGGGACATTTTCAGGGTCTTCCAGGAAAAAACCTTGGTCTATCCTATTCTTCACAGATCAAGCAATAAATGTGAGGCTTCTGACAGTTGCTAAGCATGTCCATCCTGATAATGAATTTGGGAACTGGGGAAATAACTGCCAAGTGAATGTATAGACTCAGTGAGTCTACCATAAGACAGACCTGGGTGAATATTCTGCTTGTAATTTCCCAGTTGCCTCTGCCTCACTGCAATTAGTGGATCCAGTAGGTCACCTCCACTTAACACTGTTTATGTTTTTGAAATGGAAGGGAGAGTTTTATACTGTGAACTCATAATGCTATTTTATCTGGAGGAGAAGAGGTCATAATCCTTTGGTCTTTATGATAAATCCATTTATTCATCTAAAATTGTAACCACATATGCATATTTGGTTGGGGTGAAAATTTTATTTTACTTATCTTCCTATTAGATTATAAGTACATTGAATGAAGAAACCGTTCTGTGTGCTTATCTTTGATGTTCACGCAAAGCTGACATACTAATAACTGGCCAATAAATATCAACTAAAGGAACAATGCCCTTTATAGCTGCTCCACATTTATGCTTGTATGACTGACTCATAGTAGTTTGAATAATAGTAAGTGGAAGTGATTTGAAAATATACTTATGCAATCTGATACACCATAACTGTAAAATATTAGCCCCCAAATTTTGACATAATGTGATTTTATCACACACCATTCAAAACACAGTTGGTCTCAACACAAAGTATGGGTTCATCCTGTCACAATATTCTGGCTTTAATATCTCTTAAAAGAGTTCACTTTCCTACAGAGGGCAGGAGATATGGCTACCATCTGCACCCATGTTGTATAGTTTATAACTTTCACCACCTGGAGGGAGCCAACCCAAGCTCACTCTCAGGTTTAAGAAATCCTGATGAAGACTCTGATTTATCAGTTTCAGATGGGAGCACTAGGGCAGGTAATGTAACCTTTCAAGCCTCATGCTCTGAGGGCAGGAGATGAACTCATATTTAAAAATGGAGGCTACCTCTGAACTGCAAGTTGCAGTATGAAAAAGAGGTATTTCTAGAAGAAGGAACAATCCTGAGATGTTTAAAAAATGTGTCTGTTATCTCCTAGAATAAATGGAAAAAGTAATTGTCTTTGTTTTTCTTAACAAAAGTTAAATAGCCCAAACATGGAAAGTCAGCACATTTTATATTCTGTATTATTCCACCCACACTTCCTTGAAAATTATGTTTTTTTATAAATGCTTTTAATAAAGGAATTAAAATACTTTTAAATATTTTTAGGCAGCACAGTCATTGGCTCACTGACAATCTAAGGCAGTTGTCTCCTCAGACACTCTGTCTTTCCAGTAGTTATAGCTTTTTGACAGCAGGATCAGTGTGAGATAAATAGACTTTAACATTTTTGTTAAAAATAAAAAGCCCCACAAACGTGGCCCATCATTTCCTACTGGCAGGAATATAAATAGCTGATGCACTTTACTATGCATAAAGCCAAACAAAGGCCAAAACGATCTTGTCTAAAGGTGATTAGAATGTGTGTGTTTATGGAAACAAGATGTGGCCACCCTCTGGCTTAGGGTCCATCTGATTTGGTCCATTTATAAATAGAATTCCAAAGTGAACAAACCCACTTCCTGTTAGTCTCTCTCAATCTCCCTTTTTTTTTCCGCTAAAGTATGGATCTGATCTCTTGCACTGTTTGTAAGAAGAAAATTCTGTTTGTCATTTATCAAAATCTAAACAGCCGCAACTTAACAATGTTAGTTTAGTTTCAATATTAAGTAAATAAATGTGAGCAGTGATCATACTATACAAACATGTGGACCTGGAATTTAAATTCAATAAATTTTACTTCTAATTAGTTTCACAAGGTTTCAGATTTTCTTAAGTTCCCTTCATATCTTCCAACTTTGCTATATTAGTATGGATGGCATATTGTGTAGAGATGGCATCTTAACTCTCTCCCAATCCATAGTACTAAGCCTGTCTGAGTTTGAAGATTTTTTTCTCTTTAAAGTTCTAAATAATTTACTTTGAAAGCAAGAGTGAGTGATTTGAAAAGGTGTTGGCTTGAAATTCATGGCACAATTAAAGGCATCATTATACTTTCCAGATCAGGTGTAAAATGAACAGAAAAAACATGTGCATTTCTCTGTAATTCCACCCATGTGACTCATCCTGAAACCACAGTAATTGTATATTTAAGACTTGCTTCACTCATTAGCCAGCCATTTCAATGCACTTATATTTTGGATCAAATTCTGGGTCATTTAAGTGATTCATAGAATCAAGAGTATAAAACCCATTTATACCCAATGATGGTGAAAGCCATTAGTCAACAATAATTATTATGAACCTGCTGTGTGCCATTTCCAATTTACATTCTTCAAAAAGCAAAAGTGGTCTCCCTTTGGACACTTGAAGTGTATTTACAATAAATTACATGGTGGAACAGCTTGAATTAAATAATGGTCCTTTAAGAACCAAGCTCCATTGAAAGACTAATTTGGAAATTAAAGTTATATTTTTTGTTGAAACATATGTGAATATAGCACCAATTTGGAGAGTCCTGTATGCTAACAAAAAGTATGTTCTGAACAAATACATTTTTTCTCCAAGTTAATAGTATTTTACTCATAGGGTTTTCTAAGGTTGACTAGGACAGTTGTATAATAACTATTGGGCCATTATTAATATTATATTAATTCCTTGGGATAGTCCCATGGAAACTTGTCTAAACATTCTTTAGTTTTCTTAAGGCCAAATTCTGTTGCTATGCCTCTATTCTCATCAAGCCAAAAAGAAGTAAAGCTTTTATTTTAGATTCTAAGTTGTCAGACCATGAGAAACTATATCAAGACATGATATAGAAAACTGTTCACTACCCAGAGATGGTGAAGTTCAAGCTAAATGCATTAATTGCATGACACTTTGAAGTCACTGCCTTTGGGAGGGATGAGTGCATTTCATGTGAAGCATCGATATGGGAGTACATCTGATTATAGCTATGATGGGCTAACAAGCTTACCTTTCTGTCTTGAGAAAACTGGACCAGTTTTTAAACACTGGACAATAGTTAGCACAGGACAATTGTACCTAGGATAAGGAAAATTAAGAAAGTGAGCCCAATGAGTGTCCCATCTCACAGCAGTGAGAACCTTTTCAGCCTGCAGAACAGGAAGAAGGAATGCAATCAGAGCCTGGTGGTTCCTTCCCTGAGGTGAGGAGACAGACTCTGGAATTCAGGTGGGTGGTTAGAGTTTTCAGAAAAAAGTATGAGAAGAGGAAAAGGTTGTACAGAGAAAGCATAAGATTGCTGCAGAGATCTACAGAGGGTAAACCTAAAGTCTTTACCTGAGTACAGACATGCATGTGAAGAAACTAAAAATGCGAGGGACACCAACAGAGAGATGTAGGTGGAATAATCCCTACGGCTTACACAAAGCTAGAAATAGTTTGTTCTTCCAACACCCAGTGACTAAAAACCTCCTAATACACAAAACATTGAGTAATGTCCTTAGAAAAGTGTTGCATTAGTAATGGTAAATAATTAGCCTTAGAATAAAGGCTGCTCTAGATTCACCCTAACAAAGCTCAAAAGCAAGAATCAAACTGATTGCAAGTGACTAAACTTTATCTCAGAACAAAATCTCAACATATTTAACAAAAATACAAAAAATTTTAAAATAGAAAGGGAGTAAATATGGTATCTAATGATGTGAAATTACTGTGACTTTCATCTGAACAAAAATTACCAAGCATAAAAAGACACAGGAAAATATGAACCATATCCAAGAGAAAGTAAATCAATATAAACAGATGCAGACATGAACTACATGATACAATTAGTAGACAAGGACATCAAAACAGTTACTATAAACATGCTCCATTTGTTCAGGAAGGTGGAAGAGAATACAAGCATGATAGAGAGAAAAATGTTAGCTATAGAAAAGATTCAAATCAGACTTGTAGAGATGGGAAATACACTATCTGAGTTTAAAACTTCACTGAATGGGAGTAACAACAGATTAGATTTTGCAGAAGAAAGGTTACTAATGTGAAGACCTAACAATAGAACTACTCAAAATGTATTACAGAGAAAAAAGAACCAGAAACAGTCAACAGGGCCAGGCACAGTGGCTCATGCCTGTAATCCCAGCACTTTGGGAAGCCAAGGTGGGCGGAACACTGAGGTCAGAAATTCAAGACCAGCCTAGCCAACGTGGTAAAACCCTAACGTGGTAAAAATTAGCCGGGTGTGGTGGTGTGTGCCTGTAATCCCTGCTACTTGGGAGGCTAAAGCAGGAGAATCATTTGAGCCCGGGAGGCGGAGGTTGCAGTGAGCTGAGATTGTGCCAGTGCACTCCAGCCTGGGTGACAGAGTGAGACTCTATCTCAAAAGAAAAAAACAAAACAAAACAGTTAACAGAACATCAGTTCTGTTGGAGACAACATCAAGTGAACTCCCCATAAAGAGAGAAGGATGGAGGGACAGAAGAAAATTTTGAAAATATAATGACTGGCAATTTTTCAAATTTGATGTAAAGTATAGAACCACAGATCCAGATGAACAACAAATTGTGAACCAAAAGAACATTAAGAAAACCACATATAAGCATCATAATCAATTGTTGAAGGACAGATTAAAAACAAAATCTTAAAAGCAGCTAAAGAAAAATACGACACACTACAGAAGAACAAAAATAAGAACAACAACAGACTTGCAGTCAGAAATAGTGCAGACCAGAATATAGTGGAGCAACATCTTCAAAGTACTAAAAAAATGGAAAACAAAACAAAACAATACCACACAAACCTAGAATTCTATGTCCAGTAAAAATACCTTTTAAAAATGAGGGCAAAATATAAATGGTTGCAGATGTGCAAAAGGACAGAGAACTCATTACCAGAAGACCAGAAATGTTTAAGACTATCCTTCAAGAAGGAAAAATAAGCTAATAAAGGAGATAACAGATAATAACTTTAAAATCTAGTTTATTCAAAAGAAGCAAAGAAAAAGGAAAAAGACAACAGAGATTAAATAAACACAAAGCAAATATCAGAATGATACATTTTAACCCCAATCATAGCAATAATCACATTTAATGTAAATGGTCTAAACATTCTGATCAAAAAGCGAACCAATCAAATTGGATTAAAAAAGTAAGATCCAAAAACATACCATCTATAAGAATCTCACTTTAAATAAAAAGACACATGTAGGCTTAAAGTAAAGAAGAAAAACAAATATGATGCAAACACTAGTCCAAAGAAAGCTGCAGGAGTGACATTAGTAAAATGGAAGAATAGGAGCCCTAGTTCTTGTCCTCCCACAGAAACATTGATTCAGCAACCATTCATAGATGAAAATAGTTTTTTGTGTGTGAGTTCCATAACCTAAATGAGAGGTTATAGCACCCTGGTTGAGCACAAAAACAAGAAATGATGGATTTAAAAGGGTAAGAACAGTTTCACTTTACCTGTGTCATCCTTCCCTAAGCCAGCATAATGTAGCAACAAGACAGTTTCCCTCTGCCTGTGAGTTCTCCAATGGGGGAAAGAAATAATAAAGTGTGCATCTGAATTCTTCAGTCTCTTGGGGCAACACCTAAGTGGCTTGCTTCTGTCATGCCTCACCCAGACCACTGAAGGAATCAGCATGGCTACATTGCCTTGGGGTAAGTAAGAACAAAGGAAAGAGAGAGGGGCTCCCAACAAGTGTGCAGATCTCAGCAGCTAATCCACAGGCCCCAGTGGCAGGTCAATCTTCCCACAGACTCTACCAGGCAGACTGCCCACAGACACTACCAACCAGCTCACCCAGAATCTCTGGCCGGGCTGACTAGGAAAGGGTTTTTCCTGAAGCCAGTTTGTGAAGATTGGAAGAGGTGATGGCTTCTTCAAATACACAACCAAGAAAAAGCTACAAGACTCAGGGAAATATGACACAACTAAAAGAACAAAATAAAGCTCCAGTAACTGACCCTAAAGAAACACAGATCTATGAACCACTTGAAATTTAGAATAGTCATCTTAAAGAAGCTCAGGGAGCTACAAGGGGACATAGACATCGAAATGAAATCAGAAAAACCATACATGAACAAATTGTGAAGCTCAACATAGACATAAAAACCATAAAATGAACCAAACAGAAATTCTGGAGCTGAAAAACCAGTGAATTTACTGAAAAATTTAATAGAGAGTTACAACAGCAGACTAGATGAAGCAGAAGGAAGAACTGATGAACTTTAAGACAGGCCACTTGAAATTATCCAGTCAGAGAAGGAAAAAGTAAAAAGAATGTAAATGTGAAGAAAGCCTATGGGATTTATGAAATACCACTAAGCAAACCAATATGTACATTATGGAGTATTAGAAGGAGAAGAGAAAGAGAAAGGGGAGTAAGACTTATTTAAAGAAATCATGGTTGAAAACATCCCAAATCTGTGGAGGGAAATGAACATCACTTTCATGAAGCCGAAAGGATCCCTAACATGTTGAATCTAAAGAAGTCTACTGAAACTCATTATAGTTAAATTTTCAAAAGTGAAATATAAAGAGAGAAGCTTGAAAGCAGCAAGAGCAACTCATGATATGCAAGGGAAACTTCATAAGGCTATCAGCAAATTTCTCAGCAGAAACTGCACAAACCAGGAGAGAGTAGAATGATGTATTTGAAGTACTGAAAGAAAAAAAAATGCCAACTAAGAATCCTATAATACTGGCAAAATTGTCCTTTAAAAATGAAAGCTAGAGAAAAATTTTTCCAGACAAACAAAAACTGAGGGAGTTTGTAACCGCTAAACCTGTCCTACAATAAATGCTAAAAGAAGTTCCAGTTGAAATGAAAGAACATTAAACAGCAATACAAATGCATATGAAGGTATACATTTCACTCATAAATGTAAATGTATAGACAAATACAGAATAATGCAATACTGTAATGGTGGTGTGTAAATCATTTTTAACTCTAGTAGAAAAGTTAAAAGAAAAATGTTTAAAGAATGACTATAACCATAAAAATTTGTCAGTGAATATACAATATAAAAAGAAGTAAATTCTGACATCAATAACATAAATTGTGTGTGGTGGGGAAGTGGTTTAAAAGGGTAGAGTTGTTGAATGTGATTAAGGTTAAGTTGTCAACTTAAAATAGACTGTTGTAACTATAAAAAGTTTTACACAAATCTCACAATAAGCACAAAGAGAAAAACTATAGTCAATACAAAAATAGATATATGGAAAAGAAATAAGGCATATCACTCTAAAACATAATCATATCACAAAGGATGACAGCATGAGAGGAAGAGAGGAAAAAAAGAACTATGAAAGAGACAGAAAATAATTAACAAAATGGCAATAGTAAGTCCTTACAGATCTATAATTACTTACAATTTCAATGAATTAAACTCACCAATCAAAACATTTAGTGGCTGAATAGAAAAAAAAAGACCTAATTATATATTGTCTACAAGAGACTAACTTTAGATTTAAGGACACATATAGGCTGAAAGTGAAGGGATACAAATGGTAACAAAAAGAGAGCATAGGTGACTATACGTATATCAGACAAAATCGATATTAAGTTGAGAAGTGTCACCAGAGATAAAGAATATCATTACATAATGACAAAAAGGTCAATATAGCAGAAAAAAATAGCAGTTATAAACACATATGCATTCAACATCAGATCACTTAAATATATAAAGCAAACATTGACAAATGTAAAGGGAGACAGAGGCAGCAATACAATAATAGGGTATTTTAATACTCCACTTTCAATAATGGATAGATCATTCAGACAGAAAATCAATAAGAAAACAGGAGAACTGAGCAACACTATAGACCAAATGGACCTAACAAACATACACAGAACATTCCACCAAACAGCAGCAAAATACATATTCTACTCAAGTGCACATAGAACATTCTCCAAGATAGATCACATGCTAGGTCACAAATAAGTCTTTTTCCAACCATGATAGAAACTAGAAATCAATAACAAAAGGAAAATGGGAAAATTCACAAGTACATGGAAGTTATATTTTTTCTAACCTTTATTATTTACTTACTTCCATTAACTTTGGATTTAAGTTTGTTCTTCTTTTTCTAGTTCCCTTTTAATTTTTTATTTTATCAAAAGGGAGTTTAATTGTTCAAAGGTATATTGAATTAAGAAGAAATAGAAAGCCTAAAAAAGTCAATAACAAATAAAGACATTAAACCAGGAATATAAAACTTCCCAGCAAAGAAAAGCCTAAGACCAGATGGTTTCACAGATGAATTATATAAAACATTTGAAGAAGACTTAATACTAATACTATTTAAACTCTTCCAAAATAAGAGGAGATATAATATTTCCAAACTCTTTTTATGAGGCCAGCCTTACCGTGATATCAAAGCCAGACAAAGATACAAGAAGGAGAGAAAACTACAGGCCAATATCCCTGATGAACACCAATGCAAAAATCCTTCAGAAAATATTAGCCCACCAAATTAAACAGCACATTAAAAGGATTATACATCATAGCCAAGTGAGATCTATATCTGGGACGCAAGGAGGGTAGGAACATATGTAAATCCATCAACATGATATGCCACATTAACAGAATGCCAGATAAAAAAAATCACATACCAATCTCAATAGATGCAGGAAAAGCATTTGACAAAATTCAACACCCTTTTATAATAAAAACTCTCAACATACTAGTTATAGAAGAAACTTACTTCAACACAAGAAAGGCCATATATGAAAAGTTCACAGGTAACATCATACTCAAAAGTGAAGAACTGAAGCATTTTCTCTAAGATCTGGAACAGGGTAAGGATACCCATTTTTACCACTTCTATTCAATACAGTACTAGAAGTCCTTAGCCAGAGCAAATAGTCAAAAAAAAAAAAAAAAAAAAAAAAGGAGAAAGAAAAAGAGAAAGAGAGAGAGAGAGAAATAGATTACTAAATACTTTTAATAACTCTCAAGACAAAAAGGATAAGATAATTAACATTTCACAGTAAAACCTTACATTTTGGAAGACTGCATTCCACACTTAGGACTTTGACTTTTCTGTAAGAGTTCAAAGCTCATAAATATATTTCATTCTATGTGTAAAGTAAAATTGCAGGACACAAAATCAGCACACAAAAATCTGTTGCATTTCTATTCACTAACAGCAAACTAGCCACAAAGCAAATTAAAAAAAAAATCTCATTGATCACAGCAACAAAAAGAATAAAATTTTTAAGAATCAACTTAACCACGGAGGTGAAAGATTTGTACACTAAAAACTAGAAAAATCTGATGAAAAAAACTAGACACAAGCAAACGGAAACAGATATGCATTTATAAATTGGAAGAATTAATAATGTTAAAATGTCCACACTAGCCAAGCAATCTACACATTTAATGCAATCCCTACTCAATTGCAGTTGATATGGTTTAGCATTGTCCCCACCCAAATCTTATCTTGAACTGTAGTTCCCATAATCTCACATGTCCTGGGAGGGACCCAGTGAGAGTTGATTGAATCACGCGGGCGGTGTGTGAAACAAAAATTCAGAAGAAGAAAGAAAAATCCTCAATTATAGTTAAAGAATTCAGCACCCCTCTCTAATAATTTAAAGAACAAACAAACAGTAAATTAGTGTGTATATAAAAGACTTGAACAACATTATCACTCAACTTGACCTAATACATGTAGTAGAACAATTTATATTCCTTTGGGTACATCCCCAATAATGGGATTGTTGGGTCAAATAATTCTGTTCTAAGTTCTTTGAGGAATCACCACACTGCTTCTACAATGGCTGAACTAATTCATATACCCACCAGCAGTGTATAAGCATACCTTTTTCTCTGCAACCTTGCCAGCGTCTGTGATTTTTTGATTTTTTTAATAATAGATATTCTGACTGGTGTGAGATGGCATCTCATCGTGGTTTTGATTTGCATTTCTCTAATAATTAGTGATGTTGAACATTTTTTCATATTCTTGTTGGCCTCGTATATGTCTTCTTTTGAAAAGTGTCTGTTCATGTCATTGCCTACTTTTTAATGGGGTTGTTTTTTTCTTGTAAATTTGTTTAAGTTTCTGATAGATGCTGGATATTAGACTTTGTTGGATGCATAGTTTGGAAAAAATTTCTCCCATTCTGTAGGTTATCTGTTTACTCTATTGATAGTTTCTTTTGCTGTGCAGAAGCTCTTAAGTGTAATTAGGTTCCATTTGTCAATTTTGGATTTTGTTGCAATTGCTTTTAGCGTCATGATCAAGAAATCTTTGCCCATTCCTATGTCCAGAATATCATCTCCTAGGTTATCCGCCAGGGTTTTTATAGTTTTAGGTTTACATTTAAATATTTAATCTGAGTTAATTTTTGTATAGGGTGTAAAAAAGAGGTCCATTTTCAATTTTCTGCATATGGCTAGCCAGTTATCCCAGCACCATTTATCAAATAGGGAGTCCTTTCTCCATTGCTTGTTTTTGTCAGCTTTATTGAAGATCAGATGGTTGTAGGTGTGCAGAATTGTTTCTGGGCTCTCTATTCTGTTCCATTGGTCTATGTGTCTGTTTTAGTACCAGTACCATGATGTTTTGGTTACTGTAGTTATGTAGTATGGTTCGAAGTTGAGCAACATAGTGCCTCTGGCTTTGTTTTCTTATTTTTGCTCAGGATTACTTTGGTTATTTGGGCTCTTTTTTGGTTCCATATGAATTTTAAAACAGTTTTTTCTAATTCTGTGAGGAACTTCATTAGTAGTTTGATAGGAATAGCATTTAATCTATAAATTGCTTTGGGTAGTATGACTATTTTATTTTATTTTATTTTTGAGAGAGGGTCTCACCCTGTCACCCAGGCTAAAGTGCAGTGACTTGATCTTGGCTCACTGCAGCCTCCACCTCCCAGATTCAAGTGATCCTCTTTCTTCAGCCTCCTGAGCAGTTGGGACTACAGGCATGTGCCACCACATCTGGCTAATTTTTTGTAGAGATGGGGTTTCATCATGTTGCCCAGGCTGGTCTAGAACTCCTGAGCTCAAGTGATCAGCCTGCCTCAGCCTCCAAAAGTGCTAGGATTACAGGTGTGAGCCACCGCACTGGCCTAGTATGACCATTTTACTGATATTGATGCTTCTTATCCATAAGCATGGAATATTTTTCCATTTGTTTGTGTCATCTCTGATTTTTTTGAGTACTGTTTTGTAATTATCTTTGTAGAGATCTTTCTCCTCCCTGGTTAGTTGTATTTCTAAGTACTTTATTCTTTTTGTGGTAATTGTGAATGCAATTGTTTTCCTGTTTTGGCTCACAGCTTGGATGCTGTTGGTGTTAGGAATGCTACCAATTTTTATATGATGATTTTATATCCTAAAACTTTGCTGAAGCTGTTTATCAGAGCAAGGAGCTTTTGGGCTGAGACTATGGGGTTTTTTTAGACGTAAAATTATGTCATCTGCAAACAGGGATAATTTGACTTCCTTTCTTCCTATTTGTATGCCTTTTCTTTCTCTCTCTTGCCTTATTGTTCTAGCCAGGACTTCTTGTACTATGTTGAATAGGAGCGGTGAGAGAGAGCATCCTTGTCTTGTTCTGGCTTTCAAGGGGAACGCTTCTAGCTTTTCCCCATTTACTATGATATTCACCATGGGCTGGTCATAGGTGGCTCTATTATTTTGAATTATATTCTTTCAAAGCCTCATTTATTGACGGTTTTTTAATATGAGATGATTCTAAATTTTATCAAAAGCCTTTTCTGCATCTATTGAAATAAACATGGGGTTTTTGTTTTTATTTCTGTTTATGTGATGAATCACATTTATCAATTTGTGTATATTGAGCTAATGTTGCATCCCATGGATAAAGCCTATTTGATCATGGTGGATTAGCTTTTTCTTGTGCTGCTGAATTTGGTTTGCTAGTAATTTGTTGAGAATTTTTGTATCTATGTTCATCAAACATACTGGCCTGATATTTTTGCTGTTGTTGTGTATGTGCCAGATTTTGGTATAAAGATGATGCTTGCCTCAAAACCCTTCAAAAAATCAATGAATCCAGGAGCTGGTTTTTTGAAAAGATCAACAAAATTGATAGACCACTGGCAAGACTAACAAAGAAGAAAAAAGAGAAGAATCAAATAGATGCAATAAAAAATGACAAAGGGGATATCACCACCGATCCCACAGAAATACAAACTACCATCAGAGAATACTATAAACACCTCTATGCAAATAGACTAGAAAATCTAGAAGAAATGGATAAATTCCTGGACACATACACCGTCCCAAGACTAAACGAGGAAGAGGTTGAATCTCTGAATAGACCAATAACAGGCTCTGAAATTAAGGCAATCATTAATAGCTTACCAACCAAAAAATGTCCAGGACCAGATGGACTCACAGCCGAATTCTGCCAGAGGTACAAGGAGGAGCTGGTACCATTCCTTCTGAAACTATTCCAATCAATAGAAAAAGAGGGAATCCTCCCTAACTTATTTTATGAGGCCAGCATCATCCTGATACCAAAGGCTGGCAGAGACACAACAAAAAAAGAGAATTTTAGACCAATATTCTTGATGAACATCGATGCAAAAATCCTCAACAAAATACTGGCAAACCGAATCCAGCAACACGTCAAAAAGCTTATCCACCATGATCAAGTGGGCTTCATCCCTGGGATGCAAGGCTGGTTCAACATACGAAAATCAATAAACGTAATCCAGCATATAGACAGAACCAAAGACAAAAACCACTTGATTATCTCAATAGATGCAGAAAACGCCTTTGACAAAATTCAACAGCCTTTCATGCTAAAAACTCTTAATAAATTAGGTATTGATGGGACGTATCTCAAAATAGTAAGAGCTATCTATGACAAACCCACAGCCAATATCATACTGAATGGACAAAAACTGGAAGCATTCCCTTTGAAAACTGGCACAAGACAGGGATGCCCTCTCTCACCACTCCTATTCAACATAGTGTTGGAAGTTCTGGCCAGGGCACTCAGGCAGCAGAAGGAAATAAACGGCATTCAATTAGGAAAAGAGGAAGTCAAATTGTCCTGTTTGCAGATGACATGATTGTATATCTAGAAAACCCCATTGTCTCAGCCCAAAATCTCCTTAAGCTGATAAGCAACTTCAGCAAAGTCTCAGGATACAAAATCAATGTACAAAAATCACAAACATTCTTATACACCAATAACAGACAAACAGAGAGCCAAATCATGAGTGAACTTCCATTCACAATTGCTTCAAAGAGAATAAAACACCTAGGAATCCAACTTACAAGGGATGTGAAGGACCTCTTCAAGGAGAACTACAAACCACTGCTCAATGAAATAAAAGAGGATACAAAGAAATGGAAGAACATTCCATGCTCATGGATAGGAAGAATCAATATCGTGAAAATGGCCATACTGCCCAAGGTAATTTATAGATTCAATGCCATCCCCATCAAGCTACCAATGACTTTCTTCACAGAATTGGAAAAAACTACTTTAAAGTTCATATGGAACCAAAAAAGAGCCCGCATTGCCAAGTCATCCTAAGCCAAAAGAACAAAGCTGGAGGCATCACGCTACCTGACTTCAAACTATACTACAAGGCTACAATAAACAAAACAGCATGGTACTGGTACCAAAACAGAGATATAGACCAATGGAACAGAACAGAGCCCTCAGAAATAATGCCACATATCTGCAACTATCTGATCTTTGACAAACCTGACAAAAACAAGAAATGGGGAAAGGATTCCCTATTTAATAAATGGTGCTGGGAAAACTGGCTAGCCATATGTAGAAAGCTGAAACTGGATCCCTTCCTTACGCCTTATACAAAAATTAATTCAGGATGGATTAAAGAGTTAAACGTTAGACCTAAAACCATAAAAACCCTAGAAGAAAACCTAGGCATTACCATTCAGGACATAGGCATGGGCAAGGACTTCATGTCTAAAACACCAAAAGCAATGGCAACAAGACAAAATTGATAAATGGGATCTAATTCAACTAAAGAGCTTCTGCACAGCAAAAGAAACTGCCATCAGAGTGAACACGCAACCTACAGAATGGGAGAAAATTTTTGCAACCTGCTTATCTGACAAAGGGCTAATATCCAGAATCTACAATGAACCCAAACAAATTTACAAGAAAAAAACAAACAACCCCATCAAAAAGTGGGTGAAGGATATGAACAGACACTTCTCAAAAGAAGACATTTATGCAGCCAAAAAACACATGAAAAAATGCTCATCATCACTGGCCATCAGAGAAATGCAAATCAAAACCACGATGAGATACCATCTCACACCAGTTAGAATGGCAATCATTAAAAAGTCGAGAAACAACAGGTGCTGGACAGCATGTGGAGAAATAGGAACACTTTTACACTATTGGTGGGACTGTAAAGTAGTTCAACCATTGTGGAAGTCGGTGTGGCGATTCCTCAGGGATCCAGAACTAGAAATACCATTTGACCCAGCCATCCCATTACTGGGTATATACCCAAAGGACTACAAATCATGCTGCTATAAAGACACATGCACACGTATGTTTATTGCGGCACTATTCACAACAGCAAAGACTTGGAACCAACCCAAATGTCCAACAATGATAGACCGGATTAAGAAAATGTGGCACATATATGCCATGGAATACTATGCAGCCATAAAAAATGATGAGTTCATGTGTTTTGTAGGGACATGGATGAAGCTGGAAACCTTCATTCTCAGCAAACTACCACAAGGACAAAAAAAACAAACACCGCATGTTCTCACTCATAGGTGGGAATTGAACAATGAGAACACATGGACACAGGAAGGGGAACATCACACACTGGGTACTGTTGTGGGGTGGGGGTAGGGGGGAGGGATAGCATTAGGAAATATACCTAATGTTAAATGACGAGTTAATGGGTGCAGCACACCAACATGGCACATGTATACATATGTAACAAACCTACACATTGTGCACATGTACCCTAAAACTTAAAGTACAATAATAATAAAATTTAAAAAAATAAAAATAAAAATTAAGATGATGCTTGCCTCATAGAATGAGTTAAGGAGTTCTTCCTCCTCAGATTTTTTGGAATAGTTTCTATAGGAATTGTACCAGCTCTTCTTCATACATCTGGTAGAATTCAGCTGTGAATCCATCAGGTCCTGGGCTTTTTTGGTTGGTAAGCTTTTTGTTACTGATTCAATCTGTTTAGGATTTCAATTTCTTCCTGGTTCAATGTTGGGTGGTTGTATGTTTTCAGGAATTTATTCATTTCTTCTAGATTTTCAAGTTTGTGTGCATAGAGGTGATAATAGTAGTCGCTGAGGGATTTTTGTATTTCTGTGGGGTCAGTGGAAATGTCCCCTTTGTCATTTCTAATTGTGTTCTTTTAGATCTTCTCTCTTTTTTCTTTATCAGTCTAGCTAGTGTTCTATCTTATTAATTTTTTAAAAGAACCAATTCCTGGATTTGTTGCTCTTTTGTATGGTTTTTCACATATTAATTTCCTTCAGTTCAACTCTGATTTTGGTTTTCTCTTGTCTTCTGCTAGCTTTGGAGTTGGTTTTCTCTTGTTTCTTCAGTTCCTCTAGTTGTGATGTTAGGTTGTTAATTTGACATCTTTCTAACATTTTGACTTGGAAGTGTAGTGCTATAAATTTCCCTGTTAACACTACCTTAGCTGTGTCCCAGAGATTCAGGTATGTTTTATCTTTGTTCTCATTAGTTTAAAAGAATTTATTAATTTCTGTCATAATTTCATTATTTACCCCAAAGTCATAAAGAGCAGATTGTTTAATTTCAATGTAATTTTATGGTTTTAAATGATTTTCTTAATACTGATTTCTGTTTTTATTACACTGTAGTCAAGAATGTGGTTTGTATGTTTTTTTTTTAATTTGCTGAGGATTGTTTTATATCTGATTGTGTGGTTGACTTTAAAGTACATGACATGTGGCTATGAGAAGAAGGTATATTCCATTGTTCTGAGGTGGTGAGTTGTGTACATATCTATTAGGTCCGTTTTATCAAGGGTTGACTTCAAGTCCTTAATATCTTTGTTAATTTTCTGCCTTGATGATCTGTTTCATGTAGTGGGGTGTTGAAGTTATCCCACTATTATTGTGTGGGAAACTAAGTCTCTTTGAAGGTCTCTAAGAACTTTCTTTAGGAATCTGGGTGTCTCTGTGTTGGGTGAGTATATATTTAGGATAGTTAGGTCTTCTTATTAAATTGAACCCTTACAAGCTTCTTCTTATTACAACCCTTACAACCCTTCTTATTAAATTGAACCCTTACAAGCTCTGTAAAGCTCTCCTTTGTCTTTTCTTTTTTATCTTATTGGTTTAAAGTCTCTTTTGCCTGAAATTAGTATTGCAACCCATGCTTTTTTTTTCATTAATTTAGTAGGTTTTTCTCCATTCCTTTATTGTGAGTCTATGGGTGTCACTGCATGTGAGATGGGTCACTTGAAGACAGCATACCATTGGGTCTTGTTTCTTTATCTAACTTGCCACTTTGTGCCTTTCATTTGGGGCATTTAGCCCATTTACATTTAGAATTAGTATTGATATGTGCAGATTTAATCCTGTCACCATGTTGTTAGTTGGCTATTATACAGACTTGTTTGTGTGGTTGCTTTACAATGTTACTGGTCTGTGTACTTAAGTGTGTTTTTGTAGTGGCTGATAACAGTCTTTCCTTTCCATATTTAGCACCCCTTTCAGGATCACTTGTAAGGCTGATCTGCTGGTAACAAATTCCCTCAGCATTTGCTTGCCTGAAAAGGATCTTATTTATCCTTCACTTATGAAGCTTAGTTTGGCTGGATATGAAATTCTTGGTTGGAAATTATTTCTTTAAGAGTGCAGAATATAGGTTTCCAATCTTTTCTGGCTTGTAGGAATTCTGCTGAAAATTCTACCGTCAGCCAAGCTTTTTAAAACAATCTGCTTTCACCTAAATTAATAAAGTGAGCACTCACTTATTGCTGTGGGGGAGGACACTAAGCCATTCATGAGGAATCTTCCTCCATGACCCTATACCTCGCATTAAGCCTCATGTCCAACATTGGGAGTCCCATTTCAAGATGAAATTTTGAGGGTACAAACATCCAAATTATATCAGATGGGGTTATGACTTGATAAACCCATTGTAAGTTGAAAATATCATAAGTGAAAAAGACATTTCATATACCTAACCTACCAAACATCATAGCTTAGCCTAGCCCATGTTAAACATGATCAAAATACTTATATTAGCCTATAGGTGGACGTGTCATTTAACCCAAATCTATTTAATAATAAAATATTGAATATCCCATGTAATTGATTGAATGTTGTAAAAACTGAACAACAGAATTGTTGTATTGGTACTTGAAGTGTGGTTTCTATTGAATATGTATTGCTTTCTCACCATCACAAATCAAAACATTATTAAGTAGGCTGGGCTCAGTGGCTCATGCCTGTAATCCCAGCACTTTGAGAGGCCAAGGTGGGTGGATCATCTGAGGTCAGGAGTTTGAGACCAGCCTGGCCAACATGGTGAAACCCCATCTCTACTAAAAATACAAAAATTAGCCAGGTGTGGTGGTGCGTGCCTGTAATCCCAGCTACTCAGGAGGCTGAGGCATGAGAATCACTTGAATCCAGGAGGTGGAGGTTGTAGTAAGCCAAGGTCATGCCACTGCACTCCAGTCTGGCCAAAAAGAGTGAAACTCCATCTCAAAAAAAAAAAAATCATTAAGTAGACCCACTATAGGTCAGGGACTGTCTATATTTTCCAGTGTACATGAAACATTTATGATATAGACCATATTCTGGGTAATAAAACAAGTCTGAAAATGTTTAAAAGGACTGAAATCTATAATTAAACTTGATATTAGTAGCAAAGTATCTGGAAAATATCTAAATAATTGAAAATTAAATAAGGATATATATGTGAATGAATGGAGAAAGGATATGTATTAATACTGGATAATCAAAATGGTGGTCTGGAATTTGCTCTTTTTGTTGCCTACTACAGAGTCATCATACACCCAATCTCCCTGATAACAGTTCCCCAATTTACTCAGATATTATGCAACATTGCTTGATCTCACAGATGTTGGCTTCTCCACAAATCCCAGAGGATAAAGAACAATCAGTCTCTGTGAGTAATTTAAGTAATCCTCTTTCCCATGCCAGATACTCATTTTCCATCCTCACTTGCATTTAAAGGGGGTTCTATGAGAAATTTAAGTTAGAAGTAAAGGAAAATCATCTAGATTGGTGACGTAGGGTTCTAGGAAAGATTTTTCTTATAGCACAAAAAGAAAAAGTCTCACAAAGTCAAATCCTTTTTTTGTTCTGAGCCTTCTTTTCTGTCTTAAGGCAGCATGTGCATGTGATATCTGCTGCAACAAAATTTGTCAACTGGCAACCATGAGGCAACAGCTTGGGGACCAAAAACAAAACAAAAAAAAATTACTCTAAGAATGGCAGAGCAGAATGATAGCTAGAGCCTAGTCCTTAATACATTTTTAAGCTGCCACACCCATCTTAAAACTCCTTAACCCTGGATTAAGTATTAAGTAAATAGGAGATATACTTGTGTTTTAAGCCATAGGTCATCAAGTTCTCATTTCCTGTGGTCAAATAAAACTATGATCTTTGAATTTTTTTTTCTTTTCACTAGAAAGGGAAAAATCATTTAACATAAATTATCTCACCCATCCTCCTCTCTGTTTCTGTCCCCTACTACACAGCTATACTTTCAGTTTTAGAGGAAATATGCCTCCCTTTCTTACCAAAGCAAAGACCTCCATTAGGGCTCTGTGTCTCTTCTTTGCCGCTCCCTTCAGAAACTTGTGTCTTCTAGCACTTCCAATTACTGAACTCTCTTTCTATGGCTTTTATTACTGTTTCCTTTTTGGCTTAATTCAGTTGACTTCTCACTGGATAGAATGTATCTCTTTGTCTCTTACCTCAAATTAGTGGTCTATGCTTGTTGTTCTATATCCCCCTCTACTAACTTGTTCCTCCTTCTCTGTAATATTCAATTCCTTCTCTTTTTCCTAATTATTCAAATAAACCTCCAAATACTTGTTTGCCATAGTTGATTTTTACTTCTATATTTATCACTTTTATTTCTATAATATATAATTTTTCATCTAAAAACTCCTTAACATTGACTTTATATTATTCTGAATCTTCTCCTGTGTTACTAATTGCTTTTCATTGTTGCCAAAAATATACTATTCTCTTATTCTCTGCCCGTGGCTATTCCCCATAATGCAGTTCTTGGCCTTCTGCTGCTTCCTTCTTTCCTCTAAAGATTTTATACCTTATGGTTGTAATAATCATACAAATGTAGGTGTTTGCCAGATCTATATCTCTAGTCCTGATCTCTTTTAAATTCTCATTGTCATTTCTCCAAATGCATTCTAGAAAATCATTAGTCTAGTCAACACATTTAAAAGTCAACTCATCCTCATCCCCAAACCTGACTTCATTCATTATTTTCCTACATCTATTAAGGGTACTACTATTGTACCAGCCATCAAACTTCACATTTTAAATTCACCTTCAACTATTCCCTCTCTATTCTTTATATAAAAACATGTGTGAATTATAATCAAATCATAATTTGAAAATTTTTATCCTATTTTAGCTCTTTATCAGCTTCCACCTATAATAATTCAATAGCTTTGGTTCTCTTACCTTCTAATTTCTGTCCCTCCAAAGAATTTAAAACTATAGTGCCACCACCAGAAGCATATTTCTAAAGCATTATTTTCACCAGATCATACTTAAAATAGTCTCCCATTACCTGCTGGATTTTTGAATACAAAAGCAACTTCAAGGACTTAAAACCCGGCATAGCAGGAAACCTTTGGAACCCCATAAGAGCAGAAGCCTAAGATTACTAAATATTTTCTATACAACACCTGCAGACACCCAATAGAGAGCTTAAATTAATTGTAGCTTTGATTAGACTATTGGCCAAAGGTAATAAAGATGGAAATTCATTTTCTCAACTGTGTACTTATGCAAGAAACAGGGTTCCTTAATTCTTGGCAAGTATGCCATCAACCATCTTGATATTAAAAATAAGCCTTCAAGTTTATTTAATAAACTTTCCTTCCTACTATAAGCACTAGATCAAGCTTTGTACTTTTGACCCACAATAGTGTTTCAAAGCCTATATTCAGACACATCTTTACAATTTTCAATTTTGAAATTGGATCCCCTATTTCACCTAATGTAACAAGTATGAAATCCAACTTTTTCTTAGTTTGTCTTCAGTTGTCATGATGTGATCTCTATAGATCAGACAAGTTATTAAGAATTAATAAAGAGCATTTATAATTTTGTATGTATTGAGCTTTATTAACAAAATATTAACCCAAGCCCTTTAGTTCAATTATGTTCATTGTGCTCTAAAATGCTAAGAAATATGCCAATGTGTCAAACATGCAAATATATGCAAACCATAATTTTTCTACTTTGCACCAAATAGGTCTCAGCCTCTGATTAGTTCAAACGAAAGAAACTAACTCATTGTGTTCCATTGTCCAGGATGGAGAGGACTGCTCCAAAATTTTCTGAATTTATAATGAAGACAATGTTCATAGCCTCTATCCCTGGGGTTCACCTTGATTTTACTGACTGTGTTTATATTTTCCAAACTATTTATTTTGCATTTTGTAAATAGTAACACAATTTCAAAAGAGTAACACAATTTTATTTCTAGGACTAGTTTCCAAGGTTGGAAGTTAGTTTATAGGGGTTGGTAACAGACTTTATTTCAAGGACAGGGAAGTTGGAATAATGGGAAATAACAGATTGTGAGTTTAGAGGCCTGAGTCTTCTTCAGGACTCTGTAAGTAACCAACACTGTGACACAGGCCAATGATTTTTCAATGTGCACAGAATCACTTGTGACATTTGTTAAAACAAAGATTATGTGACTCCATTTCTAGAGTAGCTTTAGGATGAGGGCCAGAAATCTGCACATGAAGCAAGTTCTCCAAGAGCTAAGACAAGTATTCTTGTGACTGCACTTTGAGAATCACTGACTTAAGCAAATTGATTCTCCTGGGCTTCAATTTCTGTATCTGTAAAATGAGGGAGCTTGATTAGATGACAGTTGGGGATATTTACAACTCTTCACACTTCAAGACTCAAAGGGTTTCCTATTTTTGGGAATGAAGTCTTGATCAATACAACATGGGTGGCACTCAAGTGACTCAACCTCTCTTCTTTCATCAGTGTGTAGCCTGAAGGAGTATTTTCTATTTCTGCACCTTCTATTATCTTTTTGTACCCACGTATTACCTCAAAGATAGCCTTTTATGACTAACTTCAAACCTTGCCCATCACAGAAGTTGACAAGAGAAAGAAGCAATAGAGACTATCTAATACAACTCCCCACTCAATGCAGAAAGACTACCACACCCAATCATATCCAGAATAGATGGTCTGTGGTTCTCTACTTCCACTATGGGGAATTCATTACCTCGAAACATGGAAATGCCTTTCTTCTCTTAGATTAAAAACTCTTGTTGGAGGTTCTATTCATATGTTCTGGTTCTGATCTAAGATTCTGTGTAGAATAAATATAATATCTCACTCATGTGATAACCATTTGAATATAATCTTTGCTCCACACCCAGTTTCAACTCTTTCCATACAGTATTTATATCTAGTAGCCCTTCAATGTATCTCTCCTAAAATGTGTGCTCAGCTGTGGTCTGGGCAGTACCATTTATAGTAGGACCATGAAAAACTGAGTAGGGTATAGTGGGGGGGGGAACATATTTTCAACTCATATCACAGAAAATGGGGAAATACCCTAATATATTGTTTCAAGTTAAGGTTATGTGCTACCTCAGATCCATATGCTTACCTGTTTTCCTCCTGGAACAGCATTAGAGAAAGTCTGTAATATTTCCTTTTTTTTTTTTTTTTTTTTTTTTGAGAAAGAGTCTCGCTCTGTCACCCAGGCTGGAGTGCAGTAGTGCAATCTTGGCTCACTGCAACCTCCGCCTCCCAGGTTCAAGCAATTCTCCTCCCCTCTCCTGAGTAGCTGGGATTACAGGCGTGAGCCACCATGACCGGCTAACTTTTTTTTTGTATTTTTAGTAGAGATGGGATTTCACCATGTTGGTCAGGCTTGTCTTGAACTCCTGACCTCGTGATCTGCCTGCCTCGGCCTCCCAAAGTGCTGGGATTGAAAGCCTGTAATAATTCTAAGGTCATGTAGGCAGATCACTACTGCCTTTATCATCTCTGCAGACCAAAGGGCTCTATGTAGCAGTTGTTGTAGTTTTTTCTTGTTACTGATGAGGATTCACCAACACAACCTTATCTTACACCCACAATCCATGGCTCTTATTTCTTTCCAAGATGCTTCCCTATTGCCACTGAGAAAACTGAATAGGTGCTGTTTGACATGTTTAGTGTCCTGTGAGGTAGTTTTTTTTAATCAAGAGGGAATAAGATTTGATTAATAAATTCATGTTTCCTCTACTACCACAATCACCACTTTCACCAGATAGCTGAAAATAAAGAAATATTATCTTCAGAGAAATAACAGAGATTACAGCTGATGTTTTAACATACGCAACAAGAGACATAAGGCAATGAATGGCAGTTTTAAGGTGGTGAAAGGGGAAAATACTGTTTTTTTTTTTTTAAGACAGAGTCTTGCACTGTCGCCCACACTGGAGTGCAGTGGCTTGACCTCGGCTCACTGCAAGCTCCGCCTCCGGGGTTCACACCATTCTCCTGCCTCAGCCTCCCGAGTAGCCGGGACTACAGGCGCCCGCCACCACGCCCAGCTAAGTTTTTGTATTTTTAGTAGAGATGGGGTTTCACCGTGTTAGCCAGGATGGTCTCTATCTCCTGATTTCATGATCCGCCCGCCTCTGCCTCCCAAAGTGCTGGGATTACAGGCGTAAGCCACCATGCACAGCCAAGATAGATATTTTATACCTGGCAAAAGTTTTCTTCAGAAAATATTTTTCTAACAGTCTCTTCAATAAATGTTGAAAAAACTGGATATCCACATACAGAAGAATGAAATTGGACCCTTGTCTCACACTATATAAAAAATAAACTCAAAATGGATTAAAGACTTAAATATCAAGACTGAAACTGTAACACAACTAGAAGAAAACATGGGAAAATTCCACGACATTGGTCTGGGCAATGAGTTTTTGGATATGACCCGGAAGGCACAAGCAACAAACACAAAAATAGACAAATGGGATTGTATCAAACTAAAAGGTTTCTGAATAGCAAAGGCAATAATTAACAAAGTGAAGAGACAACCCATACAATGGGAAAAAATATTTGAAAATCAAACATCTGGTAAGAGACTAACATCCAAAAGTATAAGGAATTCAAACAATTCAATAGCAAGAAAACAAATTACCTGATTTTTAAAATGGGCAAAATGGGCAAAGGGACTGAACGGACATTTCTCAAAGAAAGACAAACAAATGGCCAACAAGTACATGAAAAATGCTTAGGCCAGGCGCAGTGGATCACACCTGTAATCCCAGCACTTTGGGAGACTGAGGCGGGCAGATCACTTGAGGTCACGAGTTCAAGATCAGCTGGGTCAACATGGTGAAACCCTGACTCTACTAAAAATACAAAAATTAGCTGGGTATGATGGTTAATACTGAGTGTCAACTTGATTGGATTGAAGGATGTGATATTGATCCTGGGTGTGTCTGTGAGGGTGTTGCCAAAGGAGGTTAACATTTGAGTCAGTGGGCTGGGAAGGCAGATCCACCCTTAATCTGGGGGGCACCACCTAATCAGCCACTAGCGAATATAAAGCAGGCAGAAAAACGTGAAGCAACGAGATGGGCCTAGCCTCCCAGCCTACATCTTTATCCAGTGCTGGATGCTTCCTGCCCTTGAACATCAGACTCGAAGTTCTTCAGTTTTGGGACTTGGACAGGCTCTCCTTGCTCCTCAGCTTGCAGACAACCTATTGCGGGGCCTTGTGATGGTGTAAGTTAGTACTTAATAAACCCTTTAAAGGAGAGTTTATTAAGTACTAACTTACACCATCACAAGGTCCCACAATAAGTTATCTATCTATCTATCTATCCATCTATCTATCTCTATCCTATTAGTTCTGTCCCTCTAAGAGAACCATGACTAATGCCCTGAGTGTGGTGGTGCATGCTCGTAATCCTAGCTACTTGGGAGGCTGAGGCAGGAGGACTGCTTGAACCCGGGAGGCAGAGGTTGAAGTGAGTTGAGATTGTGCCACTGCACTCCAGCCTGGGCGACAGAGCGAGACTCCGTCTCAAAAAAAAAAAAAAGAAAAGAAAAATGCTTAGCATCACTAATCATTAGTCACTAATCATTAGGGAAATGCAAACTAAAATCACAATGAGATATCACCTCATATCTGTTAGAATGGGTTTTACCAAAAAGATAAAAGATGACAAGTGTTGGTAAGGATGTGGAAAAAAGGGAATTCTTATACACTGTTGGTGGGAATTTAAATTAGAATGGCTATTATGGAAAAAGGTATGGAGATTCCTCAAAAAACTAAAAACAGAACTACCATACAATCCAGTAATCCCACTTTTGTGTATATATCCAAAGGAGATTATCTATCTATCTATCTATCTATCATCTATCTATCTATCTATCTATCTAATCAATCTGTTAAAGGGATATCTGTACTCCATTTTCAATGCAGTATTATTGAGAATAGCCAAGATATGGAATAAAGCTAAGTGTCCACCAGCAGATGAATATATTAAGAAAATGTGGTTTATATACACAATATAATACTACACAGCCTTAAAAAATGGGGGAAATTTTGTCACTTGCAATGACATGGATGAACCCAGAGGACATTATGCTAAATGAAATAAGCCAGGCACAGCAGGACAAATTCCACATAATCTCGCTTATATGTAGAATTTTAAAAAGCTGAACTCTTAGAAGTAGAGAGAAGAATGGTTATTACCAGAGGCTGAGAGATGGGGAAGGAGAAAATGGAGAGTTGCTGATCAAAGGGTACAAAATCTCAGATAGACAGCAGGAATAGGTTCTGAAACCTGTTGCACTTTAGAGCAACTATACATAATGATGTATATTTCCAAATAACTTAGAAAGTAAATGTCAAACGTCTCACCATAAAAAAATGAGAGGTAAGCCCGGTGATGGCTATGTTATTTAGCTTGATTTAATCATTCCATATTATATACCTATGTCAAAATGTCACAATGTACCCCATAAATGTATACAACGATGATTTGTCAGTTAAAAATAACACTAGTAATAGAAATATTTTTCTAAATAAGGACATTTTTAGACAAAAAAAAAGAGATGAGAATATTTATTGCCAGCAGAACCATACTACAAGAAATGTTTAATGAATTTCTTTAGACTGAAGGCCAATGATCTCAGATGGAAGCATGAAATTGCAGAAAGAAACAGAATTGAAAAGAGTAAATATGGAGGTAAATATAAAATAAAAATTTTTACTTTGTAAAAAAGACTAAAGCAAATTATGGGATTTATAGCATATATAAAAGTAAAATATATATGAACAATAGCAAAAAAAAGACCAGGAGGAATTGAAAGCATCTGAAATTATTTGTAAAGTGGTAAAATTCTAATTCAAGGTAGTCTGCATTAAGTTAAGGATGCATACTTTAACATATAGCATAAGCACTGAAAGGAAATACAAAACTGTATTAATAAAAAGCTAATAAAATACATAAAATAGAATGAGAAACATGCTTGAATAATCTAAAAGAAGGCACGAAAGAAACAACAAAGGAACCAAACAAAATGGGCATCAGAGAAAGCAAAATGATAGACTTAAACCCAACCATGTGAGTAACTACTTTAAGTGTAAAAATGAACAAAAACTCTAAATCACACAATTAAAAGAGGGAGCTTGTGAGAGTGGATTTTTTTAAAAAAATCTATGACTCAATATATGCTATCCACAAAGGGCAAACTTTCAATATAAGGATATAGACAGAAAAAAAGTAAAAAGATGAGAAAATATAAATGACATAGGCACTAATACTAAAGAAGGATACACTATAATGATAAAAGGATCAATATATCAGGAAGACATGACAAGCCTATATGTATATGCACCTAATATCATAGTTTAAAATGTATGATGCAAAACTGACAGAACTAAAAGGAGAAATAGACTGACCCACAGTCGTAATTGGAGGTTTTCACATTCTCTGAGATAAAGCAAGCAGATATCAATTCTATCAGTAAAATATTTGAAAAACTCTTATTAACAAACTTGATCAAATTAATATTTATAAACAGACTACTAACAACTGGAGAACAAACTTTTCAAATATACATAAATTATTAACAATGTAAACCATATGCCTTATTCTTTAGGTAATTCGTTTTATGTTTCACAGGATTGATTCATTCAGAATATGTTCCCTGGCCATAGTGAAAATTAACTATAACTCAATATCAAAAAGATAATTAAAATTGCCAACATTTGGGGGTTTTTGGGTTATCAACGCATTTCTAAATAGACCATGAGTCACAGAAGAAATCACAATGGGCATTAGGAAGTATTCTGAAGCATAAATAATGAAAATATATCAAAATCTGTGAAATGATGCTAAAACAGTGTTTACAGGGTAAGGTACTGGCTTTAAATGCTTATATTAAAAAAATAAAAGCTTTAAAGAATGATCTCAAGTGTCTAGTAAAAAAAAAAAAAGGATTCTCAAAGAAAGAAGGTAGGGAACTGTGGTGACAGCAGAGACGAGGCTCTCAGATCCCCTGTCAGTGTCAGTGAAGACAGATAGCCTTGGCTGTCACAGATAGCCCCTGGCTGTCCAGCTTCCCTTGGGTTTGTCTCAATTGCAGAGAGCCTCCTCACCCAAGGCTATGCCCTTCTCAGTGACTGAGTGAGGTGGAAGTATAAAATCCCAGGTATTCCAGACCAGTGCAGGACACCTCTGACAGCTAAATACTGTTACAGCTCCCTGTAGTGCTGTTTAAGCTTTTTCAGGCCTCAGTCACAGTTGAACTTCTCCCTCTGACCAGTGGAGATGAAGCTTCCTCCCTTCCCCAGGAATTCATCTCTAATAAATACCCTGTACACCAAACCCCATCACAGGGTCTGCTTTCAGAGGCAGACTTTCAACAGAATAACAAAAATAAGAGCAGAAATCAATGGAAAAAGATAGATCTACATGACAGAAAATCAACAAAACTAAAAGTATGTGTTCTTTGAAAGGTCAAAAACATTAATAAACATCTAGCCAGACTCATTTAGAAGAAAAGGAGAGGAAAAAAGCACTCAATAAAAATTGTTTGTTTCACATTGATACCATCAAAATATAGAACATTTTCATCCTCACAAGAATCACTCATGTTGCCCTTGCACAGCCACAACCACCTCCCTCTCCTCACCCCCTGTCCCTAGTGCGTGGAAACCACTAATCAGTTCCCCATTCTGTAATTTTATCTTTTGAAGAATATTATATAAATGAAATCATAGAGTATGATTTTTGTGATTTTTTTTCTTCACTCAACATAATTCCCTGGAGATTCATCCAAATTGTTGTGTATATTAGCAGTTCATTTCTTTTTTATTGCTGAGTAGTTTCTCACGTTATGGATCTACAAGTTCACTTAACATATACCTATTGAAGGACATCTGCATTGTTTCCAGTTTTTGGCTCTCAGTAATAAAGCTGTTATGAACAATTATAGACAGAGTTTTCAAAACGTAAGTCTTACATTTTCTGCGGTAAATGCTCAAGAGTGCAATTGCTAGGTCATCTGGTGGTTGCATGGTGCTGTGGGCTGAATTTTGTTTCCTCAAAATTCATATGTTGAATCCTTAACCTCTACTGCCTCATAATATGACTGTATTTGGTGATAGGGACTTTAAAGCAGTAATCAATGTAAAATGAGATCATATCATTCAGTCTAATCTGATAACACTGGTGTCCTTATAAGAAGAGGATATTAGGACACAGACAACACAGACTGGGAGTGACCATGTGAAGACACAGCGAGAAGGCAGCCAACTGCAAGCCAAGGAAACAGGCCTCAGAAGAAACCAAACCTGTTGACACCTTGTTCTTGGACTTCTAGCCTCCAGAACTGTTAGAAAATAAATTTCTGTTACTGAAGCCACCCAGTCTGTGGTATTTTGTATGATAGCCCAAGCAAACAAATATACATGATTAGTTTTACAAGAAACTGAAAAAGTGTTTTACAGAGCTGCTGTATCATTTCATATTTTCACTAGCAATGTATAAAGGGATCCAGCATAAAGAGGATCCAGTTCTCTGCATTTGGATCCAATGTGTAAAGAGGGATCCAGTTCTCTGCATCCCTCCAGCATTTGGTATTGCCAGTTTTTTATTATTATTATTTTAGCCATTCTGATAGGTATGTAAGTGATAGGTTATTGTTTTAATTTGCATTTCCCAAATGACTAATTATATCGAACATGTTTTCATATCCTTATTTTCCATCTGTATACCCTCTTTGGTGAAATATCTCTTCATGTCTTTTGACCACTTTCTAAATAGACTTTTTGTTTGTTCTTACTGTGAAATGTTGAGAGTTCTTTATACATTCCAGATATTAGTTCTTTTTAGGACATGGTCTACAAATATTTTCTTCCTGTTTATAACTTGTCTTTTGATTCTTTTAACAGAGTCTTTTGCAGAGCAAATATTTTTAATTTTGATGAGCTCCAATTAATCAATTTTTCCTTTTATAGATCATGCTTTCAGTGTTAAGTACAAGAATTTCTTATCTAGGTCCCAAAGATTTTCTTCCCTTTTTTTCTATAAAAGTTTTATGGTTTTACATTTCACTTCTAACTATACAATCTATTTTGAGTTAATAATTGTATAAAGTATACAGTTTAGGTCAAGGATCACTTTTTGAAAAAGCTACTCTTCCTCCACGGAATTGGATTATCAGATTTTGAATGGGAAGTGTGACTCAAAAGGCTAAGAATAATTGTTTTACATAGAAGAGCCTCCAGGAAGCTTTCTAGACTTTATTAAGGTAATATAAGCACACTTGAGTCTCTTAGACAACTTCATGATCTGCCTTAAAACAACGTACATGAGGCCTCTTCTGTCCTCTTTAGCTGAAGATGCAGTAGAATGCAATAAGCATGTTCCTAGATTCAAAATTTTCCTTAGTTATGCTTATTGGTTCATGACACTCTTTCTCTGCTCTGATTAGTAATTATGTTTCTCAGGGAATAAAGCTTGGTTGACTTGTCTGAATTCCTGTTTTAAACCTCTTGTCTACCTGAACTCAAGGAACCAGTCCAATGATTTAAACCCAAACTGCCTCTTTTGAATCCAGTCTCTTGTCTGCTGGACCAATAGATACTCCTAAATTGGATCCCCAGCATCTCTTAGCCACTTCTGCACTTGGTTCACCCACACCCTTTTATAAAGTCATGGGTTCTTCCATGGCTGATCTTCTTTGCCCTGAAATCAGTATAATTATGTCACTTAGCAGAGGGAAAGGGAGCAAGCTCCACATTTGATCATAGAACACAGACGGAGGTCTTCATTAGCTCTGTATACTACATGCTTCTCTTTTGTCTGGACACACGGAAGAATTGTGCTGCCTTGCCTCTTGGAGTGTAGCTAACTAACTATGTGAATTGCTTTGATCAATAAAACATAAGCTGAAGTGAGGTGTGCCATTTCCTGGTAGAAGCCATTAAGAACTCACGTGCTTCACTTTTCTCCTCTATATAGATCAGTGATGTTCTGGATAGTAGAGTTTCCATAAGCCTGCAAGCCTAAATGAAAACAGTATGAAACAGAACGTGTTCCATGATTGAGGGTAAAACCCTGTTGTTTTAAACCACTAAGATTTCAGTTTTTGATATTTGTTTGTCACTACTGCATAATTTTGTATTTCTTTATTGATATAATCCCAGTGGTATTATACATATTTAATTATAATAATTCATTAACTGGAAATCCAGATTTGAATTAATCTAAATACCTTTGTAAGTCTATGCATACAAATGAATTTGCTAATTAAAAAAAAGATTATTGTCACACCATGTTCATGAATTAAAGTTTTAAAAACACAGTTTCAACATGTAGATCAGCAACAGCATTCCATGGAATAGGATACACGCACATCTAAATTCATTTCTGGCTCCAAGTCAGGACTTAATGTTTTTTGAATAGCTGTGATCCACAAAAGGGAGATGAAGCGATTATACAGCAAAATGCTGATCAGAATAGCTAAGAAGATATTTCAACTGTTTGACAACAGCTTAACAACAAATGATTTAACAAAATGTGTGCCCGCTGAGCAAGGTGCTGGATGTATAATGTGAGGAAAACAGTGCCCTAAGCACAGTAGCCTTTGGATGAGGCAGATACTAAAGTGATTACGACAGCAGGGGCATGTCCAGGGTTCAGCCAAAGCTCAAAGAAGAGGGAAATGACATAATATCCAAATTTATTTTCAATGGGAGAAACCCATTTTCACTCACTTTCCCATCAGAAAGTTATGCTCTTGATTAAGCAGAGCAAAATTTAATTCCTCTCTTCTCAATAGTATACCTTGAACAGAGAGGTCAGCCAGAGAACACAGTGTACTCAGGTTAAAGAGCCAGAAAAGTGCAAGGTCCCACAGCAAAGACACGAAGTCCTTCCTCACTAGCAAGTAATTAGAGATGGGCTTTTCGAAGAGTTCTTTGAAAGTGACAAAATCTCTATAGCTGCTGTTGATGCCTGGACTTGTTTAAAGTGAACTTTGAGCAAGTGTATAGGCACAGGCAGATTTTCCATGGCTTTAGGGACCTCACCGGTGAAAACCATGGGGTTCGTATAGGACAATCAGCATATCTAACATAGGCAAAGTACAGCACCCAGTCTGGGAATGTGACAGAGCCTATTTTTATTTAGACAGAGCAGCCTGGGGTTTTTCAGTGATTCTTTAGTGAGGAGGGAGGGAATATATAATAGTGTATGTGTACATATAATTATACTGCATAGTTATGCTTAAATTTGCAGTCAGGTCTAGAATTTCGGTTTATCATTAACGAGTCCTACTTCTGTCTTCATACAAATTGAAGAACCATTCCAGGAAGTGTTAGAGGTGGCTTGGGTTGAACTGACCTGAATATTACGCACAGTAATCAAAATGACTTAAGCAGCCTCCCATACAAAACAGTACCCTGACAAGGCTGTCTCTGCATGCTACCCTTGCATATTTCTATGGTAGATGATGAAGAAAAAATGGTGCAATTAGGAGACGAATTTCAAAAATGAAAGAGAAAGTATCTTTCAGTAAAATCTATAAAAATCAAGCCATAATATTCTTCTTCCTCACCATTATGCACCAAGTCATAATTTTCTCTTTGTTTTCCAAAACACAACAACTTAAAGACATGCACTTTAAGAAGGTCTAGACGCTGCAACCCAGAAATCCCCACCTCTAGGAATCTAGTCCTGGGAAATCAGCAAAGATATGCATGGAGATTTAGGAGCAAAACTACTAATCATAGAATTTACAATATTAGGGAGATGGTAAAATTTTTCAAACTTATAAATATTAATAAGTAAAAACATTAAATTAAATTGCCTTTTTTAAAATTAGGAAAGAAATGGCATATAGGATCTAAGTAGTAATCCCCTCATTGATGAATGCAAAGCTATGATCAGCTCAGCTCAAATTCCCAGTAAACCTCTGACCTCTGGCTAGTTCTTAATAGAATGCACTGTGCTGAAACCATTTAATCCTGGACCTCAAAGTGTAAGCCTAGATTACCTTATAGTTCACCTTTTACCCTGCTCCCCCTTCTAAAAGTGAACACCTCTCAAAAGCTGAGAATTTCAGTAGTTGAGTCATTATCATGATTCTTTTCCCTTATGCCTGCCTCTAAAGAGGAGACACAAGATATATTTTGCAAAATCAGACTTTGAACCAGAGCTTGGTTATCACACTGGCAACTAATCTTTGTTGGTGATTTCCCTGTCAGCAACCAAATCATCAGGTAAGTATTTTATTAAGTGAGAATTATGTGATTAACAATATACTGGGGCTACAAGGATACAGAGGTTGTGTACGTAAAATATGGGCCTTGTTTTTACAGTGCTTGCTCTCCAGCTGACTAATCAACATCAGCATAAATGAACCAGGAGGAAATGGTTCAGAGCGAAATGGAAGGAATGGCTAAGTCAGTGTGTAGCAGTGAGGTGCCATTGACAGTGGGGGAAACTCAGTAATGACCACAGTGACCAGGAAGGATTTCATAGAAGCAGCAAACTCGAACCAGTTTTTGAAGGATAAATGGGATTTGTATAAGGAAATCGTAAGGCATTCCAGGAGAATATAACAATATGAATGAAAGAATGGCACTAGGAATAAGCTTGTTTCAGGTTCAGGGGACCTGACAGAGGGGAATGATGAAAAATGAAGGCAGGAGAGTGCTTGGGAAGAAAATAGAAATGGTCCTTCTGGACAAAAAAATAAATGTTTCTTTTTGGAGCGTGTGTGACATTTTTCCTGAAACTGTCCAGGGAAAGCTAACCAATCATGTCAGTAAATCTATATTTAAAAATTTTATTTGTGAATAATCTGTATATTTGACTCTGTATATCAAAAAGCAACAAAAATAGGGCCTTCTCCATCAAAAGAGGGGTATTGCCAAAGCTCAAGTGCTCAAATCTTAACTGCTAGATGCATTCTGAATCCTCCTCAGTCCTCCCCAATAATAACGGTGACCATGCTGGGTACTCACATCCTCTCCCTCCACTCAGCATTCCGAATGCCCAGACCAAATCTCATCAACAAAAGTCCTTTCACCTCTGCTTCCGAAACACCCTGCCTCTCCCCTGCTCAGCTCCTCCATGCCATTCCTTTTCTTCGTACCAATGAATATTAATGAATATCCAGTATATTTGTTCAATTATTCCATACAGTTGTTCCTTGGTATCCGCAGGGAATTGTTTCCAACATCCCTGTGGGTACCAAAACCCTCAGATGCTCAGTCCCTTGTATAAGATGGCATAATGTTGGCATAAAAATGGCATATAACCTACACTCATCCTGCCTTAAACTTGAAATCATCTCTGGATTACTTATAATACGGAGTACAATGTAAGTAAATGGTTGTTATACTGTATTGTTTATTATTTGTATTATTTTGTCTTGTTTTTTTTTCCAAATATTTTTCATCTGTGGTTGGTTGAAAAACTGCAGATACGGAGGGGCACGTGTATGTTTTTAGTACTACATTTCAGTTGCCAGCCATATTTTGAATTCCCCTGAGGTAAGCATGAAGAGAGAGACAGAGAGAGGGAATGGATAAATAAACCAGATGGGTGAACATGGCCAGGTAGATTTTGGACACTCCAAGATTCAGCCTCTGCCCTCAAGGAGTTGACTATCCAAGCAGGAGCCAGTTATGCAAGTCATTGTAATATACAATTGCTTCAAGCAGAAATCCACAATGCATAGTCAAGTAGAGGAGAAGGAGCACCCACATCTGCTGGGGGAAGATGAAGAAGGCTTCTCAGAAGCATTTGAGGTGAAAAAGAAAGAATCGGTAGGAATTCTTTGCAAGCTCAAGGAGGCATTCCAGACAGAATGACAACATGTGGAAAGACGCAGATGCATAATCACGTATAACATGGTTGAGAAACTGTGGAGAAACTTAAGAGTAGAGGGGAGAGAGATGGGAGATGAAGACTTGTAGGTAAGCAGAGGTCACTTCATGAGGGGTCAGAAGGAAAAAGTCATAATAATAGAATGTGCTATAGAAAAACAAAAAACATTCAATTTGATCATAAATGTAAGGCATGCTCGTCTTTTCTTTTTGAAGAATCTATTTTATTTATTTTTCACATTTATCGAATTTTAGTTTGGTTTAATAATATGTACAAAATAGTAGCTAGAAAAAATAATATGTAAAATATGGGTAAAATATAAATAATTGCAATACAAATAACACCCACTTACTTACTTGGTTTAAGGGAAGGAATGTTACAGTTATCTGTAAAGCCCCTCTCATGTCCATTTCCTTGACTTCCTGCTCAGAAATAACCATTAAACAGCTGAGCCCAAGATTGGAACACAGACCCTCTTGATGCTTAAGCCATGTTCTTTTCACTCCCTGCCTCCTTGTGGACACATAACTGACTCTTTCCTTCCCATCCTAATCTCATTCCCTGAACATAAAGATAAATCCTTTTAAATAATTTTTAACAGGAAGGGATGTCCCAATTTTATATTCTAACATCTAACATCTATATTTTATACAAGCAAAGCTGAGACACAGGCAAGTTGAATGAGTTGCCTAACACCTTCTTGCTAATCAGTGGCAAATTCAAAACTAGCAGTGAGAACTTCAAATTTTGATTCTAGTTTGAGTCAGAAAACCCTAATTTTACCCTATGTATTAGTCTGTTCTCAAAGTGCTATCAAGAACTACCTGAGACTGGGTAATTTATAAAGAAAAGAGTTTTAATTGATGGGTAAGTTATAAAGAAAAGAGTTTTAATTGACTCACAGTTCCACAGGCTATACAGGAGGCATGGCTGGGGAGGCCTCAGGAAACTTATAATCATGGTGGAAGGGCAAAGGGGAAGCAAGTACCTTCTTCACATGGCACAGCAGGAGGAAGAGAGAGTGAAAGGGGAAGTGCCACACACTTTCAAGCAATCAGGTCTCATGAGAACTCACTATCATGAGAACAACAAGGGGAAAATCCTCCCCCATGATCCAATCACCCCCAACTATGTTCCTCCCACAACACTGGGGATTACAATTCAACATGAGATTTGGGCAGGGACACAGAGCCAAACTATACCACCCTAGCATTGTCATTATTCCACTTTGAATGAAGTGGTCATCCCATTTATGACACCCTCACTTCCTTGGAATTTGGAAGTTGGAATAATGAGGAGGTTGCAAGAAAGCGATCCTAGAGTAAAAAGCACCGTCACTGTTATCCCTGTATTTGTGTAACCATACAAGAGTTATAATAAATTACATCTTCTCTATTGCGACTGTAGTATTTACTTTGAAGGCTTGGAGGTATAGAGTTCCTTAATGTTTAATGGACTAATTATCAATAGTCTGAGCCAAGAGGTGTGTCCAATTAAAGTCTGAGTCACTAGGAGCTTCGATTTAAAATTTAAGAATCCTGTTGGCTCTAGATCAACAATGCCATTTTAAGGAACACTAAAATGACAAAAATTAAAACTTACGTTTTGCACTCTCAAAATAATGCAAAAATTAATACAAAAATTTAAACATTAAGCAAGTGCCATGGGGCTCTGCTCAGGCATGCTGGGCACAAACATGAGACGTGTTTGAATCTTGTTGGCAGAGGTCTATTTACTGGCTCATCAGGGAAGGTGGCTTTTTAAAGGTTTTTCATCCTAGGTATGAAAATCATTATTCAGCCAGTAACATCCAAGCTTCAAATGATTAGCTATTCTTTCCTCATCGGTGTCTCATCTGTTTGTCCTTTAGAGTAAAACAACTCTAAGGCTAGAACAGACATCTAAAGGCCATTTAATTATTGAGTGTTAGAATGGGAAGGGACTTCAAAGACTGCTTAATTTAACTCTCTGTTTACAAATGAGGAAACTGAGACCCAGAAAATGGCCATCGAAGGTCATGGGAAAGTGGGACTTGGAACATGGTTCATTGTTCATCCTACTATGTCAGTCATTTTATCAGCCAACAGTAAAGACTGCACTTCATAATCAAAATGTCTGTCCTTGCATGGAGACGTTGTCTGTCTGTGAACGTCTCCATGAGTCCATCAGTGAATGCAGCCCTTGACTTTTCTCTTTGATTCTATGCCTTTGCTCAGAAAGGGCCAGACATCTGTACTTCATCACAGGACTCTTCTCCATCTGGAAGAGTTCCCGAGAAGCCCACAGAGATACATCAAGGCTTCCAAAATAAGCCCATTAGGTCATCCTTGAGTGAGGGAGAGGTAGGAATGGCAATTTTGTCATGAAATACACTTGGGAAAAACTAGTAGATTTGCCTCCGAAAGCCTCTCAATAGGCTATCTAACTTTGTTTAACCCAGAGTATCCCCAAATTATGTGACCACATTTTCCTCTCCCTTCCTTGTTCTTTGCATACACCCAGTATTATCCCACAGCTTTAATCCATGGAACAGACCTGTGAATCCTGCACTATGGAATTTCTTCTGCCTACCAGTTGCTTCAATTCAGCTTTCCAAAAAGGGCCAATTCTTCTTAGGTGCACAGGTATGCAGAACTTCATAGCTACTGGGTGGATTAATTGCTTTACTGGAGGTGATCGAGAATATCAGTTACTGTGAAATGTGACAAGTCAATGATGCTTAAGGAGCATATGATAAGCATCTGACAGAAGACTTGCTGCTAAGTTTCCTTGTGACAAGATACAAACATTGGATCCTCATTCCCACTCCTAAAAACAAATAACTTCAAACTCCATGCCAACATTTTTGTTTTTTTAAGCAAAAATACACATTGCTCACACTGAATCATATATTATGCCAAAAATAATTCAACTGATACTTACAATTATCGGTATTTTTGGTGAATTAAAATCCTTTTTCACTACCTATCTCCTTTCTGAAGGCAGTTCATTCATTAATTCATTCAGATTTACTCAACAAATATTTATTTAGCACCTACTATATGTTAGGTACTATCCTAGGGGCTGTGAATATAGCTGGGAATGAAACACAAAAATACCTGGAGTCTAGGCTTACATTCTGGCAGTGGAGACAATCAATCAATAAGCAAGCAGATATAATGATTTTAGTGTAGATATATAATAAGATTTATAGAATCCCAGGTGAAATAAAATAAGGCAGGAAAAGGTAATAGGGAATAAAAAGGGGGATAATGTTTAAAATGAGGTGGTCAGGAAAGATGTCACTCATGCATTTGTAAAAAAAAAAAAAAAAAAAAAAAACAAAAACAGAGATTTCCCCTATCTTCTATCTCATCCTAAGTGTGGTTCCCTAGACTTCTCTGGGAGAAAAAGGCTTAGGTTTAGGGTTAGGATTAGGGTTATGAAAAAGATGACTGCCTTTCTCTGTGACCTGTCTCTCAGCACTTCCTCAGCCTTGCTCTAGTAGCTTCCCTTTTCCGTTCTATTGTGGGAGATGCAGTTGTGGTGACGTTGTGGCAGGTCCCGGTCAGACAGCCTATGGAGAGTTGCATATATCCCTTCAGCAGGGGCTCAGTTGAATGTGTCACATGAGATCCCATTGGCATTGCATACTGCCTTTCTCTGCCAGGGTTTCCCAGAGTGTGGGATACCTGCCCTGGCAGTGTTGAAGTTGATTTGGGTGTTATGCTAATGCTTACAAGAGATTCAGGAATTGCACCTTAAATAACATTGCCACTGGTCTTTTAGTTCTCCTTCACTCTTTCTGATGCTTTCCAGGGGAAAGTCTCAGTTTACTAATAGTCTCTAACACTCCTCTGAAATCTAATTCTCTTCAACATGGAAAGAGCAGAACTGGGGTCAGGACCTTAGGCGGTAACAATGTCTAGCCTGAATCTAACAACATTGATTTATTTTTGTATTTAATTTTGCTCAAAATAAATTTAAGCTAACAGTGATGCAATTTAAATAAAATATTCAGCAAATATCTGTAAATGTGATTTTAGCTGTTATTAAATTGTGAAGGTAGAGCCTGCGTGACTGAAGTTTGGAAAACACTATGCTTGACTCATTGAAGCTGATGGCAAACTTTCCATTTCCTTCTTGCTGCTAGATTCTGATATCACTAGATAGTGGGTTGCTCAGAAGGCCACAGTTACTGGTGATTTTTATCTTGTCTTATAGATGGAAATTTCTTTTTTTTATTTTATTATTATTATACTTTAAGTTTTAGGGTACATGTGCACAATGTGCAGGTTAGTTATATATGTATACATGTGCCATGCTGGTGTGCTGCACCCATTAACTCTTCATTTAGCTTTAGGTATATCTCCTAATGCTATCCCTCCCCCCTCCCCCCACCCCACAACAGTCCCCAGAGTGTGATGTTCCCCTTCCTGTGTCCATGTGTTCTCATTGTTCAATTCCCACCTATCAGTGAGAATATGCGGTGTTTGGTTTTTTGTTCTTGCGATAGTTTACTGAGAATGATGATTTCCAGTTTCATCCATGTCCCCAAAAAGGACATGAACTCATCATTTTTTATGGCTGCATAGTATTCCATGGTGTATATGTGCCACATTTTCTTAAACCAGTCTATCAATCATTGTTGGACATTTGGGTTGGTTCCAAGTCTTTGCTATTGTGAATAGTGCCGCAACAAACATATGTGTGCATGTGTCTTTACAGCAGCATGATTTATAGTCCTTTGGGTATATACCCAGTAATGGGATGGCTGGGTCAAATGGTATTTCTAGTTCTAGATCCCTGAGGAATCGCCACACTGACTCCCACAATGGTTGAACTAGTTTACAGTCCCACCAGCAGTGTAAAAGTGTTCCTATTTCTCCACATCCTCTCCAGCACCTGCTGTTTCCTGACTTTTTAATGATTGCCATTCTAACTGGTGTGAGATGGTATCTCATTTTGGTTTTGATTTGCATTTCTCCAATGGCCAGTGATGGTGGGCATTTTTTCATGTGTCTTTTGGCTGCATAAATGTCTTCTTTTGAGAAGTGTCTGTTCATGTCCTTTGCCCACTTTTTGATGGGGTTGTTTGTTTTTTTCTTGTAAATTTGTTTGAGTTCATTGTAGATTCTGGATATTAGCTCTTTGTCAGATGAGTAGGTTGCGAAAATTTTCTCCCATTTTGTAGGTTTCCTGTTCACTCTGATGGTAGTTTCTTTTGCTGTGCAGAAGCTCTTGAGTTTAATTAGATCCCATTTGTCAATTTTGGCTTTTGTTGCCATTGCTTTTGGTGTTTTAGACATGAAGTCCTTGCCCATGCCTATGTCCTGAATGGTAATGTCTAGGTTTTCTTCTAGGGTTTTTATGGTTTTAGGTCTAACATTTAAGTCTTTAATCCATCTTGAATTAATTTTTGTATAAGGTGTAAGGAAGGGATCCAGTTTCAGCTTTCTACATATGGCTAGCCAGTTTTCCCAGCACCATTTATTAAATAGGGAATGCTTTCCCCATTGCTTATTTTTCTCAGGTTTGTCAAAGACCAGATAGTTGTAGATATGCAGCGTTATTTCTGAGGGCTCTGTTCTGTTCCATTGGTCTATATCCCTGTTTTGGTACCAGTACCATGCTGCTTTGGTTACTGTAGCCTTGTAGTATAGTTTGAAGTCAGGTAGCATGATGCTCCAGCTTTGTTCTTTTGGCTTAGGATTGACTTGGCAATGCGGGCTCTTTTTTGGTTCCATATAAACTTTAAAGTAGTTTTTTCCAATTCTGTGAAGAAAGTCATTGGTAGCTTGATGGGGATGGCATTGAATCTATAAATTACTTTGGGCAGTATGGCCATTTTCACCATATTGATTCTTCCTACCCATGAGCATGGAACGTTCTCCCATTTGTTTGTATCCTCTTTTATTTCCTTGAGTAGTGGTTTGTAGTTCTCCTTGAAGAGGTCCTTCACGTCCCTTGTAAGTTGGATTCCTAGGTATTTTATTCTCTTTGAAGCAATTGTGAATGGGAGTTCACTCATGATTTGGCTCTCTGTTTGTCTGTTATTGGTGTATAAGAATGCTTGTGATTTTTGCACATTGATTTTGTATCCTGAGACTTTGCTGAAGTTGCCTATCAGCTTAAGGAGATTTTGGGCTGAGACAATGGGGTTTTCTAGATATACAATCATGTCATCTGCAAACAGGGACAATTTGACTTCCTCTTTTCCTAACTGAATACCCTTTATTTCCTTCTCCTGCCTAATTGCCCTGGCCAGAACTTCCATCACTATGTTGAATAGGAGTGGTGAGAGAGGGCATCCCTGTCTTGTGCCAGTTTTCAAAGGGAATGCTTCCAGATTTTGCCCATTCAGTATGATATTGGCTGTGGGTTTGTCATAGATAGCTCTTATTATTTTGAGATACATCCCATCAATACCTAATTTATTGAGAGTTTTTAGCATGAAGGGTTGTTGAATTTTGTCAAAGGCCTTTTCTGCATAGATGGAAATTTCTGCCTGTGTCTAAATACTTTCCAGATGATATTATCCTATCAATAAACAATATGTGATCTGAGTCCCCATTGAATCTGCAAGTTCCCCTTAATCCCTTAAATATCTTCTGCATGTGAATTGGAGAAAAATAAGCAGCCACCATGAACACACTGCATTCCCCTGATTACCTGATGACTGTTCCAAGGATTTCTTTGATGCTTATAATTGGAGTGTAAAGAGCCTCCATGGTGACTGAAGGATGTTACTCTAGTTTTTATTTGCCTAAAGGCTGGAATTCTAATAAAAATTCTGGCATCTGTCATTACTATCCTGGAAGGGGTTGAAAAGAATATTTTAGGTAGGTCAACTTTGTCAGCTGAACCAGTCTCTCAATGCATCCCTCAGTCCCTTGCGTCTCATGTCCACAGATGGAATACAAGATGTACTGATGTTGAAATAGTGTTAAAAATAAACTATCTCCCCATAAGTTTAAGCACAGTTAAAAGTAATTCTCATGTAACACCTAGATTTTGCTATTCAACCTTTTGCCCTCCACAATCACCCCATCAACCTGCCTGCTGAAAAGGGCACTGGACAGCCTGAAAGAGATATTTTTAGCACAAATAATCTTGTTATAAATCAGTTAACACGACAAGAGAACAAACATTTTGTTCCTCCACTTGCTCTCTCCCTCTCTTACACACACATACACACAACACACACACACTCAACCTTTGCTTTTCTTAGAATTTGATTCTGCATGTGAATTTATCTTTTCCTTCAAAGTTCTTGCATTTTCATATTATCTTAAGACTTTGGATTATTTCTTTCCAAGAAACCAGTGACTCCAGATGACTCTTACACAGTTCTTCAATTCTTAACCACTTTGTTCCTGGGAAAATACAATATTAAATTCAGCTTTATAAAAGCTGCCCATCCTCTAAAAGTAGCTGCTTATACCCATTGGTTATTATTAAAGTCATTTCAATATAACTCCCTCTAGAGATTGGCTATAGATAATTGATAATGATATTTTAATAGTCCTAGAGAAAAATTAGGCAAAATTGGTTGAGTCTATGAATCTTTCTAATATATTCCCAGTGAAGCCATGGTGGGTTAAATTTCTATCCAAACAGTAAATCCACTGAAGCAGTGGGTTATAAACTGACATTTAAGAAGCAAAGAGTGAGTTATTCAGCTGATCTCTATGTCCTCTGCCTTCTGCTCACAGCACGGCCAGGCAGGGTACAGAGTGATGAATACCAAGGCCAATGGCTACAAGAGCTCACAGCAAAAAGAGCTTACCTTTTTACTTCTGAGTACACATGGGTTAGGGCTGGCTCATTTTTAATTTTTAAGTGAGTGTGTGTGTGTGTGTGTGTGTGTGTGTGTGTGTGTGTGTGTGTGTGTGTGCTGGCCCTGCAGCTCATCCCCAGGACATAATCCAAACAGAAAAACTATAGAGTTTTCAGACTAGCTCCACATGGGGTGTCTACAAAGGCCTACAGTGCACCCTGGATGGCTTTCAAGTTTTTTCAAAGCGATCTGGAGTCTTTTAAAGTTGTCATTGTTTAAGGAACCTGCAGAGAGGGAGAGAGCATTTTGGGTCTCAGGAGAAAAGGAAGAAATAAGATTTGAGGTAGCCAACAGATGTGGAAAATCCAGGTACTGTTCTAAGTACCTTGGCTATTACCTGCCTTTCTCCTGCTGACTCGGCTACGCTCCCCTAAAGTTGCTCTCCCTTCTCAAATACTATCTACCTCTATCAAGGAGGAGAAAAAGCAGCAGTCTTTTTCACTAGGGTCTTCTCATTGCCTATAATTTGCCTTCCTGGGGTCTTCTCATTCCCTATAATTCTATTTTGTCATTTAAATCTACACAACAGCTGTTTCTCCTTTATATTTCTCCTAAAATCATGGGCATAAATGGCCAAACATAGTTCTGAATTTACAAACAGATAATTTTTATTCTTCCAAGTCTCTAATTCTGGCAACATCACTATTTTAATAATGGTACTTTCTCTGCCTCTCATTTCTGGTACGTTTATGGTTTCACTTTCAATCCTTTCCTCCAAGGAGCTCTCCGTCTGCCTCCTGCCCCTTCATTTCCCACTTGCACAAAGCTCTGCATTTGAGCCTCACTGTTCCTCTCCTTCCATTTAATGGTGCAGCATCCATCCTCCATATTTATAATTTCTCGCTTCCTGCATCTCATCTGCCACTGTCATGATGCTGGCTTTTTTTTTTTTTTTGCTTTACCCACATAAATTATAATTTCCTGGTTTTCTCTTTTTCGCCTTAACAAATTTTCTTATCTATCTGATCCCTTATTAGTTGAACAAATTTCATCATCTACCTTAGAAAAATGAAATTTTTATGAAGATTTGATTTTAACTGAATTTCCTTTGAAAAGCACAAAATAAAAGCACAATTCAAAGAAAAATTGACCTAACTTGACCTAACTTGACCCAACAGTGTTCCTCAGTGAACTCAAATAAGGGCAATTTACTGTGCAAGCATAGATTCGAGAACATACCCTGTTGGTATCATGGAAACCCCATAAGTACTGTTCGGGAGTAAAAGGTACAGGCAGTTCAAATTCATTTCTACTTAGATAGCACAGTCTTAATCAGTGAAGGCTAAAAATAGACTGCCTTCGTTCCTGGAAAGAATTGACTTCAATTTCTCTTTCCAAGGAATTGGAAATGAGAAGTCAAAGGGTCTTAGCCTCCTGGGAACACTCAAAAAAATTAAAAACATATTTCCTCTGCCAGTATTTCTGAAACATAAGAAGACTGGTGTATACATTTAGGTTTAGGAAAAGTTTTTCCATGTAATATATAACCAAGGGAAATACTTAGTACCTGCCATAGAATGAAATATATTTATGAGCTTTGAACTCTTACAGAAAAAAGTCAAAGTCCTAAGTTTGGAATGCAGTCTTTCAAAATGTCAAGTTTTACTGTAAAAGGTTAATTATCTTATCCTTTTTGTCTTGAGAGTTATTAAAAGTATTTAGTAATATATTTCTGTCTCTCTCTCTCTCTCTCTCTCTGCAATGTATTTATTGTGATTATTAGAATGATCAATTTGGTTACAGGATTATAAATTGATGATCCTAAACAAGATCATCTGCATGAATAGATCAATACCAAACATTTGATAATGTTCTGTTTCCTAGTCCTCAACCAGTTTCAGTTATCACATGTCGTTTCTTTCTGTTTGGACAAAAAAAGTTCAGAAAATTAAATTTCTGAATATGCCAGAGTTATGTGGAGATGTGAGTTCAGAGTACTGTTGGAAGTCATTTCAGGTAATCTGGTACAGTGATGCTTGAAGGTGAAGAAAGCTCAGTAAAAATTGGTTATGCTCAATCCCCTCCAACTTAGGCCTGAATAAATCATCTAGAGTAACCACCCACATGGTCCTGTTTTCACTTAATGATTACCCCATGCCGTTGTGGCCAGGTAGAATTTGGCTACAAGTTTTCAGAACACTCAGATACCTAACTGGATGCTATAAAATCCATATATATGCTATATTTATTTTTCCCTTTCATATGCAATGTCCTTTTGGGGAAGAAGTCATCTTCATTATTATCAAGGCTTAGCAACAATAAATACTTATGCTCACAAGGTTCAACAAATTTGCCTAAGAATGGGGAGAGGTATTTTATATTTTGTTATACTGACACATCATTGAGTCAGTTTTCTCCAGGGGGCTAAATTACTTTTTGGAAGTAAACTCAGAGCAATGGAAGAATTGATTTAACTCTTCTAGGCTACTTAGGGCTAGATTACTATTAAATTAAAAGTCTCTTTTAGGGAACAAACTTGTACTTTTCTATCAATTAACAGCATTTGTTCATAAATTCAAAATACAAATGACTTTCGAATCTATCTCTGCATATAATAGGGAGAGTAATAGGTGAATTATGTTTATCTCTAAGGAAAAGAAAAGGGATAAGGAGATAAGTTAATATACTATTTCTAAAAGTAACAAATAAAATACAACATTGCTGGCAGGAAAAGAATTACATCTCACCTGTCCTCTGTGCTTTGCTAACTTATTGAAGACAACATGATTTGTGGAGATAAAAGTAAGATGATGCCTTTGGCTGGGTTTTTCAAGGACAAAAGAAGTAGTTCTAGGGTGCTCAGTATGCAAGCACCTGCCTTATAATTCTGCTGTGCAAATGTCAACATCTTGACACAGTTTTTTGGCAGAGGTCAAAAAGGCAACACAGAAGCCTTAATTAACATGTAAAAATCATGGTGATTTAACTATATGGGAAAGAAAATGGCTACTTCTGGAAATCCTTCCATTGCAAATTTCTGGAAAAATGAGAAATTGTTTCTATCTGCAGTGATCTTTAAAGAGATAAAACATGAATTGAGAAGATGAAATACAGGATCCCCAAATTCAGGGAATAATGTTTTTTTATTTATTTATTTATTGGTAAATTACTGTCAAAGAATGAGTCAATCATAGAGAAGGAAAAGTGTGAAAGACTGTCCAACTTAGCATTTGAAAAAATACATTTAACTGAGTGATGCTACAAAAAACATCTTTATCTTTTCTAGTTCCAAAAAGTATTTAGGGTAGAATACATACACGATGTGTTCTAAGCCAAGTGAAACAAAATGTACCAGAAAAAATATCTGAAAGAAATATGTTAAAATTCAGAAAATGTTGGCCTTTCAGTGGTAGGATGACCAGTAACTTTTTTCTATTTTTCCATACTTTTTAGTATCTACATGTTTTCTATATGAGGCATTTATAACTTTGATAGTCACGAAGTAAAAGGAGGTAGGGAACATACACTCACTTATATACCAAATATCTATGGAGCACCATACTTGTTGATAGAATAGAAAGAACACATTTCTAAATTAAGTTCCAGAACCAGCTATCTCAGAACCTTCCTGGAAGCTTGTAACTGGATTTCCACCCTAGACCAAGTTAATCCTTATCTTCTGGAGCTGGGCTCAGGAAGCTGCATGTCTGATAATGACCTGAGGAATTTTTGCTCAGTAGTTTGAGAAACTCTGCTATTGGAGGAACACAATTGGAGAATCTCTAGGCCTGACTAATCTGAAAGGCTTTTATGAGCTGAGACTTAGAGGAAGAGAAATAGCTTGACAGATAGAAAGAGGCACAGGAAAAAAATTAGCCAGGCATGGTAGCATGCACCTGTAATCCCAGCTACTTGGGAGGCTGAGGCAGGAGAATCACTTGAACCCGGGAGGCGGAGGTTGCAGTGAGCCGAGATCATGCCACTGCACTCCAGCCTGGCAACAGAGTGAGACTCTGTCTCAAAAAAAAAGAAAATTGCATTCAGTAGACTTTGTTTGTTTACTTTGAATAGTGCTTATACTCACCATAATCTTACCATTTAAACAATTATATAGGATAGTAAATGAAAGTATCATTTTTTTTCAAGGTAATTGGTATTGACAATTTGGTGTTCAGCATTCCTGCTATTTCTCTGAGTTTGTAGACAGATGGGTCAACATACATCCTTTTCATGTTGGTATTTTGCACACATTAGTCCCCATTCTTAAAGATGTTCTCTCACCATTCACTCAAGTGTCAACTCATGCTCCAGGTCTCATATTAAAAGCCATTTCCTCAGAAAAAAAGATTCCAATCTCCTCCAAACTAGGCCAGATTCCCTGGCATATTAAGAATCAAGAGTGTCTTGTTATTTCAACTAGCAGGTGTTTATAATAAGTATTTGTTAAATAATTATTTAATTCTATGTTGCAAGAGACATCATTCAACATACATCTGATAAACCAATTTTGTTAATTATATTATCCAGCCCCTCTATCTCTCTGCATTTTGTTTGACTTTCAGGTACCCCATCAAAGACAGTTAAAATCTCCACTATAGTTGGGTTTCATTGTGTTCAGCAACTTCTCCTTAATTTCTAACAATGTTCCTTGCCTTGCCAAGCTCACGTTCTAATCAGGTAGTCAGTCAATACAACAAGCAAGCAAATATATAAAAATATATTTGTTAGTGGAAAGTATGATATTTTCATCATAAATTTAATCCTCAATCAATATAGAAATATAACCTTCCTGGTTTTTGGTAATAATTTCTACCTTAAATCTTTTTTATGCTAGCATAACAATTTCTACTTTTTGTTAGCATGTCCTTAATACAACTCTGCCCTTCCTTGTACTTTTAATGTTTTTGTTTTATTTTACTTTGGGAGTCTGTGTCTTTTAACAGGAATTTCATCCACTTTTATTACTGCAATTGATATTTAGATTTATTTGTGTTTTAAATGTACAGTTGGTTTTATATTATTGACTTATTTTGGGGGAAATGGGAACATGTAAGGAATATGTACATTAATATAGCCCGGAAATGATATTATGAATGAAGAAATAGGATGTAAAGGAGCCAAGGGAAAAGCATTTCATCAAAAGGTGAATGTATGATCAACAAGCTCAAAAAGCTACAAAGAAATCAAGTAAAATAATGATTGACTTTGACAACTTATAAGTCAACAATGGCTTTACATTTTCAGCAAATTGAGGAAAGAATGAAAGTTAAAATCAAAGGCAAATAATACACATTATCCTCTTTAAGAGGTCTTGCTGAACCTGTGGAACCTGATAGTTCCACTCTGTTCATTTCCTTTCTCCCTCCTCTGTCCTACACACACACACACACACACACACACACACACACACACACACACACACGTTGCAATTACCAACAATTGTATTAAGAGGAATCTGGGCATACAACAAATATTCCATCTCAGTAAAACATCTATGACTGTACTAATCAGCTGAGCTAATCCTCCAGAACAGCTTTTACTGCACATACCACTGTCACTTGACCAGTAAATATTGATCCCCGCAGTTATCGGCCTGTGTAGCTGTGTCACCTACTCCCAGGAGTTGATTTGCCAGACTCAGATGTGTTTATTCCAGACTTTATACAAAGTATCCTGGGACTTTTTATTTTCTTTTACAGTCATAAATTTTTCTGTGTTCTTGTTTGCATCTTTGTTATTTGATCACTATAGGAATGTAGCCTTTGAGAGAAAACCTTTCTTAAAAAGACACTCAGTGTAATTCTTTGACTGGAGGCAAACAGTAAATTAAACTTAAATTCAAGTGACTACAAAGTGAAGAAAAAGGTCAGCAAGTACTTATTTGATAAGTGGTTTCTCCTTTTAATTGTTCTGATTACTTTTGAAAGAGCAGCAAAATTTACTACTTAGAAATTGCATTATCTAAAGTTGCCTGCTAATCTGCAGTCTTGTGGGCCAAGCTAAGTTTGAAGCATCAGAGATGAGAATCCTGATGTTTAAATTCAGATCCAAATTGTGTTTCTTTCTAGTTGAGTAAACTTGGGAACAACCCTCAATTTCCTGGACTTCGATTTCTTAATTTCTCAACTAAAATACAGAAATAGCTTCTGCAGTATTATTATTGGATTAACTGAGAGAGTGCGGTATGCTTGTTTACTGTAAATGAATGAGTATTATATGTTAGTAGGAAAGGCAGCAAGGTGTAGTGAAAAGAGCACAGATGTAGAACCAATCAGATCTGTATTCAGGTCTCTACTTTATCACTTGCCATCTGTTTAAACCTGAGCAAAATAACCTCTCTGAGCTTCAGCTTTCTCAAATCTGTGAAATAGGGAAAACACTAGCTAACCTAGGATTTGCTAAGAATTCAAAATCAATCATATAGGTAAAATACTAATAATATCTAATATACAGAAGATGATCAATATATATTACATATTTGAAACCTCATTATTACTGCTACAACTGAGAACATCCAAATTATTTTGAGTAAAAAAAACTATTTGTATACGGAAATATTTTTGTCTACAAGCTAGCTGGAGAACAAGTGAAGTAAAAACAAGGATGAGATATTTTAGGGACAGAAAGCATCCACATCCAGTCTGATGTCCTGGCTCATTTTCTAGAACATTTCATTTAATTCAGCTTTCCTGAATTTTTTTTACCAGACTTCTCATAGTTCTTTGGAAGGGGCGAAGATATTATGTAACAAAGATGGGAGCTGCCACAAATATTATTGACTCCAAGGATCCCAAAGACCCTTTTCTCCTCCTGTTTCTGTTTGGTTATAAGCAAATCATGAAAGCACATGGTGTTAAAATTTACACGAAGATCTTTTTTTTCTAATTTTCCTTTCATATATTTACATTATAAACCTAAATACATTAAAAACCCCAAATGAAGCCATTTTATAGTCATTGTAACATGAAGTCATATTATATTCCCAGTCATATTATATTCCCATATTATATTCCCCATATTATATTCCCAGAAGTCACTCTTCTGAATATATTGACACATGTCCTAGTATATTCCATTCACCACCTAGATTGGTTTTAGGATGGAAAGGTGGAGACAGTAGATGTTTGCAGTGCTTGGAATAAATTTCACAAGTCAACACAATGACCAAGAAAAACATACTTTCATTCAGTGTGATTAAAACCCATCCTTAATTTCAATCCATAACGTCTTAGACCACCTCAAGTCAAGAACCTCCTCTATCTTCTTTAAAGCATCTTAACTCTAAAATGCACTGATGAGGTAAAATCTCCTCTCTTCATAATTCTAAAATTATAATCATATGTTTGATGCTAAATACTGCCTGGATCTCTTATTCCAAATTAAATTAATTCTCAAAGGCAACTCTAAATTAGTGATAGCCATATGCTCTCATTTCAGCAACAGGCACACAAAGCTATTTCTAGGATATTATTTTATTGTGTAATCGTCAGTAATATCATTTTTACAGTTTTCTCCTATACTATACTGACCACAGGAAAATCTAGGTTAGTAAGCATGACATCATATATGACTCCTGGACAAATTATATCAGTAACACCTGCAGATCATATATAAAAACTCCAGGACAGAAGCCAGAAAGGGGCCTTGGAGCAGAGCCAAACTCCAGTCTCGGAGGCCACATTTAGCGCAAGTGAAGCAGCACCGAGCTGAGTTTGTGTGTGATGAATTGGCCCCAGAAGGCACTGCCATACCATCAGTCACCATCACTGTTATGTGGCGGTGACTCCTGGCATGACAATGGGGGTTGGGAGAAAGGGATAAGTTCCCAAGTCACTGGGAAGTTATTAGTAGCTCTGCTTATTAAACTAGTTTCCTTTCTTCTCTCTTAATGCTATATCATACACCTCAAATATCATAGCTGCTTCTATAAAAATGAGAAAAGCTTGTCTCAAATAGAGGGAAAAAACATATAGAAGCCCTTTATGCAAAGGCAAAATGCAAATAGACAGTTAAGATGAAGAAACCAAACCATGCAGGCAGGAGAAAAAGCAGTGCTCAGAAAGAGATGTCTTTACTGGAAGAAAAGTATGACAGCCCTAGAGTACCTAGAGGTGATTACCTGCTAGATTCTAATAAGAAATGCCATTCTCAAATACACCAAAAATTGACCCAGATTGGTATTTTGTCTCACTCAGTGTCCATAAGCAGCTTCTTTCCAGAAAGGTGTGGTTGCTATTTTTGCCAGCAACTTTAATTAGAAAACAAAAAGAGCTGGGAGTGTACCTAGGCCTCCGTATCCTCTTTATCCTCCTTTTATTATATGTACCAAGTTATCCTAGAAAATCTAATGGATTCCCAGAGAGAACTGTAGCTGGTGAGACGGTTCTTTTACTGCCCATATACTGCCCTTCCAGTTGGTGGAAGGCTTTGTCCTGGAAAGGAGGGATTCTCAATGTTTAGCTGATAGTGGGTTTGAAAATGGAATATGGAACATCTCATTCACAGAAATTAAAAGAAAGTAGAAGTGCAAAATATCTTCCATTTATCATTATCAGAGAACATCAGGGATCATAGTCCCTTGATTCCTATTATAAACATCTTTTGAGTTTTGTTATCTCCCCTTTGTGTTATTTTCATTTTATTATACTCCGACTCTTTCCCATTACAAACCTAAAAATACAAAGGGAGGATAAAAAGGGCACAGAAGATTTTTAGGGCAGTGAAAATACTTCGTATGATTATGATAATGGTGGATACATGTCATAAATTTGTCCCAACCCACAGAATAGACAATATTAAGAGTGAGCCCTAATGTAAACTGTGGACTTGGGTTGATAATGCTTTATCAATGCAGGTTCATCAATCATAACAATTCTACCACTCTGGTAGGGGATGTTGATAATAAGGGAGCCCGTGCATGTGTGGAGGCAGGGAATGAGATGTCACTGTACCTTACTGTCAATTTTGCTGTAAACCTAAAACTTCTCTAAAAAAAAAAAATAATAAAGTCTTCAAAAAAAGACATAGGGTAGCTCCTGGGCCAAATTTTGGTTGAAAATCTATAAGCAGAAGGTTAAAGAAGATGTCATAGTTTCAAAAGCTGCTTTTACCTGGAAATCTACTGTTTAAACTCTGTTTCCAGCTGGGATCTGAGAGAGAGAGTTCAAAGGTCCAGGCTCTGTCCAGAGCTGGGAGACTTGTAAGAGAACTTCTCTCTATTGAGATGGGGTCCCAGGAGCCTACTCTCTCTGATTTAAGGACCTAGACATGACTCATCTCCTCTCAACCGTGGCGAACTACAGAGAGAGCTGTCTTGATAACACATGATGCTGAAGAGGTAAAAAGAAAGGAAGAAAAAATGCTGTCCCTGAGGGGCTGTGACTTCAGAACAATGCTAGCATGAATCTGGACCTAGAGTATGACATGAGACCTATTCCGGAGACCCAGAACTGGGTTTGAGGCAGCCCAATGGTAGAACCTTAGGTAGAACAAGTTCTACAGCAAAATTGACAGTGTCTGACAAAAGCAAACACAAATTCTAATTAAACTCACTAAAAAAGAAATAGAAGTTTTGATTACTTTATAACTTTTTAAATGAATTATTAGTTATAAATATTTACTCAAAGAAAATCCTAAGTTTACATATCTTCATTGGAGAATGTTATAAATGTTATTCGAGGAAGAAATCATTCTAGTCGTGGCCAAACTCTTCCAAAGAATGGCATAACACTGGTAATAAAATCAGATAAGAACAATATGATGGAAGAAATTTATGAATCAATTTCTTTCACAAACATAGATGCACAAACTAAAAAATTAAATAAGCAAGCTGAATTCAGCAAAATATAGAGAATAATACCTCAGTACTAAGTCGTTTTGTCTGTTTAAATCTAGGAATGCAGGGTTTGTTTAGCATTCAAAAATCAAACAAGATAAATTACCACATTAATAGGATGAGGGAAAATTTATATTATTATCTCAATAAATGCAGATAAAGCATTTGATAAAATTCAAAGTCCATTTATAATACAAACTCTTAGCAAACTAGGACTAGATAGCATCTCAGGGAGGTTTTTCACTATAATACCACTGTTTAACAAACAAACTCCAATCTCCAAATCTTGGTGGCTTATAACACTGATTACAAGCCATGGGGTAGGGTAAGGCTCTGATGGACTCAGCTGTGATTGGTTGGGCTTATCTCAGGCTGAATGTTGTGATTAGTTCTGTTCTATGTATTTTCTGATTCTGCTCAAAAAAGCAGCTATCAAAGCATATTTTTTTCTCATAGTGATGAAAGAGGAAGACAAGTAAACCATGCAACCACACTTAAAATACTTGTTTACATCATATTCACTAATATCTCCTAGGCCAAAGAAAGGTCACATGGTCAACATCAAGGAATGGAGAAATAAATTCCACCAACAATAAGACACAATAAGCATTTACATGACATAATGTGTGAATGTATGATTCTAACACAGGGAAGGAATAAAGAATTGGAAACAATGATCCAGTCTGCTTAGTCCAATGAAAGTAGTTATAGAAACTCCACAGCCAACATCATATAACATGATAAAAATTAGAAGTTTTTCTTTTGGTATTAGATATAAGACAAGATTTCCTGCTATCATCACTTCTATGCAACATTGAGTATGTTAAGTGAATTATGAATTTTTAAAAGGATATAAGAATTGGAAAGGAAGAAAAATTGTCACTATTTGCAGATGATAGGATTAAGTATGTAGAAAATCCAAAAGCATCTACATGTAAACCTTAAAATTAATAGGAGAACTTAGTCACTGATACAAAATTCAATATACAAAAATCAACTGCTTTTCTGTATACCAGTAACAGTTAGAAAACAAAATTTTAAGAGTGAATTTATTTACCAAAGCCTCCAAAATATCAAGAACCAAGGAGTAAAACTCATCAAAGATGTGCAGGAGCTCTAGATAAAAGTTATAACACTTTAGTGGGAAATATTAAAATTTAATGAACAAGACGTTTATTATCTTCATGATTTGTAAGATTTTGAAAAGATGTCAATTCTCCCCAGACTGATTTATAAATTCAGTGCAATTCTGGTGCAAGTCAGTGATTTTTAGTATATTCTCAGACTTATAAAACTATCGGCTCTATCCAAGTGTAAAATATTTCCAATTCACACTAAAAAAAAATACCCTGTACCCATTAGCCACCAACCCTGTTCTCTCCTCCTCTCAGTCCCTGACACCCACTAATCTACTTTTTGTCTCTGTCAATTTGACTATTCTGAAAATCTCATTTAAAAGGAATTATACAGTATTTGGTCTTTTGTGACTACATTCTTTCATTTAGCATAATGTTTTCAAGGTTCATATATTTGTAGTACATATCAATAATTCTTTTTTATGACTAAATAATATTCCATTATATGGATATACCACAATTTTTAAATTAATCCGTCAGTTGACGATTTCAGTTGCTTTCACTTTTCAGGTATTATGAATAATGTTTCTATGAATGTTCATCTACAAGTCTTTTTGTGGGTGTGTGTTTTTATTTCTCCTGTGTCTTTATTTCTTAGGAATATAACTGATGTGTCATGTGATATCTCTATGTTTAACATTTGGAAGAACTGCCAAACTGTTGTTCCATAGTGGCTACACCATTTTACATTCCTACCTGCAATATATGAGGGTTTCACTTTCTCCACGATTTTGTCAACACTTGTTATTTTGTCTTTTTAAATGTTAGCCATGTTAGTGATTGTAAAGTGATATCCCACTGTGGTTTTGATTTGTATTGTTTTTAACAAGTAAGGATGTAGAGCATCTTTTTACATGCTTATTGACCATTTGTATATTTTCTTTGAAGAAATGTCTATTCAAATCCTTTGCCCAGGTTTTTAATTTAGGTTGTGTTTTTATTGATGAATTGTAAGAGTTCCTTATGTATTCTGGATATATGTTTTGTATCAGACACATGATTTAAAAATATTTTCCCCTATTTTGTCAGTTGTCTTTCCATTTTCATAATGATGTCCTTTGAAGAACAAAAGTGTTAATTTTTAATAAGTCCAATTTGCCTATCTTTTTCTTTTGTTGCTTGTGTTTTTGGTGGTGTATTTTTTTTTTTTTTGAGACAGAGTCTCACTCTGCTACCCAGGCCAGGCTGGAGTGCAGTGGTGCCATCTTGGCTCACTGCAAGCACCGCCTCCTGAGTTCACGCCATTCTCCTGCCTCAGCCTCCCAAGTAGCTGGGACTACAGGTGCCAGCCACCACACCCAGCTAATTTTTTGTATTTTTAGTAGAGACCGGGTTTCACCATAGCCAGGATGGTCTCGATCTCCTGATGTCATGATCCGCCCGCCTTGGCCTCCCAAAGTGCTGGGATTACAGGTGTGAGCCACCGTGTCCGGCCTTGGTGTTGTATCTTAAAAACTATTGTCTAACTGAAGGTCACAGATTTACTGCTGTGTTTATTTTTGAGAGTTTTATAGTTTTAGCTCTGAAAATTGTGATCCATTTTGAGTTCATTGTGTATGGTATGAGATAGAACTTCAAATTCATTATTTTGAATGTCAATATTCAGTTTCACAGCACCATTTGTTGAGAAGACTGTTTTATCCCTCATTGAATGATATCGGCACCCTTGTTGAAAATCAATTGACCATCAAAGTAGGAATTTATGTCTGTATTCTCAATTGTATTCCACTCATCTATATATGTATTCTCATAGCACTACCACACTATAGCATTCGATTACTGTATCTTTGTAGTAAGTTTTGAAGTGAAAAAGTGTAAGGCTCTATGTTCTGTTTCCAGATTATTTTAGCTATTCTGGGTCCCTTGAAATTCCATATGAATTTTAGGATTGGTTTGTCATTTACTGCTAAAAAGGTAACTTGAATTTTGATAGGAATTGCATTGAATGTGTAGATCATTTTGAGCCATATTTTCATTTTAACAATAGTAAATCTTTAAATCCATGAATATAAAACATCTTTCTATTTACTTATGTCTTTTTAAATATCTTTCAATAAAGTTTTGTAGCTGCACGAGACTTTTACTTCTTTTATAAAATTTTAATAAAACTCCTAAGAATTTTATTCTTTATTTTTTTATTATACTTTAAGTTCTAGGGTACATGTGCACAATGGGCAGGTTTGTTACATATGTATACATGCGCCATGTTTGCAGATAACATGATTGTATATCTAGAAAACACCATCGTCTCAACCCAAAATCTCCTTAAGCTGATAAGCAACTTCAGCAAAGTCTCAGGATACAAAATCAATGTGCAAAAATCACACTCATTCCTATACACCAATAACAGACAAACAGAGAGCCAAATCATGAGTGAACTCCCATTCACAAATTTTTCAAAGAGAATAAAATACCTAGGAATACAACTTACAAGGGATGTGAAGGACTTCTTCAAGGAGAACTACAAACCACTGCTCAAGGAAATAAGAGTGAACACAAACAAATGGAAGGACAGTCCATGCTCAAGAATTTTATTCTTTTTATTCTTTTTGGTGCTATTGTAAACGGGATTTTTTCTTAATTTTATTCTCATATTGCTCATTGTGCATATAAAAAACAATTGTTTTATATATTAATCTTGTATCCTAAAGCTTTGCTGAACTTATTGATTAGTTCCATTAATTTTCTTAGTGTATTTCTTAGGATTTTCTATATACAAGATCATCTCACTTGTGAATAGAGATAATTTTATATGTTTCTTTCCTGTCTCGATGCCTTTTATCATTTTTTCTTGCCTAATTGCACTGGCTAGAACCTCCAGTACAATGGTGAATAGAAGTGGCAAGAATGAACATCTTTGTTTTGTGGTCTTAGGAAAAAAGCATTCGGTCTTTCATCATTAAATGTGATGTTAGATAGGGGTTTTTGTAGTAATCATTTATCAAGTTGAGAAATTTTCCTTTTATTCCTACTTTGTTGTAGATCTATAGAAAGATTCTTAAAGGAGACGCAAATTTTAGTAGAGTAGAAGAATGATCAATTTAATCACATTAAAATTAAAATTTCTGTTCATTTGGAAGACATCACATAGAGTAAAAAAATGGAGTTATTTGAAAATATTTTAAACATATTAACCAAAAAAATAATTATTTTTCAGACTATATAAGGAACTCCTGTAATTCAATTAGAAGAGAGTAAACAACTCAATAGAAAAATGAGCAAATGTCTTTAACAGGCACTTTACAAAAGGAGAAATATAAATAGCTGGTAACCAAATAAAGAGGTGCTGAACAAAACTAGTCATTAGAAAAACAAGACTTAATATCATAAGATACCACTACATACCTATTCAATTGAGAAAAAATAAAATTCTGACTTAATGTGGGCAAGGATATAAGCAACAGGAGCTCTTATACTGGTAGGAGTGAAAATTGTTCCAGCACCTTTAGAAAACTGTGTGTCTGGTAAAAATACATGCTGAACTATGATCTATGGCAGCACTCTTCACAATAGCAAAAACTTGGAACCAACACAAATGCCCATCAATGACAGACTGGGTAAAGAAAATGCGGCACATATACACCATGGAATACTATGTGGCCATAAAAAAGGATGACTTCATGTCCTTTGCAGGGACATGGATGAAGCTGGAAACCATCATTCTCAGCAAACTAACACAAGAACAGAAAACCAAACACTGCATGTTCTCATTCATAAGTTTGAGTTGAACAATGAGAACAGAGGGACACAGGAAGGGGAACATCACACACCGGGGCCTGTTGGGGGCTGGAGGGCTAGGGGAGGGATAGCATTAGGAGAAATACCTAATGTAGATGTTGGGTTGATGGGTGCAGCAAACCACCATGGCACATGTATACCTATGTAACAAACCTACACGTTCTGCACATGTATCCCAGAACTTAAAGTATAATAAAAAAAAAATGGAACTAAGATCCAATAGTTCCACTTTTGCATATATACCTTAAAAGATATGTTTGATTATGTATACCAAGATTTATGCTTAAGACTGTTCATAGCAATATTGCAAGTATATGTTTTATGTTCTTACAATGGGACTCTATATTGAAACAGATTTGAATCAACTACAGATATATAGATAAATTTACAAATGTGTGGCCAGAAAAAGGCAAGTTGTAAAATACTAATAACAACATTCTACCTATATATAGTTCAAGAACAGGCAGAACTGATGTACTTTTTAAGGAGGGCAAGAATTAGTTTTTAAAAAAAAGGAGTACTAGAATTACATAATTACTTTATGATGAGTGGGTAGTGAAGACAGAGCGGTAAGACATATAAGGGAAAGTCTATGGTTCCAGCAATGTTTTATTTCATGACTTGATGGGGTTATATGGACGTTTGCTTTACAGACAAATGCTAAAACATACCTACAATCTTATGCAATTTTCTGCATGTCATGTTTTATAATAAAAGTATTTAAACTTCAATAAACAAACATTGCTTTTTCCTGTTTATATTACATGTACCTGACTTAGCTGATCCTACCTTTCATCAGAGACAGATGTTTGCAAACTTTAAAGTTTTTTGAAATGAGAATCTGACACTGAAACTCAACTGGAGAACACATAAAGCCTTGCTGCTGTGTTTGAAGTGGGGGAACGAGAGTTCTGGAAGGCTTACTCAAAGTTCTCATTTGGACACTCTTTCCTTCAATTCAATGACACCTTTATGAAACCTTACAACTCCAGGACATGAACAGTTTGGAAACCACTGTTAAAGACTGCTGGTTCAGGAAAAATCTTTAGATTTCATCTAACCTAAGCTCCTCATTTTACAGAGGAGGCTTTATGATATGCCTAAGATCATCCAGATAGTTAATGGCAAAGCTGGCTTAAAACCAATGAATATAGCATTGAGAATTACTCATCCATAGCTTCTGTCTTCCAGAACATTACTTACGCCAACTTGTTCTATTAGCAATGCTTTAAAATCAACCAAAGCATAGCCTACATTGCTGTGGAGGGGTGTGTGTGTGTGTGTGTGTGTGCGCGTGTGTGTGTGTGTGTTAATACATATATATCTATACTATATATAGTACATATAATAATAAATATATAATATAATGCATATTCACCCATATCTATCTCCTTAAAAAATACGGCCACTGTATAAAGTTAGAAGCAATTGAGCCACTTTAACCTCAATAAGAATAGCAAGCATTCATTACAGAGTGTGTGAAAACCAGCTGTGTTTCTTCTCCATTCGGTCAAGCAAAGATGAAATGGGTTGAACAGATCAGAATGAGAGATTTAAAATATTACCATAAGAATTTTATTATATTTTAAGTGTTCATTATAGAAGTAAAATGTATCACCTCATCTAAGTAAGAAAAAGGCTTTAAAATTTTTCCCTCATACGGTTTTGAAAACAGAATAGCTTTCTTGAGGATTTAAATAGTAATTGGATGAACTAAACATTTTCTTCCGTGGCATTTTTTGTGTAACAGTGTAAGATTCACATTTCTGTGGGGGTGTGGCACAGATATCTCGAGCTTGAAATTCTCACAAGAGAAGTGTCATTTTAGACATTAGCCCAAATTATGGCTTTTTCTCTGGTGCCATTGGAATTGAATACATTTATAAAAGGGAACCAAAGGAGAGTAATGAGACAACAGTTGTGTTTCATTTTGCTTGGAGCAAATACTTGCAGAATTCTCTATTCCTGTAGATCTTTAGAACTCGCTGGATTCCTTCCCACCAACACACCATGCATGCACACACACACACACACTCAAACGCTATTTGCAAGGATCTCCATATCCACACCTGTATAGCTTGTATATTATCTTGTCTTTCTTGAATTAGAACCCTATTTTGGTCTTATTATCTATGTGTCTTTGTATCCCAAGCATCTATCTTAACAGCAGAATCATGGCAGGCATAAAATAATTCAAGGAGGAAGAAAGAGAGGGAAGAAGGGTTAAATGAAATTAAGTTTCGTTTTATTTTAAGGTCTAACTAGACAAGTAAAAATGAACAAGTAATGCAATGCTTCTAAACCCTCAGTTTTCTCATCAGTAAAAGGGGGTGCAGTAATGCCTGTAAAATATTTTCTACTATATATAACTACATAAAATATAAAATAACAACTGCTCTTAAATCAGAAAATGTGTTCAACCAAAACAAGCTAACCATTCTACATTTTAATAAAGTAAATATTAAATATCACTTTGTATCAGAAACCAACAATTTAGTTTTCAAAGTTCATATTGTGAGATTAATGTTCTACAATACAATTTCATTTAATTCCCACCTTTACTCATCAAGCACTTTTTTCATCTGCAATTTTTTATTTATATCATAAATATTTTTGCTTAAGTTCACCACGACAGCCTGAGTTTTCTCATCTATTTGTTCAGGTTGACTTAAAATACATCTAGATATTTTGTGGATGAAGCAACTGCACTGACATATTGTACAGCAAAATCTTCCAGCAAGAAATTGTTTAAACTTGTTTATGTGACCTATTTGTTGATTTCTCCTGGAAGACTTTATGCCAGAAAGAATAATTTCTTCTCAGTATAGATTAAATTGAATATATATTGCCAACACACAGACACACAGAGCCATCATCCAATAAGTTGACTCACTTGAATTTATAGTTATGATAAAGTCATTTGGAAAAACAAACTCAAGCTGTTAGGCACTGAGAACTAATCCCAGATTCAATTCAAACCATGAGTGGGGCTGCACCACTGTGGCCGTGTGAACATTTGATCATGTAAATGTTCCCCCGAAGGCTCTGGATGACAAGTGTGATGGAAAGGAAGGGGGAATACTGGGCCTACAACATTGCTCACCAAATGTGGTGACTAAAGAGAACAAGCAATTCCGTCTGGGACCCATAGTCTTTGGCAGCTTGGAAGGCAGCTTCTGCCTTTGGTGGCAAAACAAAGTTTGTGGGGTTTTTTTTTTTTTTCATTGTTTTTTAAAAGGAGATGAGTATAATCATTTTTTAACATTGGCTCCTTTGTGTTACAGACAGTCTGTTAGCACACATTTTCAGATTCACTTCAGAAAGGAAACAAAATAGAAGTGTGGATGCATGTTAATTACCCAAAAATATGGCGTACCAGATGGCCACCAAGGTCTGCTTCAGTTGAGTAGGTAAATAACGCGTCTGAACCCTTTTGTCCCCTATACAAACCAAATTTTGATTTTATTTTCCCTCCAATTACTGTTAATGCAAAAAGTAAACAGGAAACAGGAAAGCCACATTATAAGAGCAGACCATAGTGGGTGAAGGAAAACATTTGTTTTCTCTCTTGCTAAATTCGTAGAATTATTGGGTCCAGAAAAAGTAAAGAAAAAGTCTTCTAATGCTGAAAAAGCAGAGTCAGATGTTTAGTCAAAGCACAAACACCAAATAAAATGAGTGTATTTTTCCAAAGCATTTGTAATGTTTGGGCCTCATCTGTCTCTTTGATATAGGTGTGTCAATTTTAGCTTCAGGATTCCTCTCACTAGGCTGTGTAATGAGCCTTCTTGTATTACTTATGGGATATTTTAAAATTCATTAAGTCAGTATATACTGTTGGGGTCCATTCTAAGAAAAACAAAACTTGCACTTTTAAAACATCTTTCTGCTGAGCTGTGTATACATAATAAATTCTGTACAACATTTCGTTTACTACCTGTCCTCTCTGTGTGCTCCACGGTTGACAGCACGGACTTCCACAGCCTATCTGTAAATGCAAGGGCCAGGGCAGTCCGTGTGAGGTACTGGCCTTCAGTCTTTCCCTGTCTGGGAGTCCCCTTCTCTATTCTCTCACCAGGTATGTAAGTGGCTTTGCATGACATTGCTACAAAGAAGGAAGGTGACAGGTGAGAGAGCAGAAGTAACACAAGTCTTTGATTTTAATACTATAAAAACCAAAGATTTTAGGAGACCCTGGAAGATCAGAGTAAAACCAAATAATGAGAAGAAGCTGGAAGAAAGCATGGCTTCCCTAACCTAGGGAAGGGGTCCCACAGGCTGGCACCTATGCCATTAGGGAGACATCAGACATGATGAAATCATGCAGAAAAAAACAAAACAAACAAAAACCACTTCCCAGTGGGACTACTGATGATGGATGACCAGGACTGGGCCAGAGCATGGACCTAGAAAAGCCACTTCTTGCATATTTAAGGATGAATGTCCCTCCTTCCGAAGTTTCACTGTTATAGATGCTTGACAGATTTACTTAAAACCCCAGGGAAAGGAGGGGAAAAAGGGAGAAGAGAGATTCCCAAATCGACGGGACTAAATTTCTACCTCCCTAGACAAATAAGATCTCAAAATAAAAATCAACTTAAATTTGAGCAAAATAAAAAATTTGTTTTGCATAACTTTGTCAATTGAGGGGCATATCTGTAATGTTTGTAAAGCCAATATTAAAATTTGGGAATAGATTAGGGAGAAAAGAAGGATATTTCTTATATAAATTTAAGACAGATGAAAATGAGCAAATTAACCATTCTACTGAGATAATTCTCATGTTTAAGAATATCGACTACACAGCCGGGCACGGTGGCTCACACCTGAAATCCCAGCACTCTGGGAGGCCAAGACAGGCAGATCACGAGGTCAGGAGTTCGAGACCAGCCTGGCCAACATGGTGAAACCCTGTCTCTACTAAAAATACAAAAATTAGTTGGGTGTGGTGGTAGGTGCCTGTAATCCCAGCTGCTTGGGAGGCTGAGGCAGGAGAATCATTTGAACTCGGGAGGTGGAGGCTGCAGTGAGCCAAGATAGCACCATTGCACTCTAACCTGGGCAACAAGAGCGAAACTCCGTCTCAAGAAAAAAAAAAAAAATGGACTACACTACATGGAAGTTTTGTATATACCAAGAGCTATGCCTGAATTAATTTATCCATTCCTCCTAACAGCCTATGAGGATGGCAAGACTATTATCACCAAATCACAGATTAGGAAAGTGATGTTCATAGAAGTAAACAACTTGCCTGGAATTCAATACAGACCAGTATGAGGTTAAAGGTGCAAAACACAGGACTTTAGCCCTGTGCTCTCGGGCACCCTGAATGTGCAGAACTGAAGCAGAGTAGGATGGGCTGCTTAAAGCATCTTAACCCTCATTCCCTCCACCACTGTGGCTCAGGATCTAAGCAGAATGTGGAGCTCTGACTCCTGCCATTCAGAATGCCATCTTGAGCTACGAATTCATTGCCACCCATTTATGTCTTTCATTTCTCAGTCTCCCCATGGTGTGTTTAGGGTTATTTTATTTCCTAATACAAATTAGCATTTTTAGTCTCTTAAAACAAAACTGTATAGAATTAAACAACAGAACATAGAATTTAACTCCTCCCTCCCTTTGGAAGTTTTCCACTTATCTGAAATGAACTAGCTTTATTATAACTTTTTGTTGTAATATTATAAACAAGACTCACCTCTTTTTTATGAAGGTCAATCATCTTTTTTCCAACAATAAGGGGGAAATGTGCCCATTTTTATTAAAAAGAAAGAAAATTAGAGAGATGGCTGTCTATAGAATAAGAATTTGAGAAAATAAACTATTTTTGTTGAAAAACATTAAAGGTTATAAATTGACCAGCATAGAAATAATGGAATGAACAGAATCTTTTTTTTTTTTTTTTTTTTTTTGAGATGGAGTCTCTTTCTGTAGTCCAGGCTGAGCATACAGTGGCACAATCTCGGCTCACTGTAAACTCCACCTCCTGGGTTCAAGTGATTCTCCTGCCTTAGCCTCTTGAGTAGCTGGGATTACAGGCACGTGCAACCATGCCCAGCTAATTTTTTTGTATTTTTAGTAGAGATGAGTTTTCAACATGTTGGCCAGGCTGGTCTTGAACTCCTCACCGCAAGTGATCCTCCCGCTTCAGCCTCCCAAAGTGCTGGGATTACAGGCGTAAGCCACTGTGCCTGGACTGAGATTCCTTTTCTTTGTACCATTTTGTTTTCCTCTTCGACATCGGCAAACTCACTTTTAAGCACCCCTCCCTATAGACAGAGAATCTGTAAGAAATATGAATTCAGCCTACACCAGCTGACTGGCCCCGTTTCCAGGACAGAAGCCAAGATTTGATTTAAAATAAAGAACCAGACAACTGAAACAAAAGCTTGTTGCCTGATTATCCAAAGAGTCTGCTTATCCAAAGCACACTTCGCAGGTTTCCACTTATTAGAGCTTGTGACAGCATGCCATACCATTGACCTCTTCTGAATGTAAGTGTACCTTGAGTACATGGACAGAGATTTCCTCCTGCCTTGCTGGCTGCCCCTTCTAAGATTCCTTTGCTGATTCATTCCTCTCCACTTGATCTTTAATAGTTGAAATTCCTCAACATTCAACCCTTGTCCCCCTTTAACCCAATGTTCTCTCTTGAGATGATTTCATCAACTCCCACAGCTCTTGTTATCATTAGAATGGCAAGAACTACTAAATGCACACCTCTAGACCAGCGCTCTCTCTGAACTCCAGGTCCCTTTTATCTACACAGAGATCACATTTATTGACTGTTCTCCAAGTGCCAGGCTGAGTGCTATACATGGATATTTTTATATAGCCTTTTATATTCTTTTCATATATTATTGTATTCATTTCTAAGTGTATATGTAATAACATAGATTCTTATATAAATTTAACTAATAACAAAGAGGAAGAGCCATCTCAATTTACCCAATGTTCCCCTTCCTAGACCACCTCATCCCACTCCTGGCCCCATGGATAGTTACCAGTCTGGTATGTATTCTCACTTGTTCTTCACAACTCAGTGAAGGTACTGTTATTCTTATTCCCATTTTACAGATCGGGAAATTGATGTATAAGGTTATTTTGAAACTTGCCTAAGTTGTCATGGATAGTAAACAGCAGAATGGGGATCCCAAGCTCAGGTTTATCACCCTTCAGTGGCCCTGGTCTTTTGGAAGCACCCTAAGTTCTACTGCCCAAATTCAAACTCACAGTTTTTCTTCCCAGCACTCATTCTCCATACTTGGTCCTTCTCTTGAGTCTTAATGTCAGCAAATGTACAACCAAATATCTACTCATTTATTAAGAAAACTTAGGGTCACCCTGAACCATTTCCTTTTTCTTTTCTTTCTTTTTTTTTTTTTTTTTTTGAGAGGGAGTCTTACTCTGTCACCCAAGCTAGAGTGCAGTGGCCTGATCTCTCGGCTCACTGCTCACTGCAAACTCCACCTCCCTGGTTCAAGCAATTCTCCTGCCTCAGCCTCCTGAGTAGCTGGGATTACAGGCATGCACCACCACACCTGGCTAATTTTTATATTTTTAGTAGAGATGAAGTTTCATCATGTTGGCCAGGCTGGTCTCCAACTTCTGACCTCAGGTGATCCACCTGCCTTGGCCTCCCAAAGTGCTGGGATTGCAGTCATGAGCCACTGTGCCCTGCCACCACTTCCTTTTTCATAGATCATATCAAATCGGTCACCAAACCTTGCTAACATCATTCTTAAACCTCTCTTGAATGTGTGAGATTCTCTCCATCACCACTGCCACAAACACCTCTTAACTAAAACTCCTTCCACACCTGCCACCTTCCAAATCAACCTATACACAATCACCAAATAGACCTTTCAAAAATGCTCAGGTCAGAGCATTTAAAGTTGTTGGTTTCCCATCTTAGAATCTTAGAATAAAGTGAAATATCATTAGTACGGCTTACAGGGTGTATTAGTTCATTCTTGCAGTGCTGTAAAGAAATACCTGAGACTGGTAATTTATAAAGAAAAGAGGTTTCATTCGTTCATGGTTCCACAGGCTCTATAGGAAGCATGACTTGGGAGGCCTCAGGAAACTTACAATCATGCCGGAAGGTGAAGGAAACAGACTCATCTTTTGTGGCTGGAGCAGGAGGAAGAGAGAGATGGCGGAGGTGCTACACAGTTTTAAACAACCAAATCTCATGAGCGCTCACTATCATGAGAGCCACACTGAGGGGGAAATCCACCCCCATGATCCAATCACCTCCCACCAGGCCCCACCTCCAACACTAGGGATTACAATTTGACATGAGATTTGGGCTGGGTGCACACAGACCCAGACCTTATCACAGGGCTCTCCAGTTTAATCTCCACCCCTTCCTGGCCTCATGTGCTAGCTCTCTGTACTCCAGTCACCCCAGTCTTCCCTGCCTTATTTCCCCCTCAGCGTGGCTCTCATGATAGTGACTGCTCATGAGATTTGGTTGTTTAAAACCGTGTGGCACCTCCCCCCATCTCTCTCTTTCTCCTGTTTCAGCCACGTAAAATGAGTCTGCTTCCTTCACACTTTGAAGATTGTGGTTTAAATCACACTCTTTTCAGCCACTGAGTCTTCACACATCCTGTTACCTCTACTTGAAGCTTGCTTCCCTCTCTTTTAAACTGTGTAATCTGTTCAGTACAAAAGGCTTATGTTAGCCAGGATAGCCTCCGATGACCCCTTCATCCATTTCTAGTCCCACTCTTACGTGCTCTCATATCCCTCTTTACTTTGCATTTATCACAAGTGTTGCCATGTAATTAATTCATTAGCTTAATATATGTTTTTCCTACTAGACAACAAGCTCCAGGAGGGCAAGACCAGCATCTCTTTCACTCACCCCTGTGCCTGGAACATAGTAGGCTCATAAATACCTATGAAATGAAATTCAGTATGACTCTTAGTAGGTAGCCTACTTAATTGGCTCTGAAGTTTCCAGTCCTGGAAAATAGGAATGGTACCACTAGCTTAGAGCTATATTACCTCTTTCGGGAAAATAGGATTCATGTCCAGTATACCAGGCTTCTGTAAGAATGTTCAGAGGCAGTTTAAATAGTTCAAGGAGTTAAGCTTGTTCTCCAGTGGACATCCCTAAGGAACAGAAATGGGCCACTTAATCTCCTGGCTTTCTCTCTTCCTTCTCCTCTCCAGTCATCAGAGGAAGTCTAAACACTACAAAGCGAGATTATTGGAAAATCTTTCAAACTTGCTTCTCTGTATATTTCCAAACAGCACCGCTCTAATGGATTGAAGTTTGCAGGATTGGATTCTAGTTTCAAGACAACTCCCCAAACACTTCACCACAGAAGAGAACATTAGAATTATGGTAAGTATAATTAAAATGCCATTGCATTCTAATATTGTCTCTTCCTCCATGGCTCCTACCCACAATTGGTTTTCTGTACCAACAAAGACGCAGCTGTATGATCAGGAGCCTCCATCTGTGGGCTTCCGTCTGTGGTTTCTTTTACACTTGAGCCAAGGGGATCTGGAAAAGTAAAACAGGTCCTATTCTTGATTTTATTCTTCTCCATTATTTATTGTGTCCAAAAACAAATAGCTGAAAGATCCTTTAGGGCTTTCCCTCAAATGAGTACTTCCAAGAAATTTAAGGGTAATTAATGATATGCCTTTGGTCTCCTGACAATGCTATTGTCAAGAGTTCAAAAGCAGTGGAGCGGGGATGCAGGGCAGCAGGAGGATAATCCTTATCATATTATCTGGGAATGAACTGTAAATGTCCGGAGTAATGGAATTGTTATGACTGTGCCTCATTCAACGAAAAAAGAAATTGAATCTGAAAATGATGAGGCACACAGTACTTCAGAACAGTTGTCAAACTTCTTCATTCCAAATACTTCCTTTATTTCCCACCACCATACTTCCATCAGTGGTTATAAAGCAAGTTCATTTCAAAGATTTTAAAGGCTGGGGAACAGGAAGCATCAAGGGAGTTGTCATGCTCTAGCTCTGATCACCTGGCTACTGCTTTTATCAGCTTTCCAGATGTTTGCTCTTTGCTGCAGCCTTTTGGAGCCACTTCTGCCACAGGCTCTGTATTTTTCAACGTGCCCGTAAGAATTCAATTGGCAATCTCTTGTTCATCCATCAATACTCAGTTCAAGTGCCATCTCTTCAGAAAGTCTTCTCTGATTGCTCCAGGGGAGTTAAAGGCTTAAATGATCAATCTTTTCTCTTAGGTTTGCATGTTCATAGCAGTTCTATCTTTAACTGCAAGGCTGTACCTTTCACTTACATGCCTAACTCCTTAATTGACTATGATTTTCATTTTTCTTATTTGCTTAACATGTTTCTAAATGTCCCTAAAAGATGAATGAGTGAGTGATATTAGTTTCTTAATTCTTATTAATTTCTCAATGGTACAGCAAAATGTACCAGACAAAGTAAAAACACTGTGAGGTACAGCATGATATCCATTGTCCAGACTATTCTCTATAACCCATGGACAGGAAGGTTTTTTGTTTTGTTTTTTTTTTTGATAAATCAACTACAAAATTCAACTTAAATTTTCAATTTAGCCCCTCATTTCCACCTTTGCTGTGACCCCACTTTTGTCATTTTAAATATAAAAATGAGAAACCAGCTTGAATTACACAATTGTGGCAGATTACTTTGCCAGATTTTAATTCCTCCACCTTAGGCTTGTAGGGTTGGTGTGAGGATTTAATGAGATAATGTATGATGATAATGATAATGATGTCATAATGACAAGATAGCAGAACTTCTTGTAATTCCTTCTTATAATTCCAACACAGTAAGTGCTGAGTAGTACTTAACAGTCATTTTTATAAATTTTAGAAACTTGACATCACGTTTTGATTCTCCTCTGTTCTCCCTATAATACTGCTCTTACAAAGCTGCTAACTATAAAGAAATGATCAAAAGGCAGGAAATGAGAGGGAAATTGTAAAGTAAAAATGGCCTAAAACCTAGGAGATCCATATTTGAAGAGTAATAATATATTTTATTTATATTAGATCCATATGCAACCTATCTAAAGGGATCTTCATTACCGACAAGATGTCACTTCTTTGAAAACTAATGGCTTGACATATTGTCAAGTAGAGTAGATCACTCCAGCTGACTTATAGAGAATGGACAATATGCCGAGACTATCAAACTTTGTCACCCACAGTAAATGCTCTCACATCAAAATTCGGTAGGCATACATAGAAATAGAACTTAAAAAAATAGTTTCACAAAAGAGCATGTAATTTTACTATATAGAATGCACTGACATTTTCTAATCTATTTTATTGTTTAAAATTCTGGCTTTGGCCTACTAAATTGATTTCACAACCCTCTGATTTTAGAATCTTGACATCACATTTTGATTTTCTCCTGTTCCCCCTATACATCCAGACTTTGATAAGAAGAAAGACTGGAGTCAAGAAGATCAGACAGGAGGTTGTTGTAATTCAAGCAATAAGAGATATGAATTTCAGCTAAGGCAACATTATGAAAAGGATCTGGTAACTTTTACCTTATTATTAAAGCTCTATTTAATCCGCTTGCTATAACCTAGTTAAATAAACTTGGCAGCATTAGTGCACTTCTCAGATCATCATCTGAGTGCCTGCCAGGTTTCACACTGTGCAAAGAGCTTTACACATATGTTAATTCTAATTCTTACTGCAGCACTGGAAGGTAGATATCATTATCTCCATTTTACAGATAGAAACACCAAATCAAAGCTCAGGGAAATTAAGCAGATTTGCCAAGGTCACACAGATAGAAATTAGCAGGTAAGTGCATAGCCAGTCTATTTAGCCCTAGCTAGTTCCTATTAACTACTGCACAATAGTCTATTGAATGAATCTACAACAATATCTGTTGATGATTATTTAATGGAATTTCTGGATCCTAAGGTAGAGTTATGTTATAGGTATGTGTTTTATCATATTACAGAAGTATCCATCAATTCATTTTACTGATTGTTCTTGACACCAATGTCCTTTGATGTTGCCTTTTCTGCATCTGTGGAAATAATCAAAATGATTTTGTAGTGTTGCTTTATTAACAGGATGAACTCTTGATGTTTTTTCTAATATGAAACCCACTTGTTCATACTTCTTTTTAAATGTACCAATGGAGTCTGTTCATTAGTATTTAGTTTTATTTAAGACTATTGTATCCAAAATTCATATGACTAGTCTGTTGTTTCTTTTCTGGTATAGCATGGTCAGCTTTGGAGATCAATGTAATACCTACTTCATAAAAATAAATTCTAATTTTTTTCTCTTTCATGATTTGAAATAATTTAAGTAGCATTATAATTATGTTATTATTAAAGACTTGGTTGAATTCTTCCATGAAACAATCTGGAGATCTTCTCTTTATGGGGGTGTATTCAGTTACTTTCTCTATTTAAGATCATTTGTCTGTGTAGACTGTCTCCACTGGGGTCAATTTTAGTCACCTGCATTTTTTTCTAAAAACTCATCTACTTAGTTTACATTTTCAAAGTTATTTCCATAGAGCTATTGTAAGTAGTTGCTTTAAGTTATTTTAATTTTTTCTGTGTCCATGATTATTTCTCTTTTGTCCTAATTGTGTTATATTTACCATTTCTCCCTCATTTTTTAAAATTAGGTTGGTTAGTAGCTTATCTATTTTATTGTTTTATTTTTCAAAAACCCAGCTTTTAGTTTTATAGTATTTCTGTCTTCTGACTTGTTGATTTTTGCATTTATTTTATTATTTTTTTCTTTTTTAATAAACTTTATTTTTAGAGAAAATTTAAGTTTATAGAAAATTTAAAGAGAAGAGTCCTCATATAACCCTTCTCTCACACACAATCTCTCCTGTGATTAATATCTTGCATTCATGTGGTTCATTTGTTGAAACTAATGAACCAATATTGCTACATTATTATTAATGAATATCCATAGTTGACATCAAGGGTTCACTCTTTGTGTTGTGCAGTTACATAGGTTTGTCAAATGTTAGTGTCATGTATCCACCATTACAGCAACATACAGAATAATTTTTGCTGCCCTAAAAATTGTCTGTACTTTACCTATTCATCCCTCTACCTACCTACCAACCCCTGGCAACCACTTAATCTTTTTTTCCTGTCTCTATAGTTTTACCTTTTCCAGAACATAATATAGTTGGAATCATATAATATAGTATAGCCTTTTCAGATTGGCTTCTCTCACTTAACAACATGTATTAAAGTTTCCTCCATGTCTCTTTATGGCTTGATAGCTCATTTTTTTTAAGAGATGAGTAATATCCTGTTGTGTGGATTTAACACAGTTCCTTTATTTACTCCCCTATTGAGAGACACCTTAGTTGCTTCCAATTTTTAGCCATTATGAGTAACAATGCCATAAACATCTGTGCAGGTTTTTGTATGGACATAAGTTTTAAACTAAATTGGATCAATACTTCAAAGTCCAATTGCTGGATTGTATGGCAAGACTGTTTGGCTTTGTAAGAAACTGCCAAACTGCCTTCTAAAGTGACTATACCATTTTGCATTCCCTCCAGCAACGAATGAGAGTTCCCACTGTTTCACATCCTTGCCAGTGGTTTGGTCTTGTCAGTATTTTGAATTTTACCCATTCTAGTATGTGGGTAGTGGTATCTCATTGTTTTAATTTGCAATAATCTAGTGACATGTAATGTTGGGCATCTTTCCATATGCTTATTTGCCATCTGTGTATCTTCTAAGTGAGGAGTTTTTTCAGAACTTTTGCACATCTTAAAAAAAAAACTTTCAGTTTCAGGGGGACGTGCAGATTTGTTACACAGGCAAATTATGTGTCATGGGGGTTTGGTGTACAGATTATTTCCTCACCCATGTAATAAGCATGGTACCCAATAGGTAGTTATTCGATCCTTACCCTCCTTCCACTCTCCACCCTCAAGTAGGCCCCCATGTCTATTGTTCTCTTTTGTATGTCTGTGTGTACTTAATGTTTAGCTCCCATTTATAGGTGAAAACATGTGGTATTTCTTTTTTCCGTTTCTGAATTAGTTTGCCTAGGATAATGGTGTCCAGCTCCATCCATGTGGCTAAAAAGGACATGATTTTGTTCTTTTTTATGGTTGCGTAATATTTCATGGTGTATATGTACCACATTTCCTTTATCCAGTCTACTGTTGATAGGCATCTAGGTTAATTTTATATCTTTGCTATTGTGAATAGTACTGTGATGAACATACATGTGTGTGTCTTTATGGTGGAACAATTTATATTCCTTTGGATATATACCTGATAATGGGATTGCTGGATTGAATGGTAATTCTAAGTTTTTTGAGAAATTGCCAAAATGCTTTTTATAGTGGTTTAACTGATTTACATTCCTACCAGCAGAATATAAGTGTTTCCTTTCCTCTGCAACCTCATCAGCATCTGTTATATTTTGACTTTTTAATAATAGCCATTCTGACTGGTGTGAGATGATATCTCGTTCTGATTTTGATTTACATTTCTCTAATGATTAGTAATGTTGAGCACTTTTTGTGTTTTAATTTCTAACGTGTTGAATTGTTTTTTTTTAATTCTTTATTGTTCATTTTTTAGTCTTATGGATGTAGGATTTAATTTCATAAGTTTGCAGGTGTTAAAATGTTTGTGGTGGCTTTCTGTCATTAATTTCTAGTTTTATTGCACTATGGTAAGAAAATGGTCCCGCATTAAGCCTAACCTTTGGAATTCATGGATTTTTCTATGGTTTAAATTAAGGTCAATTTTTGTGAGTGTTCCCCATACTGTTAAAAATACATACATATATATATATATATATATATATATATATATATACACACACACACACATATTTGATTAGATAGCTATAATCTGATTTCACTGAAAGATACATATGCATATATGTTGTTATAGGCACAATTACACATACATACATACATACATAAAGTTTATTTGATGATGTTATTTAGGTTTTTTATATCAGGGTTAGCAAACTAAATAAAATATTGGAAAATAGCCATTCTTGTTTCTTTATGTATTGTCTCTGAGTACTTTTGCACTACAACATCAAAGTTGAGCAGAAGCAACAGGGACAGTATGGCTCACAAAATCTGAAATATTTACTGTCAGGCCTTTCATAGAAAATACTTGATGACCCTGTTCTATATCATCACTAATTTTTAGTCTAATTCATCTGATTTGGATTTTAAAAGTGTGTTAAAATTTTCTAGTATTACTGCTTCTCTTTCCCCTTCAATCTCCTGTAGTGTGAAAGATGCTTCTGTGTTTTAAATATGAATAACTGCTTTATTTTCATTGTGTTTTAACATTTAGCGTTACAAAGTATCTTCATCTCTTCTTATTTTCCAGTTTGAATTCTACCTAGTCAGATAGCAATATTTTAGCCACTCCTTTCTTTGTATTTTTATTTTCCTGATATAGCTTTAACAATTAGTTTATTTTAAACCACTCCAAATCTCTTTGTTTTGGATGTGCTTCTTATATAATACAGTGTTGGATGTTGTTTTGTTTACCAATCAAAAAAATTAATAGATAAATTAATCCCATTTTATTTTTTTAATATGATTAACAGTTTGCCTTCAACACTTATATATTAATTTCTTATATTTTGTAACAGATATAGCACTTTCCCCTTTTTTGGTTATTTTTTATTTGGTTCTTACTATGAGCCATATTAAGAGGTAATACCCTCTTTTGTTCTTTTCCCTGCATCTCTCCAACATCTGGTTTCAAATTATATTAATTTACTCTCAAATAATAACTATGAAGTAAACAGTAAGCTTTTCCTACTTTTCGTGTTTTCCCTACTTTCCCCTAATATTTTGAAAGTTGTACTATGAAATTATTTTCAGAGTATATAGCCATTACATATTACACTCTGTCATATAATTACCATCTAGTTGAAATTCTACATGTAATTACATATTCAGTACTTACCACCATTACTTATGTAAATTTTTCTTCATTCTTTATTGTTGAAGAATTAGCCTGAAGCTCATTCTTTAGATTTCTCAAAAAAAATCACCTAAATTATTGCATGTTTATAATGGTTTGTGTGCAGTTTTTAAACAGAAAGTCATCTGGGCTGGACATAAAGCCATTGGCTCACGCTTTCTTTTATTATCTTCCAATATGCTACTCTATTGTTTTCTGGCAAACAGCATTCCTATCAAAAAGTTTGATGACACTGTGTTACTTTTCCTGATAAATGTCTTGGGCTTTTTGCCTAGTTTTCAATTTATTTTGTTTCCTTTTCTTTTTCTTTATAGTCCATTACTATAAAATGCCTTGCTTTGTGCATATTTTAAATAACATATTTCTATGCCAAGTTTGTCATATAAATATATAAATAGTGAGCTCTTTCAATATGCACTTTTGACTTGTTTTTAATTTCAAAACTATTTTTTTCTTTCTTTTTTTTTTTTTTTTTTTTGTTGTTGAGACGGAGTCTCGCTCTGTCACCCAGGCTAGAGTGCAGTGGCTCAATCTCATCTCACTGCAACCTCTGCCTCCCGGGTTCAAGCGATTCTCCTGCCTCAGCCTCCTGAGTAGCTCAGATTACAGGCATGTACCACCACACCTGGCTAATTTTTGTATTTTTAGTAGAGGTGGGGTTTCACCATGTTGGTGAGGCTGGTCTCAAACTCCTGACCTCGTGATCTGCCCGCCTCGGAAAACTATTTTCTTAAGTTATAGTTTTAGTATTTGTTTTTATTCCCATTGTTTTGGTTTTCTTATTCAGAAGTTCCTATTATACTCATGTTCAGTCTTTTCTGCCTATCTTCTTTATCTTTCACTTTTTAAAAAATTATTTTCCCTTCCTGCATTTTATTTTTTTCTATTTATCTTCGGGTATTATTTGTTGTGTTTATTTTTGTGTTTATTCAAATTAGTCATCATTTCTGAAATTATTTTTTCCTTTGATTACTAATTCTTTCCTGACTTCTAACATCTTATGTCTAAGTTATTTTATTCTTTCATATCATCTATCACTTTCTTAATTTTTAGCTCATTTTGAAATATTAAGATTTCAGGTTATACTTTTTGTTTTATGAACATGTCTCTCTGGCTTCAATTGTGTGTAAGGACATTAGTATGCTCCTTATTCTCTCTCTCTTTCTTATAATAACTTCATATCAAATTCAACTTATTTTTCCTTAACTTATAGAATGAATGGGTGGAATGCAACTTCTTTTGGCAACACTAATCTAGAACTCTGCCCTATAGGTTTAATGAAGTGTTAAGCAGCTATAGCCTCTGACTTTTTGACAATCTTCTGGCTTTGTTCCCCTCCCTCAACTTTTGCTTTCTGCTCCCACTCTCACTGCTCTGCCTAATTTGAACTTTATTCCTGTAGGTTTCTCAGACGTTTGTGTTTCATTTTGAAAGTTTATAGAGCTGCTCTGGCCTTTTCAGACCTTACCGTATCCCTTGTACTCATCTTCAAATTGGTGTGGGTAAAAACTTTTTCCAATTTCAGCTGCTGTTCTCAAGTTGGCCTGTAGTACTTTCCAGTAAGTTGCTGTTTACTACTTTGGAATACTCTTGTTTGTTTCTTCTTTCTGCCTGCCCACTGGGATTTTGCAATGTCATAATTTCTTTACCTCCTCTAATTTGTGGGTCTTGTAATACCTTGTCTCCTACTACTGTAGATATTGTCCTTTTTCACCCAAAGTAACAATCCTAGTTGCTGGTCAGCTGAAAAAAAAAAAATTTAGGAGCCAATAACATAGAAAAAAAAAAAAAAACTAAAGCCAGAATGGTAAGTCTATGAAGTGATGATATGGTAGCCTTGCCAGGATTTCAGTCAAAGATATGGGACCACATATTTGGGAATAACAAAAATCACATGTAGGGAGACAGGCTTGGTGGCTCACACCTGTAATCCCAGCACTTTGGTGGGGGCAAAGTGGGCAAATCACCTGAGGTCAGGAGTTCGAGACCAGCCTGGCCAACATGGGCAAACCCTGTCTCTACTAAAAATAGAAAAATTAGCTAGGTGTGGTGGTGGGTGTCAGTAATCCCAGCTACTCAGGAGGCTGAGGCCGGAGAATCACTTGAACCCAGGAGGCGGAGGTTGCAGTGAGCCAAGATCACACCACTGCACTCCAGCCTGGGCAACAGAGCGAGACTCCATCTCAAAAAAATAAATAAATAAAAATAAAAATCACATGTAGAGAGAGGAGTTGTATCCCTCAACTTATTCCTATAGAGGTAACTGAGTAGAATCACTTTTAAAAGGGAAAATGTGAGAAAATAATTTAATGCAGTATTATTTATAGAGGAATTCTGGAAGACTCAAAAATTATATCACTTCAACATTTTCCCAAAACCCTTTTCTAACTTTTTAAAGTGACCTTTAAAAGGCTTATCTATAATGACAATGAACACTTGTAATTGTAAGGCTTTATACTATCCCTTCCCTAGAAACTATTTCTAAATCTGCATTAAGTCCTCTCTCTTTTAACTTAATCTACCCAGTGACCTCTATAGAAATAGGTTCCAAGGATACAACTTTTCTCGCTACATGTGTTTTTAAATTGTTATCCCCAAATATTTAGTCTTATATCTTAGACTAAAATCCTACGAAGACCACCATGTCATCACCTCATTGACTTGCCTCTTTTATGTTGTTGGCTCCTAGAGATGCTTTCCCAAAGATATTTTGAAAATTTTTTAAAATATGCATTTTTATCCTGAATTTCCTGTTTGCAATGAGCAAGGGGCATCAGAAGTTCAATCTTTTATGTTGCTGGAACCAGAGGACCAACTTGCTCTTTTTTAACATACACATCATATATACCCAAAGAAGAAAATGAAATGCCCTGCTAAATAACATAATAAGTATTTTGTGAAATTTCCATAGAATTTTATCTCCGTTCTTCAATGTGGAATTGTTCTGTGCATATTTCAAATGTCGGCATACGTTTTCAAGTTGCTCATCAAAGAGGATTTTTTCCAAAGAAGGATCTAAATACTTTCATTTTCAGCTAGTATTGCTATTCTTTTTGGAGAGTTGGAAAGCTCATTAAGTATATAATGCATCCTGTTGTAGAATAAGAGTGAGTCAAAAGTCCAAGAGATTTTCCCCAAAAATAAATTTGAGGGTCTGCTCCAGTTCATGAACAAACAGACAACTGTTTATTTCCGAAACCCTAAATCATAAGACTACAATAATTTTAACCTGCAAAAATGCTATGTTAATATCAGCAAACATCTACTTAATCAGATAATAATATCACCTCATTCAACTTCAACCTTCCAACCTCTGTTCAGTGTTCTTCACTGCTTCCGTGCTCTGAACTCTGCTTCTTATATTGCTATTTAGAAAATAAGTCATACTTTCTTTAAGAGAAAGGAAGACAATATAAAATAAAATAATAGGATAAATGTCAAAGAATAAAGAAATTGAATCTTAAGACCATGAAAAGGTACACATAACTACCAGGATAAAATATTTTAGAGAAAAAAATAATATAGGAACTAAAATTAAAACTAAGATAAAAATAAAAATTAACAATATATTCAAAACACAAAGCTACAAAAAAGAAAAAAATTACAACAGAAGTGAACAATAACAAGTAAAGCAAAGATGAATTTAAAAGAGAAAAAAGTAAAGGGAAAAGTTAAATGTCAATAAAACTTTAAGGAAATGCAAATAACACATATTAAAGGATAAAAATGGAAACTTGGAGAAGCAGGTAAACTAATTTCAAGGTATTATACAGTCTATATCATAGCAAAGATATATTTTAAAATATTACTTAGTTTCTGGGTGATAAAACGGAAGACAGCCCCAATAAATAAGCAAACTGAATTAAGAAAATGAAAGAGAAGAAAAAATGTTGATGCCTTGTTGACAGCAGGCTTCTGGCAGCAAAGTATCTCACAGCAGAACATAGAGACAAAGAACCTTAAGGAACTTTTAAAAATTCTTGCCATTATACTGATGCAGACTATCCTTTCAAACAGCTATCAAAGAGAGTTATGTTCTTGTTAGAGAAAGGAACTATTCTTCTTTAACTTCAGCTAACAGTGATAAAGTGATAGAAATCAGTTGATATTGTGGTACTCATCTCCATCTTCCCCCATCATTTTCAAATATCGTGAGCATAAATCTCAATCCACACTCTCAGGTAAGTGAGACGTTATAACTTTATTGGGTATAATTCAACTAAATTTCCATTTTGAACTCCCACTGTGTCAGATGACAGAAGCTTCATTTCCATCAGTTTGCCATGTCCTCTCCCTCTCATCTTTAGTACTGAGTATGAAGACTTGGTGTAGTACATGGCATTCGTCTGATTCTTCCAGCCTTAATACTACATAAACATACACTGAACCATTCATTGTCCTTTTGGGCACTCAGTTGGATCCCTGAAGACAGGCCTCTTTGCTGTCTGCTTGGCTTTTTAGAACTGTGTCTTCACTACTTCTGAAGAAGCTCTACTCCAGAGCATGGGAACCATTCTTCTGCTTCTGTGCAGAAGTAGTGGTCCAGGATCTTAATGGAATACAGCCATAACAGATTTCAAGCTCTCTTCTAGTGCCTGCCAGATCCATCTGGTGTTCTATTACCTACGTGGCACTGCCCAAGAAGCAGTGCTCAGGGTCCCTCTGTCCAGGTTGCAGAGTCTTTCTCTTTCTTAGCCCAAAAAGATGTTTTCTGTCTTCCAAAGAAAATTCCATTCTCTCCAAATCCATGCCATCTATTTTTCTTACAACTTGGGTCTTAGGAATTTTAAACTGAAAAAAAATCTAGGAAACAACGAGTTCCAGCTATCTATCAAAATTATCTCTCCTAGCTAGGAGAGAAAATAGAAAATATTTAAAGAAAAAAATTGGATAAGGATTTCAGAAATATGTTCCTATCACACAGTCCTCTTACTATATCTTACTCATCTCAAAAATTTTTGAACCAAATTCAAAGGATTGATCTTTATTTTGATATTTGATTTTTGACATTTTTTTAGAAACACGCTTTTTCCTTTTAATTTATAATATGCTTTTTGAATTAAAATGTAAATTAGGCCAGCTTAATAAAACACTTAATTATTAACCCCCTTGGCTAAATAACCATTGCCTCTATTCTTTGTGAGCATCTGTGCTAAAATTTGGAGATTGGCTTTTTAAGCATATTTAATTTAAAAAGAAAACATAAGCTTATAATTTGGATGGAAATGCCGTTTTCATCATCTCCCTTTGATATTAAAATAATCTTAAAGTTTAGAACTTTCTTTTTATCTTGAATTGAGACCAGCTTTAGAGTAATGGTGAAAGGAAGGGGAGGGGGATCCTTGCCCTCTAGTCACAAGTCTGCAGATGTGGAATCAAAGCTTGTGTCTATAAGATAATTTCCAACAATATTATATTGTTGAGTTTATGTCTCTCTTTTTTTTCTCCCACATCTTATGGACAGGAAAAGAGCTAGGTGCTACTCACTGACAGCCAATTAAGGGGCTTTTGTGTAAAATCTCCTCAGAAGAGCTGACCAAGGGGACTTGAAATATATCTTTTGATGTAGTTGTGGAGGGCAGCAAAAGCTCTACATAGAAACTAAACACCTATCATTTGAAATCTTCATCTTATATATGACTCTTGACACATCTTTTTCACATTAACAATCTAGAATGCCATCTCAAGTACATCTTTCTGGTGATTCTAACTTAAACACTCAAAAAAATTGTTATGAAAACATATGGTCTATGGTACCTACTTTTTCTCAAGGAGAACTATACATAAATCATTCTAGTAAGAGCAATGTAGGTGATGCAGTAATAGGTAACGCAAAAAGAAAAAGAGAAAGTGAGCATTTAGGTTTCCATACATCATCTTATTTCTACAGTCACCCCCAATTTTCCCAATTAAGCTTCACATACAAAATGACTGCTAATTGCTTCACTAAAATGACTTCATTAAATTTTCCCATGCCATTCCTTGAACACAAAATCTATATATTAAATCAAGGATTTAATTACACATTCTCCTTGGCAATAAGATAAAGGGTAAATCTATAATAGTTTCATAGAGAATATAACCACATTAACTAAACAAGAAAAAAAATCATCAAGACTGAAGAAGCAACAGGAATTTTTTTAGAAAGAGAGAAAATTTGAAAGAAAAAAAGAAACAATTAGGCTTCCAAAAATCTACAATGCGAGTTTTTTATTGCATGCTTCCCAAAATGGGTTAAAATACATCTATTCCAATCAGGAATAGCCAATTATGTAAATGTGTACTCTTAACATAGCATGCTAACTGAGGCTGTGAGAAACAATGAGTGGATGGAGAGACCCTTGGGGTTGCTGGTATAAATAAAACCTCCTGAAGCAGAAAGGATCCTTTTACTCAAGGGAGAAATTCAAGATTTGTTTCCTGAAACAATTTTCTCTTTCTGCACTTAGCTAAATGTGCAATAATGAGTTGTGTCCATCAGGATATTTAACTTCCAAAATGATATTCAGCTCTGCTGTTAATAATTTAGTGTAGAAAGGTATCCAAATAGGAAAAGAAGAAGTCAAACTATCTATCTTTGCTGACAATATGATTCTGTACCTGGAAAACCCTAAAGATTGCCAAAAGTCTCCTAGAACTGATAAAAAAAAATCAGTAAAGTTACATGATACAAAATCAATATACAAAAATGTATACCATTTCTATATACCAATAAATTTTAAGCTGAGAGCCAAATCAAGAATGCAATCCCTTTTATGATAGTTGCGAAAAAACTTCTCTAACCATGTAGATCAAAGATCTCTACAAGGAACATTGGAAACCACTGCTAAAAGAAATCATAGATGACATAAATAAATGGAAAAACATTCCATGTTCATGGATTGGAAGAATCAGTATCAGTAAAATGGTCATACTGCCCAAAACAATCTACAGATTCAACACTACTCCCATCAAGCTACCAACGTCATTTTTCACAGAACTAGAAAAAAACTATTCTAAAATTCATATGGAACCAAAAAAGAGCACAAATAGTCAATGCAAACCTAAACAAAAACAACAGATCCAGAGGCATCACTTTACTCAACATCCAACTATGCTATAAGACTACAGTTACCAAAATGACATGGTACTGGTACAAAAACAGAAACAGACCAATGGAACAGAACAGAGTGCCTAAAGTCACACATCTATAGTCATCTGATCTTCTACAAAGTTGACGAAAACAAGCAAGGGGAAATGGACTCCCTATTCATTAAATGGTGCTGGGATAGCTGGCTAGCCATATAAGGATTGAAACTGAACCTCTACCTTTCACCATACACAAAAACTAACTGAAGATGGATTAAAGATTTTAATGTAAGACCTCAAACTATAAGAATTCTAGAAGAAAACCTAGGAAACATCATTCTAAACATGGGTCTTGGAAAATAACTTATGACTAAGTCCTCAAAAGCAATTGCAACAAAAACAAAAATTGACAAGTGAGAACAATTTAAAGAGCTTCTGCACAGCAAAATAAATTACAAACAGAGCAAACTGACAACCTACTGAATGGGAGAAAATATTTGCAAACTATGGAGCCAACAAAGGTCTAATATCTAGAATCCATAAGGAACTTAAACAATTGAAAAAGCAAAAAACAAATAACCCATTAAGAAATGGGCAAAAGACATGAACAGACACTTCTCAAAAGAAGACATATAAGTGGTCAAAAAACATATTAAAAAATGCTCAACATCCCTAATCATCACAGAAATGCAAATCAAAACTACAATGAGATATTATCTCACACCAGTCAGAATGGCTATTACTAAAAAGTTAACAAATGCTGGCAAGGCTGTGGAGAAAAGGGAACACTTATGCACTGTTAGTGAGAATGTGAATTAATTCAGCCACTATGGAAAACCATTTGGAGATTTCTCAAAGAACTTAGAGCTACCATTTGACCCAACAATCCCATTATTTTGTATATACCCCCCCAAAAAATAAATCATTTCACCAAAAAGACATATGTACTTGTATGTTCATTACAGCACTATTCATAGTAGCAAAGACATGAAATCAACCTTGGTGCCCATCAATGCTGAATTGGATAAAGAAAATATAGTACATATACACTGTGGAATATTACATAGCCATAAAAAAGAATGGGCTTTTTTTGTTGTTGTTATTGCAGAAATATGGATGCAGCTGGAAGCCATTATCCTAAGTGGATTAATGCAGGAACAGACAACCAAATACTGCATGCCCACACCTATAAGTCAGAGCTAAGCAATGGGTATTCTTGGGCATAAAGATGGCAACAATAGATACTATGGAACATAAGATGGGAGAGGGAGAGAGAGAGTTCAAAAACTAGCAATTGGGTACTATGCTCAGTGATGGAATCCATCATACTCCATATCTCAGCATGACACAATATACTCAAGTAACAAACTTGCACATGTAAGCCCTGAATCTAAAATAAAAATTGAATCTATAAAAAGAAAACAAAATATTATAATTTTATATGTTATTTGGCTTTAAAAATGAATATTAAACAGTATTGAATGATCCATTCAAAACAGACTTATCAGAAGCACATTTAATCTTATCCATTTTCAGGCAGAAAACAAATGAGCCTTTTGAATTTTAAAACAATATATGTAGCAGATTTCAGCACAATATTATTATCATTCTTCTGGGAATTTGTTGTTATCAAAAATGTGTAGTAATGCGTATATTAACTAGCTCAAGTGAACCATTCTATAATGTATACATATTTTAAAACATCATGTTGTACATGATAAATATGAACAATTTTTGTCAATTAAAAAATAAAAATTTGCTTTTCTTTTTTGAAAAGTAATAATTCAGTGTGGTTGATCATTTTGGAGTAGAAGATGGTTCTCCTTTCAGAGGGCCAGATTTTATCAACTATATTCCTCTCTGAATTCAGCAAACTCATAGCTAGTACGGCAGAGGTATCAGCCACTAGAAAGTGGGCCTTACCAATTGTAACAGTTGGGTAGTCACAAAAAGATGCTCATTTGGAAATGATGATGATGGTGATAATGTATTTCACTGCTAACATTCACACCATCATCCTCTATGGAATGGGAAGAAGGAAAAGAGGTGGATGAGATTTTCCATATATATATAGGAATAAATTTTACCTTGCAGTGTTTTTTTCCACTTCCCTTTTCCTTTCTTTTTCCATCTATATCTTACATGACTTCTCCAATAGCTCCTCCTTCTGCCCCTCATGAACTAAAGTAAGCAACTTGATGGGTAATCTTTTATACATTTCTCGCTGGTCACTGAAACTATCGAAGGAAGGACCTGCCCTATCAGAAATGAAAACATTCTGTAAAGCTACTGCAAACAAAAGACTATAGTCCTGGCATAGGAATAGACAAGTTAGTGCAATAAAGAGAATAAAGAGAAATAAATCCTGGAATAAACTGAAGTTTAACATATAACTATGGTGATATTTCAAACAGTGTGAAGATGTGGCTTATTTCATGAATGGAGCTCGAACAACTGGTTATCCATCTGGAAGAAAATTAAGTTGAACGCTTAATTCACACCAAACGTAAAAATAAATTCCAGATGGATAGAAGACTTATATGTAAAAAAAAAAAAAGAATAAAATACTTCAAAAATGTTATACTTACAATCTTAAAGGCAGGGGAGATGATTTTACCAATTCTGAGAACACACACACACACGTATAGATATATTTAAATATTTGAAATTAAAAGATTTGTTTGAAAAAGAGATCACATTGGGAAACATTTTGTAACCCATATGACAGAAAAATGATTAATATCTTTTTATATGAATAGCTTTTATAAATTTTTATAAATTAATAACAAAAAGGAAAACAACCCAATAGATGTTGCAATAATCAATATAAATAGTAAATTGCAAGCAGAATATCAAAAAGCACTCAATTCTGTTGAAGCAACAATGAGATAATTTAAATCCATTAGAATGTAAAAAATAAAGAATTGTAACACCTATTTTTATCAGGGATATGGAAAAAAATTTTACTATGTTGTTTGTGGAATTATGAATTATTAGTCTTTTTTGAAAAGTAACCTGGCTATATCTACTAAATTGCAAATACATATACCATAAGCCACACAATTCCACTCCTGTGAATTTATTCCATGGTAATAATAGCACATAATGTATTTATTTACTAAGTGTTTAAATAAAGACTTACTTTAGTAAAAAAAAAAAAAAAAAAGAAATAAAGTGTTTATCAAAAGAGGAATTCTTGAACATATGTGTGTCACTACATCCATAAAATGTATTCAGTAACATTAAAAAGACTGTGTTATATTATGTGAATTAATTCAGAGAAATTTGCCATTTATGGTTCAGTAAGTAAATCAACATTCAAAGACGCTCATGTGATATGATCTTGTTTTTAATATGACCCATCCTTTTTGAGAAAAAGAAAATACTGTGTGTGGATGATTGCATGTCTTTTTTTCTCTTCAAAAATAACAGCGTTATTGATATAATTTACCCTTTGAAAGTGCATACTCCAGCCTGTCATTTATTTTAACATTCATTTTTAAACTTTCATGGGAAACTACCAAAGGAAGCTTAAGGCACAGAAAGACTTTCTGTTCAGGCAAAGGATTGAAATACAGTAACATCAGGATCATATCCTAGGAGTACGGGCACAGCTGAGGGAAGAACACTAGACAAAAAACACTAGAAAGAAGCATTCTCAATGAAGAAGGTCAGGAACAGGATAATTACAATATGTTTCACCTGGGGCTTCTTGCTGCTTAACTTGAATGTAACTTTCCTTTTTCCTGATTATTCCCCCATTCCCCCATCACAGGAGCAAACAGTATTAAGAAGAAAAGATCATGGCTAAACATTTGACTAACACTTCATTCTAAAAAGATTTTTACCTCTGTCATCCTTTCCTTTGACTTGCAGCTCTACCCCAGATGGACACATGCATTTAAAAGAACAGATAATAGTGACACATGCCACAATTCCAGGGGGCGCCCATCCTTTCCTCCCGGAGTTGTGCAGTGAGGCAGTTCTGGCCTCATGAGGTTTAAATATTGAAAATCCTATCTATCTATCTATATCTATCTATCTATCTATCTATCTTTCTATCTATTTATTTATTTTTAGACAGATTCTCACTCTGTCACCCAGGCTGGAGTGCAGTGGTGCAATCTTGGCTCACTGCAACCTCTGCCTCCCGGGTTCAAGCGATTCTCTTGCCTCAGCCTTTGGCAAATATCATTTTTACTTTCTCCTTTAATGGATATTTTATTGCAATTTCTCATCCTAAAGGTCAAGCTATTAGAAATATCACCCCATGGTAAGGCTGGCATTTCACTTCTTAGGGAGATTTGGGGTTTTAATACCAGGCTTTGTGGAAGGAGAGGCTTTGCTTAATTCCTTTGTTCTATTCCTTTGGCAGGTGGAGAGCCATCCTAGGAAGCCCAGCTAATTGATGTCTTCTGTGATAGAAGTGATATGCCAAGTACCCTTGTTGAAGGCTTAATTAGAACAAACAGGAAGACAGAAATGCAGGGATATTTCACTCCTTGATCTCTTCCCTGGGAAAAAATAAGGCGACACCTAGGCAGGAAGGAACAGCAATCAGACATGTGTCTTCTGGCTGCCCCTCCCTGGGTTTTGTTCCCAATGGTGGGAGACATGAGACAGAACAAAGAAGTCAGGTGGCTTTTGCCTGGCTGCCCACCATGGTCTCTGAGAAGGTGCTACCTCTCAGGCTGCCAGGTACCCCTAAGCCAGATAAGGCATCCCAGTGGGGTCAAGAGAGGCCCTGAGCTTGGCTCTTCAGCTGGTCTCAACCCCCAGTAGCCTGCATGCTGAGTTGGGAGAGAATGGGCCTGCTGGGGACCCTACTAGGGACAGGCAAGGTGCTCTTGCAAAGGCAGGGGGTACTGAGGCCAGAGGGTGAAGCTCCACAGCTAGGGAGCATGATGGGAGGCCAAAGCAACAAGAAGGTGGTGGAGGCTCCGCGAAACATTCAAAGCCAAAAGAAGAGGCCACATACTTCTTTGCTGCAGAATATGGAGCCAGTGAGGCCAGGACCACCCGGGGGTCAAGGCACAGTGCCTAGGAGACCTGCTGCTACTACCAGTCACTATGCATAAGGGTAAGCCAGAAGCTAGGAGCCTATTTCCTCCCAAGGCCTCACACAACCAGAGGCCACTGAAAAGAGAGCAATGAGGGAGGAGGAGGCTTTGGAAAGACTGAGCATTTTTATTCAAAAGAGACTTTATACTATGTGAAGGGAGTTTTTAAATGATTGGAATTAAGAGTAAAACATTAAATTGGATTGGACATTGGGTTAATTTTTGTTTTCCTGCTGAACAACCAGTAATGGCACGGAAAATGCCAGCTAAATCACAAACAAAAGCTTTCTCTGCAAAATCAAGTGGAGATGCCACTGACATGCTCTCCTGGTCACACTGTTGGATCCATGCCACTTGCTCTTGTTCTACTCATGGCCATGATCTCTGTGGACCTCAGGAAAACTTCTGTCTGAGAAGTTCTGGTCCCTGGCCTGTTTCTGGACTTTCAGGGGCATGTTAGAGAAGCAGCTCTAAGCAGGGTGATAACCCAAAGAATCCACTGCTACCATCAAAACGCATATTCTTCTTAGCCCACTCCCTGGAGAAGTTCGGGTACAGAAAAGACACTTCTAAAATGCACATTATCAACAAGTAATGAGCTGCACCGTTTAAAACAGCGTGTGAATAAAAACCCACTCCCTGCCTGCTACTTTACCTTTCCCAGCCTGTTTCCACTTTTTCTTGGTTAGGGTTTGGGTCTTGGCTACACTAAGATGTTCCTTTTTCTTTTTCCTTTTTCTTCTCAAACCACAGTAACTCACACAGGAGCCAAACCCCTTAACTAAAGAATAATTTATGACAGAGAAGCTAGCATTTTAAACAAAATAGTTTTGGGGAAAGGGGAAGAAAGCCAGGAGGTCAGAAGTTGATTTCTAAGGACAGCATGCTGGCCGCCTCCTCCTCAGGGCCGGCCTGCTGGGATTATCACATTACGGGAAGGGTCCGTGCCAGGGCCAGGAACCATGCCACCCGGCTCCTATTGATCCCCTCAAAGGACTCAGCAAAGCCTGCAGAGCTGCAGAGCAGTGTGGCTCTGAGCTCTAAAGACACTGGCCCTGCTGAAGGGCTTATTTTTCACCAGTCGGAGAGATATTGAAATGTAAGAGGTTCGGTTGCCTCAGTGAAGAGAGGCCATGTTGCTTGGATAAGTGATCCTTAAGCACATCATGTGGTGTAAGCGAAGGTAACAGGCCCCGCCAACAAAGGCTGTAAGTGGTGCTTGGCAAGACAAGGCCCAACCAGCACAATACAAAAAGATGATTCATTACAGACACTGTGCACACATGCTTGGCATCTCAAATCACACGCAGGAGCTGCAGATCATGGCGTCGAGTTCCACTCCCAGGTTGCCCCGTCAGCTAGTCAGGTTCGAGGGCAAGCTGCCTGACCCAGGTGTAAATAATGCAGAGCTGGCATGCCACCTCTGACAGTGGGACCAGCAAAGCAGCTGGAGAGAACTGATGCCACCAGAGGCAAAGCTTGTGCCAGAACTGGTGAAAACTGTTTCCCCTTTTTCTACTATAGGGAAAGTTTAAGATTTGTTGTAGGAAATGAGACAATTAAGTAAAAATCCCCCGGAAGATCAAAGGAAAGTGTAGGAACACATATGTCCAGGCACTGCCTTGGCCACGAGTGGTTGGTATAGATGGACATAGCTGCTGCCCTGCTGTGGTAGAAAACCTGTGTCCCAGTGATGGCTCTTCCTCCTCCTGCCTTTCTGGGATCACCAATCAGAGAAGACTGTTCATGGCAATATGACAGTGCCACCAGCTGGTGCTGCCTGCAAGGACTCTTTTGCTGTGCTGACTACAGAATCCTGTGTGCCTATGGTAAGCCTAGGATCTGTGAGGTTAGGGAGCTGCTGTCCTCAACAAATGGTTCTCTTTGGGGATTAACTGGGTTGGCAAAGAGTGAGCAAGCTCAAGAAAACTTCTGTGGTATGGTAAAACGTGGCTTTCTTGGCAAGGCTACGCTGTATATGTGTCAACTACAGAAGTGCTACTCCAGTCAATCCAACAAATACTTCCAGCAGCAATTCCCAAATGGTTTATTAAGAGTACGTATTTTTCATTTCAAGGGAGAACCTTATCTTAGAATGCCATGAGGTATACCAGTAATCATATGAAGTTTCCTATATTACATATGCTATTTATTATGACTATAACCGTGTAACATTTAATAACTTCTCCCCAGATAAGAAATTAATTTAATCTACTGCTTTTCTATTTAACGTCTTTGCAGTTTCAATGGGAGAAAGAAAAACAAAAGTGGAAGATGAATTATTTTTAACAGAATTAATATAGCTAAGAAAATACGCCATTCTAAACCAGTAATAATAGGCCCCTGCCTGGTTCCAACAGTAGATACTGTTTCTAACATTATAGCATTTTGCTGATGAACATGCCCCACTGAAATCCTAACCATTAATTTTCTAAACTGTACTTTTTAAAAACTTGACAAGGCTTGTTTGGTCACTGAATTATATATCCTCTTCTAAATTTCCTTCTTGGGAAAGTTTTCTTTTTCACCCTTAAAGGGATATTATCCCTGCTTTGGACAACTTTCTCTTAATAGTCAGATGTTTTCAATGTACTTCATATTCCCCACCATTCCCACTAATTAAATTTTTCATCTGCACAATGGATGGTAAAGGCCAATTTCACAATAAGAGGGTGTTGCCATCACCACATTACTAGAGAAGGAAAGGGAAGATGATGTCAAAGCAGATCTGACCTGGGCTTTGCATTTTGGTCTGGGGCTTCTGCTCCCCCCAGTTTTCTTAAAAAGGGCCAGATGAGATACAAACCCAAGGGCTGCAGACCCATACTGCTGACACTTGACTGTGTATGCTTACCGGGCGGAGAGGACCTCACCATGTGGGGCTTGCTGCATCCAATTCTTTATCAGTCTATACGAAATCCATCACATATAGAATCGATCCTCTAGGATCAGGAAGGGAAATAATTTTTTTTTTTTAATATATGACCATATAGCCAACATTTACTAGAATATATGTCATTTATATTTTCATATCTAGGATACCCACAATATCCCAAAACACTTTCCAAGTATGGAAATCTCAAGAGATTTTAACTACCATTATGAAGAGCACAACTTTGGAAGGGAAAGGCCTGCCTCCTGTTGTAAAGTAGGAGAAGGAAACAAGGTAAAAAGTGATAAAAGGCATTAGAGGCCTAAAATGTATCTATTACTACTACTGATATGATTAATATTTAATACTCATCTTTAATATTGAGCTTCAGATTTCTTATGTATTTCTTATTATGGGAAATTCTTATGCCATAAAGAAAACAGTCACTTAACTCTCTTTGCTTCTATCTAGTCTATTAATTGCTTTTGCTGAAAATCTAGGTTTAAACTTTCATGATCCCTCAGTCATGAAATCTTCCCAGGGTTTCTAACCTGGAGACCACATGGATGGAAAAATAATTACATACTATTTTTATTTACATGTAGCAAAAATTTAGTATTCCTTCAACTGTGAATAAAGGCAAAAAGAAGGAGAGAGAGAATGAAAGAAAGAACCCACAGTTGTAGTGGTACCTGTGACTTCGTCAAAAGTATAAAATATAACTATTTTTATGTCGTTACAGCAGTACATACAGATGAATTATTTATGCTTATCACTGTGTTAAAATTCAACAGTTTTTATTAAAACCCACTGGTAGATTTTTTAGTGTATTTATAATGAAGCAAATTTATTACTATACCACAGATTTTTATAAATATCTTGGTAACTGCATGTCAGAATAATCCTATGCAATTTACTTTATACATTTAAAAAAATAAAATAAATAACATTATTGTGAGAAGTCCGTAGGCACAAACTGCTGAAGGAGAATGTGGCACCAAAAAAATGCTGAGAAATTGCACATCATGCCTAGATGATTGATGGTACAGCCCAGTGATACATCAAGAAGGATTCAAAAGAACCAGAAAAAGGCATGCCAAGCTTAATTAGCAATGTTGGCCATGCATACAGGGAAATACAGGGATGTGTAACATGTATTTGCTATTCCCAATTCTAACACCTTTGGATAATGTTCACATATTTGTGAAAGAAAAATAGCTGCAGGGTGGTTCAGTTATCATAAGAAAATTCTAACTCCTTTTAGCTCCAACAACTAATGCCAAATATTCTATAGGCAAAATTCTATAGGCTAATTCCAGTTCAAGGATAGCTTTAAAACCCTACAATGTGCTTCCTCTATTTTGAGGTCAATCCAAGACAGCAATCTGAAATAAACAAGTTCTCTCCTTCCATATAAATGTTAATTAAAAAAAAAAACTCACCTAAGGCCTTATATTGAGACTGCATTGTTTTTGGATCAGCTGCTTCTAATCCTTTCACTTACATCTGTAGCTTTGTGCTGTCAGTAATCGTAGATTCATAGTCATTGCAAACATAAATCTTTCTCATAACATTCATTTCAAAATCCTGTAGTTGAGAATTCACTTACTATAAACACTCCCTCAGCAGAAGTTGGGTGTTGGCCATGTAGCCTGGAATGGGGTACTTAGCATTCCCAAGGTGTGGCTCAGGAAAATGCAAGCAATTGAAGTAATTAGTGGCACTTGTACGTTGTAAAGCATTTTGTTGTATTTCCTCACCCAGCAGAGGCCCTTTTTCACATTTAAAACAAAAAGGTTGGATATTTAAAAATGTGATATACAGAAAAATGAAAAGGAACAAGTTAGGGAGTAGTCCTATTAAAAAGCACTGTCTGGAGTTGGGAGATGGGTTGATATGGTTTGGCTGTCTCCCCACCCAAATCTCAACTTAAATTGTAGCTCCCAGAATTCCCACGTGCTGTGGGAGGGGCCCAGGGGGAGGTAATTGAATCATGGGAGCCGGTCTTTCCCGTGCTATTCTCGTGATAGTGAGTAAGTCTCACGAGATCTGATGGGTTTATCAGGGGTTTTTGCTCTTGCTTCTTCATCATTTTTCTCTTGCCAGCTGCCACGTAAGAAGTTCCTTTCACCTCCCCCATGATTCTGAGATCTCCCCAGCCATGTGGAACTGTAAGTCCAATTAAACCTCTTTTTCTTACCAGTCTCAGGTATGTCTTTATCAGCAGTATGAAAACAAACTAATACATGGGTCTACAAGAAACTTGATTGCTAAAGAGAAATTACCTGTGAAACTTTATAGCAGTACCTCCCCATCCTATTTGTCCTTCACTATTATACTTCCCTACTTTTCTCTTTAACTCTTGCCCCTCTAATTTTCCAAATCCTCTCTCTCCTTCCTTTTCTCTTCTCCATTTTTCTTTTTCTCCCCTCCCTCTCTTCCTACTCTTTTCTAGCTCTTCTTCTCATCTCTTCTTTTTAATTGCTATTCTTTCCCCTCCCTGAAGCCCTACAAGGAAATCCCACCTTTGTAAAGAAGAGTAGCCATAGAATTCAAGTGGTTAATATTTGCATAATATATCATTGCCCACTCTTTGACCTTCAACTTAACCACGTCTTTATATTTGAAGTATGTCTCTTGTAAACAGTATGTATTTGGGCCATGTGAGTGTGCACAGGTGTGTGTGTGCACATGTGTGTGTTTTAATCCATTCTGACAATTTAATTGGTGTGTTTACTTCATTTACACCAAATGTAATTACTGATACAGTTGGGATTTTTCTACCATCTTGCTTTTTCTTTTCTACTTGTCTATCTGTTCTTTGAACTTTTATTCTTCTCTTCCTTACTTATCTTGAATTAAGCAAATATTTTTATTATTCATGATATTTCTCCATTGGCTTTTTAGCTATATGTTTTTGTATTATTTTAGTTACACTGGAAGTTAAAATATGCACCCACAATTTATTATAGTTTGCCTTGAATATTGTACCATATCACAAACATTTTTACCAATTCCTCTGCCTTTTGTTATTGTTGTTATATATTTTATTTCTACATATGTTATAAACCCCACAATGCATTGTTATTTCATTGTTTGCCTTTTTATTAAAAAATGGACTTTTATGTTCACCTACATATATATCCTTTCTGGTGCTCTTCATTTCTCCCTGAAGATCTGTGCTTTCATATAGAATAATTTCCCTTCATTTGAAGAACTTCTTTTAGTATTCTTGCAGGGCAAACTTATTGGCAATGAATTCTCTTGGCTTTTGATTGTCCAAAAAGGAGTTTGTTTTTGAAGAATATATTTACTTGGTATGGAATATAGGTTGACAGACACTTGAAGTCAGGTTCTCTGGGAAAGAAACTATATGATGAAGATTAGTGTGTACAGGATGTTCATCTCCCCTGATCAATGCCTTTGGGAGGATGAAGGAATAAGGACTGAGCAGAAGGAGAAGCTGAGCTGTGTCATGGTGTCACAACAAAGGCCTCAGCTGTCCCTATGGGGAGCTTTGAAGCTGAGATTTCTCTGCAAAGTTTTCCTCAATTGGGATAAAGGAAAAAGGCCTTTATACTCCAGTATCATCAGCGAACTTTTGGAAAGAGTTATTTTCACAGGCTGCGTTCTCTTCCCCTCCCTGAATTTCTATAATCTGGCTTCAGACTGTTTCCACTGGAACTTTTCTAGTCAAGATCAAAGACAAAAATCCATGGCTGAATCCACTCAATGCAGAAAAGAAATTTGGCAATAGCGATACGAATTTAAAATATTTATATTCATTGACCCAGCAATTCCACTTTTAGGAATATGTTTAATGGAAAAAACTGTAGACAAGCAAAGATCACACACACACACACACACACACACACACACACACACACAAAATGTGTGTTTGCCATTTGTTTGTAATAGTAAAAAGTTGGAAAAAACTTAAGTGCCCATTAATAGAAGGTTGGTTATATAACAAATGTTATTTAGTAAAAGCATAGTAAATATTTTCTGATGGAGTGGCTGAGAATAACCAGTTACCATGACGTATATCCTCTGGACTTGGGGCTTTGATGATCTCCCAAGACACTTCTATTGAATTTGAAAATAAAATCCCACTTTTATTATTTCTGTTGAAATAGGTTTGGTATTTACTACAGAAAATTCCTTAGGATAATTAGGGGAATCAATTAGAAATGGAAATGGATCAGTAATAGAGTACATATTTCTTACCCTAAAGTAAAACTAAATTGGCCAAGAAATTTGCTAATCTGACACAGTTTACTGTATACAGATGCCTCTCTTCACCTCTATTTCTAACAGATTTGTGCTTCACAAACCCTCAAGTATAAGTATCTATTTATTTATTTACCTCTGAGCTAATTAGAGAGGCAGAAACCTATCTGTTTCTGTCACATATATTTTATAGATACATAAAAGGTAGCAAGTATACATAGTAAGTAACAAGTAAATGTCTGTTGAACCAGGATTGGGGGAAATACCCCAAAAGCCCTCGTTTTAGTCCCTTGTCAGTTTTCCAGTTTTTATTATTGTGTCCTACCTCCTGTGTGAGTTGACGGGTTGTGAGTGAGAAGCACAATCTAAATAAACACTTGCTGTTAGACCATTAAATGGGCCCCTGCTGGGGAGAATATGAAAACCTCTGACTTCTCCAAGAATAACAAAACATAAAAGAGCTACTATTCCTACTTTGATAAAAGTTGGTTCTGCCACCTGAACCCCACTCCCTCTTCTCCCTCGATTCTGTTTTATGAGCTGATATAATTTCATCCTCTTATGCTTATACGGCCATTGCCCAATCATTATGCTTCTGGAAGAGTAACCACCTTGCAGAGTCTTACATACAATGTGGACTCACATTCCACCACAATTGTGGCCAAAAACATGTTGTTTTCCTTTTTCAAAAAAAGATTAGCAGCTTTATTAAGGTGTGCTTGACATGCAATATGCTGCAAATATTTAAGGTGTACAACTTGATAAATTTTGACATTATCACACACCATAATAGGAAGATACTAATGAAGATACTAAATGTATGCATCCCACAAAAGCTTTCTTGTGCTCCTTCATAATTCACTCCTCCATCCATACATAGCAATCTGTAAGGAAAATTCTATTCAATTCAAAAAAATTCAGTTCAATTCAAATTCAAAAAATGCATTCATATGCATATGAAATATCTTAACATATAACCCTAAAATGTAAATAAAGATAATATTTGTGATGGGAAGGAATGGTATTTATTATGGGTAAGTTATAATTTTCTTCATTTTTTTCTATTTTTACGTGTTCTAATTTTACACTCATGTAACAAACCTGCACATGTACCCCTTATCTAAAAGTTGAATTTTTTAAAAAAGGATAATACATGTAAAGAACTTAGCATAGTGTCTAGTATTTAGTAGACATTCATAAATTTTATTACTAATATTAATAACAGTAATGATAAGTATAAAGTAATGAAAAATAAAAACCATTTGACTTACTTAAAATTTTATAATATAACCCTTAATTTAAAAAATTATAATGACAGGATTTCATTCTTTTTTATGGATAAATAGTATTCAGTTGTGTAAATATGCTAATTTTTTTAATCCAATCATCTATTGATGGACACTTAGTTTGACTTCATATCTTGGCTAATGTGAATAGTGCTGCAATAAACATGGGAGTGCAGATATCTCTTTGGCCTACTGATTTCTTTTCCTTTGGATATATAGCCAATAGTGGCATTGCTGGATCATATGGCAGTTCCTTTTTTTTTTTTTTTTTTTTTTTTTTTTAGAGGGAGTCTCACTCTCACTCTGTCACCAGGCTGGAGTGCAGTGGCATGATCTCAGTTCACTGTAACCTCTGCCTCCTGGGTTCAAGCAATTCTCCTGCCTCAGCCTCTTGAGTATCTGGGACTACAGGTGTGTGCCACCATACCCAGCTAATTTTTTTTTTTTTTTTTTTTGTATTTTTAGTAGAGATGGGATTTCATCATGTTGGCCAGGATGGTCTCCATCTCTTAACCTCGTGATCCGCCCGCCTCGGCCTCCCGAAGGGCTGGGATTGCAGGCATGAGCCACCACACCCAGCCTTTCTCTTTTTTTTTTTTTTTTTTTTTTTTTTTTGAGACGGAGTTTCTCTCATTGACCAAGCTGGAGTGCAATGGTGCGATCTTGGCTCACTGCAGCCTCCTCCTCCTGAGTTCAAGCGATTCTCCTGCCTCAGCCCCTCAAGTAACTGGGATTACTACACCACCATGCCTGGCTAATTTTTTGTATTTCTAATTGAAACAGGGTTTCACCATGTTGGCCAGGCTGGTCTCTAACTCCTGACCTCAGGTGATCTGCCCACCTCGGCCTCCCAAAGTGCTGGGATTACAGGCGTGAGCCACCGCGCCTGGCCTGACAGTTGTATTTTTAATGTTTTGAGGAACTTCCATACTGTTTTCCATAGTGACTGTGCTAACTTACATTCCCACCAAACACGTGTAAGTATTCCCCTTTCTCCATATCCTCACCAGAACTTGTTATATTTTGTCTTTTTAATAACAGCCCTTCTAATTGGGGTGAGATAATATCTCATTGCAGTTTTGATCTGCATTTCCCAGATGATTCGTGATACTGAGCATTTTTTCGTATACCTGCTGGCCATTTATATGTCTTCTTTTAAGAAATATCTACTCAGATTTTTTGCCTTCTTAAAAATTGAGTTATTTGGTTTTTTGCTATTGAGTTATTTGAGTTTCTTAGTACATTCTGGGTATTAACCTTTTGTCGGATGTATAGTTTGCAAATATTTTCTCTCATTCTGTAAACTATCTCTTCACTTAGGTTTGTTTGCTGTACAGATGATTTTTAGTTTGATGTAATCATATTTGTCTATTTTTGCCTATGCTTCTGAGGTTTCATCCAAAAAATCTTTGCCCAGATCAATATCATGAAGCATTTTCTCGATGTTTTCTTCTAGTAGTTTCATAGTTTCAGGTCTTACATTTAAGTCTTTAATCCATTTTGAGTTGATTTTTGTAAATGATGAGAGATAAAGGTCTAGTTTCATTCTTCTGCATGTGGATATTGTTTTCCCAGCACCATTTATTGGAGATTGTTCTTTCCCCAATGTGTGTTCTTGGTGCTTTTGTTGAATATCAGTTGGCTGTAAATGTATGAAGTTACATCTGGGTTCTCTATTCTGTTCCATTGGTCTGTGTGTCTGTTTTTATGCCAGCATCATGCTGTTTTGGTTGCTACTGCTTTGTAATTTATTTTGATGTCAGATAGTGTGATGTCTCAAGCTTTCTTCTTTTTGTTGAAGACTTGTTTGGTTATTTGGGATCTTCTGTAGTTTCATACAAATTTTAGGCTTGTTTTTTCTATTTATCTGAATAATGTCATTGGTATTTTGATAGGGATTGCATTGAATCTGTGGATCGTTTTGGATAGTATGGACATTTTAACAATATTAATTCTTCCTGTCCATGAACATGAAACATTTTTCCACTTGTCTGTGTTTTCTTCAACTTCTTTCATCAATGTTTTGTAGTTCTTATTGTAGAGATCTTTCACTTTTTTGGTTAAGTTTATTCGTAGGTAACTCTTAATTTATATTTTTGAAAACTCCAAATATATATATAGTGAGCATATATATATAAAATGAGTGTAAAGAAAATCATCACAATATTTACTACATATCTCTTAATGATAGCCTTTGGGATATTAATTTTTCTTTAATATCTTGGTATTTTCCCTACAATGAGCATGTATTTCTTTTTATAATAAAAGAGAAAATGTTTTAAATAAATGAGACATTTAGCAAATCACTAATAGAAAGTATACATTCATAAACATGCACTTCAGCAAGTCAAAGCAAGATGGTCCGCAATGGAAAATGGAAACTCTAATTATCCAATTATGAAAGAGTTAAATTAGAAAGAAACAACTGAATTAAGGATGGAGAAAGAATCAGTGGAAAGTCTGTGGACAGAAGGACCTTAATAATTCCAGAGCCAACCTAAAGCACTGCTGACTTGGCCAATTCTTTTTTTTTATTATTATACTTTAAGTTCTAGGGTACATGTGCACAATGTGCAGTGTGTTACATATGTATACATGTGCCATGCTGGTGTGCTGCACCCATTAACTCATCATTTACATTAGGTTTATATCCTAATGCTATATCTCCCCCTCCCCCCGCCCCACAATAGGCCCCAGTGTGTGATGTTCCCCTTCCTGTGTCCAAGTATTCTCATTGTTCAATTCCCACCTATGAGTGAGAACATGCGGTGTTTGGTTTTTTGTCCTTGCAATAGTTTGCTGAGAATGATGGTTTCCAGCTTCATCCATGTCCTTACAAAGGACATGAACTCATCCTTTTTTATGGCTGCATAGTATTCCATGGTGTATATGTGCCACATTTTCTTAATCCAGTCTATCATTGATGGACATTTGGGTTGGTTCTGATTTGGCCAATTCTTTGAGTAATTCAATTAGGTTAATTTAGTTTAAAATATATAGAATACTGAAAGAAAACCTTCAAGGTAACAGATCTGTTTCCTTCTCAGGAGTTGAGGAAAGAGATCTTTCATACTTTTCCTGAAGACAGTGAGGGTTTCTTGAGAATCAGATGTCTGAGGCATCTAGACCAGAACAAATTTGGTCTTTAAGCTCCCAGTCATAATCTAATTTTGTCTATTCCATCTTTTATTACTGAAATGTTTGATACAGAATTCTGGCTATTTTCTAAACTGGCAAAACTAACCAAATTCTCTGGTTGTGCATTGGTGACAAATGGCTTGCACTTCTACACATTCTCAATTCTAGAACCCATTTAGAACTCAATGACATTCAGACTGAAAGAATCAATTTGTTTCTTCTTGCACTTTGCCCCAGTATGTGAGAAAATGTGGTTAAGAGAAATCACTTGTCTAACCTTTGAATGAATGAAAACTATTTTGTCACGGGATGAACTGAAAGCTGCTTTAAATTTGAGTATATTTCAGAGAGTAGTGGTTAGAAAAATATCTCCACATATTAGGCTTTTATCTTGTTTCTCTAGATCAGTAATCTTCATAGTGTGGTCATGGGATGAGCAGCACTGTTAGAAATGCAATTTCTTGGGATTCACTCTACTAGTGAATCAGAAGCTATGGGGCTGGGGCATAGCAGTCGGTGACTTAAGCTTTCTAGATGATTCTAATGAATGCTAAAGTTTGAAAATGCTTTGGATTATGTTTGATGCAGATCCTTAAAAATCTACTTAGAGGACAGAATGAAGGATGGACAACCCCTATAGAAAAAAAATTTCTTTCATGATATATTTGTGGAGATTTTACAGGATTGTTTATCAATTATTATCTCTGAAAGGGGAGACTTCTGTCATTTATCAGAATTCTTTTGATAAGGAAACAACACAGTGACATTTCAGAAGCAAAAACTATATGCCATTGTGTTCCTATTTAACAAAAAACTTGGTGAAGATAGCAAAATTCTATTTAAAAGAATCGTGGCCTTGTTTATCTTGCAATACACAACATCACATAATATCCCTATATACTCTTTGGTGTCTGATCAAGTTGTACTTATGCTAACATGAAAGCCCTGAAATCTTTAAATCTACCAAACACTAATATAATAACCATGCTATATCATTACCATTCAGTTCAAAAATTATAGTTCATCTTATCTAACAATTCAGAAATAAGTTAGAGAATAGAAGTAAAGAATTCTAGGACACAGACTGCCAAAAATAACAAAAATCTACAGATTGTCAATTTAGCAATGTTGAGTTCACATTTTACCACAAAGATGCTATCTAGAAAATTAGAGAATGGGGTATATACTTTGGTGGAAAGGAGTGAATTTTGACAAGAGATTGGTGCCCATGTCTAATTAGGCAAGAAAAATACATAAGCAGCAATAATCAATAAAACAACTTTTGTTTCAGAATAACCTCTGGAATCTTCAGAAAATTTTGAGCACATCCGCTCTTTAATCTTTAAAGCAGAGTTGCAGCTACCTATTACAGTTATCTACTTATTTTACTCACACATCCGCAATTTGAACAAGACTCTGGGGCCGGGTGGGGGTAGCTCATCTCAGCTCCACAGGGTGTCAGCTTAGGAAGGTTCAAATCTCGAGGCTGGAGTGAGGGGAAGACTCCTTTACTCATGTCAGATCGTTGATCCTAGTTGTTAGTTGAGAACTTAGCTGAGATTATCAGCCACTTAACAATGTCCTCTTCATGTGGCCGGGGCTTCGTAGACTGAGCATCATGAGAGGAATTTCAAATGGAAGTCATGTTACCCTTTACAGCCCAGCCTCGAAAGTCAAGGCTGGCAAGATTTCTGCTACACGTTATTGGTCAGAGTATTCACCATCCTTCCCAGGATCAAGGGGAAGGAACATTCACCCCACGTTTTGATAGGTGAGTGCCAAAGTTCTGGAAGAGCATGTGGGACTAGAAATTTAGCTATGGCCACTTTTGGAAAATACAATGTGCCACAGTCCATCCCCTGGCCACAACAACTCACATACCTGCCCGAGACGTGAGAGTGAGTACGCATTCAGATGATTCCTGCCCTGAGCCTCAGAGCTGACCCTGTTGATTCCGAGGGGAGCAGAAAAACAGCTATCCCCACTGAGCCCTGCTCAAGTTGCAGATTCACAAGCAAAATGAATGTTGTTTTGTTTTAGGACATTACATTTTGGAGTGGTTTGTTATGCAGCAATAGATAAGTGGAACACAGACTCTCAATTTTTTTTTCTCCTGGTGGAACACTGGTAAGAGACTCAATGGCACAGAAGACACTCTGTCCAACTCAACTAGATTTTAAAAATAAGATTAGCTGATTCCCAAGCTCCAACCCATTTTGTTTTTCCAGAAAGCTTTTTGCAATATCAGTAAGTGTGACTTGTATCATTATACCAGTAACCTTGAATTCAAGTGAATTTATGCAAAATGACATATTACACATTTTAGTACCTTGCATATTTCTTGTGACATACCTCACCAATTATTACATGCTAGGATGTTTCAATGAGATGTATGTTGAAAGCCACTGCTGTAGATACTCTCATAAGTAAAAATTGCTTCAAAAAAGTTCAACAAATGACTGCAACATAAATGCCGAAACCTGAGTTGTTTCCTTCTTTCAAGAAGGTTTGCCTGTGGCAGCTTGCTGCTGGCTAGACAGGAGCATGAGTCAAAAGAATGGGAAACTGTGGCATTATGATAATTTTTTTCTGTTCACACAGAGACATGATGGAAGAGCCATCAGTCACTCCTCTATCACCTGGCACCTAGTCCATTGGGCAAATTCTTCAGAAATACTGTGGTCATGCTTCTCATCATGTCCAGTGGAATCTCAGCATTGCATCTAATTTTACCTTCTTCCCAGATGAAATTTTAAATAACTTACATGATCATTGTATTAATAAGGTGTTCAGAAAATAACTCATGGGTTTGTGGGATATTTTCCACTATCTCTGGACAAATCTCTGGAACCATTTCTAAGGGAATGGATCCGGATAAGGTACTTCCCATACCAGTGGACAGTTCTAATCTGAATCAAGACATGGGAATCATATTCACCCTGTATTCATCCTGTCTCTTTATTCATCATGCCATGCCCTTCTTCACAGTCCTTGCCAGTTATGAGACTACATCTGTTGGCCTACAACTGAGCAAGTAAACTTTTTTTTTCAACTTTTATTTTAGGTCAAGGGATTACACGTCCAGGTTTGTTATATGGGTAGATCGCATAATGTTGAGGTTTGGTGTACAATCATCCTGTCACCCAAGTAGTGAGCATAGTACCCAATAGGTAGTTTCTCAACCCTTGCCCCTCTCCCCCACTACACCCTCTGGTAGTCCCCCCAGTGTCTATAGTTGCCATCTTTACGTCCATGTGTACTCAATGTTTAGCTCCCACTTGTAAGTTAGTTTTCTGTTCCTGTGTTAATTCACTCACATGATTACCTTCTCCTTTATGGCTGCATAGTATTTCATGGTATATACGTACCACATTTTCTTTACTACATCATTAATGGGTAGAATTTTCACTAAAAGCACTCAATACAGTTTTCCAATGGTCTCCATTGGAACTTTAAATTCAGCTTCTAAGTGCTTTGTCTAGTTAATTTGCCTGCTCAGGATTTCATGCACCCTTTATTTCAGTAAGCAAAAAAACTGTGAGAAGAAAAAAGTCTATGCCCAAGTTCCTGTTGGTTGAAGAGTTTTGCCTTCTGTGGAGACAAGTTGCCTTGCGAAAGAGCCTTGACTATGCTGCTTCTGCCAGATCACTTTACCTAATTGTCTATTAAGCCATCCCCATAATCAAAATGTTCTCTTGAGTTTTTTAACAGGAACACGGATTTTGATAATTAAATCAACAGATTTGAAGCTTTCAGACCATTTATTAAAAATTATCTTGGTCTAAAAACAAAGTTCCAAACAGTTTATAATCACCATAAGTGGAAAATGTGAAACATTAAAATAATTGGTTACTGCATGCTGTTTTCAAAATGAAGCCAAGGTCTTGATTTTAACCTGCAAGGACTACATATTTTGCACTTGTAGGGAGACACAAGGTCCCAGCACTCAGGGATAGGTCATAACGTAAAGGAAATATCAGATGACAGATAAAAGCAGAGCCTGATTTCCCCATCCACCCTGAGCAACCAAAGGATCAGAAGGTCAATTTTGGTCTCTGAAGTCCAAAACCATCAATTATGAAAACTCCCTCACTTGGGGATAACTTATATTTTTCATCAGTCTCCGTAAACTTAGAAGCACTGAATATCCTAGTATATAAAATGTATGTCTCTGACCTGCTCACAAATGCATTGAGTGGCCGTGGGTGTGTGTGTGTGTGCGCGCGCGCATGCATGCATGTTGTGTGCATATTCAATCATAGTATCTAATACCATCTCTCAATATTTTGTAAAACAAAAGCAAGCCATCATTTGCATTCATAAATGAGGCCCCTCTTGTTTTTCACAAAAACAAGGCTTTTTAAATAAAAGATGCCACCCTCCTGTGAGGCAGACCCCTGCCAATTGCTGTTAGATTTGTTATTCGAAGTGTACTTCCACTGAAGAAACTGACTTTGAGCATTAGTGGAACGCCGTACAGGTTTTATCATCTATTTGCCCAAATGGAAAGGACCGTAGCCTTGGGGATCATTTACTGGAACTGGCTTCTTCCTCATTACCTGGTTCTTGCACTAAGTGAAGCAGATATAAATTTGGAACATCTGTCTAGGCAGCCAAAATGAAAGCTTAAAAAATTTACTGGGTAAAAGCTTTCAGGGCTGGGCCACAGACGGCCAGAAGACTGCTATGGCTGATATGGACTACTTCTCTTCCCCTGGCCCCACGCCCTGTGCTGGGTTGATTTCAATCTAAACTCTCCCTGCCCTGCAGACTGGCCCATGGATTTAACAGTAGGGTGCCAGGGATGCTGAGCTTCTTGTCCTGGCTCCTTCTAGTTCAGCGTGGGGTGCCAACCAAGCAATGGGCATGAGCATGAGGAAGTTCACAGTGCACAGGTTCTTCTCGGGTGTATCTCCACAAGAAATCTCACTTGAAGAGTTCAAGTTAAAGTTGCTTTGAGATGAAATGCAAAAGAACAGCAATTAAAGCATTTTTATTGGCTTCATAATTTCTAACTGTAGAACAGCTACAGTTGTCTAATATAACTACCTGTAGTGTACGTATGGAGAAAGTAAATGAGATCATATTGAATGGCTTCTTTATGTTTCTCATCCATGAGATATTAACTGCCTCTGTTTAACTATGTCTAGGTCCTGTATTTTAAAGTGTATTTTCCAGAGGTTTGGAGCTTCGGCAAACCTTTGAGCCTCCTTTCAGACAAAAGCCATGTCTAATTCAACATTAAGTCTCAAGAAGCTAGCAAAGTACCTAGCAAAAGTACTCTGTAAATGCTAAAATAATAAAGTATTATAGGCTTGGACACTTTCATGTGTAAACATATCTTAAGGTCATCCTAATGTTCCTGTTCCTTAAATTTACATACATGAGTCCTTAAAAGTTATTTCATGTGATAATTGTTTGACCTTTTTTATTGTCAGCTGTAGGGAAACACTTACAAGGTCTTAGGACCCCTTCGAAACATGGGTGGAAGTGAAGGTCACTATCTCAAGTGAAACAAGCCAGGCACAGAAAGAAAAATAACACGTGTTCTCACTCATAAGAGCATGGTGAAAAATGTGTTCATATGTATGTAAACAGTGGAATGATAGATAATGGAAACTCACAAGGGTAAGAGAGTAGGAGAGGGGAGGATGATGAGAAATTGGTTAATGGGTATGATGTACACCATAAAAGCCCTGACTTGATCACTACACAATCTTGCATGTAATACATTGCACAGATTTGTACCCCATAAATTTGGACAAAAAGGAAAAAAAGGCAAATCTAAGCAAGCGTCTTCAAACATGAAAAAAAATTTCTGAAGATCTTGTCAGTCTTAGTACAATAGTAGAGTTAAAAGTGCACAGAAAGACTTTTATCCTAGGATAGAGAATTAGAATATAAGTCGCAGCTCTTGCACAGAAGCTCCATGGGATGAAGGACTGATATAGTTAAAAAGGAAATAGTACAAACATGATGCTAGGGAGATCTGTTCTTTCCTAGAAAACAATTCATTTGGAAGAGCTTTACCACAGTCTACCTCTTCTCAAATCACAGTGGCAAATAACTGTCAGTTCCTAGAGGAATCATAAAGACCTTAGAATCTAGAAAACAATCCATGAAGTAACATACAGTATAGTCTTTGCAGCTACCAATACATGTGGCTGGTGTTAACAGAGGAATCATGAATGGTCAGGGAGGTCTCTTAAAAGGTAACGGAGGCTGGGCACAGTGGCTCATGCCTGTAATCCCAGCATTTTGGGAAGCCAAGGCAAGCAGATCACCTGAGGTTAGGAATTTGAGACCAGCCTGGCCAACATGGTGAAAACCTGTCTCTACCAAAAAAAAAAAAAAAAAAAAAATATTATCCGGGTGATGATGGCACACACCTGTAATCCCAGCTACTCAGGAGGGTGAGGCATGGTCATTGCTTGAACCTGGGAGGCAGAGGTTGCAGTGAGCCAAGATTGCACCACTGCATTCCAATCCAGGCAACAAAGTGAGACTCTGTCTCAAAAAAAAAAAAAAAAAAAAAAAAAAATGGACCCAGTGAGGGCACCATGTTTTTAAAGGACAAGGAAATCTGACTCTTCTTGACTTGGAATCCAAGATGCCCAAGAGAAAGTATAGTCTAGGGAAACAGATTCCAAGTACAGCTGGAGAAGAGAAAACTGTTTAGCAAAGTACAGGAAGGTGACCCAGCATTGATCACCATGTGTAAAAGCTATCTGACAAAAAGATGATTATACATCTTTTTCAAACTATCCAAATATACAAACATATGAGATGCACAAAGAAGATGAATGATAAAAAGTAGTCATAACTAGAGCAGCCATGGTAGCAAGGCTAAAAACATTGACTTGAAAAGCTCTAGTCATCAACATCCTCACAGAAGAGACATTACTATCATAGGAAAAGCAGCCCAGTGAGGACCGGCAGGATGCAGAGGATGGCTCAAACCAGGACCAGCACCAAAGCTAAGATGTTGTTTCTCAGCCCCAGTAGGTAAAGGATTTTGCCAACATGTGGAGAGAAATGCAAATTTATAAAAGAATCAATGTGTGTGATGTGCCTATGTGTGTGCTCATTCATTTACAGTACATTTGCATTTAAAATAAATGTGAACTGAGTGTGTGTGTGTGTGTGTTTCCTCATAATGGCTAAAGAGTTCTACTTCTTGATTCCTCCAAAGAGAGTGAATTGTCAACTTGGACAAGTGTATCAAATTTTTCATACATATTTTTCTCATAAGGCAAACTGAATCATCTCAGAGAGACTACCCATGGTATAAGCAAGCACAAGAAATGCTTGAGGGCACAGCCACTTCAAAGTCTTCCATTTTTACTGCCTTGGAAATGACGTAATACTGATTTTTCTTCTGAAGACTTAAGTGCTTTGCGTTGGCTTAAATTCCTTTTAGGCCCATTTATCTGCTCCTTTTTTGTTTGAGCACAACTAGTGGGTAGATGAGGGGAGAGCTACAAAACACTTTCAGTGTACTCAAATCAAGTATACTTTAATCAAACGCCACTTTTTATTCCATAAGAATGTTGGAAATACCATTTCCAGTCTTAAAAATACCACTTAATCTGCTTACTCTCTGAAATAACTACTTTTGTTCCCAAAGAATGACTTGAGTCAATGATTCCAGGGTTTTAAATTTCACAATACCAGAAAATTAGAAAAAAAATTCTGCAGAGTTTCATAAGTTATTGTTTATGCTAAGAAAGCCCATTAAAAATTTCCAAGTACTGTCTTCATTTTACTATTTTTCAAAATTATTTTGAACACCCCAAAAGTAAGAAACATATATAACCTGAATATATAAACAAGGAAGTAATTTAGAAATTAAAAACTTACTATATTTTCCTAATTTTACCTAATTTTTAATGTAAGTAAATTTGAAGCACATTGAGACTCACTGGTTTAAACTGAAATGAGAAGATTTCCCTTGCTGATATAGAAAAAGACCATATAACTAGGAAGCCATTGATGTGAGGAGGTCATTATATTGCCCTCGAGATTTCAATTTAAAAGATACTAGAATGAGTAACAAACATCATCCAGTTTGGATAATTTAGAATCATTACAGAACTGTGCCTTGCCTTTTCTGCTGTTTTGTTTACTGACATTTACACTGATCTTTAAAACATCACAAAGTATGCTGCATGTACTAATTTGACCTAGAAATACTTTCATACAAGTACTTACATGGATATTAACATTGGAAACCTAATATCCCTAGATCCACTTTCGTATTTAAAACAGTACTCGTATTTAATAAACTTTTCTGCTCATTAACAGTTGTTCCATTTCACATATGCTGTTGCACATTAGACAGAAGAGAACATTGAGTTCTTCACAAGATACTTTCGGTTAAGCATGCCCTGGGATGGAGTTACCATGCTGACTTGATTTACTTCCATGCTTCTGCATCAATCAAGCCAGGAGGCTATAATTAGAAAACTTCCTTAAATATTAAAAATGTAATCATTGCAAACTGGGTCGAGAAGTGATTAATAGGGTTGGACAGCTTCTCTCACGCAGCCATCAGGGTAAATTCTCAAGATGCCAAACGATGAAGCAGAACTTTTATGGAGACCACTAACATTTACTTTCAGTTCTTCCTGAGAAAAGTACCAAGGCATAGGTTCCTTAAGTGATCTTAAATTGTCTCGTAAGGTAAGTCATTCCTGGTTACAATTCATTTGTTTTCTCTACTGGTACATTTGCTTTTTCTAAATAAGCTAATTCTGTGTTTGTTTCCAGGTTGCATTATACTTGACTTTTGAAAAAATTACATTTGGTGACATGTACAGTTATGATTTTTCCCTCGTTCTAGGTTATTGGTTTTTCTCCTATTTATTAGAAAAAAAAAATTACTGGCTACATTCTGTCAGCCACACTTTACAAATCAAACTCCCTAAATTTTCAGGAAAGCCCTGGTTCTCTCTACAGGGACCTCTACAAATCCAGTGCCATGAAGTGGTAGGATAACCTTTTGTTCAACTGCACCACGAGACCTTGTGGTTGCCAGTGTTCATTGGGACTGGTAACGTGGAAGGCCAGTGCTCTGGGGTTGGGTAACATGAACAGCCAGTGCTGTATGGATGTATAACATGTAATGTAAACAGACTAAGGGGCAATAATGGCATACCAGGATTCTAGGGGTCAATAACACCGAACACTAGTTTTCTGAGAGTCAGTAACATGGAATGTCAGCGCACTGGGGGCCAGTAACATAGAATACCAGCTCTTTGGGGATGCGTAACGTGGAATACTTGACTTCCAGCTACCATCAAAAGCCCAACAGAAGACTTCTAGCCAAGTAGAGCTGAAAGTTAGCCCTCTGATGCCGACCTTCTGCTCCCAACAAATAGCAACGATGGGGGAAATATACAAATAAAATCCCCCCAAAAGATATAGGCAGATTAAAATACAGCTAAATTCTGCTTATATTTCAGAAATGCTGAAAACAAAGGTATGGAAAATAGCTATTGTGGCAAAATAAAGGGAGATAAAGTAGAATTTAAGGCAAAAATAGTAAAGATCAAGAGGAATACTTTACAATAATAAAATAACTATGTCACCAAGGAATTCTAACATGTATGAGCTTATTTGCTACAAATGATAAAGTCTCAATATTAATTGGCTAGAAACTGACAGAATAATGAGCAATTAACAAATTTACAATATCAGAGTAGGATATTTTAAGTCCTCTATCAGACAAAAAACACTTGTACTGTAGAAGATTTAAATTAAAAATTAACAAGACATATACATCTTTATCTTTAGAATATTGCACCCAATTATCACAATAATTTTTCTCCATTCATGAGGAAATCTTATAAAAATTGATGACAAACTAAGCCACAAAACAAATCTCTCAAATGTCAAATCATCTGTATAATAAAGACTATACTTGACAATGTAATTAAGATGAATGATAATTAAAAGATAATTTATTAATATATTTAAAAACCCAAACTGCACTTCTATGTAACTCTTTGGTTAAAGGTGAAATTGAAATGGAAGAAAATGGCAATAAACATTTTATTCAAAACTGCAGCTGTAGTGGCACGTTGGAAGAAACTACTAACTTCTTTCTGAGGACAAAGTTGTCATGAGGTAGAGTTTTAGGAAGAACTATAAAAATCCATAGATTCAAGGAGATTAATAATGACAACTTTTAAATTCTTACATAATGACTGATACCCTACCACACATAACTACATTTGTGGTGTTTCATTAAGGATTACTGGGTTATGCCTTTACAAACCATAAAAGGGTCGATAGGTAAAAGGTTCATGCTTAAAGTGTCAGGTCAAGAACAAAGATGTCAGATATCGTGGGGTAGAATTTCTGTTCTTCTAGTTGTATGACTGTGGGCAAGTTATTTATATTCCTGAGCTTCAAGTTCCTCATATGAAAAATTTTATATATTAATAATCTCTACCATGTAAACTCTTTATGACACTGAATGACTTGAAATACATGAAACATAGTATAGTGCCTAACAAATAATAGGTTCAATAACTGTAAACTAGAATTTATTTTACATATACAATATTCATTTGATTATTTGTTTTATCACTCTTACACTCATGTATGCTCCTTGAAGAGAGAAATAATTCTTTGTTCATCTTTGAGCAATGATGATCACAAAATAGTGCCAAGTACACAGTTGGTGCTAAATAAATTTTTTGTATTAATGGAATTTAGTTAAACATATTCATGCTGCTGGCAGTGTTAGATGTTGAAATTATCTAACTAGCAAAAGAAAAAAGGAATATGGACAGGTTGCTAGTGACTAATAATTATATTTAAGTCTGATATCTAATTATCACTTCTCATTGAATATTGACACTTGAAATAGAGTCAAATCAATTTTGTTTCATCATGACTGACATTTTCAAATATTCATTAAATATTAAAACTGTTCAATAATAAGACATTATTATTGGGTGAGGTTGGGGTTGGGGCCTGGTTCGGTTTTCTAATTTCAAATGTATGATGGTGATAGAGAATATTCACTCAGGTAAGACCCATAACAAAAAAGGCACAATTGTGAAGGGCGTACAATACATATAATTTAGTGGCAAGTTAAATACACTTATGTAAAGGTAAGTTAGTATTCTTTATATTCTGAGAAAAATATATATATTTTCCAGCATTGAGTGTTTCTACAAAATTTGATAAAATTAAAATGTTAATTTCACTTTGATTGCACATGTTTATTTTATTTGAATTTACCAATTACATCTAGCAGTGCTGGTTTGTTTATTTGTTTTTTTTTTGTTTCAGAAATATCTGTGTAGTTTACTTTTTAGTACATGGCCACCTTAATGTGCAATGTGCTTTGCTGAGCCCAGTAAAAGTTCACAATGGATAACTGAGGGTCAGTTTACTTTGCTGCTGGTGCAAACACCAGTGGCATTCTTTTTGTAAAGCTAATGTTGGAGAAGACTAACCATCTGTTTTCTTCTTTTACTGAGTCTTTAGACAATGGAGTGCATCACTCAAGAATGAGAGATTTTTCTCTGGAGATTTTTCAGCAAAAAAAAGAAAAGAGAGAGTGAGGGAGGGAAGGAGGGTGGAAGGAAGGGAGGGAAGGAGGGAGGGAAGGAGGGATGGAAGAAGGGAGGGAGGGAGAAGGGTGTATAGCTATTTTAATGTAATAGATACATTATCCCAAGCTGCTAGAAATTGGGGCAAGAAACTAAATGGCATTACAGGGTTATACCTTTACAAACTATAAACTCCTGTCTCATCCAACTAAGTGATGTACTATTAAATAATGAAGTAGGTATGATATTATTAAACTAAATCTTTTTCTAGATGAAAGACAGAATAGGAAAATTAACATATAAGAACCTGGGAAAAAGAAGCTGTGAAGAACTTAAACATAGGGGTGAGACAACCCCAAATTATCCTTGAACCATACTCTTTTTATTGATGGAATGAATCAAGTATAAACCCATGTGATATATTCTTGGGCAAAGAAAAAAAATCTTACACAATTCCAATATTTGCATGTAAAAATGACTGACAATTATATAATCAAATTTATTGAGTAGGAGAGAAACAGAAGGAAAACTTGGGGGAAAAGACATTCACTGCTTAGAAAAGCCTGTCCCTTTTGAGATTTCCAATTTTTTGTGTATAAAGAACACTCAGTGAGATTCCTCTAGTGAGGGCTTGGACTCCTCTGAACAAATTGCCCCTTATTCTTTTTCTCAGGGCATCTTCTTATGCTAATTCGTAACAGTATCTTTAAAAATTTTCCATGTACCACTAATAAGTGCATTTAGCAAGGTTATGTGTTATGGGGTCAACTCACAAAAATCAATTCTATTTCTATATACAATCAGTAAACAATTGAAAAACAGAAATTAAATATGTTACCATTTATAATCAGATCAAAATATTAAAAACTTAGATACAAAATATTAAAAACTTAAAAATATGGTCAGGGCTTGCATGTTAAACACAAAATGTTGATTAAACAAATCAAAGAAGACCTTTGATTTCAAGGTATACCATGTTTATGGATTAGGAAGCCTAACATAATCAATTGTCCCCAAAGTGACTTAAAGATTTAATGCAATTCCTACCAAAATTCCAGGAGAATTTTATATAGGTATAGGCAGACTGATTCTAAAATGTATATAGAAAGGCAGATAAACTAGAAAAAAAATGAAAAAGAAAACAAAATTGTACAAATCACACTATCCAATATTAAGACGTACTATAAAGCTATAGTAATCAACAGAATGTGGTCTTAATGAAGGGATAGACATATGGGTTAATGCACAGAATAATAGAGAGTTCAGGAATAGATCTACACAAATATGGTCATTTGATTTTGACAAAGGTATAAAAGCAATTCAATGAGATAGGATAATTTAGATATGTTGTTAGAAAAATGGTACCATATGCAAAAATTGAACCTATATCTAAATTTTATACTTTATACACAGATTAACTCAAAATGAACAAATATCTAAATGTAAAATTATAAAACTTCTAAAAAAATAGGCATAAATATTCATGACTTGCAGTTAGGCAAAAAGTTCTTAGAAATGAAACAAAAAGCACAGTCCATAAAAATATAAATTGATAAATAGGACTTCATTGAAATTAAAAACTGTTATGGCCAAAAAACACTGTCAAGAGAATAAAACTACAGACTGAGATAAAATATTTTCAAATCACAAAAAACAACAAAGGACTTGTATTCAGAATATAAAGAACTCAAAATTCAGCAAATACCACATTATCTCACTTATATGTGGGACCTAAAAATTCAAACTCATAGAAGTAGAGAGTAGGATGGTGGTTACAAGAGGCTGAGGGTGGGAGATGGACAGGAAAAGGGAAATATCAGTCAAAGGGTACAAAATTTCAGTTAGGATGATTAAATTTTGGTATTCTATGGCACAGGATGGTGACTATAGTTAATAATTACGTATTATATATTTCAAAATTGCTAGATTTTAATTGTTTTCCCCAGAAATAAAGGGTAAGTATGTGAGTTGATAGGTATGTTAATTAGCCTGATTTAAACATTCTATAATGTATACATGTATAATTACATCACATTGCACCCAATAATTAAATATGATTGTCAATTTAAAAATAAATAAATAACACCCCAATTTAAAAGTGGGTAAAGGACCAAAGAGGATGTAAGGATGGCAGTTAAGCACTTGAAAAAACATACAACATTATTGACCATTAGGGAAATGCAAATTACAATCACAATGAGATACCACTACACATTTATTAGAATGGCTAAAATAAAAGATACTGATAACACCAAGTGCTAGCAAAGTGCAAGGAAACCAAAACTCTCATCCATTGCTGATACATACTGGCATACTCACTCTGGAAAAAAGAGTTTGGCAGGTAGGCATGCATGCACTTACTATCTAACACAGCAATCATATTCCTGGAAAAATGGAAACTATGTTCACACGAAAATTTGTACATGATTGTAGCAGCTTTATATGTAATAGCCAAAAACTGAAAGCAACCCAAATGTTCTTCAACAAAAGAATGGACAGTATGGAGTGGTACATCCTTATAATGGAATACTACTCACAATTAAAATGGATCAACTGCTGATACATGAATGAATCTCGAAGACATAGTGTTAAGTGAAAGAAGCCAATCTCAAAAGTGTATATACTCTTTGATTTTATTTGTACTACATTCTCACTAATTTTATTTATGTTACATTCACAGTGGCCAATGCCTGTAATCCCAGTACTTTGGGAGGCCAAGGCAGGAGGACAACTTGAGCCCAGGAGTTAGGAATCAGCCTGGGTAACACAGTGAAAACCTGTCTCTACTGAAACTACAAAAATTAGCTGGGTATGGTGGCACACACCTGTAATCCCAGCTACTCGGGAGGCTGAGGTAGGAGAATCACTTGAACCCAGGAGGTGGAGGTTGCAGTAAGCCGAGATGGTACCACTGCACTCCAGCCTGGGAGACAGAGTGAGACTCCATCTCAAAAGAAAATTATCAAAAAGACAAAACTATAGTGATGGAAATCAGTGGTTGCCATTGGTCATGGATTGGGAGAGAGTGTAATGATAAAGGGATAACATAGGGGCACTTTTGTAGGGTTGTTGAAACTGTTCTATATCCTGATTACAGTAGTGATTATACAAATCTATGTGTTAAAACTGTAATATTGTACACCAAAAAGTAAATTTTGCCGTATGATAATTTTAAAAATACAAAATTTTTAAACACTGTATTTGGCATTGCAAATTTAGGAAATGTTTCAGCCATTCCTAGAATTTACAATATGCCCCTATTACTAAAAATCAAACTTCAAAATCTGTAATTTAAGATGGTAGCAACTTCATCCATACTTTGGACAAAGAAGTGAGCTCTCCGAGCAGCCACCATAGCTTAAGCTACTAGGCAAGCAGAATAGCTTTTCTGATATGGCTTCATTCTCTTTTTGATCAGCCCTTGTATCAACCCCCATACTGACTACAGAAAGGATAGAGGAAGAGAGGACTGTTATTCTGTTGTTATGAAAAAGGCTGGAAAAAAAGAAGATGCCACTTTGTGGGCAATGATAATATTGCTTAGGGCAAGAGTCTAGGGGAGAGCTGAGAGCTGACATGGTTGTAAAGTAGTGTTAAAAGATAAGAAAGAAACAAGACCTTCCTTTGCTTTTAAGTTTTGACAAAGCTTATATATACACCATCCCAGCACAGTTTTTCTTGATGTATCTAATGCATCAGTATCACTCTTCCTCATTTTCCTGGTTTTGCTTCTTATATTCTTTTCTTTTCTATATTTTCTGCACTCCGTTTCTATGAGAAAGAGTCAAAACATAAGCTAATATCAGAGATTCATTTGAAAATAATTTCTAGGGATATCTTCTAGGTTTAGTATAGGCTTAGTTCCACTTCTCACAGCTTCCACATGTGTAGTCCTGCATCATAATTACTCGGTTGGTCTAGTGGTTTTGTGTTTCGTGTATTATTTTGGAAATTCCTGAAGTATCTAATAATTCAAATCAGATTATATCATTTCTGGGATAGTTTTATGGCTAACTGTATTATATTAAATTCAAATGTATATATCAAAATGCTCAGATAATCAGAATATTCACTCAACTAAAAGCCAGTTCCACTGGAGATAACCTTTTGCAAAGTGAGAAAAGTCCACTAGTGCTAAAACATAAGGAATATACAATGAAGTCATCATTACTTTGTCAGCCACATAATTGGAAAAAAATGTTCGACAGGTGTTTATGAACCACAAAAAAGGAAAGCTGATGGTCGTAATTCTTAATCTTAAGGTCCTATGCTTTGTTTCATTCCTCAAAGGATATTTTAAAACACTTCCTAGGAAAAAAGTCTCAAGTAATGAGCATTACCAATGACCTAGCTGCCATTTGTCACCCGATTTCCTGCAAAATGAATGTTCTTTATATTTTATCTTCCCAAGTATAAATGTCTTCACCCTTCAAACACTGACCATAACTTTAATAAAAAATGTTTTTTACTTTTCAGCATTTTATATGTGGGAAGCACTTAGGAAATAAATGTTCAATGAATGAATTAATGAAGGAATGAATGCAAAAACAGCTATGAAAAAAAGCTTAAAAAGATTCTGCCTGCTTATGCAAGATGCTAATCATAGCATTCCAGAATGCTAATGGTATGTCCACAAACTCCACCTTCTTCTGTATCTCTCCCCTGAGATGAACAGATAAGTCTATGGTCTCTGGGCCTTCTCATAGACCCATTATCTTGCACTGTATCCCTTTTCTCTGCCTAACTAAAGCATTTCTTCTGAAAGTCACTGCTGAGTTTAAAATGTGTCAAACCAAATGTCTGTGGCAGGCTAAAACACTCTAGCCTTAGCAAATTGCAGTCTCTTCATCTGGGTGATGTAAGCACTGGCCTTGGCTGTGCCCAATTTAGATATCAGAAACTTGTTCCATTTGTACTATGCTATTTACCTATTACACTCATTCAATTTTCCCACATACCTTTCCCAATTATCTACCAATTTAATCCATTTAATCTATCTCTACTACAGTAAATATGTTCCCCTTTAGCATTTACTAGCACTTGGGCCAAATGTTCAAGAGCCTCTAACAGGCTTTGTGATTCATTTATTTTTCCTCTTCCTGTTCAATTTTGTACATACTACTCATCACGAAAATGGATGCTGCTGCTGTAGATAAATGCACTGGCAAGAACCTAACTACACAATCAGCCATTTAGTCCTGAAAAACAGAGTAATGACTGCAAAATGGATCTGGGCCACAGGGCAGAAACCATACTTAAACTTCATTCAGCATAGCACCTGCTACAGAGCTGATGTAGTGAAAAATTGTGTCATGATGAGATGCCCTAGGTCTGGGTGCCATTTACTGTCCTTTCCATTATTGTTGATAATAGCAGTGCTTTCAAATGGAACAACATTCTTCCTGCCATGGATCAAAAAGATTTAGAAAAATATCCTATCATCCTATTTGAGAGACCAATAAAGTAATAATTCAATTTTCTTAGTATTGCTGAGACCTTGGCAGCTAATATTAATTATTATCTCTAGCCATTTGGCACCAGGTAGTGCTTGTAAATTACAGTAAACTGATTTTCTCTATTTTGTTTTGCAGGAGAATTAGCCCATTTTGAATTTTGGGAAGAGGACCAGTCTGACCATACATACACACTTTTCTCAGGTAACTCCTAGCATGACCAACTTTCTACTTTGACACTGACCATTTCATATAAAATTATGGATGCTGATTTCTAATCAGTTTACCTTTGCGTTATCCATAATATCCCACGACATTGCTTTAGTAGAGATACTTCTCAGTCTCGTTTTTTTTTTTTTTTTTTTTTGGCACTTCATGAAAGCTGTTTCTCCTATGTGCCAAGAAAAATCTCAACACTACAGAAGAGAAGTATGCATGGCATGGAACCTAAGAAAACTTCAGCATTTGCCACAATTAATAGGGTTATTTTATCCTGTAAGAAGGGAATCTCCTGGGTGCTGTGGCTCATGCTTGTAATCCCAGCACTTAGGGAGACTGAGGCAGGCAGGTCACCTGAGGTCAGGAGTTCAAGACCAGCCTGGCCAACATGGTGAAACCCCATCTCTACTAAAAATACAAAAATTAGCCAGGCGTGGTGGTGGGCACCTGTAATCCCAGCTACTCGGGAGGCTGAGGCAGGAGAATCTCTTGAACCTGGGAGGCGGAGGTTGCAGTGAGCCCAGGTTGCGCCACTGCAGTCCAGTCTGGGCAATGAAGTGAAACTGTCTCAAAAAAAAAAAAAAAAAGAAAAGAAAAAAAGGGAATCCATTGGTATAACCCATAACCTGAGCAGGGGATTATCAAATTTATAAGAACTTTATAAAAAGACAAACAGTTGGGAAACATAAGTATTTATTTGGCAGCTTTATTTGAACAGAGTTCTTCTTTAATATGGCCAGTTTTGGGGGCCTAATGGATGAATTAACAATTTCCCCCACACAGCACACAGAGTAGAGGAAAGGATACACATAAATTACCTGTTGTGGTTGACAACAGCCACATTAGCCCTCACCATCTGAGATTACTGAAAAAACAGATTGTGGTGAGAATTGCTAGTTGGCCACTTAGTTTGCATATCCTTTCCTCTTTCTTACTGACAGAATCTCATTTTATCCAAGGAGGCAACATGCCCAGCTAAGAGATTATATTTCCTAGTTGTCTTAGTCTGTTTTGTGTTGCTATAACAGAATACCACAGACTAGGTAATTAATAAAGAAAATAAATTTATTTGGCTCATGGTTCTTGAGCCTGGGAAGTCAAAGGGAATGGTGCTAGCATCTGCTTAGCATCTGGAGAGGGCCTTCTTGGCATCATCCCATGGATAAAGGAGGAAGAGCAGGAAAGCATGCACAAGAGAGAGCAAGAGATCAAACTTGCAGCCTCAAGCCCTTTCATAATTGTCATTAACCAATTCAAGAGGGTGGAGCCCTCATGACCTAAACACCTCCCATTAGGCCCTCCCTCCAATGCTGTTGCATTGGTGATTGAGTTTTTAATACACACTTTTGGGGGGGGCACATTTAAACCATAGCACTAGTCTTTCTGCAAGTTTCTGGGACTGAGACTTAAGTGGATGGAAATAATTGAGGGGGGCTTCTGGGAATGTTCTTTAAAGGGAGCCAGTTCCCTGGGGAGGGTGTTCATTTGTGGCCCTCTCCACCACTAACCACTTTTTTCTTTCTAAACAAGCACATGACAGACAGTAGCATCCTAGCAGCCATCCTGTATTTTGAAGATGAATGAGTGACACCAAGGATGAGAAAGTGAGTGTGGAGTCCTGGACTTCCCATCTCCAGACCTCTTACAGGAAAGAGGAAAAGGAAACCTGTGTCTTCTTAATGTCATGATTATTTGGGTTTTTTGTTCAGAGAATTCTGCCAAACCTAACACTCATTTAAAAGCTTATCAAGCAATTATTATAAATTTATTGAGTGAGCACTTTCTATTCTTAAAATTTGGGATTTGCCCTTTCATTAATAGTAGAAATATAAGAAATTATCCTTGCTCTTTTTTGAAAATTTACTTTAAGAAATAAGGCTGACCTTGAGCACAATGCTGTGTCAAAACTCTGTCAGAAATACACATAAACTTACATAACACTCCATACTTCTTTTGTGGTGACCCTTTCCACATGACTTTTCCTTCTTAATAGTACTGTAAGGTTCTTGAAAAAGAAGCTGGGTCTAATTCGTACATCGAGTAATCAATAAAAGCATTACAGCTGTGACACAATGAAAATGATATGTGAGTTTTCCTGCCATTCTGCTTACCTCTTACAGCAAGAGATAATTCCAGCTTGGTCAATTGTGTCTTGCCTATTTCCTTTCCTAACATTCAAGAAACTCCTTCTTAACCACTTAAGTGCTTGGACTCTTGCAACAGAGAATCAGGACAAAGTAGGAGAACAGTATTAGGTTGGTGCAAAGGTAATTGCGGTTTTTGCCATTACCTTCGATAGCAAAAACTGCAAGTACCTTTGCACCAACCTAATAGTTCAAGGGACTATTCTACTATAAGGCAAGGGACACATGGTGGCAAAAGCTAGAAGAATATTTTCTTCTTGATGTTTAGCACCTTTTTTCAAAGGTTTAAATTCATTAGAGTACATAATTTAAATATAATTAAATGCACCCATTTTAAGTGTATAACAAAATGAGTTTTGACAAATGTATATGCCTAAGCTACCGTCAGCCCAAATGTAATATAAAACACTTCAAGCATCCCACTATGACCTCTCAAGCACATTGAAGTTCTAGCCTCAAGTAATCATTGATGCGTTTCCTGTTACTGTAGGTTCGTTTTGCCTATTCTGAAATTTCATATTGGTGGAATCATAAAACATATTCTCATATGCATCTGTATTCTTTCACTCAGCATGATATTTTTGAGATTAATTCAGGTTTTATAGTGTTTCAGTAGTTCTTTTTTTGGTAAGACAAATAACATTTACTATAGAAAATAACTATTTTTTTAAATAGTGGGGTAAGTAACTGCACTGCATCTGGCAGAAGGCAGGCCCTTAAGTAAGATTAGCCTTTCTTTTTATCCCAACCAAGCCAAGAAGACCTCATCCTTCAAAGTTCATTCATTTTTATTGAAGAGTAATAGTTTATTGCAACACAGTGAAAAGGTAACCTACAGAAAGAGAGAAAAATATTTGCAAACTATATATCCTATGTTGATTAATTCCCAAAATATCTAAGTAATGCCTACAACTCAATGGCATAATGGTTAATTTCCAAAATATCTAAGGAACTCCTACAACTCAATGGTTTAAAAAACATAATAACTCAATTTTTAAATGCGCTAAAGACTCATCTAGATATTTGTCTAAAGAAGACATACAAATGGCCAATAGGTAGATGAAAAAATGATCAATGTCACTAATCATCGGGGAAAAGAAATCAAAACCACAAGATATCACCTGACACCTGGTGGAATGACTCTAATTTTTTTAAAAGAGAAGAAGTGTTGGCAAAAATGTGGACAAAAGGAAATTTTGAACTTTTGAACTTTTGAATGGTGTTGATGGGAATCCAAAATGGCACAGCTGCTATGAAAAACAGTATGGAAGTTCTTCGAAAACGTAAGAATTGAACTACTATATGATCCGGCAATCCCACTTCTAAGTATTTACCTAATGGAATAAAAACAAGACCTCAAGGAGACATTAGCACTTCTATATTCATTGCAGCACTATTCATACTAACCAAGATGTGGAAACAACTCAAATATCCATCAACAATTGAATGTATAATTAAAATGTGGTATATACGTATAACAAGATACTATACAGGTGTTTGTTGGGTCATTGAGAGAGAAACATTGGAACACTTTGGAGTGGTTTATGAGGGCAGTGGGTGCAAGAAAACAGAATTTGGAGATGATTTGGTTGGCCTATGTTCCCTTCAAATAAAGGACTTTACTACACTGTACATTAGCCTGTGACATCGCTCAGGAACCAACAAAGTGGAACATAACTCTATAAGTATTATATAATAATGGCAGTATGTATTCAAGTATTAAATAATGGGATGCTGACAATAAATGCTTTAAGAGATCAGAAATCAGAGAGAAAGAAATGGACTAGAAAAATCGGGGATATTTATTTAGAGAGAGAAACTGAAAAAGTGATAGGATTGGGATAAGCTGAAAAATGTGATAAGCTTCTGGAGGAGTCTTCCAAGACTTCCAGCTGCCTCCAATAGGGGAAAATTACCAAGGTTTAATTAAAAAGCTGCTTGAATCTGTTCAAGTTGAGTAAAGCTCCATATGGATGCCTGGTATCCATTGCCTCCCTTATATATATCGACTCTGTCTATGAGATAGTACATATTGAATTCATTTGGAAACAATTATGTCCTGTGCAAATCATTATCAACATCACTGTTAATCCATGTTTGTGGGGTGGAGGTTATGTAGAATTCTATCCAATTCTCAACACCGGTTATCAGAATAGCTTTGTTATTGAAATGAGCAGAATCTAACTTATGAAAACAGTGAGGGTCACATGTTTCAAACATGACCTTTACCCGATTAAACTTGTGTACCAACCCAAGAGTGATGTCCAATGATACCACTTGATACTTAGGTCTGCTTGCTATTTTAATAAGACACAGACAGGTTTAGCAGATGTTGCAACAAACAAGTAAATATGTTCTAAGCAATAAATCTGCAGAGACATTCAGGATAGCATGAAAAGAATGTGCTTCATTCTTTCCAATGTGATCACAACAAGTAAGATTTTATCACTAATTACAGATGCATACACATATTCATGGTCTACTGGGAATATCATCTCCATATGGCATGACTTGCAAAGACATTACATGTCTCAAACATTATTATACAATTGAGAGAACATTTCAACATTACGAATATTCTGTATTTCACGTTCAAATGGATATGTGACTTGGTGGAAAAAAAAAAAACACCTCTTCTGATCACATCTAAGTCACAAATTTTTTGTGCTAGCTTGAGAATGTTATTAAATATCTTTCTATGTCTGAGTTTCTCCATTGCCAAATTGACTTTATTATCTAAATTATGAACAACTTGGTGGAAAGGAAGAAGAACAGAAGGTTGTCTGGGAAAGCAAGTATTCTACGTACATTTAAGAAAAAAACAATTTTATAATATGATATGGAACCATTGCTGCACAATTTTCCCCCATGACACTGAAATGAAAATACTGACGACAGAAGCAAATACGGCATTAAATTTTTTCGGTGTTCAAGATAAATAGGAATCATCAATCATTCTCATTTTTATCCTTTCCTTGGGCAAAATAAAAATTCTATGGTTTATAAGATGGCAATAAAATGCAGAGAAGCTCCACTTAGCCAGATAATTGAGTCTATATTAAAGATCAGGATTACAAAAATGTGTCTAAAGGAAGACATTTATTGCAAAGTAGAAAATATCTGTTCATTAGGCCAAGAAAAGATTTAGACAAATGTTATTCACCTTTTTAATTCACTAAATAATTAATTTTGGGCTTCCATTCTTCATAGTCATTAATCCAATCCTTCTAATGAGACTATTTGCCTAAAACTGTTATTAATTGCATATAAATAGAATAAGTAAACATGTTATATAAAACTTTTAATCAATAAATAGAAACAGGTTATTCACTTTGAGCAGTATTACCATTGTTTCCATGGACCATTGTTTCCATTGAGGTGTGCAATACATAGCAATAGAATAAATAAATGCAAAGTAGTGGCAACTTCTTATAAGTTATAAAAAGCAAACAAACCTCAGAACTTTATAAGTCACAATGGCAACTTATACGTTTCAAACATGCAACCTATTTTTAAAATTAAGTTATTCTCAGGTACTGAAAACAGTGAACAATATATTGATTGATTTTCGATATGTGGCAATTTTCTTTTTCCCCAAATATTAAAAAGTAAAATAGAAAGGTAAGGCTCATACTCTAGTGCTCAAATTAAACCTGATAACCTATATACTGGGACCAGGAGTTCCAAGACCATTTTTTTACGGTCCTACAGGTAATTTCTTTGTACATCATCCTGTACTTCCCACACAGGTGGCATGGGGACAAATCAATATGTAAATTAACCTGCTTCTCCTTCTCTATTCTACTTTCATTACTTCCAGCACTGACAGTGGTTATTCTAAGTTATATCTAATCTGCTTGGGATACAGGTGGTTACAACTATCTTTAAATGTATCTATCTGTACATAGACATTAGGCTATAGGACCTTAAAACAGTAGGCCTATAAAGGAATCTTAAATCTACAGGGCAAGGCGTATGCTCAGATCATATTTAAAAGTGATTATCCTATGCCAAGTGGAGACCTGAGGGCTCATTTGATTATGGGCAAGCCATCTTTTTTTTTTTTTTTTTTTTTGTGACGGAGTCTCGTTCTGTCGCCCCGGCTGGAGTGCAGTGGCGCTATCTGGGCTCACTACAAGCTCCGCCTCCCAGGTTCACACCATTCTCCTGCCTCAGCCTCCAGAGTAGCTGGGAGGGACTACAGGCGACCGCCACTGGGCAAGCCATCTTAACAGAAGTTGAGGCAGCTCCTCAGCCCCTAAGCTGTATGCACTACAGCCTTCATTATCACAAACCGGACACTTCTCTTTCAGTTTTTGTCTCCATGGCAGTAAGATGGAATCAGTAATAACAAGTCCAATGTAAGAATTATTTGTGATAAAAAAAATTGTCTACCGAGTGCTTTAAGTTCCTAGGAAACTGTGCGAACACAGTTTGTCACTTGTATTCTGAGACTTTGTCCTTGCAGGAATCATCAGCCTCTTAGTGCCATGTTGCCTTTGCATTCTTTCCACAGGAGCAGCCTTTTTCTGTTTGATGTTTGGGACATGCTAGTTCAAGTTTCATGATTTCTAGCTAAAAAACTTTTATTATTGTTGTTAAGAGAAAAATCTCTTAAGCCATAATCATCCATTTTTTTTCTCTTTTAAAAAAGTGAGGTTCTTTGGTATCATTTTAATACTAACTATTAATTTGGAAGTGAGGAGAGTCAAGTTCTAGTCAGACACTTGTGTGAGTTTCGTGGAATGGCATTTAATCATTGCTCTGGGTTTGGTTTTCATCACTATCAAAATGAGAGTGGTAGACTACACAATCTTGGAGCACATTTTGAAATATGTGGGCTATAGGCAAGATCACCTGCATCAAAAACACTTAGAGGGTTTGATAAGAAGAGTAGGTATTATCTCAGGCCTTAATAAATAGAGTTTGTTTGAGACATTTTAATCAGCACCTCAGTCATAATTATCCATGATAAAGTTTAGGAGCCACTGGTCCAAGATTAGCAATCAATGACCTCTTGGTTTCAGGAGCTTCTAAGTAAACATTCAAGATTTGCCATTCTTTTTAACCAACAGCTTTTCCACTAAGACATTGTTAATGGGACCAACTTTGCTTTATACAACACCTTCCCTGAGAATATTGGGCAGAATCCTGGTGAGCTACTCTCTGCAGTGCAGTACAGCACAGTGTAGAGAGGCATCCACAATGGTAAATAGAGTCTCATCTGCCAAAACTTCATCTTGCAAACAGCAACTCCTAGGATTTTTCCTAGTCTATTTATATGTTACTGAGCAATCAATGAGCTCACTAACCCATGTGCATAGAAGGCACTACTATGGCATCAGCTTTGAGAAAAGAAAAGCTTTACTGCAAGTCAACAGGCAAGAAGACAGGAGGAAAAGCTGAAATCTATTTCCCCAAGCTTAGGGTTGGGACAGGTTTTATAGTCAGAGGGTAATGAAGTGTGCTCTGATTGGATCTTGTGATGTTGTGATGCCAGGAGACCTGCTCGGACTGGATCCTTCGATGAAGTGATGCCAGAGCTCAATCTGATTAGACCTTGGATCCTACATATAGTGTCTGCTTCTTAATTAAATCGCCATTCCTTAGTGTGAGCACTTAGGTTCCACCAGTGCTAATGTTATATGACCTTCAACCTGGGAGGCCATGGCAACTGAAAAACAACTCACAATTTTGTTACATAAAAGTTGAACCAGATTGGTCTGATGTGTTTACACACATGTAACAGCTTTCTTAGGTTTTTAACTATAAGAAACATAATGAACCTGCATGGTCTCAGGTAAATCCAAACCCTACCAACAAAAAGTTAATCTAGTTAATCGTCAGGATAAAGGGACTTGAACTTTTACCTCTTAAGAATTTGTAGCAGCATTCATAATATCAATTCATGACAAAGGTTTTTATTGAAACCTTTCTTGAGGGCAATTGCTAGTAAACCTACTCTAAGTTCTTTCACTCTATTGCCCTAAGAAAATAATTATCAATATATGTAATATTTATTTATGTCACTGTGAATAGTAAAAATATTGGAAACACTCTAAATAGCTATCTAATAGATTGACTCAATAAATAATTTTGTGTATATAATATATATCTATTAAATATGAAGCATAAGAGTATTTACTGACAGAATTGTGTTCATGAACACTATGTAAAATAGAGATTATAAAAGAGTAATTGCTACATGATCCATGTTTAAAAATAAAATATATGGAGAGAAGCATAAGACATAACATATTAATACTATTTACTGTGGGTAATGGAATTATGAATGTTTTCTAATTTATTTAGGATTCCTAATTTTTTTGTACTTATATATATTTCTCCAATTAACATATGCAATGAAAGAAGTTAATTTTTTAATCTGAATTGTTAGAATTATAAATATATATTTCATAATCCAACTTTTGATATAGTAATCCATACTCTGATATTTAAAATTGTATTAATGTGTTTTACTTCTATGTCTTATCTCTCATTAAGATTCCTAGTAGAGATGAGAAAAGTAGGGCAGGGAATCTCTAATGTGGTCCCTATATTATCTGCAAAACATTATGTACAAAAAATGTATTTATTTAGTGTAAATATTTATCTGATATGTTTGTGTATGAGAAAGTGGGCAAAAAACACAGTATGTGATGTGAGAAAGACAGCAAAAAACACAGTTCATTCAACCTTACTACAAGTGTAAAATAAGGCAGCAAGAAAGAATAAGGGGCTATTTTTTGTTTTTGTTAATATCTGGGATGATATATAAAGAGGGAATTTGGATTATAAAATACAGAATCTATTCCAAGGGTACCTCTTCCTATTGGAATTTGGGAATGGTTTAACTGGGTGGTTCTGGTACAGGATCTCTCACGAAGTCACATTTAAATTGTCAGATGTGACTGCAGCATCTAAAGATTTGGCCGACACTGGAGGCTCTCTTTCACTGTGGCTTACTCACATGACTGGCAAATTAGCGCTGGTTTTTGGTAGGAGGTTTCAGTTCCTTCCCATGTGGGCCTCTCCAAAGGTTGCTTGAGTGTCCTCAAAACATGGCTTCTTCTCTGCACACTCCTACATCCCCAGAGAACCAGCAGAATCCATCCTTTTGTGACCTAGGCTTTGAAGTCAAATGCATCATTCCTGCCACACTCTATTCATTAGATTCAAATCATTTTGTTCATCACACATTGAAGGCGGGGAATTTGGCCCTACCTTTTGAAGGGAAGTAAGTGAAAGAATTTTGAACAAATTTTAAAACCACCAAAAGGACTCTTCCTCACCAAGTCTGATCTGGTGACTGCTACTTCTAAATACATAATCCTCCAATAGCAGAGGCTAAAAGCAAAGCCCTGATGTAACACTATTCCCTAGGAAGACCAGCCAGCCACATCATGAAGGATTGATTTCATCGTACCCCTTCCAAAAAGGGTGTATGTATTCTGAATATGGATATTCCCTGCCAACCTACAATGCTTCTGTCATCCCAACCAACTGTGGGGTTGGGATGTTGTGTTCACTTTTATGATATTTCACACACAAAAAAATGCTTTTAACCAAGTAATATTTCACAGCAAAAGAAGTGCAATGATGTTCACTTTGGCATAGAACAATGTAATGGCTTCCTGAGACTTAGTTCCCCTAAAACTAGGAAATACAGTTTGAGAATCAAGGAATGGAAGTAGGAGTGTCTCCCTTTACTACTAAATCTAATAATAGCACGCAGATATTTACTTTTCATTCCTACAGTGTTGAGTTCTGTTGGCTTAGGGGTTCTAGTTCCCAAGGGAGAGATGATTATTTCAGGTGAATTGACAATGATTCCATTAAGATGGAAGTTGAGACTGCCACCTGGCCATTGTGGATTTGAAGCCATACCCCGAAGAGTTAAAGAAACCAGTGACTGATAGAAACTCTTGACCTCACAGGATGACAGATAAGAAAAGATATAACTTGTTGAAATGCTGAAACTCTCTCCTAGTGAGATTAAAATGCTGGCTGAATCCGTTAAAACCAATATGGCTGACTGGAGTCTGCACAGAATGAACTTGCTGGTGTCAGGGACCAAATTTCCACAGCATGTTTCAAACTAACTCCCACTGAAATTGCACATGTGACCCATGAAGAAAAATGAAGAGATAACTCTGCATGCCTGAGGACTTTCCTTGCGTCAATCACCTACTAATCTCAGAATTCATTCCCCAAACTGTTTCTAATAAGAATACAGCCTTAAAGCCAGCACAGGGAGACAGATTTGAGATACACTCCTGTCTCCTTATTGGTCAACCTGCAATAAAAATAATTTGTTTACTCAAAAACCCAGTGTCATAGTATTGGCTTCTAGCACATTGAGCAGTGAGCCCCTTTTCTCAGTAATAGATTCTTCTGCCATGGAACAAATAGTAAAAATGAAAGAATTACTATACTAGCTGGTATGAATATGAGCTCAAGGATCACCTTTTCCCATACCCCTTTTCTTCTCATATCTGCTCTTACCATCAATGCACCCAGAGACTGCATGACTTCCTTCTTTGAACTTCTTCTGTATCTTAGATTCACATCACGACACTTACATACTTTGCTGAGTTTACTTCTGACACATCTGACTTTTAAGGACTTCTAAGGTCTGATTTTTTTCCTCAGCAGCTGACATGGAACAGGTACTTAAGTATGGTGGCTGAAGGACTGAACAGTTAAATGAAAGATTGGCTTATGAGAAAGATGATGGGATAATATCTGCTTCAGCCTCCAACAAAACAATTTAAGAAATAGAATTGGCCCACATATGTGTCGATGGCCTACAAAAGAAAACAGCAGATTTTATTCATTTCAACATGACTACATCTTTCATTGTGCATGAGACAGAAAAACTTTCTTACCCACTCATTTTACAAAATTAGAAAATTAAGGTCCAGAAAAACAAAATCATTTACTTAAGATCACATAGCAGTGTGGCAAAATGAGGGCTAGACTCACATTGTATCAGCTTCAGGCTAATACTCCTCATAATATTGTTGTTTCACAAAATTTATATCAAATGCATGTTTAAATAAGAAAAGTAGACAATAAAGTCCAGGAGCTCTTAATGTACACTGAGTAAGTCTTGTTTTTTCTACCCCATTTAACCCACAATATACCAGGAAAATAGATATAACTACCATCTGGGCACAATAGCCCCTTTTTATTTTGTATATGTTTGTCATCTCATGAATAATTACAAAAGTAAGCATAAAGGCAGAGTGGAAAAAACCTTATTAGACATTTTAATAAGAATTAAATATAGCACACCCAAATTTTTATTCCATATGTTCCTGATTTTAAAGAGAGACAGATAGATAGGTAGACACAGAAAAAGAAGGAAGGAAGGAGGGAAGGAAGGAAGTAAGGAAGGAAGGAAGGAAGGAAGGAAGGAAAGAAGGAAGGGAGGGAGGGAGGAGAAAAGTCAATATCCTTTGAATTCAACTAGAGAGACATATCTAACTTATAAATTCTGTTCTCAGATTTCAAATATATCTCTGCTAGGCTCTGTCTTGTCATTACTTCTAATTCTGCTTCATGCCGTTGTATCATCAAAATGTGATACTTTATAAACTTCAATGGTACATAATTTTATTGAAAAGGAAAGGGTCATCTTATTTTCTCTGTAATTTTAATATATTTTAATTTTTAGATTTATAAATACCAATTAGAATGATGGATACAATTAATTTTTTCATTACTACAGCATCTATTTCTTACTACTCAACTTTGTATATACAACTGTCTATCCATTTATTAATGATATCAAGTAAATTCCAGTGCACAAGCTTTATGAACAATGAAAGAATGTGTAATATGCCTTTTGGCACAATAGAATGGTCTAGATTTTGGTCACAAAATACTTGCATAATAAAATCCTTTCTGTTGCATGACAATGAAAATACCACGTTTTCGTTTTGCCCTTAGAAATGTGTAATTCATTCATCTATTACTGCATTTGGGAAAATTTACCTAAGATACTGTTATCTGAAGCCTCACTAAAATTTTTATTATACAATCAATTTTACACCATTATTAGAATGTCAAAGACCACTCTTGTCTCCTTGCATTTATCTTCATCTAGCCAATTTGTAAACTCTTTCTCTGTCAACTCCTTCTTTTATGTTTCTTATGGAGAAACATTCAAAAATTCCTGGATTCTCAACTGTATTTAATAAAAGCTAAGAAATAAACTATAAAGATGATGGTTCCAGACTTCTTTTATACCTTCTTAAAAGATGATATAAAACTTTAAGCAAAACAATGAAAAAAACTGAAGGACGTTATAATAGTAATGATTTATTTGACTATTTCATTATTCCTCTGGGCTATTTCACCATTCTTTTTCATTGTAGTTAGGAATAATTGATAATATACCGGAAAGTAAGATCACTGAAATTCAATAACCTGTATTAGATTGAGAAAATACTGACTGACATCAGATGGAGCCATATAATAATTGTAATATAAAATCAGTTTTATTATATCTTTTAAAAGAGTAAGTAAATTTTTTTCTTTGTTCCTTGGAAAACTTCAAAGACAAAAATAAAAATCATGATGTACCAACCTTTACAAATAAACAGAACTACTCAAAAAATAAACTAAAAAGCTCAAATTGGGCCCAGGGTTTTTTATCTTTTTATCTAAAAAGATCTGTCCCATGCATTAAAACAGATGAGGAACCAGACAATGAGCTCGCATAGAAATAATTGAGTTTGCTTTTCTGGTCCTGGCTTGGACATAGACCTTTACCATGGCTGCTATTTGCCTGACTAGCTGCCTTGGAACTCCCCATTCCCACCAAGACCCAGGCTGAGAAAGAGAGTCATCACTCACAACTGAAGATTTGCCCATGATGAGCAGCCCTCTCAAAGTGGTGGGCAGTCCTGCTGGAATATCATGGCCAACTTTATCAGGAAGAATGTTTTTGCAGAGAGAAGAATGAAAACCACAAAATAAACATCTACACTAACTCTGGTGCTGAAACTGAGGAAGTATGAGGTCCAGAAAGGGTCTGACTGGTGTTTTAAATATATCTTTTCTCTTTCCCTTTGTCCTGAGCCTGTCCCCTTTCTGGCCTCTTTTGGCTTGGTTTATCCCTCTTCATTCTATGATTATATCACATGAACCCAGCTCAGCAATGGAAGGCAAGAGGAAGATTTAACTTATTTGTAGGAAGTTCTCCTTATGGAATGTCATTATTCTCCTGAGATAAATTCTAATTTTTTCAAAGTTTTGAAGCTTATTCATCTCTTTCTTAAAGACAGTAACTGTAAATTCGTGGTTTGCAAGTTGAACTAGGCTGTCTTATGAGCTTTGTTTGGCCAACTGAGCATTACTTGAGTTCAAATTCCGTTAATATGTCATAGGTTCCCATTATTTGTGTTCTGCATTTTCACACTTGTACATGACTCGTCTGCTTACCAAGCGTATGCATATGAAATGCCTACTTTAACACCATCTGATTTTTAACCTTTTTTAACCTTTAAAGAATTTCCAAAAATGTATTTTCTTTCTGCCCCACAAGAAAATGAACCTTTAAGACACTCTTTAGTTTATCCAAGAGATATATATATATATATACACACATATATATAAAGAAATGTATAAAGAAATGTGTGTGTGTGTATATATATATATATATATATATATATATATATATATATATATGAAGAAAAATGGAATGTCAGAACATCAACTGAAACTCTATAAACAGGAAAATTATTGCGTGAATTGGTCAAAATTCTCACTCAATAGGACCAGACAGAGAGGCCATCACTATATTTGACATAGTATCTTATCACTTCATTACAATCCTGTCACCCACAGCTGTAAATAGTGGGGCTTTATACTTTTCAAAGAATTTCTTTGATGTTGTGAAAGAAAGATATTAGGAATTTGAACTATATCCTATTGTGTAATCCAGCATGATATATATCATCTGTGTCATTATAATCTTAGAGAAAGTTTCATCTCAATTTTTTATAATGTTCTTTAAAAGCAAAATAATTCATATCATTTTCCCTCAAATAAAAACTGTTTCCTGTCTCATGAACAACAAATAAGGACAGTGGACTACATGGTGCATTCATTCACATATAAAGGTAAGGTGACTACAGATCAGCAGTGTGAATGGTTCCATTCCTCCTTTGAGGTGAGGCAACAGTTCTGTATCTTAGCTGTAGTGGTACATTAATCTATAAATGGGATAAATTTTCTTATGACTACACACATAAAAAATGAGTACTTGTCAAAACTGATGAAGTTTGAGAAAGATCTGTAGACTAGTTAATTGTATTATATCACTGTCAATTTCCTGGTTTTAGTAATGAACTCTAGTTATATAAAATATTACCATGGGAAGTGAGAGGAAGGTAGCTGTTTGAAGAGTACACAAGACCTCTCCACACTATTTTTGCAACTTTTTGTGAGTCTATAACCAGTTCAAAATAAAAAAGTTAATGGAAATGTTGAGAGTTCATTCCATTGTTTATCCCTCTTCAGAGAAGCTGGTGCCTGATACTTTAACCACAACACATGTTATCTGTGCAAAATGCAATCCATTTAATTTGAAAAACTCAATAGGGATCAGGATCAGCTTCACTAATCACTCATCACCTTTTAAAACTCAAGCTAAATTTTACAGAACATAAGTCACCCAAAAGTGAAACTTGAGCAGGTGTTTTAGCTAACTTATAAACACAGATTTCTTAGACTTTGAAAAACTGTCAAGAGATTTATTTCCCAGCCCTGGGCCGTTTGGTCACTTGAGGGAGTTGTCTCCATTTTAACTCTTCTCTGTACACACCTGCGTTTTCTTCTCTACAACTTCACATCTCCTTTAACATTTTTACTTAGTAAAAACAGTCAAACCATTGTTGGAAGTTCTTGGAATTTTTTTTTTTTTTTTTTTTTGAGATGGAGTCTCTCTCTGTCACCCAGGCTGGAGTGCAGTGGCACAATCTTGGCTCACTGCAAGCTCTGTCTCCCAGGTTCACGTCATCCTCCTGCCTCAGCCTTCCAAGTAGCTGGGACTACAGGTGCCTGCCACCATGCCCAGCTAATTTTTTATATTTTAGTAGAGATGGGTTTTCACCATGTTGGCCAGGATGATCTCAGTCTCCTGACCTTATGATCTGCCCACCTCAGCCTCCAAAAGTCCTTGGATTACAGGCATGAGCCACTGCACCCAGCCAGATTTTTTTTTCTTCCAGATATTGGATCTTTGATTGCTTTCATTGAGCATCATGGGTTGTCTCAGGGATTTGAGACGTGCTTCCTTAAAAATTTCTCCTTCTAGACTCAGGAGAGCTTGAGGAGCACATGCCTGCTCTGTTCAATCTCTTATAATTGCAGTGAATGTGATTTGAGTTTTAACTGCTCAATCACTATTTGTTGACACTTCAGGAATCTCACCGTTATATTCAACCTGCTGTTGCCAATGAGGCCTGAGCAAAACCAAGATCAATAACATGAAAGTGTGGAGGGGGTGGGGTAGGCAAGAAATGTGAATGTATGTTAAAAAGATTTAGAGATGAATGGGAAAAGAGGGAAGACTGTATATTGAGAAAAGAGAATCTACTCTCTTTTCGGGCCTCAGTTTCTTCATCTATAAAACAAGAGTATTGACAGGAAAACAACCCAAATGTCTGTTATTTGGTGCACTCTAGTAAATTAAATAATCCATAAAGGAGAGAAAATCATTTCTCTAGATGCAGCTCATTTGTAGATAAAGCATTCACATTTTCTTCTAATTTATCTTGGAAAATTCAACTACAGGGAGGAAAGAGAGATTTCAGAAATAACTTTCTCCCTGATTCTATTCATAATTAAACTTCAGTCATCAGATCACGTATGATTCTATTCCTGTCCATAATCTCTTATCTGCTTCCTAGAGCTTTTTCTGAATGAGAATTGGAATAGAGAAATGCTCTGCTGCTCTTAGTTCTTCCTTGGGCACATCCACATTAGAAATTTTTAAAACCATAAAAACTGTACTGCAGGCTCCAGAGCCACCTTATGAATTGTGTTAGGGGAAAGAACGCTTTCCTATCTTTTCTGCCCTTGCAGGATTTATTGCCTGTGGAGGCCTCTGGATCACCCCAGTTCATATAAACAGGAAACACAATCCCAAGTAAAAAAGAAAAAGAGAAAGCTGGAGCAAGCCAATCACTGTAGGTATAATTCACACACACACACACACACACACACACACACACACAAATAGCACATTGCTAAATTTCCTTCCCTCAAGATTATGCAGTTCTGGACTTCCAGAAAGCTGGAAACTGTATATAGCTAATGCAAATCAAGTGCCCCAGAGTCTCAGATTGAAAGTCCGTAAGTCCAAAGTTAAATGAGGTACGGGTAACCTGTTGTAGACACTAGAAATAAGATTTCAGTATACCTGGGTCATGTCCTCTCATGATATGTAGGCCCTTTCAATACTAAAGTGCTGTGAAAATAGAAGTATCATCTGGAATGAGCCAAAAAGCATTTAGATAGTGAGAAATTGAACAGGATTTAATGATAAAATAAATTGTGATACCACTAGAGGTTGTACAGTAATAACATGGAAAGTTGAGTCTAAGCTTTTATAGCGAACAACTTCATATATATATAGAGAGAGAGAGAGAGTTAAATTTTATCTTATATATAATGTGTAATTTAAAAATTGGGAGTGACATCAGCAAGATGGCAAACTAGAAGCTCCTAGCACTCCTTTGCCCCTCAAAAAAAAAAAAAAAAAAAAAAAAACCAAAACAACAAATAACTACTAAAGCAACTAAAGGAGAGCACCAGAGAACAGCAGAAAAGCAATAGAAATCCTGTAGAACATAGAAACCCAGGATGGGCACACAGAAAAAAGAAGGAGGCACTTCACCTCTGCCACTTCACTCCCCAAGTTTTGTCCACTTTAGAACCAGGAGTGTCTTCTCCCTGCAGGGTAAAGGTAAGCAAAAGGACCACAGAAGACCCCATTACCACCATGGATAACTGGGTCTTTGCTATTGGAGATTCCTGCAGCCCTCAAAGGCTCTGAGCCCAGCTAAGGAAGCTCACAGAGCCCACACAAGTGAGATACTCCTAAAGAAGGAGATGATACTGTGCATTGCACCTCATGGCCCAAGCTTCTACTGCTCTGCAACATCTTGTAACTTGAGTGACTGCCAAAGTGCATCATTCTCTGGGGGCAAATAGGTATTGTATCTCTCCATTCCCGAGGCTCAGCTGCTACTGCACCATGCCCACCTCATATCACGCCATACCCAAGCAGAGGTGCTACTAAGGACATCCTACCTACTAAGGACAAGCTACCACAGAGCCACATCATGACCCCCAACAGTCATTGGTGCATCCTCCATTTAAAGTCAAGCTGAAGTAATGCCTTGTCCCTAAGGGAACTGGAATCTTGAAACCAGAACTGTCAAAATTCAAAGACAAAAAGAGAACTTTAAAAGCAGCAAGGGTAAAGCATCAAGTTACATATAAAGGAATGCCCATTAAACTACCAGAAGATTTCCAAGCAAAAACCTTGCAAGCCAGGAGAGAATGGGATGATATAAAGTGCTGAAAGAAAGAAAAAAAAAACTGGTAGCCAAGAATACTATGCACAAAAAATCTGCCCTTCAGAAATGAATAGAAATAGTCTTTCCCAGACAAGCAAAAGCTGAGAGAATTTATTATTACGAGACTTGCCTTCTAAGAAATGCTCAAGGGAGTTCTTCAAGCAGAAATTAAAGGACAATAATACTATCATGAACAACCATGAAAGTATAAAACTCACTGGTAGGGGTAAATGCATCAAATCCAGAATACACCAATTCCATAAAGGTGGTGTGTAAATCATACCTATTTCCAGTATATAGGTTAAAAGTAAAAATGGTCAAAAATAACTAAAGCTGCAATAAGTTGCTAAGAAATACACAATATAGAAAGATGTAAATTGTAACATCAAGACAAATTGTGGATTTGGAGGGTAAAAGTTTTTATATGCAACAGAAGTTGTTAACAGCTTGGAATAGATTATAACTAATGTTTTATGTAAGCCTCATGATAGCCACAAGACAAAAGAACTACAGCAGATACACAAATGATAAAAAGAAAGGAATCAAAGCTTAGCAGTCTAGAACATTGTCAAGTCAAAGAGGAAGACAACAAGAGAGGAAGAAACAAAGGAACTACTAAACAACCAGAAAACAAGAACAAAGTGACAGTGATAACTCCTGACCTATCAATAATAACCTTAAATATAAATGAATTAAATTATTCAATCAAAAGACATAGCATAGCTTAATGGATTAAAAAAAAACACACCCAAGATCCAGCTACATGCTACCTACAAGAGACCCAGTTAGGCTTTAAGGGCAAAAGTGAAAGGATGAAAAGATATTCCATGCAAATGGAAACCTAAAGAGAGTAGGAGTGGCTACACTTTTATCTGATAAAATAGACTTCAAGTCAAAAACTGTTGCAAGAAACAAAGATCATTATTTAATGATAAAGGGGTCAACTCATTAAGAGTACATATTCATTGTAAACATATATGGACGTAACATCAGAACACATAAATACATAAAGCAAAATTAATAAACATGAAGGGTGAAATAGATAATAATATGACAATAGAAGAAAACTTCTTTTTCTTCCTTCCTTCCTTTCTTCTTTCCTTTTCCCTTCCTTCCTTTCTTCCTTCCTTTTTTCTTCCTTTCTTTCTTCCCTTCTCTTTCTTTTCTTCCTTTTTTCCTTTCTTTTCTCTCTTCCTTTCTTCTGTCCTTTTTTCCCTTCTTTCTTCCTTTGTTTCTCCCTTTCTTCCTTTTCTTTTTTCTTTCTTTCTTTCCTTCCTTTCTTTCATTTCTCTCTCTCTCTCTCTCTCTCTTTCTTGCTTACTTGCTTACTTTCTTTCTTTCCTTCTTTTGACAGGTTCTCACTCTGTTGCCCAGGCTGGAGTGCAGTGGCACAATCACAGTTCACTGCAACCTCGACTTCCTGGGCTTAAGTGATCCTCTCACCTTCCCAAGTAGCTGGGACTACAGGCATGCACTTTTTTTTTTGTAGAGTCAGGGTCTCACTATGTAACCGAGGCTGGTCTCAATCTCCTAAGTTCAAGTGATCCTCCCACCTTGGCCTCCCAAAGTGCTATGATTACAGGCACAAGCCACCATGCCCAGCTGTAGATAATTTCAATATCCCAATTTCAACAAGTCATAGCTCAAACACACAGGAAATTAATAAAGAAATATTGGATTTAAATTGCAGTTTTGACCAAATAGACCTAACAAACCTACAGAGGACTTTCCATCCAACAACAGCAGAACACATATTTTCTCCAGTGCACATGGAACATTTTCCAGTATAAGCCATATGTTAGGCCACAAAACAAGTCTTAACAAATTTAAGAAGATTAAAATTGTCTCTCATATCATTTCAGACCACAATAATATGAAACTAGAAATTAATAGCAGGAGGAATCCTGGAAAATTGAAAAATATGTGGAAATGAAACAACATGCTCCTGAAAATCCAATGAATAAAAGAAGAAATCAAAATGGAAACTAAAACATATCTTGATACAAATGAAAATATAAACATAACGTACCAAAATCTATGGAATGTACCAAAAACAATTCTAAGAATTTTATGGCAATAAACACTTACATTAAAAAAGAAGAAAGATTCCAAATAAATAGTCTAATATTATACCTCAAGAAACTAGAAAAAGAACAAATTAAACCAAAAATTAGCAGAAGGAACAAAATAATAAAAGTCATAATAGAAATAAATCAAATAGAGAAAAACCACAAAACAAATCAATAAAACTAAAAGTTTGTTTTTTTAAAAAAAACAAAATTGACAAGCCCTTGCTAATCTAAGAAAAAAAGAAAGAAGACTCAAATAAATAAAATCAGGAATGAAAGTGAAGAGAGTAAAACACATGCCTCAAATAAAAAAATAAGGAATTATTATGAATAATTATATGCCAATAAATTGAATAATCTAGAGGAAATGAATAAATTCCTAGAAAGATACAACCTACCAAGATTGAATTAAGAAGAAATGGAAAGCCTGAGCAGACCAATAACAAATAAATAAATTAAAGAATCAAAAACCTCCAACAAAGAAAAGCCTAAGACCAGATGCCTTCACAATTGAATTCTAGTAAACATTCAAATAAGAATCAATATCAATACTTCTTAAACTCTACTGAGAAAAATAGACCTTGAGAAAATGCTTTTAAACACATTTTATGAGGTTAGCATCACCTTAATACCTAAGCCAGAGAAGGATATCACAAGAAAATAAAACTACTGATCAGTTTCTCTGATGAACGCTGATGGAAAAATCCTAGGGAAAATACTAGCTAACCAAATCCAACAACATAGCAAAAAGATTATACATCATGACAAAATGGGATTTATCCCTGGCATGGCAAGGCTGGCTTAAAATACACACATCCATCAGTGTGATACATCATATTAACAAAATAAAAAGTTAAAAACCACAGGATCATCTCAATTGATGGAGAAAAAGCATTGGACAAAGTCCAACATCCTTTCTTGATAAAAATAAAAAAACTCTCAACGATTTGGGTACAAAAGAAAAGGTCCTCAACTTAATAAAGGCCATTTATGAAAAACCCACAGCTAACATTATAATCAATGGAGAAAAACTGAAACCTTATCTACTAAGATCCAGTACAAGACAAGGATGCCCACTCTCACCACTTATATTCAACATTGTACTGGAAATAATAGCAAAGCAATCAGACAAGAAAAAAAAAGGCATCCAAATAAAGAAATAAAATTATCTCTCTTTGCAGATAACATGATCCTATATGTAGAAAAACCCCAAAGATTCCACCCCAAAACTGTTAAAACTAATAAATGAATTTAATAAACTTTCAGAATATAAAATTGACATACCAAAATCAGTAGCATTTGTACACACAAAAAACAACTAACTGAAAAAACAAATCAAGAAACAATCTCATTTTCAATAGCATCCAAAAAATAAAACAAAATACCTAAGAATAAATTTAAGCAAGGAGGTGAAAAACCTGTACACTGAGAATTACAAAACATTGATGAGGGAAACTGAAGAAGACACAAATAAATGAAAGATACCCCATACTCATGAATCGCAAAAATTAATATTGTTAGAATGTCCATATTACTCAAAGCAATATACAGATTTAACACAGTCTCTGTCAAAATCTTAATGGCATTCTTAGAAATAGGAAAATAATACTAAAACTTGTATAGAACTATAAAAGAACCCAAATAATCAAAACAATTCTAAGAAAGAAAAAATAAGTTGGAGATATCACACTTCCTGATTTAAAATTATGTTATAAAGCTATAGTAATCAAAACAATATGATACTGGCATAAAAACAGACTTATAGACCAGTGGAGCAGAATAGAGTGTTTCAGAAATAAATGCAAACATATAGGGTCAACCAGTTTTTGGTGCCAAGGGCACCAAGAGGATACAGCAGGGGAAGGATGGTGTCTTCAATAAATGGTGCTGAGAAAACTCAATTTCCACATGCAAAAGAATGAAACTGGACATTTATGTTATGCCATACACAAAAACAAAACTCAAAATAGATATAAGACCTAAATATAAGACCTCATATGCAGAAATTGGGGCAAGAAATGGATGATCACTTAACAGTGAAACTGACCTCAAAGAATAAACACTTTTACACAGAAATGAGGATGTATTGACCTGGAAGTAGAAAAATAATTTAGGGAGACACAATCCAATCCAGGCCCAAGGGTATGAGGCACATAAAAGACAGAGCAACATCACAGGATAAAATAGAAGGGAAGAAGATATTGGGGATATTGGTGAAGGGAAAATGTGTGAGAAGGGTTGAGATGAAAGGCAGTAGAAGAAAAGATAGGGAGGGGAATGCACCAGGCAAGGAGGGCAGGCAATAAGGGGAAAGAGTAATAGAATGGATTCCTAGAGAAGCTGGTGTTTAAGGAAGTGGCCTGGGATGACAGATGCAGAGTCAGGTTAACTCGAATGCAAAAAAACCCTGATTGATAAGTTATTTCACTGACCGCTGTGGCTTACATAAGGAAGTAGTCTTATCACACTCTGGCCCAATTGACAGCCAGGTGAAAAAATGATGCAAGGAAATATCGAAATAGTATGAGGGTTGGACTTTGGGGAACAAAGTGAGGGGAATTGCTACAGCAGGGCTGCCAGAGGAAGGGGAAGCGTCGGGAGCACCTTGACGTTTCCATTGTACTTATTATTGATCTTGAACAATATGAATGTCTCTCATACCCCTACCATTTTTTTTCTTCGTGTAGACACTGTGAATCATGTAACTGATCACATTTATTTTACTGGTTTCCAGGAACCTAAAAAACAGAATTTCTGCCTGTTGCTACAAGACTTTAAAGCATATCTTTGGAGTAATAAATATATCCCAGGATTCATTTTACTTTTACTAACTTCACTCCCTTCTGTCACCAATTTTCTTCGCTTATTTTCTGTTTTCTTTGTTTTTATAGGACATCTCTACTCTGTTTAAAATGAGATGAGGTATAAATAATAAACATTTTACTCTGTGGTTAATTCAAGGTTTGCACAAAGAACATAATTAAAAACTCAGATACTAGACACCTGACAAAGAGTATTTATTACCATAGAACTTTTAGGAACATTAATAATTCTACAAGTCATATTTGCTGCCAGGTTTACATCTTTTATATATACTCTAATATTGATATTAAAATGACAGAGGCATTACTCAGGCTCCAAGTTCCCATATATGTACCTCGTTATTAGTGTGACCATAAAATTAACTGTCCCAAACCAGGCACTTTGACAGTCAGAAGGGGCACTACTAATAATTATGCCAGGACAACAGGTATGTGCTAAGACATGCTCGCCTTACATAAAGATTGATTTTAAAATATGAGCTGAAGTTCCAAATTGCCTTTATTCTCTGAGGAAAATCCTCAACTCTGCTATAATACTCTTGCCATTTTCTACAGGAAATAGCTATGAAAGTTCTTTTAGTGCCAAAGTTGTTTGGAATGTCCACAGGGCTCTGTTAACTTTCAACAAAAGATTATAAAGCTTACCAGTTGTGATGGGTAGGACTTCTCCTGCTAGTCAATCAAGTAACTTGTTAGCTCATCATGCTCGTAGTGAAACCACCCAGAAGGATGGAAATGGAGGAGAGTGATTGAATTTACACAGCTGTTCTGTTACCTTCCCTGGACCACTGAAATTTGCTTCATTTGATTACATCCCTATTCAATATAAAAGCAAATCTCATGCATTTGAAATGCACAGTACTTAAAATATAACATGTAACCTTTTGACCAAATATTAATTGAAATCCTTTGTGTTGTATTATGGTTTCATGCGAACTCTCAGAAAATTGTATTCATGGCCATTTTGATAGACAAATTTAAGAAAGTTCTTAAAAGGAGCCTTGTTTTTTTAAAAAAAACCACTACAGTAAACCCATGTTCATATTTCAGATAGCCCTTTGGTCCTTGTGCCTGGCTACCCACTGAAATATCAGAGAGAAAAAAAAATATGCAGGGCACAGTTCTAACCAGATAAAAGTGAAGAACAAAAGAAATTTCTGGTAGAAATATGGATGGACAAGTTTTCCATCCTGAAATGGAACCTCCAAGACAACCCACAAGAGATGGTTTTTCCAACTATGAAAGAAGAACATACCTTGAAACAGAGCATTTTATTAAGTATCTAAAATTAGCATTTGGGGGCTGAGTTATTTAAGCCTACTACTATGAGGGATGTGTTTCCCCGGGTCATTATTAAGCAACACATTGTTTAGGAGGAGATGGCCCTAGAGACTGGGAATACTTCGCCTGCTTCTGACCATAACTCTGACATCCCTTCTCCTGCTAAGGCCTACAGCCCAGCGAGGCAGCACTACAGGGGTGGAACTGCAACCTTATACATTGGAGGGTATTTGGTCTCAGAGAATTTCTGAGGGTGGGTCAGGTGGTGGGCATGCAAGGGGACATAAAAACCCCAACTGAAGTATCAAACTGAGGTAGAGAAAGGGGCACCAAGAAGAGGTACCACAGCAGAGCTAAGTAGGTGGGAGCCAGCCTGATTCAATTCCTGAGAGGCTGGCCCATGCTCACAGACACTTTTCATCCACTCCCAGCCCTTCTCCTTGTTGGACAAAAGTTCACTTTCACATCCATTCCAAACCTGAGAACCATTTGGATAGGAAATGATACCCCATGTGGCTCAGATTACATTAATTTGGGATTGCCATTATTCATATGCCTTGAGATAAAACGTAAAGACCAAAGAGAGTAGTGTAATTCTCTGTACACATCTGATACTGTATCTTAGTTCAGTATTTATTTAATAAAACTTAAACAATAATTGACCTTTATTAATGTTGATGATAATAAAAGATATACTCCCTTTACAAAATTATCAGTTCCTACATATGATTAACTTGTTAAGTAACTTGTATGCATTGGTTGTTACTCTTCACAACCATCCTATAAGGGAAATACTGATTATTTCCATTGTACAGAGGAGAAAAACTAAAAATAAATAAGTGAAAAAATAATTAAGGTAAGCATTAAAGATGTATGACTAGTAAATGACAAAGCTACATTTGAACAGATTCTTTTGAGTCCAAAAACCTTACACCTTCTAAATTTATTAATGAAATTCCCAAGAGAAAGTCGTTGCAGAAAGTTTTAATCTTACAGAAGGTATAGAATAGATTAGGAATACAGAGGTGCTAACTGAACATTTTTCCAACTTCTTTCTACCTTTCCAAAGATGCTCTAATCAACATGTGGTTGATTTTAAGAGCCCAAAGGTTTTGACATGATATTTACCAGTAAGAATTTTTTTCCACATTTTGAGTTCATGGTTTGTTAATGCTCTCAATTGTACTTTTCAAAGAAATAAAATAAGGCTCAACTGTTTCTATGTTAGAAAATGATTGTATCTTACATTAAAAGAAGGCAAAGCAATACAATTTTTTTTCTGTGTATGGCAAATAACATAACAATGCATCAGTTTATTCTCCCATGGTTTTGCAAATCATTTCCCAGGCCCATTTTTAAAATATGTAAATCATCATAATTTTTGCAAGTAAAACATATTTCTTTGCCAGCATATAAGTAACCTCACACTGTATTTACCAAGGACAGAATGAAACAACATTAGACAATTAACCAGAAAAAGTTTCCTAATGTGGATCTTTATGCTATAGTCAACCAAATGGATAATTATGGCCCTGACCTGAATCAATCTGAAATTGTTAGTCAATCTGACCTCAATAGTTCTCTCGATTTCTTTCCCACATAAAGATTCCACTATTCTTCAGTGCCACCAGACTTTATCCTAGTATTCCCGTAACATCTATACGAGAATCAAACATAATGTTCAAATTTTTCTAGAACAAACAAACATCTGGCCTTTCAGAATTATTCCACACTGCAGCTCCTCAACTAACAACAAAAGTAGAGTACTTGACCAAAATCTTGGGCTTTCCTTAAGCCTCAAGTGTTGAAATAAACAGAATGTTGAAATACTGCTATTGTTTCACCACTTTTTGTCTATATGGTCACTCTTACCACTCTCATGTATCTCAAACTAACTGCTCCAAAACTGGAGACTAATGCTGGTCTTTTACTTTCCTCCTCAACCAGAAGGGAAATTTGATTGGGAAATACACTACAGTTTAATCATTTAAGACTCTATCTTTACAAAAGAGAGAGAAGAGTGGTAAACTCCAGTGTGCTCAAGAAAAAGATATGTATTTAAGATATTTAAGATACATTTGGAAAGGATCTTCTATCTCTCTCTTGTCAGGTCAATGGGCTCTGACAAGGAAGGAAACAAGGAAAAGAAGTCCACTTTCCACAGGTTAACATGGTACCCTTTGTGAGAGGCTCTCAGCTTCTTCAAAGATGAGTTTTCCTCCAAATTAACAACATACTTGAGGACAAGGTCTCTAGCCTGAAAGAAATGCACTCAAACTCTGGCTTAAACTGCCATATAACCTGGCAAGTTACCTAATTTCTCTAACCACAGCCCTAGATATATATTTTTTAAGATGACAATAATAATATCTATGGCACCAAGTTGTCCTAAGGATAAAATGTGGTAACATGTGTAGGTGTTTAATATAGTGTCGGGTATGCAGTAGGCATTTTAGAAACTATAATTTATTATTATTTTTCAGATGAAGCTGTAGTGCTAAGAAATGTTTGTAAAACCCAGTAAGTTTGGAATGTTTATTGACAGAACTAATGGTAAGGCCACACTGAGGTACTCAAACAGATGTATTTACATTTTATGTAAACTTGGGGCTTTAGTATTCTCTACCTGCTGTATCTTCTCTGGTTCTGCCAATCTGCTTTTATTAACTTTCTTCATTAATAAAGTTATATACCCATCCTACTACATCTGAACAAATTACAATCTGAAAAATATACATGCCAAGATCTTTGCTTCAAAAAATCAAATACTACAATTTAACCTAAATATTAGCAGTAAAAGTGCCTTTTACATTTCTAAAATGTGGGCAGAGAATAAATTCTTGAGCTTAAGTAAAAGAGGCAACACATTGTGACTGTCATGAATGTTACCAAAGTCCTACAGAGAATGTGATAGAAATCAACATGTGGCAGTATTAAAATATTTAAGGGGTTTCTTAGTTTAGGCTGCAGCACTAGTGGGTCAAGAATCACTTGAATTTATAAGAACAAACAGTCATGTCAAAAACACAGTTTCATTTGTCATACCCTTATACTGTATTGACTCTCCATTGAGTATTTGTACTTGCAAAGTTTTTCATTTATGATGTGCAAGATTTTAAAAGCTCTAAACACTCCAGAGAGGAAGAAATTATAATGGGTGGTCTCGGTAAGGGGAAAGTGGATATAATTAGGAATGACATAGCAAACAGGGGGACAGGCAGAATTAAATCTGAGAACAAAAAACAACTTTTCTAACTACAACAAAATCGAATACAATATTATCCAAAGGAAAGTCAAAGACATCAATGACAGAAAGTAATTTGATGAGGCCAAATGAAGAATTTTAATTCTTCAAATATCATTAATGTAATTTTTAGCTGAAAGCAAGAGCATTATAAAGTAAATAATAGCACACATTCGCCTTATTTTGAATGTGAAATGAACAGAGTCACCAAGTGGGAACATGTATGCTTCAGACCACGACGTTCACATCAGGCCTGGAAACTTCAGAAAAAGTGACAACCTGTCAGTGAAACAGGACAAGAGCTAGCACAAATCTTAACTTTTTTTCCTGTCCCATTCTCAGGCTTAGGATAGTGAACATCCCAGCAAAATGAGACCAGGACACCAGGGAGATCCTTTTCTAGAACTACTATTTTGGAAACAGAAATCACGAATCATTCTGAAACTGGCAGTAGAATTGTGATGAGTTCGGAAAGGCATAAAGAGGGAGCAGAGAGGGGCTGAAGGACAGCCAGGGGACAGCCAGGAAAGTCTGGGGACAGGGAAGCCAGGGCTGCTGTCGCGAAAAGCACAAGGCTTGGTAGACAGAGCTCCTCCAAGGAGGCCAAAAGCAGGCAGCCTGCCCTTGTTTGAAAGACAATGTTGTCTACTCTCTCCAAAGTGGTTTGTCTCTGATTACAGGCTCATTTGTTCCTCCCTTGCCTCCAATTCCCCAGGTACATCTCATTTGATGCTGGAGGAAAAGATAGTAGAACTAGAGCTACTGACTTTAATTCACAATGCTTTTAGATGTGCATAATTAAAACTCAGCACATGAGAAAAAGGAGGGAGGACTGAGAGATGGGGGCAGGAAAAATGTGAAGAACACTGAGTAAGAGGAAGAGAATGGTTGGGAACCTGTAGGAACTGTAAGGAGAAGAGGAGAAGATGAGTGAACTTCAAGAAGGAGGAGAGAAGACGACCTGCTGGGGCTGGAGGATCTTGAAACATTTCCAGACACAAAACATATGGATGAGGAAATAAACAATACCAGCTCCTACGGCTAAAATGAAAAAGAGTTCTCCATTTCCTGTGGAAAATTGGAGCTCACTCAAAACACTGGTGGTGATTGTGTTTAGTTTTCTTTGCAAATGTTCTGCTATAAATTGCTATTACTAAATAACCTTTAAGTTTTAATTTGCAGGTTCAGTAAAGTTGCAGAAAAGCTTCCCCTGTTTTAATTTTCAAAGTCTAAATTCTCAGAGTTGGGATCATGGAGATCAACTACGCCAGCCCTTATCTGATTCATAGAAACCATCTCTCCTGATAAGCCAACACCTCCCATGGGAATCAGTTAAGCAACGTGGTCTAAGCCCCATAGATTCCCAAGGGGGTGATATCTTGGATGACTGGCCAAGATTTTAAATTGAGAAATGTAGATTTCACATCCCAGCTCTCTAGGCACTTAAATGAGCAATCACATGAAATCCCGGAACTCCCTTGACACTAAATAAGGACCCTTAACATTTAGATAGCACTTGAGAGTTTGCAGAAGATGTTTACATCAATGTTCTCATCTGATTCTCACTGTAGACACAGGAAGGATATTTCCTGCTTTGCAGATTAGAATACTAATAGGACTCAGAGAATTTATGGGATTTGTCCAAAGTCACAAACTAATAAAGTCTTCTAACTCCAGCCTACTTCTGCAGATGTACAAAAACACTTACTGAAGTAACTGTATTAGTTCGTTTTCATGCTGCTGATAAAGACATACCCAAGACTGGGCAATTTACAAAAGAAAGAGATTTAATGGACTTAAGTTTCATGTGGCTGGGAAGGCCTCACAATCATGGCGGAAGTTGAAAGGCACGCTTACATGGTGACAGACAGAAAAAAAAGCTTGCAAAGGAAAACTCTCCTATTTAAAACTATCGGACCTCATGAGTCTTATTCACTATCACAAGAACAGCACAGGAAAGACCTGCATCTGTGATTCAATTACTTCCTACTGGGTCCCTCCCACAACACGTGGGAATTCAAGATGAGACTTGGGTGGGGACACAGCCAAACCATATTATTCGGCCCTGGTCCCTCCCAAATCTCATGTCCTCACATTTCAAAACCAATCATGCCTTTCCAACAGTCCCCCAAAGTCTTAGCTCATTTCAGCGTTAACTCAAATGTCCACAGTCCAAAGTCTCATCTGAGAAAAGGCAACTTCCTTCTGCCTATCAGCCTGTAAAATCAAAAGCAAGTTAGTTACTTCCTAGATACAGTGTGGGTACAGGCATTGGGTAAATATAGCCACTCCGAATGGGAGAAGTTGTCCAAAACAAGGAGGCTACAGGCCCCATGCAAGCCCAAAATCCAGCGGGGCAGTCAAATCTTAAAGCTCCAAAATGATCTCCTTTGACTCCATGTCTCACATCCAGGTCATGCTGATGCAAGAGGTGGGTTCCCATGGTCTTGGGCAGTAACTTTTGATGCAAACCATTAAATTACATGGTACTAAAGAAATCTCCAAGAAAACAGACCATTGAAGAATGTGCTAATACAATTACAAGGATAGCATTGGTAGTTAATCTAATCAAATAATACACTGCTTCTCTCAGGTGGTGTATGTAAGAATCTAAGTATTTGAAAATCTGTATATGCTGTGAATCCATCGTATCTTGTTTATTACTACACAATAATTATGTTATTCTAGGTCATTATTTTAGGAAAGTTTCTGCAAGAAGTTTCTGCAGAATTTAAAGTATCATGCATATAACTAAGGCATACATGTTCCATGAATCAAAATCAAAGCCTTGGATTCCTTTATAGAACAGATCCTTCCTGGTTAGAGATAGGTTGGTGTAATGGTTAGGCACACATACCCCAATACCAGTCTGCCCTGCATTTAAAGCCTGGTTCTGCCACTTATTTGATGTCTGATACCGAGCAAATTAATTAATCTTATTTTCATCAGTATTTCCACCTATAAAATGGTGATTAAAATTTGGTCAATCTCTTGGGATACTGTGAGAAATCAAAGAGTTCATACCTTTAAGGTGTTTAAAACCATACCTGATACACAGTAAGCCCTATTTGTAAGTCATGTTTATTTTCATCTGCTGAGCATTATATATTAGGTGTGCTGGTGTCTTAGCCAATCCTGAATATAACTCTAAGAGATAGGATTATTACAACACCTAAAAGAGGAAAAAGTTTCAGAGGAGTCCAGTAATTAGCCTCACATCACACAGCTAATAAATGGCACAGCCAAGCTTCAGCCTTATCCTTCTGGGTCTAATTTTCCTTGACACTTCCCTCTAGAGAGAGGGCAGTGGGGTACAAGCCAAGATAGCTGCTGTGTTTTGTCCTTGCAAATACATTTCATATCTCAGACCTAAATTCTACTGATCTACCATTGTTCCTTTACAAGTTAATTTTTTTAAATGAAGTCTGTTAAAGAAATGGGTATCCATTTGACCAAAGCATAAGACATGACAAAGTTATAAGGCATGTTACAATGGTACATGATCTTAGAGACTAGAACATTTATATAGAGAGAATCTCATTGAATTTCCACAGCAAATGGCCACTGCCTGCATTTTATAGTTGGAACAACGGGTTCAGTGATGTTAGATCATTCTGGTACTTCCAGGCCACATGGTGAAGGGATCATTCTGAATATGAATGTATAGCTCTTTCCTCTGCAACACTTTCATCTCTGCTAATTTATACTTGACTTACACATTTTTTCTAGTTTGCCTTGGGAAAATTAATGTGATGCTACTAACCAGGTGTGACCCCACTAAGCCATTCACCAAAATTTATCTTATTGTCCCTGCCACAGGATATACCCCATCTAAACAGGATGCACACCCACCCGATCCACTACAACTCCATAATGAAGGGTCTCTGCAGTGCATGGCTCATTCTTGCAATGGCTTCTCCAGTGAGAATTTACGGAACATTTAGTGGAAAATAGTAAATTACAACTAAATACATATTATTGAAGGAATTTAAAAAAAGAAAATACTTTCTTTTATGGATAGCTAAAATTTGCATTTCTACAACTAAAGGGGTTGCATATACAAATGGAAATGGAAAAAATCACTTTAATAATTTTATTTTTACTAGTAAAATATACTTTACTAATAAGCATTTAAAGGTCATGTTTAATCCTATCTCAAACCGAAAAAAAAGAAGTGGTATGAAGTATATGCATATATAATGTTTTTCAAGGTTCTTGCACAAAAACTTTTAGAAACATCAGTGTGAAATTAGAGTGTTTTAATATTTATCCAGTAAAAGAATTGTAAAGGCTAGCCATGTTTTTCCCTCCTGCTTACTATATCCCAGGAAAAAGGGCCAAAGGAACTTCTTTGAAATGTTACTTTACAAAATTTCTAACGCACCATCTCCAAATTGCTATTCAGCAGAAAGAAATCACCAGTTTCAGTTCACTTGGGACCTATAAATCCAGAAATCGAGAGAAAAAGCTTTGCATCCCCTGACTTGAGTTGCATGATGCAACTGAACAATTTCATTGGAACATTTCAGAGTTGCAGTTCTAAGTAGAAAGTAAAAAATAAGTAAGATGCCCTGGTATTTATCACTCTTCCAAGAATTCCAGGCAAGTCAGATTTTATACTCTCTGCAGAATGGATGTCCCCATTTAGGAGCCCATCCCAGCATCTCCTAAGAATAAAGTGCTTCCAGGACTAACCTCAAAGCAAATCACATAACCAGAACTTAAAAAGCTTTATGCCACAAGCACTTCAAATCAGTAGGTATCTTAAATCAATAATTATGCTGCTATCATTAGCTAGACAATGAAAGTGGAAATAATCAAATATTTTTAGGTCCATTTTTTCTCCTTTCACAAACTGGAAAAAATTATGTTAGTATCTGTAGTACTGACGATTGGAAGCCTTAGACGTTTTCAATAAGATGTAAATCAAGTGTATTGTATATGGGCCAAAATGAGAGCTGTGGGGGAAAGGGTTCTCTCGAACTGATTGAAGTTACTTGTTTTAGTGTTTAATTAATGACCTGGTGACATGTTTTGAAAAATAGCAACATTTCTAACTCCCTCAGCAATGTCAAATCCAGGACTTCCTCTTCTCTGCAGCCAAGGTTGAGTTTTAACTCCAGCTCCATGGATAATAAGGAGGGAAGTTTTCTGTTACGGTAGCTAAAAGATGTATTTCCACCCCAGTGACTAACTGTGTCATGAAACAAAGAAGCAAAAGATAAGGAAGGTGGAATAGGAACAGAGCAGAACCTAAATAACTGGGTAAGCTTTCCCCAGCCACAATAAACAGCAGATTATTTGAAACCACTCTTGCAATTCTCCTTACATCCCTCATAATAAGAACTCAGGAATAACTAGACTTAAAAGAAGAGGCCCTGCAGAGGCACCTCAGCAGAGGCATGAAAAATAAAGAAAAGAGAAGGGAAATTTCTGCTAGTGAAAAAAATAATTATCTAACACATTCTCTTTTGTATTCTATGAAAGAATTTTAATGTCATTTTCTCAAAAGCATGCCTAATCCATTTCCAACCTGAAAGAACATACTTTACATCAGAGAAATGCAAAGTACTTGTAAAATTGCAAATGCCTCTCTGGGAATATCTGCTTCCTCTAGCTGGTTGCACACTTTTCTCCTCCTTCCATCCACCATGTTGGTTTAGTCAATGGTGCTACTATCAACTGGCAGAAGGAAATGTGTTACTGAAAATCTCTTCCTCACAATCATTTTTCCACTTGGAAGGCATATACACTCACCACCTACTCTACCTTTCCTATTTTTTAAGCTAATTACAGCTTAAAAGATCTGTTTACAAAACAAGTGTCTATATTCTCTATAATTCCTTTCCCCCTTCTCCTTTTCTTTCTACCTCTTCTCTAATTACTCCAGCAAAATCTCTCATCTTCTCTTGGTTATTTTATTTATTTTTTTATTTTATTTATTTTATTTTATTTTATTTTATTTTACTTTATTTTGAGACAGGGTCTTACTCTGTCACCCAGCCTGGAGTGCAGTAGTACAATCGTGACTCACTGCAGCCTTGACTTCCTGGACTCAGGTGATCCTCCCACTTTAGCCTCCCAGGTAGCTGAGACTACAGGCACATGCCACCATACCAGGCTAATTTTTGTATTTTTTGTAACAATCGGGTTTCTCCATGTTACCCAGACTGGTCTCAAACTCCTGGGCTCAAGCCATCCATGCCTCAGCCTCTTAAAGTGCTGGAATTACGGGCGTGAGCCACCGTACCCAGCCTCTCTTGGTTATATTTGTAAACGACAACAACTAAAAGTTCTTGTTGTTTTGGAACTCTAGAAGTATAAAAAATTATTACATGTACAATTATGTCAAATAAAAGGAAATCTTTTAAATTTGAAGTGAAATTAGATCAAATAGACATCTATCTTCAAAGCCCTTGAAAATATTCACAAATCTAAAATCTTCTCCAACATTTATGTCTGCTTCCTTATCCTTCCCTCCTTTAAGCACAATCATTTCAGATTAAAATATAATAACATTTAGCTTTCTCATTTTATTGATAATGTGATATCGTTCCTCTTTTTCTTGTATTTCATTGCAAATGGGGGTAGTCAGTTGAATCATGGCTTAAACAAACTATGGATTTTTCTTGAAATTTAACTACTAAGGAGTAATACCAATCACATTTTTCCTATGGAGAAATATGTCAGTGTCACAGATAATTTGATTTCAAAAATCATTTCCAACAGAACTCATTCAAAAGATGTAAAACACTGACTATTGAAGAATCTGACAGAGTGCTCTATGCATTAAGAACTAACAAAAATGGGAGCCCCTAAATGGGCTTGCTCTCCCATTCATTGTCATCAACAGCTTCATTGAAAGACAGGACCACAATGGTGGTGAATAACACAGGCTTTGAAGCCAGATGGCCCACGTCCAAATTTTAGCTCTGCCACATACTAGCTGGGAAAACTTGAGCAAGTCACTTACTCTTTTAGAGCCTAAATGTCTTCATCTCTAAAATAGGGATAATTATAGTACCTGTGCCATAGAGACGCTATGAGAATTTAATGAATTAATTCATGTAAGTTTACAGAACAATTCCCGTCAGATGGTAAACCACCAATAAATGTTAGAGATCTTTGTTATTATTATTTTATTATTATTATTATTATTGTTATTACATCAGACACCAGAATCTCTTCCCCCTTTGTATCCCCCTTACTGAAGTTCACATGGAGGTGGGCACACCAGGGAGCTCAGAAGAGACTTGCTGACACCCAGATGTGTGATGTATGTGATGTATAAGAGCTGTATTAAGCTGAGGGGCAGGAAGGCCTGCAGAGCAGCCACTACTATCATCTGGAGTTAACGAGGGCTTGAATTTACCCAGCTGCAGTGGGAAGGAAAATGAGTAAACAGGGCCAAGAGATATGACAAACTCTAAAGATCCAAATGGGAATGGTACCCTCGGCCCAACACTCATGCAAACACTCCTGACATAGCAGCAGGTCAATCAGTAATAGGAAAACCAACATTGTTAGGTGACCAACGCTGCTGTATTCCCAGAACCCTACCTACTTCCTAGAATCTCCAGCACTTAGTCGTCAAAAGAAGTTGGAGTATATGATCCCTAAGGTCTCATACAGTGCTTAAGTAATGCCATTTTTGGCAAGGCAAACGCCAATATTCCTGAAGTATTTTCCTTAACAAATATCAAGATGCTGGAGGCAGGATGGGGGTAGGCATTGACAACCTCTGTAACATTTATCTCTTCACCAAAGAAAACAATCTGAGCAAGTAGGGGGAAATATTAACATTTGTTAAAAATAGAAGGTGGGAATATATTTTATTTTCTAAATTGTCTTTATATTTCAAATATCTGATAATTAAATTAACAACTAAAAAATGCAAATATAATCTACAATGGGCAAAAAATAACACAGAGTAAAGAAGAATAAACATACACCAGTGTGTCTGTTAAAATTGCTATTTTAGTTTCTAGTTGTATGCTTTCACTTGAGGGGATTGGATGTTAATAGAAAGAGGGATGTGGATAGAAAGAGGCCAGATTAGGGTGGGGCAGTATGAGGAGAGGGTGGTATGTAGGTATCAATATATTCTTCCTGACCCTAACCCTAACCTCGTGTGGCAGAAAGGTACGGGGACAGCAGGCTGAAGCCTCAGGTATAGGAACAGAAAGTGAGCAACAGACAAAATCCAGAATGCCTAGGTGGCTCCTGACTCATGTGTAAATTCTGCGCCAATTGCCAAATACTGACTAGCAGGAAGGGAATAGTCATGTGGCTAAGAGCACATGTTCTAGAGTCACACTCATCTGAGTATGACCCCAATTTTTCTATTTACTACTCATATGACCTCGAGCAAGTTATTTATCCTCCCTATGTCTTCTCCTCAGACAAATAGAGATAACAGTGACACCTTACTCATAAGACAATCCATCATGAGGATTAAATAACACAAAACCTTCAACATTTTTAGAGCAATGCTTAGAACACAGGAAGTGCTCACTAAGAGCCGCTATTATCACCATCATCAATAATATTATCATTTGCCCTGCTCTTCTATTTCCTGGACCGTCTCAGCAGCAACAAACTCTTTTCTTACAGATATGCAAACCAGCTACACAGTTTCAAAATTCCAGTCTTCCTTCTGCTCCATGGTTTGCATGTTCTGTGCTTTCAACAGGTGTACATCCATGTCTAGTAGCAGTAGTTAAACTGGCTAGACAAATAAGGCAAATGGAGTGTCAAAATCAAAATAAAATATTAAGATAGTCTTCAAATTTAATGTTTTATTTGGGAAGCAAGAATTGCAAATTAGGGCATGCACACAGACCAGGTGGTCTTCAGTATGTCTGAAGAACAAAGGAAAGGTTGAGGGTTTTATTAGAAGGAGAAACGTTACTTGTTGTTTTGAAAGCAAGCTCATTGGCACTAGAGAAGCTCTTGGGAGCTGGCAAGCTCTGATTGGTGAGTGACAGCAGTAGGTAAAACTAGTTTAGAATCACAGCAGGCCATGTCAGCAGCTGCTAGTTAGAACTGGTCTTAGGGGGTACAGCAGGCCATTTCAGCAGCTGGGCTTGTGGATAATTTAACTCTTAGGAGCAGATGCTGTGTGCCCAAGTACTTTTCACCCCTGGCCTCTCGACTCTGATTTAGTTGAGTATGACAAGAATGACCCAATTCATATTAATTAATTTAATTACTATATTACTTTTAATTGTAAAAACCGCAATTACTTTTGCACCAACCTAACAGAGTAAACTTTCACAAGAAAAAGCCTCAAAAGGCCGAGTGGCCTCATCAGGAGTGTACCAGGGTTTTCTTTCAACCATGTTAGCTTAGAAGAGTCACTATCTGCTTGCATTATGCTCTTAGAACATTCTCCAGCACCAAGACTCTTCCTGTAGAATTCCATCAAATGTCCCCTGGAAGTAAAAGTAAATGTATAATACTACTGTTTCCATTCATGGCCAATCATTTTGTAGATGGGCTAGGAAATGATTTCTTTAGAACATATTGCTGAGCTTTATAGTACCTTTGGTTCTCAAAGTTGGAAAAGCAGCACTAGGGGAATGGTGCTATATGCATGGGCAAAAATATAGTTGTATCACAGGTTTAGATCTGTCACAAAACTCACCTCGTGTAATCTTGCTTATTTAAAAATTTTTTAATGGGTACAAAAAACAGAATGAATAAGAACTAGTATCTGATAGCATACCTGGGTAACTGTAGTCAATAATAAATTTATTGTCATTTGAAATAAAAGGCGTAAGTGTATTGTTTGTAACACAAAGGATAAATGCTTCAGGTGATGGATACCCCATTTACCCTGATGTGATTATTATGCATTGCATTCCTGTGTCAAAATATTATATGTATTCCCTAAATATATACTCCTAATATGTACTCATGAAAAATAAAAATTAAAAAATATTTCTCACATTTTGCTAAAATCCCCGAGGCTGCGATATCTTAGACCATTGTCACTATGTCCTCTTAGAGAGAAGAGAGGCAGGAGAGATAGCAGGGAAGTTAGTTACAATGCCCCAGAAGAAGAGAGGGTGCTGCAAGGATATTCTACAGGCAGGAAGAACTAGAAGGCACCAGCTGGCCCAATCCACTCAGGATCATATATTGGGAAACTGAAGTGGGGAGGAAGCTGTTTTGTTTAAGGTCACTGGGGGTAGATACAGAACTGAGATTTAAATTGCCTAACTCTTGTCTAATATTCTTTTTACAGTGCTACATGGTGCTGTTTTATGGAAGAGAAAGACTAGTAAAATTATATTTCATATAGCATTTTAATTAAATGTACGCCTTTTTCAAATGAAAATAACTAAGAAGCAAGGAATGTTGCTTATAAGCCCTCTTTATAATTTATATTGGCTTTTTGGGGACCCAAGACATTAATAAAAATGGAGAGAAAAGACATCATTTTAGTGAAGTATGCTTTATATTTTCTATATAAAAATCAAACATGCACATTTGAACAAAATTGGACAATACAACACTAGCAACAATATTCCCCAATATCCACGTAAGTCTTAGAACCACCATTCAAACACAATCACCCTTAACAAGCTGGTATGTTCCCTTTCTATTTTATTTTCCTGCTATAATTTTTATATATTTGTAGCTAGATTGTATTTAATGCTAAATTTTTATTTTTACTTAGCAATACAACATAAGCATTTTTCCTGTTAAAAAATACATGCTCTGAGAAAGAACCGGAAAACAGAAAAATAAAATTTATTTTAACTAAATTTAATTTAATTTAAACTGTCTGGACACAGCGCTCATGCCTGTAATCCCAGCATTTTGGGAGGCCAAGGCAAAAGGGCCATTTGAGCTTAGGAGTTCAAGACCACCCCGAGCAATATAGCAAGACCCCCATCTACCAAAAATTTATGAAATTAGCTAGGCATGGTGGCACGCACCCATAGTCCCTGCTACTTGGGAGGCTGAAGTGGAGGATCCCTTGAGCCCAGGAGTTCAAGGTCACAGTCAGCTATGGTTGCATCACGACACTCCAGCCTGGGTGACAGAGAAAGACCCTGTCTCTAAAAATAAAAATTTAAAATAATTTAAAAATAAATGAAAATCAATATAAAATGCTAAAATTAGAATCACTCAAAATGTTGCACCATGGGTACATGATCTTTCCTATCATCATTCAACATGTTTTCTACTGCCTACATTTACTCTGTGTGGGCATCTAGTTTACCCTTTGTAAATCCCAGGGGTTGACGTTTATGCCTCAGAGTAGATGGAGTGAACAAAGCAGAGAGGAAGAATTAGCAAGACAGGTCGACCCCATTACTTCTCCCTTACTCCTATTCAAGTTTCGCCCAGACCTAAATTCTCTTCCCATTCTATCTATTTCATTTACAGTTGTATAACTTCTCATGTGTTCAGATGGAGAAGGAGCTTCCAAGGGGATAGAGTAGGGGAGTGAGAGGAGAATGATTTAGAGAAGGGGAAACAGAGTTAAAAGTGAAGCTCTAATCACAAGTGGTAAGAAAAGTTTCAAAGAGAAAGTCTTTCGAGGAAGTCGGGGCCCAGTAGGTTAAACCCAAGGTGGGAGAATGGAAGAAAGCATAATGGTGAGGAGAGGAAAGAAAACTAAGAAATAGGCGGGGAAAGGAGGGGTGGGCGATTGAGAAAAAGAGGAAAGAAAGGAAAAAGGAAAGGGAAGGGAAGGGAGAGAAGAGAGAGGAAGGAAGGAAGGAAAAAAGGAAGGAAGGAAGGAAGGCAGGCAGGCAAAACAAAACAAAACAAAACACCTGCTATTCCCTTCTTTTCTACCTGCCTTTCTGTGACCTAGAGTGATGTGGTGATTAATTTTATGTATCAATTTGACTGGGCCACAGGGTGCCCAGATATTATTTCTGGTCTGTTAAACATTATTTCTGGTCTGTCTTGGAGAGTGTTTCCAGAAACAGTTAGCAATTACCCTGAAATAAGACACTGCCTGTTTCTAAGTAACCTCTTTAAACTAATCTCAATGTTAGGAAAGATAGTTTAATAATAAATTATTTATCTGCAAGACCACTTTATAACTATTCTCCTGGTTTCTTTCTATGTTGACTAGAAAACCTTCCTGGGGTCTGTTTCTGTTTCCACCTCTTAGAAGCTGAGTATTCATAAATTACTTTGTCATTCTGAGCAGCATTGAACCCATTTGTAGAAACAGGAGAAAGTATTTATCTTCACCAATTGTTGTGCCAATTCACTGATTCATTCCATAAACATGTATTCAGACCTACTTGATGCCAACCACTTTTCCAGGAGCTGGGGCCACAGCAGTGCACAAAACATCCCAGCCCTCTTGGAAAAGACAATAGAGGCAAGATAGGGTTCAAGGAGACAGACAACAGCAAATAAATAAATGGTTGCCTGATGGTAAGTGCGGTAGAGCATTGCATTTTTTATAGAAGGTGATTAGCAATGACCTCTACCTGTTCATGCATATATTTGATGGGGCAGTCTTTCTGGCAGCTGGAACCTCAGTTACAAAGGCTCTGAGTCAGGAACGTGTTTGCATTTTCACACAACAATGAAGATACCAGGATGGCTAGATCAGAGTGGAACAGGAAGGGAGAGGTGGGGGATGAAGTCAGATAAATAAGTAGGTTGCAGATCTTGTAGGGCCTTGAAGGTTAATGTAAGGGCTTTGGGTTTTACTCTGCAAAAGAATGGAGCTCTGGAAGTTCTAAGCAGAGGCAGGATATGGTATGACTTTGTGAGGGAATCACTGGCTCTCATGCTACGATGAAACTGTAAAGGCAAGACCAGAAGCAGGGTCCACTTAGAAGGTCAAGGCAGTAATCTGAGAGGGAGGTGCTAGTGGCTTGGTCCAGGGTGGTAGCAGGAAGATGGGGAACAGTGTCTGGATTCTGGAGATACTGTGAAGGTTAAAGGGACAGGATTCGATGATGGGTTGGAGAACATAAACAATGGAGAATAAAGTCTAACATCTGGTGTACAGTACATGCTCTACACATGTTAGTTTATTTTCACTTCTTTCCTCCTAATAGTTATTTGAGTCCAGAGCGTTGGGGAAAAGAAGGATTTAAAGGAAGGAAGGGGTGAAAACTAACAGGGAAAAGGGCAGAGCCTGGGCTTGCACACAGAGGCCTGCCTAGTTTCTTGTCTCTTTCAAACAGCATGAGGTCTTTGAGGGTTTTTTCGTTGCTTTATTATTTTTTTCATTTCTTGTTACTTTTTTCTTTATTGAGGTATATATTTTCAGTGTACAATGTGGTGTCTTCATATAGGTATACATTGTGAAAAGATTCCCACAATCAAGCCAATTAACATATACATCACCTCACATAGTTATCATTTTCTGTGTGTATGTTGTCAGAACATTAAAGTCTACTGTCAGAATTAGAATGGTGGTTGCCAGGGGCTGCGTGGAGGGAGAAATTGGGTCAAAGGGTACACACTTCCATTTAGAAGGTGAACAAGTTCTGAGGATCTAATGTACAGTGTGGTGACTGTAGTTCATAATACTGTGTCATATACTTGAAATTTGTAAGACAGTAGATCTTAAATATTCTCACCACTTACCAAAAAAAAAAAAAAAAAAGTAACCGTGAGGTAACAGATAGGTTAATTAGCTGGTTTGTGTTAATTATTTCACAATGTATATGTATATCAAAGCATCACTCTGTACACAGTAAATATATTCAATTTTTATTTGTCAGTTATACCATAATAAAGCTGGGAAAAATTAAAAATGTAAGATCTACTCCCTTAGGTATATTCAAGTATACAATAAATTGTGTTTTGTGCTATACAAAGTTTTTCAGAACTTATTCATCCCATGTAACTGAAAGTTTATACCTTTGGACCAATACCTCTCCATCCTCCCCAATCTCACCCAGCCCCTGGAAACCACCATTCTACTCTCTCTTTCCATGGGTTTAAATTCCACATAAGTGGGATCATGTGGTATTTGTCTTTCTGTGCCTGGCTTACTCATTTAACAGAAATTCCTTCAGATTTATCCATGTTATTGCAAATGACAGGATTTCTTTCTTTCGTAAGGCTGAACAGTGTTCCAGGCTGAGGTGTGTTCCACATTTTCTTTATCCATTCACTCATCCATGGACACTTAGCTTGGTTCCATATCTTGGCTGTTGTGAATGGTGCTGCAATATACATGGAGTGCAAATATATCTTTGACATATTAATTTCATTTCCTTTGGATATATACCCAGAGGTTGGTTGGCTGGATCTTATGGTTGTTCTATTTTTAATTTTTTGAGGAATCTCCACACTGGTTGCAATAATTTACATTTCCACCAATAGTGCGTAAGGGTTCCCTGTTCTCCACATCTATGCTAGTAATTGTTTATCTTTTATCTTTTTCATCATAGCCATTCTAACAGGTGTGAGGTGGTATCTCATTGTGGTTTTGATTTGTATTTACCTGATTATCAGTAATACTGAGCATTTTTTTCATCTTCCTGGTGGTCATTTGTATGTTTTCTCTTGAGAAATGTCTATTCAGGCCCCCTGCCCATTTTTAATTTATTTTTCTTCTTATTATTATTATTTTAGACAGAGTCACTCTGTTGACCAGGCTGGGGTGCAGCGGCATGATCTCTGCTCACTACAACATCCTCCTCCCAGGTTCAAGTGATTCTCCTGCCTCAGCCTCCTGAGAAGCTGGGCTACAGGCACACCATCAAATCCAGTTTTTTGTTTGTTTGTTTGTTTTGAGACGGAGTCTCGCTCTGTCACCCAGGCTGGAGTGCAGTGGCGCGATCTCTGCTCACTGTAAGCTCCGCCTCCCGGGTTCACGCCATTCTCTTGCCTCAGCCTCCCGAGTAGCTGGGACTACAGGTGCCTGCCACCATGCCTGGCTAATTTTTTCTATTTTTTTTTAGTAGAGATAGGATTTCACTTTTTTTTTTTTTTTTTTTAAGTAGAGACAAGGTTTCACCATGTTAGACAGGCTGGTCTCAAACTCCTGACCTAAAATGATCCACCTGCCTTGGCCTCCCAAAGTGTTGGAATTACAACCATGAGCCACCACACCTTGCTATGCCCATTTTTCAATGGGGTTGTTTTCTTGCTATTGAATTGTTTGCATTTCTTACATATTTTATGTATTAACCCTTTGTCAGATGTGTCATTTGCAAATATATTCTCCCATTCCATAGGTTATCACTTCATTAGGTTGTTTCCCTTGTGTGTAGAAGTTTTTTAGTTTGATCCAATCTTATTTATTTTTGCATTTGTTGCCTGTGCTTTGGGGAAATATTTAAAAAACCATTGCCCAGAAAAATGTCAAGAAAGGTGTTTATTTTCTGTTTTCTTCTAGCAGTTTTAGAATTTCATGTCTTTCTTTTAAGTTTTTAATCTATTTTGAGTTAATTTTTGTGTATAAGATAGGGGTTCAATTTCATTATTTTGCATGTGGATATCCAGTTTTTCCAACACTATTTATTGAAAAGACTACCCTTTTTCCCTTGTGTGTTCTTTCCCCCTTTGTCAAAGATCAAGTGATTATTGTCTTAGTTCATGTGTGCTACTATAACTAAATATCTGAGACTGAGCAATTTATTTTAAAAATCAGAAATTTATTTATTGTAGTTCTGGAGGCTGGGAAGTCCAAGATCAAGGCACCAGCATTTGGTGTGTGGTGAGGTCCTTCTTGCTGTGTCCTCACATGGCAGAAGGCAGAAGAAGGGCAAAGGGAGGATTGCTGTTTTCTTACGTGGAGGAAGAAAATCAAGGCCTAGTTTCCTCCAGCTCTTTTATAAAGCACTAATCCATTCATGAGGCTGGAGCCCTCATAACTTAATCACTTCTCAAAAGGAAGTAATTATACCACCTCTTAATACCACTACAATAGAAATTAAATTTCAGTGTAAATTGTGGAGGGGACACACTCAAACTGTAGCAACCATAAGGGCATGGATTTATTTCTGGGCTCTCTATTATGTTCAGTTTGTCTGTTTTTAATGCCAGTACCATGCTGCTTTGATTACTATAGTTTTAAAAATATTTTGAAATCAAGTAGTATGATACCTCCGGCTTTGTTCTTCTTGCTCAAGATTAATTTGGCTATTCAGAGCCTTTAGTGATTCAATAAAAACTTTAGGGTTTTTCTATTTCTGTGAAAAATGTCACTTGAATTTTAATAGAGATTGCAACAGAAATCTATAGATTGCTTTGAGTACTTAGTTCATTCATTCTGCTATAACAAAATATTTTAGACTAAGTAATTTATAAGCCACAAAAATTTATTTCTCACGGTTCTAAAGGCTGGCATATCTAAGATCAAGGTACCAGAAGGTTCAGTGTCCAATGAGGGCTTGCTGTCTGCTTCAAAGATGGCATTTTCTCACTGTGTCCTCACATGAGGGAAGGAGAAAAGGGTTACCACAAGCCTCTTTTATAAAGTCATTAATCTCATTCAGAGGGCAGAGCCCTCAGGACTTAATCACCTCCTTCAGTTTTCAATGTACCAGTCTTTCACCTCCTTGGATAAATTTATTCCTAAGAACTTTAGGGTTTTGAGGCTATTGTAAATAGAGTTGTATACTTCATTTATCTTTTAGATACTTCCTTGTTAGTGTACAAGAACATTACTGATTTTTAACGTTGATTTTGTACATTTACTAAATTTATTGGTTCTAACAGTTTTTTGGTGGAGACTTCAGAGTTTTCTATATATAAGATCATATTATCTGCAAATAGAAACAATTTAAATTTTTTTCATTCTATCTTGGATGTCATTTATTTATTTCCCTTGCCTAAGTTATCTGGCTAGGACGTCTGGTACTATATTAAATACAAGTGATTAGAGTGGGCATTCTTGTCTTATTCATCAACTTAGAGATAAGGCCTTCAGCTTTTCACCATTGAGTCTGATGTTAGCTGTGTGTTTGTCATATATAGCTTTTATTATCTTGAGGTACATTTCTCCTGTACATAATTTGTTGAAAGGTTCTATCATGAAAGGATGTTGAAGTTTGCCAAATGCTTTGCTGTATCTATTGAGATGATCATACGATTTTTATCCTTCATTCCGTTAATGTGGTTGATATGGTTTGGATCTGTGTCCTCACCCAAATCTCATGTCAAATTGTAATTCCCAGTGTTGGAGGTGGGGCCTGGTGGCAGGTCACTGGATCATGGGGGTGGATTTCTCATGAATGGTTTAGCACCATCTTTTTTGTGCTGTGCTTGTGATAGTGAGTAAATTCATGTGAAATCTGGTTGTTTAAAAGTGGTAGCACCTCCTCTCTTTCTCTCTCTTTCTTGCTCCTGCTCTGACCATGTAATGTGTCTGCTCTCCCTTCACCTTCCCCCACAATTGAAGCTTCCTGAGGCCTTCCCAGAAGCTGAGTGTATGACACCACCATGCTTCCTGTACAGGCTGCAGAACCATGAACCAACTAAACCTCTTTTCTTTATAAATTATTGTCTCAGGTATTTCTTTATAGCAATGCAAGAACAAGCTAATACAGTGGCTAATCACATTTATAGATTGTGTATGTTGAATCATTCTTGCATCCTAGAAATAAGTCCTGTTTAATCATGTCTATGGTTCTTTCAATGTGTTGTTGAATTTGTTTTGCTAGTGTTTTGTTGATAATTTTTGCATCTCTGTTCATGAAGGATATTGGCCTGTAATTTTCCTTTCTTGTAGTGTCTTTATCTGGCTTTGGGATCAGGATAACACTGATCTCATCAAATCAGTTTGAAAGTGTTTCCTTCTCTTCAATTTTTTGAAAGAGTTTGAGGATAATTCATGTTAATTCTTCCTAAATGTTTGGTAGAACTCACCAGTGAAGCCATCAGGTCCTACACATTTCTTTTCTGGGAGTTTTTTGATTACTGATTCAATCTCCTTACTCATTATTGGTCTATTCAGATTTTCTCTTTATTTATTCATGATTCACTGTTGGTAGGTAGGTTGTGTGCTTTTAGAAATTTGTCAATCACGTCTAGATTATCCACTTTTTGTCATACAATTGTTCATAGTAGTCTCTTATGATCCTTTGTATTTCTGTGATATCAGTTATAATATTTCCTCTTTTATTTATAATTTTATTTGCCTCTTCTCTTTTTTCTTAAGTTGGTCTACGTAAAGGCTTGTCAGTTTTGTTTATCTTTTCAAAAAACCACCTCAGTTTTATTGAACTTTTCTATTATTTTTCTAGTCTCTGTTTCGTTCATTTCTGTTTTAATCTTTATTATTTCCTTCCTTCTGCTGACTTTGGGATTAATTTGTTTTCTTTTTCTAGTTCCTTGAGATATACAGTTAGGTTTTTTATTTGACATCTTTCTTTCTTAATTTAGGCATTTATCATTGTGAATTTCCCTCTTAGAACTAACTTTGCTGCATCCTAGTCTCTTTCCAGGAGTTACTGGCGTAAATGTCCTGAGCTTGATGAAGCAGGAAACGGGGACAGTCTTGGCCCAAGCATAAGGTCTTTGAATGCTGCTCAGTAAGAGGGCCTCCTCACCCCTACTGTGCTGAGAGGGTGAAGGTGGAGAAGGGGTCATGTGAGAAGCTTATGTGGTTTCCAAGAGAGGCTTTACTGACTTTATTCTTTGACTTAAAATACGTCTTGACAACCTGCAAGAGGAGGGAAAAAGTATTTTCTTTTTTGAGACAGGGTCTTGCAATGGCACGCTCGTGGCTCACTGTGGCCTCAACCTCCTAGGCTCAAGTGATCCTCCTGCTTCAGCCTCCTGAGTAGCTAGGACTACAGATGCATGCCACCAGGCCCAACTATTTTTATTTTGATTTTTTGTAGAGAGAGGGTTTCACCATGTTGCCCAGGCTAGTCTCGAACTCCTGAGCTCAAGCAATCTGACTGCCTTGGCCTCCCAAGGGAAAAAAATATTTTTAATTGTGATCAGGTTGTAAGGTCTTAATTGAATCTCGTCAATGCTTAACTCTTCTCCTCTTGTAAATATCCATACTAACACATCTATGGCACTAGATAAAACCTGGAATATAGATGCAACTCAGGTGAAAATGGAGGAGTGAGAGAATCAGAACTAACTGGGATTTGTTTTCACTTCCCAGACGAATTAGGACTCAAATTAGAAACAAAAATTTTTAATGTTGTATTTCATATACAGCTCAATTTTATGTAATGCATTGCTACCCACTATAATAACGGCACTGTCATCTTAATATTTAGTTGTTTAAAAGTCATCCATTTTTCTCCTATAAAGACATATTTTAGTTATATTTTGCAAATATTTCCTAAGACTTATTTAGGCTTGATTATATTTTTAAAATTCTGGCTCTAGCAAGGTAAAATAACTTGATTTATCAACATATGACAATCATACTGAAGTAAACTATCTAGAGCCCTAAAAAAGGTGGGTACCCAGCCGTTTCCTTGGGTTATTTCATAGAGCTCAAAGGATAACAAGCATTTCAACATGAGCAGCAAAATAGGAAAGCTGGGATAAGGGCTCTGAGTAGTCCCAGCTACTCAGGAGGCTGAGCCAGGAGAATTGCTTGAACTCGGGAGGTGGAGGTTGCAGTGAGCTGAGATCACACCACTGCACTCCAGCTAGGGCGACATAGCAAGACTAGGTCTCAAAAAAAAAAAAAAGCAAGAGTCTAAACAAACTCATAACCAACCATAAATATCTCACCCTATTTTGTTAAAAACACACAAAACCCCTGAAAACATAATAATTTCTTTTATTGAAGATAGTGAAGAAAGACCTGTGAGGTGACTCACACCTATAATCCCAGCACTTTGGAAAGCTGAGGCAGGCAGATTGCTTGAACCTAGAAGTTCGAGAACAGCCTGGACAACATGGCAAAACCATGTGAGGACAGAGCAAGAAGGCACCATTGCTGGGCACAGTGGCTCACACCTGTAATCCCAGCATTTTGGGAGGCCAAGGCAGATGTATTGCTTCAGCTCAGAAGTTCAAGACCAGCCCCAGCAACATGGTGAAACCCCATCTCTACTAAAAATACAAAAAACTAGCCAGGCATGGTTGTGTGTGCCTGTGGTTCAGGCATTGCATGATAACACTGCATTGCATAAACTTACTGATAGGATGAGTTTTCAAGAAAATAGTAATAATGGAATGCTAAGCTCCAAGCAAAATAAATAAAATACACAAATTACATGGGGATGCCTAAAGCTAGCAGTGATTATGGCAACATTAAACATGGAAAAATTACTCATGTGTTAAGATTATCAGTCTCTGCTTCCTGAATTCCCTGTCCATTGAAGAACTGGCTTTGTGGTTTCATTAAGTTGTTTCTTACACTCCATTAATCACTCAGAATAATGCTATATTTTAGCTTACCCCATGGTTTGCTACTATAACTTTTTCCCAAATTTTCATTTGTTTTGCTTTTTTTATTCTTATTTATTAGACAGATAAATACATTAATTCAGCACTGAAAACTTCTAGGTTTATAATAATGAAACATGTATGTTAGTATATACTTTCTTATTAAAGATAGTCTCTATTGAGCCATATTCTTTGACCCAATAATTCTATAAATTTAATCCAGAAGAAATGATCAGAGATGCACTAAACATCTATGTACAGTCATTTGTTATTATTTATGAAAATCAAAATTAGAAAGAATCTGAATAATCGATAATAAATGGTTTCTCAAATAAATTATGAAGAAACATAAATGATAAAAAAACTGTATTTCCTGAATGCTCACATATATAAGTGTTAATGCATAAGAAAACTACACAGACACAAAACTGATAAAAACAGTAACTTCTGAGGATGAGAAATACTGGAGGACTTTATTTAATTATTTGAGACTTTTTAAATGAGAATGCAATGGTGTTTTGCTTGATATAATCTTTAAAACACATATAAAACTATTATTAATGTTCTGCAAACCCTACATAAATAAAGAACCAGATCAAAGAAAATAGCAATGAAAAAAGCACATCCACAAGATGAAATATCATATATCTATTAAGATTAATGTTTCTGGATAAATTTTAGTGATATGAGAAATGTTCATTATATATTACTAAGTGGAGTAAAGAGAAGGATAAAATGTTCTCTCTGCTATGAATATCTGTGTGTGTCCATAAATAAGAAAACAGAATAAAGCACATCGAAATATGAATAGTTGTTATATGTAGGCTGTGAAATACCAATGATTTCTGTTTTCCTTCTATATTTATTTACTTTCCAAGTTTTCTATATCTTTCACAATAAAGGTAAAAATATTTTTAAGCCAAATCATAAACTGAGTTCTGACATCTACTACACAGTATGTTACCATCAATTCCCAGGAAAATATCCTTTCTGTTGAGGATATTCATCATAGAGATTGTGTACAGTAGATGATGTACCATGATTCCACTAACTAGAAATTGAAACGGTGGAACACTGGCTGGAACGTTCTGTCAGTTTTACTAAAAGCAAAACAAACAAAAAATGGGAAAGCAGACTAGAGATTCAAAGAAGTGAATTTGCTTAACAATAAAATTAGCAAGCACTTACTAGATGTCTTCCTGACCTTAATATACAGGTGCATTCTGAATGGCAGCTCACATAGCATTGTTACACCCTGGAGATTTTAGGTTCGCCACAGGAGGAAATTCCTAACACGGGTGCTAGTTTTCAAAGCAAGGTAAGGAGAGCTCCTTTCCAAAAATAGGACAGTGTCTTATGTGTCAAGCAAGACATCTATGAGGTTTGCTAAAGGCAGCTGACTGGACTAAGTCACTCAAATTATTTTCTGCTCTATCACTAAAGAGAGGAAAACATAGCCTAATGTTTTGTAACCTAAACAACACATTTGTAGGTTGAATTTTCAGATAGTTTTAAGTAAAAAGTAACCTGGAGCAAAGATTCTCACATTTGATATTCTAGAGATTCAAAAGCTCTTGAATGATTTCAATAGATGTTATAAAACTCTCAAACTAAACATGTTAACTCACTTTAATTTTTTAAATGTTAAATAATATACTTACAATGTAGTTCATTTAGGAGTTTGTGTGTGCATATGCGTATTATGTGAATAGACTGCCAATTCACGTGTGTATGCACAAACACACACATACACACAAACAGAAGTTGCTGAACATTGCAGTAAACAGGATATATACACTGGGCATTTCATCACCATCCAAAGCAGAAGCTTCAAGAATCCTCACTTGTGTAGACCACTTGCAAGGCCTTGGGTGGTTCCTAAGAATGTGCCCACCTGACCAAATGTCTTGATTAAACTTGTAAAAGAAGATATTTTTATATTTTTCTACTTGAAGAGATTCTCCAATATTGTATATGCTTTGGACCCCAGAAGCCTGAACCTATGTGTGAGTAGCATTAAATATATGGCTGGAAAGACAGCAGACAAGAAGAGGTAACAACATAAACATTTACTGAGTGCTAAATATGTGTGAGGCCCAATGAAAGGCATTTCGTACAAACCACACAGAATCCCAGACCTTCCATTTCCAGCTTTGGACCCTGCCCCCTCACTTCCTGACCCAGTGTGAAGTCAGTTCAATTGAATTATGGGGCCCACAACGGAGGCTGGTTCTCAGCTACCCCTATAGGGATGAGGATAATGAGAAAGAGAAGGAATGTTTAGCCCTGCTTCAATTCCTCATTGTCTTCTACTTCCCTTCTTTGGTTGCTTGATAACATTGCATTTTATTTATAATGCATTCTTCTTTGGTTTTAATGTGCTTTTTAACATATTTCATCTGATTCTACCATCACCCTAGAAGATAGGGAGGTATTCTTAAAGCTGTTTTACATACAAAAAAACACTAAGTTTTAGAAATGCCAGGTGGCTGGATAAAACTCATAAGGCAAATAACACAGCATGATCACCAGAACTCAACCTTTATGACCTCTCACTTAGTGACCTTCCCCCTGCTCCATCCCTTGAAGCAGTGTGAGAGACAAAGGGTAAACAGACCTTCCTTCAACAACATAACACTGGGTTGTTACAAAAACTGCCTTGGGGCTTCCCAGGCAAAATCAGTGTGGCACACAGCCACAGAAGATCAAAGAAAACAAAACCACTGACATGGTAATCTTTTCTCTTGACTTTCATTAAGAGAGCATCAACAAGCAAGCCCATGGATCTAACCCAAGGCCAGTGGCAGGCACTGAAACTCTAAATCTCTGCCTTTAAAATAAATGCATGCCCTCTGGCTCCACCATCACATCTTTAAAATCTTAGTCTTTTCAACTGGCTTCCATAAGCTTTCTCCTCTTACCCCCTTCCTATAGTCACTGTGGTCTTTTTTTTTTTTAAGCCCTTTTAGAGGCTCAGGTATAATCTCCTCACATGTGAAAACCATAAAAGTTGTTCTAATGTCAAAACAGAACCACTCATCATTACTCAATTTTCTTAAAATAGAGGAAAAGTTAAAAGTGAAGATGGTCAAAGAGGCCACCTTGCCAACTTGCTCAAATTCCCCAACTACGCAAAGTTATTTCCCCTCCCTGACTCAAAGGAGAAGTTTTTTTTATAACTCAAACTGGGCCAACAGAATGCAAAAGGAAAGGTGAACAGACATAAAAAAATGAGTTCCAGAGAACATGGCCACATTTCTAGAATGAGCAGGATACAATAATTGCTTATGTATCTTCACCACTTGTTTCTTCATTACCTCTTTATAGTCAGCTTCCCTCTCACTGTTCTACTTAAAGGGCACACTTTGGGGTCTCCAATAGTCCTTCTGACAAACCAAGTTGCTTATTTTCTGTCCTTGTTCTCTGCTTTCTCTGCATGACTGCTATGGTCTAAATGTTTCTGTCTCCTCGAAATTCCTATGTTGAAATCCTCACCCCCAGAATGATGGTATCAGAAGGTGAGGTCTTTGGGAGGTGATTCATTTATGGCAGTACAGCCCTCATACATGGAACTAGTGCCCTTATAAAAGAGACCCCAGAGGGCTGCCTTGCTTCTTCTACCACGTGAGGACAGAGCAAGAAGGCACCATGGCTGGGCATGGTGGCTTACACCTGTAATCCCAGCATTTTGGGAGGCGAAGGCAGATGTATTGCTTCAGCTCAGAAGCTCAAGACCAGCCCCAGCAACATGGTGAAACCCCATCTCTACGAAAAATACAAAAAACTAGCCAGGCATGGTTGTGTGTGCCTGTGGTTCAGGCTACTCGGGAGGCTGAGGTGGGAGTATCTATTGAGCCCGGGAGGTCAAGGCTGCAGTGAGCCATGATGGCACCATTACACTCCAGCCTGGGTGACAGACTAAAAAAAAAGAAGGCACCATTTATGAATCAAAATCCTAGCCCTCACCATAAACCAAATCAACCAGGACTTAATCTTGGACTTTGCAGCCTCCAGAACTGTGAGAAATAAACATTTGTTGTTTATAAGCCACTCAATTTATGGTACTTTGCTATAGCAGTTAAAACAGACTAAGACAGTAGCCCTTCACTCCACTGACAGGCTTCAAGAGTTTCCCTTCTTGAACCTCTCCATGCCTTTGGACTTTGGGACATTCCAGGGTTTTGGTTTCTCCTTATTTCTCCACTTGCTACTTTTTTTCCCTTGGTTCTACTTACAGGTCATTCTGCTCATCCCATCCCTCATTCTGTTTTGCTGTTTTTCCCATTCTTGTTACAGCAACAACAAAAAAAGATTTAAAAGCCTATGAGCCACTCCAAATCCCATCTGAGAGAAAACTCATTTGCTCCTATTTGCAAATATAAGATGTTTTAAGGGTTGAGCTCAGAAAAGACTCTGAAGGAAGGCATGCAGATGCATTTCAAAATGCCATGCATTTTCCTTGAGTTGAGGCATGCATAATCTCAGGCTGAATGAGGTTGCCCAAGGACTCAAAAGAATTGACTCACAGAATTCACTGCCAAGATATTCCCCAAAGTGGGAACAAATAGGGAAACTTTCTACCTCTGTCATTACAGGCTACATGATGAGGACTCAAGGTTCAGAGGGCCACATGCTTAATTTTATTATCCAGTAACCAGAACCTTGTTGCTGATCAGTCAAAAGCTAAATTGATATGTAATTAAAAGCATCTTTTGCCTGTCAGCACTCCGTGATAATCAACACATTTGTCTAATTGAAGGGCAATGTAATTAAAGAAGTTTTGAATAATGGAATTAGAAAATCACAGAGGGGTGTGCTTACATATAGTGTGTCCTACTTAAACAAGGCGCCCCCAGAGTCTCTGCATGTCACAAGGCCAGGAGGAAAAGCAGTGGTCATTGACTAGATGCTGGATTGATTTAATACAAATGAAAGTAAGATTCCTTGCTTTCCCAATAAAATATTCATTGAATATTAATAAGTAGAACTCAGTAAATGTCACTTTAACAGGCTCCTTATGATTCATTCATTCAACAAGCTACCTAATTGACTGCTGAAAATGCATAGGCACTATAGGAAATCTAAAAGTAAATTAGAAATATATCCTCTGGACAAGAAACTGACAATCTAGTAGTACGATTAGATATCCTCTTAAATAACCACAATATAAATGGAAAGTAAATTATGTAAGAACCGCCCAGAGAAAATACTACGTGCTAAGATTTTTTTTTAAATATCAGTATACAGAGATTACTTTTAGTGCCAGGAAGTAGAAAGCTATGGAGGAAGAGAGAGACTAAAGAAGGAAATAACATTCGATGTGCATTTCCTATCCCAATTCATTCATTCATTTGAGAATTACTTATTACTTGCTCACAAAGTGTAAGGATGTGGGGAATACAATAGTAATAAAATACACAATGACCTACTTCCTATGTAGCTCTGAGTCTCATCAGGAAAGCACGTATCATATAAGTGATTGCAAGAACATTGAGAATCACCAAAATAACGTGGTGGGTATTGTAACCTGGCAATATTCAAGCAGTCTTGCATTTCCCCAGTGCCCCACAATACATTCTTGTGCTTCCTTTTCCCTAGCTAGGAAGCTATGGAATCTGGTTGCAGGATTGAAAATGTCAACCAACAATACAAAAGACTCTCATTTATAAATCACAGACAATATTGGTGTTTTATCTACCAAGAACCCCAGCTCCACTGAGAAAACAGGGGAGTCAAACAGACATTAGTCACTCAGCTGACCATAAATGTAGCCTAAATAAATAAATAAATACTAGATAATAATTCTCAATTAGACATAATAATACTCTACACAAAAGCCAGAAAAACATATTATGTGTTTTTATTAAACCCCTTAGATTGCTGGTAAAAGTGGCCTTATGTTGGGTAGTTGAGACAACTCATCTAGGACACAGACCCATGATTGCAGGTAATGAGAGAAGGTGGCTCCTTTTATGCCATGTAAGCTAAAGTACTCATATTCATTCATTCTAGATAGAAAAACAAACTTGTCAGCCATGGTGGCTCATGCCTATAATTTCAGCACTTTGGGATGCCAAGGCAAGAGGATCACTTGAGCCCAGGAGTTTGAGACCAGCCAGGGCAACGTAGTGATACCTATCTCTACAAAAAATAAAAACAGCTGGGTGTGGTGGCATGCACCTGTGGTCTCAGCTACTTGGGAGAATGAGGCAGGTGGATCACTTGAGGCCAGAAGGTAGAGGCTGCAGTGAACCACTGTACTCCAGCCTGGGTGACAGAGTAACACCCTGTCTCAGAAAACAAACAAGAAAGCAACAAACATCATTAATACAAACAGTCCTCAACTTACAATTGTTCAACTTAAGATTTTTCAACTTTAAGATGGTATAAAAGCCATATGCCTTCAGTAGAAACCGTACTTTAAGTAACTATACAACCATTCTGTTTTTCACTTTCAGTAAAATACTCAATAAATTACATGAGATATTCAACACTTTATATAAAACAGGCTCTGTGTTAGATGATGGTGCCCAACTGTAAGCTAATGTAGTATTCTGAGCACATTTATACCTTAAGTATCTAGGAGTAGGCTAAGCAAACTATGTGCAGTAGGTTCGGTGCATTAAATGCATTTGACTTATATTTTCAACTTACAATGGGTTTATTCAGATGTAATCCCATCATAAGTCCAAGAATATCTGTAGATCATTTTAAATATATATATTTTTTTTAATGGAGGTTCCTTTATAAAGCGCTTGTGGAATACTTTCTTAAAAAGAAAAACCCCTTTTTTTCCTGAACACTTCAATCTACTTCAAAAACTTCATGTGCTTACTTTATATATTTACTGATTTTTGTTTGTCTATTAATCTAGCAAATATTTAGCATGGTGTGCTAGACACCACCCTTGTAGTTACAAAAATGAATAAAACATAGCTCTTGCCCTCCAGTAGAAGCTATAAAATCCCAGAAGAGAAAGAAATCAACACACAAAGCTTAACCAAGGGACTCCAACAGAGGCAGGTTTTAAAGGGAGACAACGGTCATTACTGGGCCTTAAAGGTGGCCATGAGCATGCCAGGCCAAGCTAAAGGAAGAGAAGCCATAACTTGCTCTATGGGAAGAGCAATTAAGATACTTTCATGTTTAGGGCTTGATTAAATTATATTATTAATTTAATAAGACTTTTTATCCTGAGAGAGTCTTGGTGGTTTTTTATTAGAAAGAGGCTAAAAATAGAAACACATTGACTCTGGGCTTTAAGTGTTCTCTTTAAATAAAACCCTCCTAGAGGTCCCATCTTCATTCTGAGTTTCAAGGCTGATTAAAGCACTGCTTATTAAAAGCAGGTCTTCTCTATAAGGGAGGGCAAACCCTTAATTCTAAAAAAAAAAAAAAAAAAAAAAACGTGGAGAAGAGCCAGGGTATAGTAAGTGTTTTAATAGTTACACAGTTACTTACCAAGCACACCCAGAATTATCAACAAAACAGACAATTTTATGCGAGTAAACAATATGAATCAGTTGCTTTAAGAGCCCAATTTCCATAAGAGAAAGAGAATGTGTGCTTTCACAGTCATAAAATAATGACCAATGGTGTCGTCAACACTTTTCATTCCTACATATCAATATTCTTGACGAGTATCATCTGATGGAATGTATATTATTCTATCTAGAGAGGCGAATGATTTGACACAAATACCTTAACTCAGCATAGCTGAGATGGTGCTGGGTTTAAGACCAATGCTCATCTACCATTTGACTTCCAAATTAGTTCTGGACAACACTTCCACAGTGAGCTATAAATCAGAGAGGAAATGAACTCTGCATTATCTCACAACTCATGCAAAACACCTCAACTCAGTGTCACCATTCCTTCCAACACAGAGTGACCAAAGGACAAGAAATCTCATTAATTTAGTGTATTTCATGTTGAACCACTGACTTTCCGCTTGGAACTGTGGCGAATTCACCTCCCATCTCTTCCCATCCCTTAGGATGTAGGAAGTGCCTTTTTCCTTCCGCTATCCTTGCTGAAAAGACAGAACATTTTTTTGTGATCATTAATTTTTTTCTATTTTTATATATATTTGCATATATATTTCTATTTCTATATGTATATATATCTATTTTTATATATGTGTATATATCTTTTTAAAAAATATTTGAGATGGAGTTTCGCTTGTTGCCCAGGCTGGAATGCAATGGCACGATCTCAGCTCACTGCAACCTCCACCTCCTGGGTTCAAGCAATTCTCCTGCCCCAGCCTCCCAAGTAGCTGGGACTACAGGTGCCCGCCACCATGCCTTGCTAATTTTTGTATTTTTAGTAGAGACAGGGTTTCATCATGTTGGCCAGGCGGGTCTCAAACTCCTGACCTCAGGTGATCCAACCGCCTCGGCCTCCCAAAGTACTGAGATTACAGGCATGAGCCACTGTGCCCGGCCTAATTTATATATGCTTATGTATTTTAGATATGTATATGCATTTTATACACACACACACACACACACACACACACACACACACACAGACATACTGTGATGGTTAAGTTTAGATTGGCTAGATTAAGAGATACTGATAAAGCATTATTTCTGGACATTTCTGTGAGGATGTTTCCAGAAGAAATTGGCATTCAACTCAGAGGACAATGTGGGCAGGCACTATTCCATTGTCTGAGGGCTCAGATAGAGCAAAAAAGGCAGAGAAAAGGTGAACTCACTCTCTCTCTTTCCAGGAGCTGGCACACTTTTCTTCTCCTGCCCTTGAACATCAGAACTTCAGGTTCCCCAGACTTCAGACTCCAGGGCTTGCACTGGCAGCCCTTCAGATTCTCAGGCCTTCAGTCTCAGAATGAGAGGTACAACATCTGTTTTCCTGATTCAAGAGCTTTAGGACTTGGACTGAGCCACACTACTAGCTTCCCTGCTTCCCCAGCTTGTAGATGGTACATCACGGGACTTCTTCACCTCCATAATTCCATGAGCCAATTCTCCTAATAAATCCCCTCTTAGCTAGCTAGCTAGATACATGCATACATACACACATAGATATCCTATTTGTTCTGTCTCTCTGGAGAACCCTGACCAATACACATGCACACACACGTTTTTATATATTTATATACTTATATATTTAGTCTATTTTTTATTTTCTAAAATATGAATTTAAATCAATCAGTTTCACTCTAATTGCTGGTTTACCTGCATCCCACAATTTTTTTAGTTTGGTTTTTATTATTATTTAATTAGAAATATCTTAAAATTTCTCATTTTTTTACCAATATACAAGTATGCTATTTAATTTTCAGATACTTCAAAATTTTCTAAATGTCATGTAGTTATTGATTTCTAAGGTAATTCTGTTGTAGTAAGATTTCAATCTTTTGAATTTAATTATTTTATATCTCAACATATGATCTGATCTGTCTTGGTAAATGTTCTATGTCCTCTTGCAAAGAATTCTTATTGTGAAGTTGTCAGATGAATTGTTCTATAAATGTCAATTTGGTTAAGAGAGTTGGTAGTTTTGTTCCAATTATACAATTTCACATATATGATTTGTGTTGTTTGTGCTATTATTGTCATATATTTTAGAACTACACATTATAAGCCTCAAATTAATTGCTGATATTGTCAGTTATATTTTAAGGAAGTTAAGATATATTTTAATTTGATGTTGTCAGTTATATTTTAAGGAAGTTATATTTTAAGGAAGTTAAGAAATTAGAAAAAAAGGTAGTTTATATTGACTTTCTATGACATGGAACTACAGAAATTTGACCACCTGGCTTGTCAAACTAGTCTAAATGTGTTCCCGTACATGACTATCATTCCACATACGTGCCTCTCTGATAACCTCTACAGTGACATTTAGCTCATTCCTTTAGTCAAAGTGCAACTCCTTTAAAGATCAGAATCTCTTATGGCAAAGGCCATCATATAACTTATTATCTAAACTGGGACACGTTGACAGTTTTAATAATTATGTAAGCACAAGAGTCATGCAATATGACATATGGTCACCCTACTTATATCGTGCTGGTAAGGAAATAGTCATAAGATGGTTCCCTGCTTGGAGCTCTGGAGGAAGGAAAGGAAAGGAAAGCAATTCTAATACTTCTTTAAACTACTTGTACTCAGCATGTTATAGGAAAGTCTGTTACTGTTTTTTCTTTAAAGAAACAGAGGTCTGAGGATGCTTATAGATCTACCAGTTTCAAGTGGCCAGTTGTCACTTCCCTTTGGTATATTCTCTGTCAGGTTATACTTGATAGAGTATTGTGTCATGTTTTGAAAGACCACTTCACACTAAATGCAGGTATTATCATTGTGTATATTCTGCACGTGTGAGTGAGGGGATAAGGAGAGAAACAGGGAAAGAGAAGATAGAGTGAGAAAGAAAAAATACGCTTTGCCATTTTTCTTGATAGGCATATTAAGTTGATTTCATCTTTTCTCTAGAAAGTTGGAGAAATGGTGTTGAGGTCCTATTCAACCAATTACATTATTTGTTATATTGTATTCATTCATTAAGGGCTCTTGTCTGATGCAGCAAAGTAAAATCTTACTTTAAGGTTGTTGACTTCATTGTGATTAGTGTGACTACTAAGCAGCCAAAGAAGAAAAGGAAGGAAAGATCATCTGAGGACTAAAATAGTTTGTTAAAGGGAACATCTTTATACTAGTCCTTGAAAAAGATTTTATCCACATTCTGTTTAAAAGAGGTTTGCAACATAAAGCATCCCCAGCTCTCTTCTATTGGTCCCTGGCTTCTATTTAACAGTTGTCCAGAACATTTTACAGCCATTCAGCTTGGTTGCCATTGATTTCTTTGACTGAACTGAGAAAATATCACAAAATGTTCTCATGCCACTGGGGTACTAAACAGAAAGTACAATAATGTTCTTGAAAATTTTTTTAAAACCTTTATTTGTCTTATAGCCATGGCCAGATAGAAAACATTTTGTAAAGGAGAAATAAACAAATATCTTCTGTAGTCTTTCTTCTTAATTAAATGGATAAGAAACAGATAATGTTCTCCTTATGGGTAATATAAGTAAATAATTATGTATCAGTGGCAGATTTCTCACAGTGGCTTCATTGGTTTGATGTCATTCATACATAAGTAGACAGGAGAAACCTAAATGGAAAAAAAAACCACTGATGCAGTTTGGGCCAGGGAATAACATTTAATAATGCAATACTAATGCACTGCAGTGATAAAAAACAGACATTCTTAAAATTTCCAGAGCTCTGCAGCAGACATTTGTTTGCAGTATAGATATTAGAGAACCACATTTCCTTAAATTCTAGTACCATACGGACCTATAAATACTAAAGAGAACATAAATCGTCATAGCTTTATTAAGATAGTTTATGAAGATTCTATACTTAAAATTTCAATTTTCAGCAATGAAAGAGAGTGATAAACTTTCTTTAGTCTATTAATACTGATAAAAGAATGTTATTCATTTGACCTAAATCAAATACTAATTGGAAGGAACTGGAGGATTTCTCAGAACCAGGAGAAGAAAGAGAAGACAATGTAGACTAGAACCAACACTTCTTTTAGCCCTTTCTAGCGAAACTTTTCACCAGGACTTTGTCAAGAATTGGTGTCAAATACCAGTTGGCTCTACCTTTAAATATATCCAGAATCTGAGCAATCCTTATTACCACCACTGCCTTCACTCAATGCAAGTTCTCAACTACATCACCGCAACAGCCTCTTAGTGATCTATTTCCAATCCTTAGTCTCTGCAGCCTAGTCTCAACCCAACAGAGTAATCATTTTAAAAGTTAAAGCAGTTAGTTTATTTCTCATCTGCTCAAACCCTTGCAATGGCTCCTAGTTTCACTTAAAAAAAAAAAAAAAAGAAGAAGAGAAGAGAAGAGGGGAGGGGAGGGGAGGGGAGGCTACAGGAAGCACAGTGGCTCATGCTGGTAATCCCAGAACTTTGGGAGGCCGAGGCAGGAGGATCACTTGACTCCAGGATTTTGCCTGGGCAATATGGTGAAACCCTGTCTCTACAAAATAAATAAATAAATAAATAAATAAGCCAGGCATGATGGTGCACACCTGTAGTCCCAGCTGCTTGGGAGGCTGAAGTGGGAGGATCACCTGAGCCTAGGAGGTCATGGCTGCAGTGAGCTGAGATCATGCCACTGCACTCCAGCCTAGGTGATAGAGCAAGATTGTCTCCAAAAAAAAAAAAAAGTTTTCATAATGGTGTACATGGTCTACATATACTGGGGCAAAACCACCACCATCAGTCATTCAATAATCCTACCATATGGTCCAGTAACCAGGTCCATATTTATGCATATAGCAAAATAGGACACTTCCAACATCTGGATTATATGACATTAAGGAGCCAGAAAGTCTTCCTCACGTTCAAACACTTGTGCCCCTCTTGCCGATGGATAATAGAAATTCAAGCAAGAGGCTCTTTATGTCTGACCTTATCACTTTAACCTTTGTTGAATAGCAAATATCCTTTAGAGAGGCAGAAAGGTTTATTGTGAGAAATTTTATATATTTAGGGTATATTAATTTCTCATACCCTTTTTGGCAGTAAACTTTGATAGAAAAATAATATACATGCTGCAGTAAGGACAGAGGAAAATGTGATAAAATCTTATTGAACAAAGAGGCAGAACACACACAGTACAAACTTCAGCTGCATCATAATTTTACAAAGGGCCAAAACTAAAAATAATTAAAATTAAAAATTTAATGCTTTTTAAAATATTCACTATTGAAAATATTAGTACATGCTTATTGTAACAATTAAGACAAAAATAAAAAATAATTCTTACTTTCATCTCCAACTATATTTCTGTCACCATCAAGATACATTATTTTAACAGTTTAATGTACATCCTTCCCCTGAGACACATTTAAATTAAAAGTATACTTTTAATTATATATTCATTCAATACTAAATGAATTAAAACTTAACACTGAATTCCTTTTTACCATTTACTCAGGCTAAGGCTGTTTTTTTTTTTTTTTTTTTAAATCCTAGCTTTCTATAAAGTATTTGAAGATGATTATTTTATTAAAAAGAAAGAAAAAAGGGATTCAAATGCAAATGATCTTTCATTACATCTCTCACTAAGTCTGACAAACTCTAGCTTATTAAGCAATTTTTTGCTTAAGTTTGAGATTTTTGTCAAAGGTCATGCATTCTTCCAGAAGAAGGAAATAAAATGCTATTTTCCCAGTGGAAAATTTGCATAAATATTTTCCTTGTTTTTTACATTGAAAATACACTTGGAGAAATTAATGATGATTTCTGTGGTGTTTTGGACATGTCTTGCGCTCAGTAAGAACTCATTACAAATATTTCCTATAAGCCCTCATGACACATTCCTGGTTTTACAGATAAGAAAACAGGATTGGAAAATTCAAACACTTACCTGAGGTACACAGTAAGTGGCAGAACCAGCACGGAGAGACAGTTTAGTCTGGGGAGGCAGTACAGTACTATGCGGTAGTCAATAGGATGGGACTTTGGGTCCAGTCAAAATAGGGTTTGGATCTCAGCACTGCTATTTAATGTTGGATATTAGCCACCTCTGCATCATTTTGAACAATATTAACTAACATGTTTAGAATCACAATTAAGGAGCAGAAATTACCCGCAAGGAATTTCCAAAACTCAAAAAGAGAATATGTTCAGACCAATGTTTTTCCGATATATAAGGAAATGTCCGCAAAATATCACATTCAGCTTTTAATTTTTGTTTTTGTGGTTTTTAGTCAGATCTTTATACTTTCAAAATTGTGTTTTGGATTAAAATATTTTCTTTTTTTTTTCTTTGTTAAAAACAAAAGGGAGGGAAATGCTTATTTTTTTTGAGAAAATGGAAAAATAACAAATTAACAAAGTTGCTACAGTCAACTCAGCAGAGTATAACTTTATATATCTATAGCCTAGTAAATGACAATTTTGGTTTCTTGGAATCACATTAGAATATGGGAAAAGAAATAGAAATCAAGAGCATGGTTAGAGCCAGAATAAAACAAAAGTCAGAAGGCAAAGTGCTAGACTGAGATGGGGTGGAAACTAAGCAGACAGATGTAGCAGAACCATATTTAGAAATGAGAGGAAAATATCATCTCTCACTTATCCCTTCAATGAGTTTATAATCTAGGACGAGATGACAAATACGTTCTCTCATGTGTAAACTCCATCTGATTGATGGTAGCTGTCTAAAGTGTTGTGCTGAAAGGGATGCTAAGGCTCTTTTTAGGCTCTGAAAGTATTACGAAGATTCTTATTGTCTAACCTGGTCTTAAAATAGGGAATAGAACACGTATGTGATGCATTTGCTATCTCTTGGCCAGGCAGACAGAGGAAGTGGGACTAACAATCACCAGCACTTGCTTTGCATCAGGTGCTTCAGACACAATTGCTTAAATCCTCATAAATACAAAGAGGTAAAAATTACCATCTACATTTTACAGATGAGGAAAATCCTTCTCTGAGAAAATAACTGGTTACTATTTGGAGAAAGAGAAAAACAAACAATGACTTTGCAATGGAGGGAAGGGAAGGCAGTGAGTGTGTAGACGACTATTCATACATATGAAAAGTGTGAGTCAGCTATTGCCATTCAGGAAGAGCCAATGTACACAGATGTCTTCCTATCCCAGTTTTCAACATTTCTTATATTTAAGTTTCACAAATATTTTGCAGTCTAAATTGTCTCATTCTTCAAGATTTGCCATTATACTAATTATAACTTCTTTATAAATGATAAATTACGTTTCCCTTTGAAAATTATTTTAGAGTTTGAAAAGGACTTTATTCAAACTCTCTGATTACTACTCTTAGACCACAAAGAGATTTTATGACAATAGAAAAGAAAACATGCTAGCCCGAGAGTACAGACCTCATTAACAGTCTCAGCTTTATCAGTAACTTACCTGTATCTTGGATTAGTCACTCTCCCCGTCTAGGCCTTAGTTTTTCCCATAGGGGATTGGACCATGCCCTCTAAGGTCTATGTGGACTCCCAAAGCCTGTGATTTCTGTTAAGTTCAAAATGCAATTCTTACTAGAAAAAGTCAGAGAGGCTATACTATGAATAATTAATAATGCTGGTTGAAAACGAATAATAATTTTTTGGTTCCTTTTTTCAAATCATGTAAGACATTTTAAGACACAGAACATCTATTAGCTGAAAGCCCCTTGCTGGGCCTGAAGAGCCAAGGAGAGTCATTCATTCACTCAGTGTGTGTGCACTGAGCACTGGTTATGAATAAGGTGCTGTGTAAATGTGAAGGAAATTTAAAGTAAAAATGGGAAGGAAATTTAGAGTAAATTTATGTACTCTAAACTAATGACTCTAAACTAATTTACTCTAAACTAATGACTAATAAATGTATTTAAGTAACTAAAACATAAATAAATAAATAAAAAGAAACATAAGAGTCATACAGATAAATTGGTATGAAAGGTAGGAGAAAGGGTATATTACCTCTTGTGGAACTATGGAAGGGGTCAAGAAGTCTCCATAGCTAGAGCCCTGTGAGGTGGGCTTCAAAAATAAGTAAGTCTTGGCCAAATAGGGAAGAGTGTGAAGAGGAAGGTGATACAGGCAGATGGTTCACCGTAAGCCAAGCAAGGAGGTGGGAGAATGCAGTACATAAATGGAGAAGAGAAAAAAAGTCCATTTTGGCTGGGTTGAGGGCAGCAATGGTAAATGACAGTGGAAACTAGTATAGTCATCAGTGCCAAGCACAGGAATTAAAGACTTTACTTTCTAAGTTCAGTCTTTTTGAGCAGGAGAGTAAAAACCTTAGCCATCTACCAGATTAATCTGGCAGTAGGATGTAAGATGAATGCAGCTGAGAAGATCCCAAGTATGGAGAGGTCAGTGAGGAATGACTTCAAAGTCTAACCAAGAACTAACAAGTAGCTGAAGCATCATTGCAGTGAGAATGGAGAAAAAGGGGCAGATCGAAAAACTAATAATAATCACAATAAGAGCTAACATCTATTGGTGTTTACTATGTACCCTGCACTGTTCTGAGCCTAAGTCATTAGCTTATTTAATCTTCACGACATTCCTATAAAGTAAGTTTTATCATTTCAGTTTTACAGTTGCAAAATCTGAGAAACTGATTAAAAATCACCTGAGGTCACCCATTTAGTGGCTCATCTCTGGGTCTAGAGTCTTATTGCTTAATCATTCTATAATACTGCTCTCCTGCAGAAATAAGATTGACATAACTTGGCCACTGGTTAATAATCCTCTCAGGGAGTCACTGGTTGTATATGTAATAAAAAATAATAAGTTGATAAATAAAATATGTAACAAGTAAAATAAATATGCCCAGCTTACCTACAGCATTTGCTCAACTCTTTAGAAATGCGTTACCAAATGAACAAGTCCACCAATCAAATAGCCATTCCTCTCAGCCCCACCTGCCATTGATTGTGCTGTTGCTCCCCAGGTGAAATATGTGAGAAATTCTTTTTTTAATTTAATAAGGGAAAAGAGTTTCTACCTCATCCCCATCGTGTGATGGCTAATTTTATCCTTTGTGTGGCTTTATGCCAGGTAAGCCGAGGACACGGACTCAGTAGCAAACCCCTCCCACGTTTCTCTCAACCAGTCCCTTGACTATGTCAGCAACAGAGACACAGTCCTCTCCAGTTTTCGACCACAAGACCCAACTTGAGTTGAACCAGTGATTAGGAACAATGTGTCCTCAGTGAAGAACACATTGAAAGTGCCTATTTTGAAGGAATGATGCTCTACATCTACAATTCTAATTTTCCTTAATTCTCAGAGGTAACCATGATAGTTGTGAGAATAGGCAATGCCCACCAAGTGACAACCTATCTGCAGTCCATATTTATGCTGCTACCACATCATTTTCTCTTTCATTTATTTCATTGCTTTTTGTTTACTTGGCTGTCAGTAACGATGCCTAGGAATACAATAACATAAGCAACAGGAAATTCTGGGGAAAGGAAAAATGTCAGTGACTAAAAGTCAAAGATATTAATATCTAGAAACTGAAACAAAATGCCAGTTATTTCTCTATTTTTAAAGAATAGGCCTTTGTTGGGCACCTTAGATTCAATGCTCCTGTTCTGAGTTGCTCTCTTGCATCTGCATTCCAGCTGGTGGAATTCAATGCAGGAAAGGGCACAGTTGCCATTTGATAAAACACATTTAATTCCCAGCAGGAAAAATTAACTGTCTTCACAATACTGCTCTTGATGTAAATATATTGTTTTTTGAATTCCAAACACCTACTAATTTGCTTTAAATTGCCCTAATAATAATCATTGCTTAAAGTTACAGCAGTGAAACAGCTTCTGCTTTTTGCAAACCTAATTTTGACAGCAGGTGCCTTTTATGTCCTTGTAATTTTTCCTATAAAGATCATTATCCCTTAATTGTAAATTGCAGCTGCTTTGAGGGTATTTTGGTTCATGATGATGGTTTGATTGATTATTGAAGTTCCAATCCCACTGTGCTAAAGAGTCTAGTCTGTTGGGATTTCCAAAAAGCAGCATCAAAATCTTCAATGTCAACTCACATTAGTTCACTCTGTCACAAAACTGTCAGCCATGAGGTGACATTGTTTATAAAACACAAAGATGATTATCTTTTCCTTTTTTGTCAAAAAAATTTAAAAAAACAAAACATTTGTATGTGGCTTCAAATGATATGTTTCCTTAGCTTCTTACTCAAAACCAGATATGCTTTTGGAGTAAACTAGTTTAGACAAAGTGTTTTGTTTGAAGGATATTATTATATTTAAAGAGGAACAGGATTTATCTAGATTTTAAGGAAAAAAAATATGAAGATGGTAATATATTCAAGACTTTTCATGTTTTAAAAAGTAATAATACATAACCTCTTAGAAACTCAGTTTTGCTATGTTCTCTAAACTGTGTGATAAACATAAAAGGGAACAGATGTGTTAATTATTCTTGAAGCTCATCCAATTTTTACGTCGAAGACTCTGTAGCTACATGTCTATCTACATTTGTTTTTCATCAGAGACAGGGATGTTGAGTATGTTGATCTCAGAGACATTCTATCCTCTTTGGGAGTCTACCCCAACAGAGGATAAACATATAAAATTGCCTCCTGTCCCAGTCCCATTCCTTTTCCAACTTCTTAAAGAGATTTAGCTGTGTGACCTTTGGCAAATCCCTCAACTTCTCCATGCCTCAACTGCCTCATCTATGAAATTGTGCTAACAGTATAACCTGATTTTGTGCAGACCAAATGATATAACCTACTTTACATTCTTAGAATAGTCACTATCACACTTTAAGCACTCAAATAATACGGATTATTTTATGTTCATTATTAAATAACTGCATATCCTTATTGAGCACACTCTCGGGACAGGCACTCTACGGGGTGGAAGAATGAAATATGATCTCTATCCTCTAAGGGTGAGATCAGAAAGCTGCAGCCAACTGCAGCATGTTTTTGCTTGGTCCCTAAGCTAAGAAGGAATTTTATATTTTAAAAGGTTTTTTTAAATTAAAAAAAAATGAAGAAGAAGAAGAATATGCAACAAATACATGTAGTGGCCCTCAGAATCTAAAATATTTGCTGTCTGGTACTTTACAGAATACATTTTCCAAGTTTTGGCTCTGTAGGGAGCAGAAATGTCCTGGTGAAGTAACTAGGAGAAGGCTACAATCTTTCCAGGGGCAATAGGGGGAAGAGAATAGGAGAGGGGAGGGAAGAAGTCACATAAGGTTTTAAGAAGAGGTTATATTTGAAGTAGGACTTGTGGACTTGTAAAGTAGGTCAGATTTCATCAACATGAGAGGGAAACTAGTATAGATAAAGAAAAAACAAATCATAAAAACAATAGAGTGGTATATTTTAGGAATTCTGGCTAATTGAGTATGACTTGATTATAGGTGCCTATGTGTGTAGGAGGTAGTGTGGGTGGGAAAGGGGAGAATTAATGGTCAAAAATTAGGGTGGAAAGAGCCATAACATAAAGGGCCTTAGATGCTCTACTAAAGATTAGAACTTTGGTTTGAAGGTAAAGAGTTATCACCAAAATTTTTTAAGCAGGACAATGACAAAATCAAAACAGATTCAGAGCAATAATTCAAGCCACAGTACACAAAATAAATTATGAAGAAACTTTGGGTCAAGATTGAATAACAGGAACCAGATTTAACATTCTGCCTGAAACAACAAAAAAAAAACCCTAGATAAAAAATATAAAACAAGTTTTTCAGAAATTGACAATAGGCATTGCCAGACAGTGACTCCTGAGAGAGGAGAACAAAATGAACTGAGCCCTACTGCCCAGATTCCCATATGGAGAGAAGTTCCAGGCTTTAGCATAAGAGAAGGAAGATATAACCCACAATGAAGGGAAAAAATATCAACAGAAACAGACTCAGAGATGATAACTGTAACAGAATTGGTTGACAAGTATATTAAAAGTGGTAGCTATATTCCAAATATCCAAATACTGAAGTAGAAGAATGCTTGAGCATGCTAAATATAGATATAAAAGTTTTTTAAGTACCTAAACTAAACCTCTAGAGCCATGAAAACAAAAAAAAATAATGCTGGAGATGGAGAATAAACTAGATAGGAGTAACAGAAGGTTAGACACTATTGAAAAATTATCAGTGAACCTGAAAACATAGTATAAATATAGTGACCCCCCCCCCTCCACCATTGAAATGACTATAGTGAGCTGTGGGAGAACTTCAGCCTTCCTGATATGCATGCATTGGAGTCACTGAAGAAAAGAAAGGGAGAATGGACAGAAAAAGTATTTGAAAAAATACTGGACAAAATTTTTCAAAGTGGATATAAACTATAAACCCACAGAATCAGAGTTAAATGGACCCAAGCATAAGAAACATGCGTAAAAAAACACTGAAGTTTATGATAATCCTCTTTGTTTTAAAACAGTGATAAATAGAAAAATTTAAAATCAGCCATAGGAGGAAAATTACACATTACATACTGAAGATATAAAAGTTGAAGAACAAAGACCAGAGTAACAGCAGGATTCTCCTTGGAAATAATGTAAGGCAGAAGGCATTGAGAAATATTTTTTAAAAGACTGGAAGAAAAGAAAAAAACTATCACCCTGGAATTTTATACCCAGGAAAAATATTTTTCCAAAACCAAGATAAAATAAAGACTTTTTCGCCAGGCACGGTGGCTCACGCCTGTGATCTCAGCACTTTGGGAGGCTGAGGCGGTCGGATCATGAGGTCAGGAGATCGAGACCATCCTAGCTAACCCGGTGAAACCCCATCTCTATTAAAAATACAAAAAATTGGCCGGGTGTGGTGGCGGGTGCCTGTAGGCCCAGCTACTCAGGAGGCTGAGACAGGAGAATGACCTGAACCCAGGAGGTGGAGGTTGCAGTGAGCCGAGATCGCGTCACTGCACTCCAGCCTTGGCAACAGAGCGAGACTCCATCTCAAAAAATAAATAAATAAATAAATAAATAAATAATAAAATACAGACTTTTTCATAACATAGAAAAGCTGAAAGAATTTATAATCAGCAGCCCCATAGTATAAGAAATGTTAAAAGAAGTCTTTCAGGATGAGGGAAATTAATACCGGATGGAAAGCTGGATATAAAAGTAATGAATAACACTGGAAATAATTTTTTAAAATTCTTTTTAAATGTTTTTTAAAAGATAATTAAGGCCAAAACAATTACAATGTGTTATAGGATTTATGACATAATAGAAGATATATGAAAACAATTCCAAATTAAAAATAGAAAGAATTCTTCAGCCTGATTAAAGACAGCTACAAAAACCAACAGCTACATTATATTTAATGTTGAAAGATTGGCATCAAGAACAAGGGAAAAATGTTCTCTCTCGTCCCTTCTATTTAACATGGTACTAGAGATTCTAGCAAAATTGATAAAGCAAGATGGAGAAACAAAGGAATCCTAATTAGAATGGAAGAAGTAATTACGCTGAGTCAAAGAATTTAGAAAAAAAGAGAACACTCCACTTACATTAAATTCTAAAAAACACAAGCCATCTATTAAAAACCAGATCAATAATTGCCTGGGAATGGAAGTATGTGGAGAGGAGGGGGAGGGAGAGATTACAAAGGGGTACATGGAAACATCTGAGGATGAAGGATATGGTTATTATTTTTATTGTGGTGATGGTTTCAAAACTCCTCAAACTGTACACTCTAAATATCTGTAGTTTATTATATGCCAATTATATTTCAGTAAATCTGAAAAAAATTGCAAAAAGTAATTACAATCAGGGTTGAGATGCTGAGGCAGGAATTCATTCATCTAGGAGATAATGACATAGAGAAGTGAAAAAATGATTAAGAACAGAGCTACAGAGATAACTTTGGGAATGAAGAGAATACACGGATTTAAGATTTCCTTCTGAAGTTGAATGGACAACTGGGCAACTGGGTGTATAGTGTAACTATGAACAGCATTAAGGAACATAGGAGAAGGTTCTGATTAAAGAAGAAAGACAGGCCGGGCGCGGTGGTTCACGCCTGTAATCCCAACACTTTGGGAGGCCGAGCCGGGCAGATTGCAAAGTCAGGAGATCGAGACCATCCTGGCTAACATGGTGAAACCCTGTCTCTACTAAAAATACAAAAAAAAAAAAAAAAAAATCAGCCGGGCGTGGTGGGGGGCGCCTGTAGTCCCAGCTACTCGGGAGGCTGAGGCAGGAGGATGGCGTGAACCTGGGAGGCGGAGCTTACAGTGAGCCGAGATCACACCACTGCACTCCAGCCTCGGTGACAGAGCGAGACTCTGTCTCAAAAAAAAAAAAAAGAAGAAAGAAAATGATTTGAGATCTGAATATGTCTTATGGGGCAGCAAATCGCACATTTCAGAAGTGGATACATCTACAGTGCTTGATTTCAGGAGAGAGATATGGGTTGGAGATAAAGACATTGGAATCATAAGCATATTTAGGAGAGAATTGAGGCTCAGGGAGTGGGCGAGAATGCCCAGGAAGAGATCTTGGATTAAGAAATAAGTGAGAAAGTAGGTCTTTGGGAATACCAGCGTTAAGGGATGAGCAATGGACTTTGTTCTCTAAGGCGGGTCTCAATTCTCTTTTCATCATCTTTGTCCTCTGAGGGTTCCTGTGAGAAACATGTTCACCCATCCAAAACCAAAGGGCGTACTCAGAGGTACGAAGAACAGCGAAAGTGAGACTTTTAACAGTGGTCTTGCAAGATCGGGTGTCTGGTAGGCAGGCACACCCAGGGCAGCTACAGCAGGTAATTTATCTCCTAGCACTCAAGTCCCTCTCCTACTTCCTCATTGGTTGAGTACTATAAGGTTACAATCTTCTCGGATGTCGCCTAAGCTTCATTATCCCCCTTATAAGATTATACCCCGTCCCCTTCTCTGCTGAAGTTTTCATTTCCCAATAATGAAACTTTCTTCTCTTTTATGGGCTGACCCCTCGTCTACATTCTGTTCGCTTATCGTGACTTTCTAGGAGCAGGAGCTGTGTGGCTTGTTGCATCCACAGGCTGGCTGCCAGTGCTTAGATTTATCATGCCTTGAAAATGGACCATTTAAAATGTTTTCTTACAGTTCCCATTCTCTTTTTATCATGTTATACTCTAATCTGAGTGTTCCATTTAGGAACATTAAGAACATCAGAAAATAAAATAGTATCTCCAACGACAGGAGATTCATTTCCCTCCGAGAACTGATAATACGTGTGTTTACAATTTCAACTCAGTCTTGGATTAAAACATAACTGTTTTATCAGATTCTCAAGTGCCATACAAAATACATACTTAAGTCTTTTCAGGATATACACTGTACCTAAATTCTGGCATGTTTAGTGAGAGAGACAGCAGAGAATTGGGATATGCAGGAATGGAAGGAAAACTGGAATAAGTCTTAGAAGACCAGCCTCCTTATGCTGACAAATATTTCTTCAGCTCCCACCACAGTGTGTTGAAATGAGATTTTAATAAACATGAAAAAAGTATTATACTTAATCCTCCCAAAGATAATAGACAAGTAATTTTTAACTCTGAATTTATCTGTGCTTATCAAGAATAAAGTGGGGAGAGTGAATTGAAAGTTGTTTTTTATTGACCAAATAGAGATTATCTCACTTTAGGGAAAAAACACCCCCTAGACTATGATCATTTCCTTCCCCATCTCCCATCCCCACACCCAGTGGCTGGATATGCTTAGGGAAAACAAAACTGTTCACAAAACCACCATTTCCAATGGCAAAATTTATATTTTGATTTCTAACGAAAAATTCCAATGAACTAAAACATTTTCATTCTTTTGTTTAATTCAATTAATTCAAACTTCTTAGCCTTGGAGGCATCAAAAACTAGTAAAATCCAAAATAAAGAACTACAGAAAAAAACAGTGGGGGGTGCTGTTGCCTGGTGTCACTATAAGCTAGGGAGCATCTAGACTTTGGAAGAGAAAAAATGTTGCAGTCAGCCAAGGCTGTTTCTTGCTGTCTGATATTTAACGTTATTCTTTCCTTTTCCACTTTTCATAGCAGACCAAATTCAAATTTACTGAATTCTAATTTATCAAATAAACTCCCCTGAGAATTTAAAGATGAGATCAAGTATTGGATAACACTTAATGTTTGGTTTTTGTTTTTGTATTCTTGTTTTCATACCCTAGACTGCAACTATCCCTTCTACCTAGTCATTTCAGAAATCTAAGTGTTTCCAGGGTGGGTACAAGTAGAGAAGACAAAAACTGAGCTTCAGATCCATGAAAAAGAAAAAACAATTCTAAATTTCGCTACTCAGGTACATGCTAGGACTCCTACAAGGCCATAGGAAGATAAGCTATTGATTCTCAAGGAATTTCTCTTCTGGTTGCCATTCCTGATCTTACAGTAACTGTGATTCTAATTTTGCAAGAAGAGAAGATATGGCATGGTAAAATCTTCATTCTCATAGAAGGATATGTTACTTAGTAGGTATAATACAAGCAGACACTAACATTTTTCACCATTTTTAATCATCTGAGATACACTGTATCTGAGAAAGGCAATTTAACTGAATACCTGGAGGACAAATGGAGCTGATCTGAGGAGTAGAATAAGAGGGAAGGAGTGTGGCTCCCACCCTGAGTGCAGAGGGGTGTGTGTGTTGTAACCTCAAGAAGGAAGATTGAAGATTGGTTGGTCAGGGTCTCACTTTATTAGATTTCTTAGGCATTTTTGAGTTTTGAAAGTTCTAACAGATTTCTTTCATTGTCTTTACCATTAAGTTTTCTTTCTTATATACCTCCTTTCCTTACTTTTGCTTTCCTCTATTTCAAAATAATTAATAGTACTCGGACCTCCTACACAATGGTTCTCAAATAGATTCTACACTCAGTTAAGAATACAATATGAAAAGGGGAGAGAGAGGAAGAGTCAATTAAATAACAATAGCCTAGAATAACTGCTATTTTAAGGATAACAGCATGTAATTCAAAAGCCTGGAATTACTCAAAAGAGGCAGCCCCTGAGGAAATATAGACCATAATCCATAAAAAGTAATTAAAACCTTCCTGGTATACTCCAAAGTGGTCAGAAGAATTCAATTACAAACTTCATAGTTACATTATGAAGATTTACACCAAAGCTAGAAGCAAGAAGTGACCAAGCCAGGAAAGACTTAATCACAGAGGATCTTAATTATGTCTTTCCCAAGGAATCAATACTCTCCTCTTTCACAGAAACATTTTTCACCGTTTCTAAATAGTATTTACATTAACTTTTCAAATGCCCTATCAAGTTCACAAGAGACACACCAATGGGGAGTGGCGAAGCTGTCATGTTCAGATTTTCAATGAGGGAAGATAATGGGAGTATCCATGTCTAGAGTGCTCAGTAGTCATCAAAACACCAATCAGAGTACACAACCAGTAAAACACACTGTGCCTGGCTGTATGAGCAAGGTGAGCAGCTTCTAACACAATGACAGTTTGTATTAACCCATTCTCATGCTGTTATGAAGAAATACCTGAGACTGGGTAACTGATTAAAAGAGAGGTTTAATTGACTTACAGTTCCACATGGCTGGGGAGGCCTGAGGAAACTTACAATTGTGGTAGAAGGCACCTCTTCACAGGGCAGGCGGATAGAGAATGAGCGCCAAGCAAAGAGGGAAACCCCTTATAAAACCATCAGATCTTGTGAGAACTCACTCACTCTCACGAGAACAGCATGGGAGAAACCATCCCCATGATTCAATTATCTCCACCTGGTCCCACCTTTGACACATGGGGATCATGACAATTCAAGGTGAGATTTGTGTGGGGTCACAGAGCCAAGCCATATCACACTTAGGATTCTCCATAAGGGCTAATTCGTCCTAGAATAACTAGTTAGTCTTCTACCAATTTAGGGTTCTGCTCACCTCTGATCAAGCCTTAGATTCCAGGCATCAGAAGCAAAAGTCAGTTAAACAACAAAGACAATGACATTGTTTTCAGAAAGCTTCTTTTGCAATACAGGAATTACTCCACAGCAGAGAAGACAAGTCTTATTCCCTTACCCAAGATAATAATTCTAAGGATGCTTTGGCTTCAAGTAGCAAAAAACACAGATGCAACTGCCTTAATCAGTTAGACAATTTAAATTTTCACATATCAAGAAGTGTACATTCAGAGGAGTTCTAGACACATACCAAACTGGGTTCTGGTTTGCAGCTCTGCAAACTACAACCCGCAGGCCAAATCTGGCCTACTACTTTTCTTTGTAAATAATATTTTATTGGAACACAGCCAAGACCATTCATTAATTTATTGTTTATGTAATACACAGCCAAGGACATTAATTTATGTATTGTTCTGTGCTGCAACAAGAGAGATGAGTAGTTGTGACACAGATCACATAGCCCACAAAGCCCAAAATATTTATTATCTGGACCTTTACAGAAAAATAGTTGCTAACCCCTGCTATACCTCTATCTTCCTGTGACTCTCTAGGCTTTCCTCTCATTCATGTATTGGCTCTGTGCCCAGCCTTTGTACCCACTCCAGGTCATAGGTGTCACATGCAAGCATGACAATATTTCTAGACAGAATATAAGCCATATTTTTCTTGTGTCTTCTTGTAAGAACAAGGAAGCTTTTCCTAAAAGCCCATAGAACACTTTTATTCACATAGCTTTGGCCCAAAACATATCACAAGGCAGTACCTGAACCAGTCATTGGCAAGGCAACTGAAATTGCCATGACTGGTTAGACCAATCAGAATCTACTCTCAGGGACTGAGGGTAGGTCACCCTCTCCTGAACCAAATGGCCAATGTGCCAAGGATAAATGCCTAAACCAAATTAGGACTCTCTTGAAACAGAGGAAAGCAAGGAGAATGAATGTTGATTACTACCAAAGGGTTGAGTTCTAGGAAAGATGGAAGAGCTGAGCTTGCCCTGGATGCCTATGTCTTTCCCCTGTATATTTACAATGGAAAATGCTAACAAGAAAGATACTGAAAGGCATGAAGAGGACTCTAAAAAGAAACTATTGAGGGAATACATGATACCTATTTTGAGGTTTTCTACAATCAGCCCTACCAGTATCCAAAATAACAAATGCCTTATTGTCACATGGACCTACTGTAAAAACATAAGTCATATACTCCCTGGAAGAGCAGAGGAAGAAAAAAGAGAAGAACCAAGGTGTCATTCTCCTGGAGAAAATTTACCAGAGTAATTCTCTGACCTCTTGTACTTCATAACTGTGTGAAACTTATATTGAATACAAGTTATAATGCAGCTCCAAATGACTTCTGCAAACTGTTGTTAGAAAAGGGTTCATAGGTATCCTTTCCACCCACCACAAATCAATAAATACTCATTACATGCAATATGTAAAAATATATAATTATAATAGCATAAGCAAGTGAGATCTATAGTTCATGTTTTTACTCCCATGGGAAGACTCTTCATAATTTCAGTAAGGGAAATAATTTTTAAACATTTTCCATGTACAGTTCCTTCCTGATACAAGAGAGTACACGGCAAGTAATTTAAGAAAGGCAAGTCTGGAGAGACTGCAGTATATTCTCTCAGTTGAATAATTTCATGAGTCTGACCTTTAATAACATGTATATTCGATACAACCCATTTAGCACTCGAAACATTATAAGATAACATTGTTATATCTTATTAATGTTTTCATTAAATTACAAGTTCCTTAACAGGTTGTATTCTCCCCCGGGGTAGATATTTTGTTTCCTCCTGATATACCGTGCCCATAATACCTGTTCAGTATAAACTGAATACAGAGCTCTACCTTTTTTTTTTTTTAAATGATCCACAGTTTTAAAGAGATTTGTGTTCCAAACTGTCATTTGTAAACTTGAACTTGAAATTCAAGCCCATTTTCCTCCTAAGATAATGTTAGAGGTATTAGTTAGGTCTCTAGCATAGCCTGTGAAAGACTTTAACAAATAATGTAGCTAGTATTGTTTACCTTTACAACGCAAAGCAGCAGAAAACCATATTAGTAAAAGGTTGCAATTGCTTATTTATAAGTTCGTGATTTAAAACCATAAAGAGTGCCTTTGAAAAGTAAAAGCATTCAGTGGTCATCCTAACAAGGAGAGCCTCCACAATAAAAAACCACACAACAGGAGGACATAAGTTCTAACCCAAAATGCCACTCTCCTTCACAATCACTAGCATCAAAAATATTACGGTTTTTTGTGTGTATATCAGCATATGCTGGAAAATCACACCAACACACTAGCCGTTTTCATCTTAAGAACAGTGAAATCAGTTCAAATAAATTAGTAATTTTATTGTGACTCATTTGCCAAGAAAAAGTCCACATCAGTTGAATTGGAGAAAGGAAAAGATAGCATCAAGAGAAAAAACAGAGCATGATGAGAAACATTGTACAATTTATCAATTAGTGAGGACAATAGTTTTCAAAGTATTGACACACCCACTGAAAGTATACCAACTACAAATATTTGAGTTTACTCTGGTTTTAAGTGCTGTTTCTACAGTCTTTTGTTGAAAGGCTTCTCACTTAATCTTAGGATCGAGTCTCATGACTACCCAACCAATTTTCTCTCTTCTCTTGGCAATATATCTATTATAGGTAAAGAAATAACTATAATATTTCATTCTTTGCCTCTGATTAGCAACTTAAAACTAGTTCTTAGAGTAAAATTTAAGTCTTCATGCTGAAGGGGAGTTGCTTACTCCCTGCAGCTCTCCTGCAGTCTTACAATTAACATAATTAGTCAACTGTGGCTAAATGGGGAAATCATATCATTTGCTTTCCATGAACATGCCCTGGGCTGCCTCGTCATTCTTCCCACTAATGGAGAGAGCAGAGATTTGGTAAACCTTGCTCTTCAGTTGGATTCAAAGCAGAGAGTTCATTTCCAATATCCAAATTACTTATACTTTAAAAGTAGCTAAGGGTTGATTCCTTATTCACCAATATGTCTGATTAAAACACACAAAACAAAATTACTCTCTAGGTGATATTTTGTCTAAGCACAAATTCTTTGCAATCACCATACTTAAAGCAATAAACAAATTGAAAAATAAAGAATGCATTGTTTTTGTAAAAGTGATGCCTGCTCACGAATAAATCAAGTTATAACAGGGAATTTAGAAAATCACCACAGTTTCTCAAATCAACATTGATGTTCAATAGACAACTTTCTAGGTGTCTCTCTAGGCCTATGGACAAATAAAAGATTGTCAAAGCCGTATACAACAAGCTCATAGTTAACATCATACTTGATAGTGAAGAAGTTAAATTGTCTCTGTTTACAGATGACATTTGTGTGTCTGGCTTTTTGTATGTCAGGATATGCTGAAAAAACCATACCAGTCACTAACAGTTTTTATCTGAAAACAGTGATACAAGTTCAAATAAATTAATATTTTCACTTTGACTCATTTTTTCTTTTATGTATAGAAAACTCTCATTTCTTTTATATATAGAAAACCCTAAAGACTCCCACAAAGAAACTATTAGAACTAATAAATTAAGTCAGTAAAGTTGCAGGACACAAAATCAACATACAAAATCAGTAATGTTTCTATACACTAACAACAAACTATCTGAAAAAGAAATCAAGCAAACAATCCCATTTATAATAGCTACAAAAAATACTTAGGAATACATTTAACCAAAAAGATGAAAGATAAGTACATTGAAAACCATTAAACACTGATGAAAGAAATAAACACAAATAGAAAGAAAGATACCTCAGGTTCATAGATTGCAATAATATTGTTCAAATGTCCATACTACCCAAAGTAATCTGTATATTCAATGCAATCATTATCAAAATTCCAATGGCATTTTTACAGAAATAATAAAAGCTATCCTAAAATTTGTATTGGATAACCACAAATCAACCTAATAGCCAAAGCAATCTGGAGCAAAAAAAGATCAAAACTGGAGGCATCATACTACCTTATTTGAAAATCTACTACAAAGCTATAGTAAGTAAAACAACATGGTTACTAACATAAAAACAGACACATAGACCAATGAAACAGGAGAGAAACGCCCAAAATAAATCAATACATTTGGTCAGTTGATTTTCAACAAAGATGTGAAGAATACAAAATGGGGAAAGGATAGTCTTATCAATAAATGGTGCTGGAAAAACTGAATATCCACATGCAGAAGAAAGAAATGAGACATGCTTATCACACTATACACAAAAATCAACTGCAACCAGATTAAAGACTTAAATGTAAGACCTAAAATTAAAACTATTTCAAGAAAACATAGGAGAAAATCTCCATGACATTTGTCAGGGCAAATTTTTTTTAGTAAGATGCCAAAAGCATAGGCAACAAAAGCAAAATAGTCTAATAAGAGTACGTCAAACTAAAAAGCCTCTGTACAACCAAGGAAGGAATGAGCAGAGTGAAGAGACAACCTATAAAATGAGAGAATATATTTGCAAACCTACAGCTAATAAAGGGTTAATATCCAGAATGCATAAGGAACTCGAACAATTCAATAGCAAGAAAGCAAATAACCCTATAAAGAGACCTGAGCAGACATTTCTCAAAAGAAGACATACAAATGGCCAAATATATGAAAAAATGCTCAACATCACTAATCATTAGAGAAACGCAAATTAAAATCACAATGAGATATCACCTCACACCTATTAGAATGGCTATTACTAAGAAGACAAAAAGTAACAAGCGTTGGCAAGAATGTGAAGAAAAGGGAATCTTTGTCCACCGTTGCTAGGAATGTAAACAAGCATGGCCATAATGGAAGATATTATGGAAGATCCACAACCCAGCAATCCCACTTTAGTATATATCCAAAGGAATTAAAACCAGTTGTCAAAGAGACATCTGCACTACCATGTTCATTGCATTATTCACAACAGCCAAGATATGGAATCAACCTAAGTTTTCACTAGTGGATGAATAAACAAAGAAAATGTGATACACACACACACACACACACACAAACACACACGCTGGAATACTATTCTCCATTACAAAAGAAGAAAATCTTGCCATTTGCAACAACACTGATGAACTTGGAGGACATTATGTTAAGTGAAATAAACCAGGCACAGAAAGACAAGTATCATAGAATCTTATGTGTGGAGTGTTAGAAAAGTCAAACTCATAGAAACAGAGAGTAAAATGGAGATTACTAGAGGCTGAGGGATGGAAGTAAAAGGACACCAAATTTCAGTTAGAAGAAATAAGTTCAAGAGATCTATTGTACATCATGGCTACTAGATTTAATTATAATACATTATATATTTGAAAATTGCCAAAAGAGATTTTTGTGTTCTCACTACAAGGAAATAAGTATGTGAGGTAATGCATATGTTAAATAGCTTAATGTAACTATTCCACAATGTGCCTGTGTGTATATTTGTATATTATATAAACATCATCTCATACACCATATATAAGTATATACATACATACATACATACATACACACACACACACACACACACATACACACACATACTTTTACTTGTCAATTAGCAAAAATAAATAATTTTTAAAAGATGTAGTTTCGGGCTGTGGCCCAAGACAACTTCATCAGTCTCCTTTTAGTAGGAAGGCCCGCCTCACCCTTTAGTCGGGGCTTTTTCACCTTGGTAGGAAGGCTATTTTGACCTGGATAATTCTTTGTTGTGGGGGTTGTCCTGTGCTTTTCAGGATGTTTAGCAGCATACCTAGATTCTGCCCACTAGATGCCAATAGCACCCCCACACCCCTGCCAAGTTATGACAAACAAAAATGTCTCCAGGCATAGTCAAATGTCCCCTGGGGAGTAAAATCATCCCCAGTTGGAAATCAGTTTTCAAGTAATGAGCCTGGTTTTGGTGTTTCCCCTTGGCAGGACAATTTCGGGCCCCAGTATGCCAGAGGAGCTGAACTCCAGGTTGCCGCTGCCTGCTTCCAAAGTAGAATTCAGAAAGATGTGGCTTCAGCCTCATGCACTGATTCTCATTCCTTTCTATACATTTGGGGGCCAAGGAGATATTCCTCTTGCTTTGAATGACAGCTATGTCTGGTTAGTTTTCTTGTTTAAACTTTCTATCTATCATTGCTACATGTTTGAAGCAGAGGGGGGATGTTAAGGTGTAAGCTTAGGAAGCCAAGCAGACTGGAAGTCTGTAGGTCCAAATCTAATCTTTTGTTTTGTTTCAAACTAAGCTTTTCCCTTCATTAGTCATTAGAGTTTTTAACGTCCAGGAAATCAGAATGTGTTTGAATTTCTAGAGCCTTGCTAGCTAGAAGCAAATTACACTTATAAATATCAATTTACTAACAAGAAAAATGTGATTTATTTTAATAGGGAATAAGAGAAGCAGCAGAAATGACAGCTACACCAATCAGCATGCATTGAACACTTCATATTGATGTCAGGGAAACACATTATCTCATTTAATTCTAAGAAGAGTCCCAAGATGTAGATAATATTTTAAAGTTAATGAAGCAGAAGTTTAGAGGTAACCCTAGTTATCAGTCAATTCAGTGAAGAAGCCAGGATTCAAATCTAATTTTAAATCCTGGGCTGTTAACAATTTTCCTCCATAGCCTCCCTACAGTGCTCTACATAGCATAAATAATTAATGATGAGAATGTCGTTGGTTAGTGATCTTTAATGAACATACCTTGATGCAAAACACCGTCACTACCACCACCACTTCCATGTCAACCACCACCTCTACCACCGTTCTAGCTCTACTGCCACCATTGCTATTTACTGAGGACTCATGACCATAAGCCATATTAGGGGCTGGGGATGGAGCTTGCCTCCTCTCTCTCAAAAATCAGCTTCATGAAAGCAGGAAAAAAAAAAAAATGGGCAGATGGGATTTACAGACAGACAAAGATCATTTTATTAAACTAGATCCATATTATATAGTGCACTTTTGAATAAAAAGCTTGGATTTGATTTTACTTGAATGTAACAGAAGAAAACAAAGTAAAACTGAAGAAATAGCTACACTTTAGACAGATTCTTCCAGTTAAAAATATAATATGTAAAACCTTTAAGAATTAGAACAATTTTAACTTTAGTCAATACTCATTGAAACTCTGTGAGATAAAAAGTTTTAATCTTACATTTCTTCCTCCTTACCTTCCTTCACATCTTGTTTTTCATTAGTTACATTATTTTTATATGCTCAATGTTTCTATGACCTTGATTCAGTTCTACAATCAAAATTCTCATAGTTGTTGCCAGTTTTAAAGTGAAAAAGATTTAAAGCATAATGTTAGTTCTATTACAACAACTTTTCCATTTGTTCTTTGTTTGATTCACCTCTTGGTTGGCTGAATTTCATAGGATGGAATATTATTCAAGAAGAGCTCTATTTTCCTGAATTATTTTATTTTCAAGGAGGTCAGTCTGTTGCCTTTAGACCTGAAAGACAATTTGGTCTGATACATGAATTTTACTTCTTATTTATTTCCCTTGAACTTTCTAGAGAATATTAAACTGTCTTATATTACTTATTACTGCTATGGAGAAGGGATTTGGAATTAAGATACTAAAAAAACATAAATATCTTCTACAATTTAAAAATGTTTAAAACAGAAGATTAACATTACTAAAATTTGCAGGTGGGCAGCAGCAGAATCTTATTAAAGAGAATAGAAAAAGGGCACATAATTTTTTGCACCCATATATTCCCCAAGTTATTCATTCAACTGTATAAAAATATTTATTCACTTTGGGAGGCCGAGGCGGGCGAATCACGAGGTCAGGAGATCGAGACCATCCTGGCTAACAGAGTGAAACCCCGTCTCTACTAAAAAATACAAAAAAAAATTAGCCGGGCATGGTGGCAGCTGCCTGTAGTCCCAGTTACTTGGGACGCTGAGGCAGGAGAATGGCGTGAACCCGGGAGGGGAGCTTGCAGTGAGCTGAGATCGCACCACTGCACTCCAGCCTGCGTGACAGAGCGAGACTCCGTCTCAAAAAAAAAAAAAAAAAAATTATTCAATGCCAATTATATGCTGTATGAGGTGATGAACATCTAGCAATTCCAAAGTTATTTCCTTACCTGTAAAATGGAGATATAACAATATCTACTACATGATTACTCTATTAAATGAGAAAATACGCATACCAGTTAGGTGCTTAACACAATTGCTCAGTAAACTGTGTATGCATTTATACGTGTACCGTGCTTTGGTAGCAAATGTTTAATAACTAGCTGGGGAGAGGGGTATCTGATTTATAACATTTGCTAATTTACATGGTTTAAATTCTCCTATTATTCCAAGCTCCCAATATAATTTTGTTAAGCAGGTTGCTAGGAAGACATGGGCATATTCAGAGCACTATTCTATGTATCTAGCATTAGGAAAGGAGAAAACAAAAGCTAGAGTGAGTGAGAGAGAAACTTCAGGGCTTGAGTTTTCTAGGAAATGAGATGTGAGAGATACAATCTCTCAAATACAGGGCAATATAAATTCTAGGAGTGAAAAATAAATAATAAGAGATTCATAAGAATGTACAATAAGGATTATAATAAGAGATTATCGCAGGGAAACCTAGTTAAGGGACATTTTTGAAGAGGTGACTTTGGGCTGATTACTAAAGAATGAGCAGGTATTTTCAGTCAAAGGTGGGGAAAGGTGTCCCAGGAATTGAAATACCAGGCCCATGAGATGGGAAAAATACATGTTTCAAAAATTAAGAACTAAGAACCTATCATGAGCAAAGAAAGAAGCACAACATGAGGCCAGAGAAGCAGGTGAGAGTCAGATCCCACTGAAGATTGTGCGTCAGCCATGTGGACAAGTTTGGGTTTTATTCTAAGTTCAATAAGAAGTTATTGCAAACTTCAAACAGAAGTGAAATTTCCTTCTGTAGTGTGGAGAAAGAATTGAGAACAAAAGTAAGGACGATGAAGAGCTATTAGGAAAATAAGGAACAATTAGGATGCTCAAGGCAGGAAGCTGTGAAAATATTTGCAGGAGAAATGTGACTGTGAGTTGAGCCAGTATAGGGAAGAAAAAGATGGAGAGACACAGAGAGATTCAACATATGCTGGAATAAATCATCAGGATGTGGGGATTGAGGGAGAAAGAGATGTCAAAGAAGACTTCCAACTTCTGGCTTATACAACTGGGTTGATAGAAGTGCCATTTATGGAGAGAAGGAAAGCTAAGGAGCATCTTTGGAGAAAAGATTATCTTTGAGATGCCAATGGTACATTGAAATGAATTTTAGAATAGACTTTTGAATATGTGGTCTGGTCTCCGTGTGAATCTGAAATTGAAATTTGGGATTTATCTATAGAGAGCTAGTATTTAAACCATGATATAGATGAAAATGCCTAGAGGAAGAGTATGAGTTGAACCAGAAAGGGGCCCAGGACGCAGTCTGTAGCTCCAGTTATTGGCTGGTAAGAAAAGGAGACACCATCAAAGGAGACTGGGAAAGAGCAGTCAGAAGACAAGGAAGGATTCAAAAAAGAGTGGTATTATGAAGACAAAGAAAAAATTTTCAAAGAAAGGGAATAGGTAACCATTGAGAGGTCACAGAAAGTGACTAAAATGTCCACTGGATTTAGCAATTTGGGAAGTTATTGATAACTTTAGTGAAAAAATGTTTCTGGGTTGGGACTGAGGTACAGAAAATGATCCTACCACGATTCCTCTGCTTTTGAATGTAAACTCAGGCCACCAAGATGACCTGGATCTCTTAAGGATTTGTTCAGTTAATTGATACAAAGGGCCATCTGCCACAGAGATGTAGGAATTTATGTTCTTGGAATGAGCTGCCTTCTCATGAGATTTATACATCCTTCAGATAAGAAAAAGTTTAAAACTTCCATTGAATATAAAAGTAAATAATGAGTGATCTCTGAAGACATATATCCAGCAACCTTCACAGGGCTCCTTTCATAATGGATATGTGCAATTAGGAGACAGGATGGAGGAGAGAAGTCTGATAAATCATCACATAACATTGATTTTACCAGTCATAGAAGTATGAGAAAACATTGGATTTAAAACAGCGTAAAACAGATACGGAGTTTCTTGTTTGCTGGCTATAGGGCAGTGGTGGTGGGTTTTGTTGTTTTGTTATCATTGTCATTTGTTTTGCTAATGAATAAAATGATCTTTTAAAACTAAGTCCATCTATAACTGGCATATTTTTTCTGTAAAGCATAGGTGTCATGTTTCTAGGAAAACAGTTTCAGATACATGTGCTATGTTCTCAAGTTCTTCTTACTGAAGAAAGATTAAACAAATTATGATTTTTTTTCTCAAAGCAAATATTTTGCATCCTACTATAACTAAGAATCACTATTGGTCAATTTCAGGAATTTCCTCTCTGGTTTTTTTAAAAGACCATTTGGCAGATTGAATTTTTTCTTCTTACATTTAAATAGTTGTTTCAAATCCATATTTTATAAGTATTTTGTCTTTTTACAGTTGAATCTACCATTTTAGTTAAAAATCTTTAAGTAACTGGAAAAAATAAGAGAAAAATATGCTCTTGCTAAATTTATATATTTTATCAAATAAAAATGTATACTAAATTATAAATTTTTCTACACTGTGCTGCTCATGTAGATCCTGCTTATACTACCATTATTATGAAAACTTGGGGTTGAGAAATTTAGAAGTTGAGAAAAAACATAGAGATCTTCCAAGCCAACTGATAATCACAGAAAATTAACTGTTCTGCGTAACATTTTAAAAATGAAGTCTGTACCATATTTAGTTACAAATTTCTAACCAGAGACATATGGTGAATATCAGAAATGACCTCTTGTCCTTTTGAAAAAACAAGATTTGAATACTATATTGTGGGAATTTCTCTTCTGAGGATACAAGAATTCTAAGGGATAGCCCTGTCCTTAATGCACATATTAACCAGATGGGAAATGAGGAAAGAGGGGTGAGTGGGAACAAATGGGGAGATCAGTCAAGCAAGCTTTGCTATAATCCAGGCATGAGAAGGGTAGGGTTGAGGGGGTGGTGGTGGGAAATAACAAATGAGAATGGAGTCAATGGGATAGGGCCTGAATGATAGGGATGTATGTTAAGGATGGGAAGGAAAGGAAGGCATGAAGACTAAAGTTTTGAGTTGCAGTAAGAGTGGGGCCACATTGAAAAGAAATATGGAAACCTAGAGTAGGACATGATTTTAAGAGAAAAGATGAGTTCAATTTTAAGTGGGAAGACTACCAAGTCATCAGCAAGAAAGAGAAGTGAAGTTGAAGCTTAGGAAAGAAACCATGCTCAGAGGATAGATGTGAAAGCTGACCACATAGAGGTGACGGTCACATCAGAAATGGATAGGCAGGGTGAGATCAGAAATGGATAGGCAGTGTGAGGGCAGAAATGAAGAAAGAAAAGAGCAAACAGCTCTGTCAGATGCACTAAGGAAACACATTATTTTAATGGGTAGCAAATGGAAGTTAATTTGACATAAGAGATCACTTGGCAACTAAGTATAGGTTCATTTATTATTTTTTAATACAGATAAAAATGCTTAGAATCTCATGACTCTGTATTAAAAAGCAGCTTTACACAGATTCTACTAGTAGAACTTTCAAAATGAAGGCAACAAAATGAAAATAAATAAGACACAAAAGGCTAAGTCTGAAAACAGAATCAGTAAATACAGTTCATCAAAATTCTTTACTCAAAGCAAATTCAAGTAATCCCAAATTTACTTGATTTTGTAAGGTGAATATTAATTTGCAAATGTTCACCTATTGACATACTCACTATACTCACCGTCACTGGTCACAGACTTGACTGGGTCATTGAATGAAATTGTCACCAATTCACCACAGCTAATTGGAAATGTGAAAAATCCATCCCTTCTTTGCTACAGAACTAGTTTTATTTTAATTGCATGTGGTAATATCAGTAGCCTCAGCTTAATACCATGAACACAATTGTGAAAAATGATTTAAATCCAATTTCTGTGGTAGCGGTTCTTTCTCCTCATTGGATTTCATACAAATTACATTTTATCTTTCATTGTGAAAAAAATTAGGTCCCTAAATGAAATAAAGTCATGTACAAACAAAATATACTTTGAAATATCAAATGAGAATGACATTTTTAAAAAGCTATCCATTTCCATAATGACAATGGACAAAACATTACTAACAAATCCATACTGCAATAAGTCATGAACTATATGCATCATAAGCCATGCTTGCAGTGTGGTTATCAAAAGATACAGGCAGTCTGGCATGCTGTCTCGCCTAATCTGCTTTGGAGGCAGCAGGAATTCAAGCTGAACAGTATTTCTGTTCTTCTCTATTTCCCTTATGGGATCTTCAAATTACAGAACAAAGATATAATAAGTAATTCATTTATTTATACATTTTCTACCAAGTATTTTTCTCCCTAATCCACTTTAATGAACAGCTCTTCTAGGGAAAAGAAAGCTGACCATCTGGCAGACACAACCCAAATACTTATTTTAGTCAGAGTAATTGAATATGAGGATGTGATGGGGAGATGAGATTTTGCTGAACAGAGCTGATCCTAGTCAGCAATTCCTAGCTAATCAGCAGCTAATCCCACTTTGGCTGCGTGAAACCTGAACCTAGGAAAAACTCTAAGCTTCTCTCTCTCAAGCATCCAAGAGTCATCTTCTAGAGACAATGACTTCATCTAAAGAGGCAACCTGGGCTCTTTATACCATCCAGCCCTACTGGACCTGTAAACTTAGTCCAAGTTCAGCTGCTCGTCTGGGTGATCCCAACCTTCTTTGCATGCTCCTTGTACTAACCTTATACTTGACTTTAAACTGTTATGTCTACCATTTTCCTACAAACAATGCTACTCTTCTTCCAGCCAAGAATAAATTTTAAGTCTTATTTTTATGACGAGAACATAAATTCTTGGGGAAAACTGACGGCATTGAATTCTCCTAAAGCAAATGCTTTTCTAGTAAATGTATGCTTGACTGAATTAAATATAATTGCTTATCCAGGATGTTTACTCTGCTAGCACTGTGCTGCAGAAATCAACTGCCTATTAAACCATTTCTCTAGTCTGGTTTGAAGAAGTATTTTAAATTTTATCTAGATTTTAGCAATTACTAGAATATTTTTAAGGAGGAACAGAAATAGAAAAAAGTGACAACACTACTTCCATCTGGTTTTTGCTGATGAGGAACAAGTTCTGTTACCTTCCTCCAGTTTTAATTCCTTGCTATTGAAAGTGTGGTCCCTAGATTGGTCTGTGGAATTGGCATCACCTGGGAGCTTGCTAGAAATACAACAACAGAGGCTCCACTCGACAACACTGACTGAACCAGAATGTGCAGTTTAACAAGATCCACAGGTATGCACATAAAATTTGGAGAATCACTGATTTAGTTTATAACATTTTTCTTTGTAGAAGTGTACTTTGTGTTTTGTTTCACTTCACTGGGTTTTTCTTAAAGTACTATGTGTCTGATGTACTACATCAAACAATATAAAATTATATATGTAAAAAGTTAATAATCACCCCCATCCTAGCCAGCTGTGATAACCCATGTTAAAAGTTAACTGTATTCTACATCTCTGTCTAGGTTCATACGTACTGACACAAAAATACATATGCACATAGCTGATAAGTTCTGAGTTATGGAAAAATCTTATTTTTAATCAGCTCCAGAATGTGGGCATTGACATAAAGGGGCTGTTAACCCAAATCAGCATCAGCTGCCTACATCTGCCCAAGCCATTTCTTATATTCTCTAGGCGTTAGTGGGCATTTTCACAGCAATCTGTGCACAAAAGCCAGCCTCCAAGCAGCAAGACAAAGATGAATAAAGGGGACAGACAGAATAAATCCTCAGGTTATGAGGGCCTAAGCCTTTGTATATAATATATTTCACATGATGATATGCACGTGATGTGAGTAGGACCAAATGTTTATGAAATCAAATCAGCATATTGTAGTAGTCTCTGTCTCCACTTCCAGTTGGGCAGCATTGACAGTGATGGAAATTATATGGCTTGATTCAGAGAACAAAGGACATTGTAAGCATGATTTGCCCCTAAGGTCAAATGGAAATGTTACAAAACCAGAAATATTCATAAGTTTTCTCTAAACAAACAACACACATTGCTTAGGCATCTCTAAAAGGAAGACGATAAAAGTAAGAAGGAATAACTATTTTGTAGGAAATAAAAGTTGTAGCCTCTGAGGACAACAGGTAGCTAGGATCATCCAAATAAATACAGCTTAAGAAAATGCAGAATAATGGTAACAGTGATAAAAGGAAGGGTATTCATTAAATTCTGAACTCACCAACTCTCTGATAGATGGCTTCCTTAGTGTCCAACAAGTCTAACTGTGGAGCCACTAAAACATGTACAACTGTTACATTAGACACCAAACTAGCTCATGTAGTATTTGGAAGCGGCCTGAAAATTGGCTGTAGCTTTTTTCCTACAGATTGGAATTTGGTGGGTCCAAGTAGAGCCTCTCCAAAGGGGTGGCTTCCTTAAGAGCTCAAAGTCCTTCCTGATGAGGTTCTCTCTGATGGCAAGGTCACTGTTGGTCATTGCAAGTGGCGTCAGTCCTTTTAAGTTATCGTTGAGATCTCATCCCTTAGCTTAGCTCTCCAAATATCCGAATCCTAATACTACAGGGTTTCAACTTTGACCTAAGCCTTCTGATCTGGTCTGCAGAGAAATTGGAACAGAAAGAATCCTTCAACCAATGTACAAAGGCCAGGTGAATCCAGTTGGTGCTCTAACATGAGGCCATTAACCAAACCCCAGTGCCCTACAATTAATAATGTTAAGATCTAACCAGCTCAGTATCAACTTTATTTCCCTTTCCCATAACACCTTGTGTGTACAGAACTCCATTACAAGGGGAGATACAGTAAAATGTAAAATCTGAAAGGTTTGAAGATATTTCAAAAAAGGGTGTTATTTTTAAAAATAAGATGAAATATTATTTCCTATGTGTTGTTAAAAGCCAAGAATATCCAGTGGACTGACTTAAAAAAAAACTGGATATCAGTACCATTGAATGATACAGTTAATGATGTACCATACAGCATGCTAAACGTTTTACCTATACTATGTCATGTCATCACTAAAACAACTCACTATGTTAAAAAGTATCTCCATGTTACAGATATGGAAATAGACTCTTAGACTAAATGACTTCCAAAGGTCTCGTAAATATGACAGTAGCAGACATACCTTTTGATCATGAGTTTTTCTGGCTCCAGAGCCCATGGTTTTCTACCCTTTTCTATGGAGTCTGTCCACAGCAAAGTAAGAACACAGTGGGAGAATAAATCACTGGGTCTGGAGTCCCAGTATGTGAGTCTCAACTTGGCTCTGCCACCTACTGCAAGCAAATTACTTAACATCTTTGAATCTCTGAGTCTTCATTTTAACATAGGATGCTTTAAGAATTAAACAGCTTACACAGAAAATGAAGTGTCTGGCATATAGTCAGTTTATGAATATTACTTCCCCTGACATAATTTTCATTCATTTAGATGAAGAAGGAGACTGGTCATGACATGTATTTTTAAGACTTGCTGCATGCTACACGATGCATGAATGAGTGCCATCAAGTACTTAATTATCTGGCTGGAAGAAAGATAACATCATCCATAGACAAACTGAAAAATGAGGTTGGATAAAATGTCTGTGGTTTTTTTAATCCTTCCCAGTAATGCACAGCTTGGAACATACATTGACAAATATTTTTATCTTCATATCAATTCAATTAATTTAAACAGGATATAAAGTTAACGTATAGATTTCAACTCAGGAGCATTATTATTTTTTAACTAGTGGTGTGAATCGAGTTATCTAGTGGCTGATATTTATAAAACAGTACAAATCTTATTTAGTGAAAAATCTGCTTCTAAGCTGGGCGACGTGCAGGGCTCTCTAAATCTCATCAGCACAAAAGCCAAAAAGGTTAATCCTGATTTAGCCGCCTAGACATTTAAAGCTGATCAGCTGTTTCTGTCCTTTTGTTCCACTCCACCTGCACAAATCCTTGAAGCTCCATTTAACCCTGTTCCAATGTGCTGGGTATTGGGAGGGCCCCAGGCTAGTGACATGAGGGACTTTCCTGAGAATGCTCATCACCACCCATTCCCTGCACGCAGGCGGCACTGCCTGCCAGAGGGCTCATGCATGCTGTCCAGAAACTCATGTGAGAAAGACATCCATCTGTCACAGCTTTCTATTGTGTAGGGTCCTATAAGAGTTCTTGTATACTCTTTATTTTTGTTTAAAGACAAACAACAACAAAGAGTAAACAACCAGATTTTTGCAGTATCAAGAGGTTTTTGTTGAAGCTGGTACATCTGCAAATTGAGAATGTCCAGGAACTATGTTCTTTGCAGTATCAATGCAAGAAGAGCCAAGAGTAGACAAGGCAAGAAAGACTAAGAATCACAGAGAATTCTGCAGCTCAGTGGATCTTTTCCTGTCATCAAACAAACAAGCAAGTAAGCAGCAATGAATAAATTGGAAATTGTTGTGCTCAACACATGCATTTTGCTAAGTCAAAATATAAATGAATGAATGATTTAGTGAATTATAATTAATTAATTAAAGTAGGTCCAGAACTGGGAAAAGGAGAGGGGAACTCAAATCTCTGATTTAAAAAAAAAAAGAAAAAAAGAAAAAAAAGGCCTTCCTTGATCCAATCTCCTTCTCTAATTGTCATCTCCTTTCTCTCTTCCTTATAGTGCTTTGGTTCAGATCTGGCATCCATAGAATTTACTAGCTGTAGGTTCATGGCAAGTTACTTAAATACTCTGCCCTTTATTTCACCATCTGTAAAAAGAGAATAATGATAGCACATACCTCACGGAACTTTTGCAAGGATTAACTAAATACCTACAAGGAATGCTGAACTGATGAGCAGCACTAAGAGGCCATGGCAAGTCTGGGTCTGCACATGTCTGCAGGACAGGAATGGCCACCACATTTTGAGAATGTTTCTCATCGATGTGGGACACACTGTGAAGAAGAAGGTCCTACAGTAGGACCTTCAAGGAAAGAGGCTGATGGTAGCATGTAGTTTACTGAAGAAAGACTTTAACTCAAGAATTTGGATATAAAAATCGGAGCTGGTGGTGGTAGGAAATAAGGAGAAATAAAAGAACCTTCAGGAGGTGTCCTCTCCATCAGGAAAAAAACTCTGGGTTGGGAGAATTGAGAAATGTTAGGAGGAGAAGAAGGAAGAAGATGCAGGCTGGAAAATATCTCACACACCAACATCAGTCACAGAAGACTCAGTGAGAAGTGTTAACAGCACCGCTGTGTTAGTTCAAGTCCTCTGAGAAGCAGAAACCAAGATTGGATTTTATATGCAGGAGATTTATGGAGGAAACACTTGTGAAGGAAAAGGGGAAGGGAACCAGATGAGGCAGGGGATTTAAATGAGCTGGGAATGGTTATGTGCAGCAACCATTCAGACTGTGATGTGGGTCTAAGCCCTGTGAAGGAGATGGGGAAGGAAAGAAGGATGGGAAGAAGGGGTCTCAGATTTCAGTGCACCTCCAGGGAAGTCTTGGCCAAGCTAATAGGAAATCCTCAAGCCAAGTCACCCATCAGAGGGGGCTCTCATCCTACAGGGAAGAGCTTGCATTAATCCCTGCAGTGCTCAGTCTTGGGCTGAGAGAAGCCTATGGGAAGTGTGGCCTCAGTGGGAACAGATGACAGATGGGGCCATTAGTCAATAATACACTCACAGCAGGAGATCTGAGAGTTCATTTTTATGGCCACCACATTCCTCTTGTACTGCACAGATCTATTCTGCATACAGCCTTAGGAGTGGCTGCTCCATGGCTCCTTGAAGCCCCTCTTACTTAAGGGTGTTAGTTGGCCTGAGAGTCACTACAGGTTCTCATCCTCTCCCACCTCCACTATCCATTCGAAATTCCACCACCCTCACTATCATCATTCATTTCTGAACGATCGGAACTCTTGACAGGCATACTACCTTTCTGGGCTTGGAGTTGCTGTCATATCCATTCACAGGTCTAATAGTGTAGAGAGTGTCAGCAGATGCCAAAGTGGATCAGAAGGTTCCACACACATTCCTCCCTGCCCCCATAGTGCAAAGGCAGCCCTATGCCCCCTGCTGGTCAGGAGCCATTACCCCTGCCAAGATAGTGCCTTTTCTTCTTGCCTGCTGGTCCCTAACAAAGTTGTCCAGAGTGCTTTGGCAAGAGGGGTACCTTGGACTTCAATAGGACCTGACTATGTCCCCTGGAAGGAGGCTACCCTCTCTGGGGTCCAGGACCTCCAATTCAGAGAGCCCAGAGTTTCAGGAACAGGAAGCACAAATTCTCCAGTGGATCGCTGGGAATGATGCTAAGTTAAGCCATTTCTGCTTTTACCCCTTAGTTCCCAGACCAATACATTCTTTCTGTTGGGGACATGGTGTCATAGAGAGGTCTCTGATTAAATGCACATACTGCATCTTGAAAGATAGCACCCCATCCTTTCAGAGAGTTCCCTCTGAGCTAGTGCTTCAACCAGGACTTCAGATGGCCATTCCACAGCTTTTTGAGGCTAGCTCCTTCTGGATGGTAGGCAGCAAAGTATGTGATAAAATCAGTGGATCCTATGGTGATTCCTCTCTTACTCCTCCTTTGCTGTAAAGTTAGATCCCTGGTTGGATTCACATTTGGTAGGTCAGACTAGATAGCAGTGCTGGCTGAGACTCTATGGATCCCCAGATAGTTGTGCTGGCTGAGATTCTGCAAACAGGAAAGGCATCCACATACCCAGAGTAGATATCCATCCCTGTGAGGATGAACCACTTGCCCTTTCCAGATGGACCCAATGTAGACACCTTGCCACCAACTGGCCAGTTGGACTCCTCAAAGAATATCCTATATTAAGGGCTCAGATTTAGCTCTTTCAGACAGGTAGGCCATTCAGAGACAGCAGAGGCTACATCTAAGTCATGCACAGTTCGTATCTGCCACTCCATCTATACTACCTATAGGCACTACATGACCTTGGGCAAATCATATGACCTCTATGTACCTTAGTTTCCTTTTGTGAATAATCAGGAGGGTTGGACTCAATTCCCCTGAAATTTCTTCTGTGTCCAACACCATGAAATGCTATGATACAAAGATCTGGGATATTAGTGAATAGGGATGTGGTGTTCCTGTAACCTTGAGTCTATGTACTGCAAGCCCTCACTTGAATTGTTTGAATTACCATTCTATGGAGAATTGGCATAAATTCACAACAATCTAAATTGTAAAATACTTGAAAGAAGTTGTGTTACTTTCAAGTATACCACGGTTACTCAAACCAGGCTGACAAATTATTGCCTAGTAAAGAACCTACCTTAGTCAAGAGATAAAACACGGTTTTTCTCACTTTGCTAATTTGCATATGAATGGATTGTTTAAAAATTGAAACAAAACCAAAAACACCCTAAACTGCTTCCTCTTCTCCCTGCCTCAAATTCACTACTTAATCAGGTTTGTTATCACCACCAGCAGGGCCCTTCACTTATACCATTTAGGATAGGGTATCATCAGGATGACAGATGAAAACAACGCAGTAAAATCCAGACATTTCATGATCAAAATTGAGGTTTCAGGGTGTCAGCCAGTTGTCTCTTTTCTCCTACTCTTCCCTTCCTGGGACTTCCTGGGTACTCTTGTCTAGTTTGACCTTAACAAGCTTCTTCAGTTCTCTGTGGCCTTTCTCAGCCTTTTCACCTATAAAAGAATGACAATTTTGCCTACCTACAATGTGGTTATGAAGATTAAATGAGATAATAAAGTGGTTAGCTAGCCCAGTTTCTGGAGTGTGGCATTGAGTATACAATCATTTTCATTATTTCAATTTGTGAATGATTTTATTGCCTCACTCCGCTTCCTCCGTGCCAATAGATATTCTCACCCTATTTGCCAGGGCTTTGAGTCTCCTCTTAACTCTCTCAGTTCTCAGTAGAAAGTTAATGTCCACCTTTTCCCTGTTCCAGACATTATCATTTCACACGTGTCTGGGTCTCAGTAATTCCCCAACATCCAGGACCCTGTATCATCTTCACACCTCCAAAGTGAGGGTGTTCCAAAGGATTTTGTTTTCAAGTATGTTCAATATTCTTCTCCCCTTCCTCCACTCACACAGGCAATTTTCATATGGTGATAATTGGCACAATCTGTGAAGGATGACCTCATTTACCAAACAAAGATAAACCATTGCTTGACTTGGTCCAAAGTATCAGAGTTTGGTTTGGGCTAAATATCCAATGTGTCCTCAAAGCAAATTATTTGATGAAAAGCAATAGCCCTAAAATAAATCTCCTCAAAAATAAAAGTTCATCTTCCCCAATTCCCTCCCCCCAGTTTAAAATCAGTTCTATCAAAACCTTTATTTATTGATGGAAAGAGGCTGCAAGTTTTAGGTGATGTTACTGACCAATGTCTAGTGGCAAGTAATGGTTTTCAAATTCCCTCCATTTTCTTTTTTTTATTATTATTATTTTTAAGTTTTGTCTTCAAGACATAATAGCTGTATATATTTATGCAGACCATGATATTTTGATACATGTATACATTGTGTAATGATCAAGCCAAGATAATTAGCCTATTCATTACCTCAAACACCTGTCATTTCCTTGTGGTGGGAATATTCAAAATCCTCTCTTCTAGCTATTTTAAGATATATAATACATTATTGTCAATGATAGTCACCTTGCTGTACAATAAATCACCAAATCTCACAGAAGCAAAAATAGAATAGTGGTTGCCAGAGGCTGGGGAGGAGGATGGGGGAAGTAGAAGAGGTTGGTAAACAGGTAGTTTTTTTTTTTTATTTGTAAGTTTGATCAGATGTAATCATCCCAAAGTCACAGATAAGGGAGCAGGCTCAGAGGAGACATGCAGATTGTCAGGGATCACAGAGATAACAGAATGGCTCTAAATATTTTCTTATTTAGACTAGATTGGGGTCAGCAAATGTTTTCTGAAAAAGGAAAGATAGTAAATATTTTAGTCTTTGTGGGCCGCATATGGCTTCTGTTGCCTATTCTTCTTTATTATATTTTTCACAATCTCTTAAGAACGTAAAAATAATTCTTGGCTCACATGCCATATTAAAAACAGGCAGTGGGCTGGATTTGCCTGCAGGCCAGAGTTTGTCGACCCCTGAACTAGAACAATTTTGCTGATCCATTATTTGCATTTTATTTTTCACCCTGTTCTATAAACCAAAAAAAATTTAAAATGCCTTCAGGTTTTATAACTAGTTTTTGTTTTTGATTACAGAGACGAGGAGTGGGTAGTGTTTGTTTCTTTGTTCAATAGTGGTAACCATAGGAATTTGGATGCTTTCTTCATAGTCAATTCTCTTCCCAAAGGTTTTTAAAATAAATTTAGAATCTATAGGTCCCAAAACTAACAGGTCTGCCTAAAATAACTAAATAGTTTGACTATATTTCTATGAAGAGAAAACATTCAGTATAATCCCTTTAACTTAAAAATATCTTACGTAGTCTAAATTTCCAAGGATTTTGCATGGTGTCCTTATTTCCAAAAATTTCTGGATATAAAAGGGAGAGAAAATGGGACTTTTGAGCATTTTAAGCTGAACTTTACTACTTGTCATCACTTTGTACTTAAACAGTGAGTCTTTCTCTGAAAAATTAATCAGCTCATATGAATAGCTCACAGAAAAGTCAAAATGAATATAAAGAATTAGGTTCTTTCATCAACATTCACTTGTCTGACTATTTAGTCTTCATGACTTTTTTAGGGGTTAAAGATCATTGTCCATGTCAATTCAGAAAAGGCAAACAGGAAATCAATGCCATGTTAATAACTACAAGGGTCACCCTGGGTGAAAATAAGTCATTCTTCTTATGTTATTGGTCTACATCTGTTATGGGAATTGCTGTTCTTTCGTTCTAGATTTATAGGAAATGTGGAGTATCAGTAAGCCAGATGTTAAGATAACCAGCTTCATAATCTATTCCATATGCTAATTGTTTCACAAACCTACTCATTTCTACGATCAGGTGAGTCAAAATCTTTCTGGCACAGTATTGATGAAAAGCATATCCCATGTGTTGTACATTACACAATTGGCATCGACACCATAGAGATAAGGTCCATCCCTCTTTCCCTTCCCCTACCTTCCTTTACAGAATTAAGAATCGGCCACAGCCAGAAGGTGGATACTCCATGGGCTCCATCAATTCCTGCAGGTGCATTTCTAAACCAGGCCACAGGTGACAGTCAGTCTTTTCCTGCCATTCTACATAACTACCTGTTTCTTCTTCACGGCCCTCAGTGTCACTTTCTTTTGCATCTTTGCACATTCCCTTAGTGTTTTCCCAATTTTCCTTTAAATCAAAGAATTGTGGGCTATTTCTGGGACGTTTTCAATTTGAATCTGTCATATAATCCTATCTAATAACAGCGATTAGATTCCATATTTAAAATAAATGTATAACACAACTATAACCCATATGTAGAAGGAAATGTATATCCATATAGCATTTATTATCTAAATGCTTGTTATTCCCACTGCTGAATCTTTCTTCAGATACTAGTTTTGGTCTTAATTATAATAGTCTCTTTCCCAGTAATTTCACTATCCATACAAAATCAGAAACATAGACCATAGGATCCAGTGGACCAGTAGTTCTCAAATTTTATATGCACAAGAATTAGAAGAAGAATTTGTCAAAAACACAGATTGCCAAGTCCCACCATAGGGATTCTAATTCAACATATCTGAAGTAGAACCTAGAAATATGAATTTTTCCAAGCCCCCAGGTAATCTGATGTAGGCAGTCCACTGGACATGTATAGAATCCAATGAGTTAGGGCCCTGTGGGAAACACTCTGAAAAGCACTGGACAAAAGTTGGGCTGAGTTTTCTTAATGATACAGCCAGAGCAAAGTAACATAATCATCATCAATTAGTAAACTTATAGATCTCATTGGTTAGTGTATTAGGGCTCTCCAGAGAAACAGAACCAATAGGATGTGCAGATATACAGAAAGAGATGCATTTTAAGAAACTGGATGATTCTGGAGGCTTGGGGAGTCCAAAATCTAATGGGGGAGATTGGCAGGCTGGTGGCTCAGAAAACAGTTGTAGTTCAAGTTTAAAGGTAGTCTGCTACCTTTATGGGATCCAGGAAGAGCCCATAAAAGTCCAAAGGCCATTGCTACAGAATTCCCTCTTGCTCATGGAAGATCATCCCTATATTCTATTCAACCTTTCAGCTGACTAGATGAGACCCACCCACATTATGGAGGATTCTCTGCCTTACTCAAAGTCCACTAATTTAAATGTAAATCTTACCCAAAAACGTCCTCACAGAAATATTCATAATAATATTTGACTGAATATCTGGGCACTAAGATCAGCTGAGTTGATATATAAAATTAAACATTGCAGTCAGGGTACCCAGTTAAGATTCAGGCTAAGATTCAAGGGTCATGAGCATAATCCTATAACCCTCTGATTATCCGATTCATCAGTTCTCTAGTTGTAGTGCCACCACCTCTAGGATATAACTTCTAAAGTAAAATTCCTCCCTTTAGTAGGCAAACATACTGATTGACTGTTGACTATTTTTTAAATTTGTAGAGTTGATCATACTCCTCACCCTCTCCCTCTCCCTCTCTTTCTCTTTCTCTGTGTGTGTGTGTGCATGTGTGTGTATGTGTGCATGCGTGTGTTTCTGACCCAAATCATCAGAAGAGTAATGGCAAACATTTTAAAATAGTTATCTGTAGTTAACAATACTTCCAGTGATGTTGGGGATATAGTTAATTTCTTTTTCATTTAGGAATCAAAGGCCCCAAGTTTTTTAGCATTAGGCTCTAATTGAATAACCTGATTTTTTTTTTAAATTAAAACAGGCTTTGAGAATGGGCATGAAGTCTTCTCATTATTTAAAAGTGTAGGCTGTAAGCTGAATACTTAGGAGGCAGTTTTACTTTCTCTCTGATACTTCTCCACTCACCCATTCATTCATTCATTCATTCATTCTTTCAGTTACCTTTGTTAAACCACTACCCTGGTCTGAATTTTGACATGCTGGACATATTAATGTGGGTAAGACTGTCTCTGACCTCAAGTAGGTGAAAGTACAATGAGAAACAAACATATATACAGTAAAAATAATCATAACCACTTTCTAAGTGTTTATTTATAAGAAACATACTGTATTTTTTTCTAGACCTCACAAAATTCCTAAACAGTGGTTAATCCCATTTTACCTTGAGAAAAATGAGACTAGGAGTGGTTAAATAACTTGCCTAAGATCTCACCACTAATTTCTAAGTCAGCAAACTATACATCTACTCCTGCATGTGTCTAACTCCAAAATCCACACTCTTACTCTACTATAGAACTACCAACAATAGTAGCCCAATAATGGACTCTAAATCTCTGAAAGAAGGTTTAAATAACAGTCTACATACAATTCAAAAGCTTATTCACTTCTCTTTAATCTTTACATCTTCAAAGTGAGAAATCATTAGTTCTTTTCCATCATTTACTTAACTGAGATTCAAAATACTCAGACTTCTGGAGAGAGTCTTTTATTTGTAGGTGCATCCTTTGTTCTCAGAATTTTTCATAACTCTGGTTGTAAAAAATCTATCAAATGATTACTATATGTTTCCTTATTTGAATATCAGAGGAATGTTGATCTTTGAGATTCTCTTTGAAAAGATATTTTCATGAGTTGGAACTCTAATTTCTTAAATCAGTGTCAGTCCAACAGGGATCCAACGACCCCCAAGGGAATCTTCAAGAATTTTCTTTTGCTTTTAAAAGAAGTAGGGTGCAGTGGCTCACACCTGTAAGCCCAGCATTTTGGAAGGCCGAGGCAAGAGGATCACTTGAGGCCAGGAGTTTGAGACAAACCTGGGCAACACAGTGAGACCCCATCTCTACAAAAAATTTCAAATATTAGCCAGGCACTGTGGTGTTCACCCGTAGCCCCAGCTGCTCAGGAGACTGAGACAGGAGAATCTCCTGAACAAGTTTACAGTAAACTATGGTTGTACCATGCACTCCAACCTGGGTGACAAAGTGAGATCCCCCCTCTCTAAAAAAAAATGAAACAAGTAGGACCTTATTAAAGAGCTGCTGCACAGCAAAAGGAACTATCGACAGAGTAAACAGACAATGAACTGAATAGGAGAAAATAATTGCAAACTATGCATCTGACAAAGGTCTAATATCCAGGATCTGTAAGGAACTTAAATAATTCAACAAGCAACAAAACAAAACAAAACAAAAACCATTAAAAAGCGGGCAAAAGACATGAACAGACATTTCTGTTATAAAAATAAACTGTTGCACCAAAATGACACACACACTTGTATGTTCATCACAGCACTAGTCACAATAGCAAAGACATAGATTCAACCTAGGTGCCTATCAATAGGCTTACAAAGAAAATGTGGTACATATCTATCATGGAATACTACACAGCCACAAGAAATAACTAAATTATGTCATTTGCAGCAACATGGATGTAGCTGGAGGCCATTATTCTAAGCAAATTACCACAGCAACAGAAAACCAAATACCACGTATTCTCACTTATAAGTGGGAGCTAAACATTGGGTACTCATGGACATAAAGATGGCAACAATAAATACTGGGGACTACTAGAGGCAGGTGGGAGGGAGGGGAACACGTGTTGAAAAACTAGCTATTGGGTGCTATGCTCACTACCCTAATCCTCAGAACCACACACTACACCCAGGTAACAAACCTGCACATGTACTCACTGACTCTATAATAAAAGTTGAAATTATTGTTTTTAAATGTTTTAAAGAAGCCTATTTTGTTTCAGAGCTTGAGAAATATTGCTTTCCACAAGTGATATCTAGCTGGTTTAACAAACCAGTCCCTGTTGTTTGGGAGACAATAAAATGGAAAATGCATGCTCGGTACAGATAGTCCAATTTTTGGGGTATTTACATGTGCATCTCAGTAGTGAAATTTCTTCAAAGTAGAGCCTGGAGGAGACTATACAAATGCCACCACAAACAAATATCATCAGAGCTTAGATAGTTTCAGAAAGTATTGTCAACTAGAGAAGCTACTTCACATCAGAGAATTAATAGTCTGAAGACTCTTATAAGAAAATTTGATTACAAGTCAAAAACCATGGTGATATCTTCAAGATATGCCCCAAGTTCTTCACTTGCTCAGGAATTTTTGCTGTGTCAAATATTGTCACACATAATTTAGCCATCGCCTGAGGTTTACAGACACATCCATTTTTTTCAGCAAGGCATTTGACATCACTGAATATTACTGAGTAGATGGTATGCATGTGCACCCATGGATACAAACGTAAAGCAGCAGGTTTAGAAACCAACTATAACATAAAAGAAGCAGAGTTTCATTTGGACGTACAAATTTAATCAATAAAAGCTATTTGCTCAATCAAAAATTTTTTCATAAAATGTTACAGGGGCTTGCCAATTTATGGGCTCCGTTCTTGAGAGAACTTAGTTCTGTCCAAATCTTGGTTCTGTATGTTTTCTCTTCCCTCTAGCATAAAGTAAACTTCTTATGACACGATTATGGTAAACTTTTATCGGTCTGTCAAATCTTCGTGTGATTTTTTTCGTGTGTATATATTTTTTTCTCTCTTCCAAAATGCTGAGAGATTCAGTTTGGTGACTTGAAAGCCTGAATAAATTCTTGGACCAAGTCAGTCAAATCAATTGCCAAATCCAAATGTTGGCTGGAATACCAGAACACTTTTATGCTTGTAGAAAATGTCCTGGTTTTCTTGGTCAGGGCTGCTTTGAGTGTTGGCTTGGTTCCTCTCATAGCACCTGGAGAAAGGTCCATACTTCTTAGAAAACAAAAGAAAATCTTCTTCAGAATTATCTATTTCTGGAAAAGTTAAGAGTTTCATTTATATTCTGAAAATGGGTGATTGCTTTGCCTGTTGTGAACCAGTTGTACTAAGGGTAGAAAGCATAAAGCTGAAAAATTTGTCCATCCAAGCCTTCCTTGAGCATCTGTGCTCAGTGATGAGGGTGCACAGATGAAATGGATGTATTTTCACTTCTCTAAGTGCTAAAATCTACTGGAAGATACAGACATATAAACAGATAATTATAGTACCATATAATAAGTGCTGTAAAGATATGTGAATACAGTGATATGGAAACCTAAAGGAGGGGAATATTTTTATATGTATCTGTGCATTGCTATTCTTCGCCATTACTGGCACTCTTTCTAGAAGCCTCATGAGAAGGAGACAAAAACAAAGAAGTTCTGAATCTGCATCTGGAAGTATCACACAGAGGGGAGGGCTTCGCTGTATTGGGGTTGAATAAGGTGCTGATAAGCCAAGTATTATTACCTGCGTGTGTAGAGCTTTGACTATTTCCAGCACGTCGCTGAGGACGGAGGCTTCTCAGTGGCGGTGCCAAGGAAACTGTTGGAGGTTGCCAGTCATTTTAGAGAAATGCCATGGAACGCAGCATGCCAGATGGCTACTGATGAAAGTGATGAAGGTTCACGCTTAGAAATGAAGTCCAATTCCATATTTGGTCCTTCTTTCCTTCCTTCTCTTTTGAAGGCATAAGACAGCACAAACTCAGCCTTATTCTACTCTTGCCCTACAAAATTGCCATCATCCTTTTCTCTTTTATAAAGTACTGGAGAGATACAGTCAAGTTACATCTGCTTCATTCCCAAAGGCTCAAAGGCTCCCCCGGCCCATCTCTCGCTGCACCAGGCCCTTTCTCTCTTGACCCTTCTTACTCCTCTTCTCACTCCTCCTTTGCCTGCCAGGAATCACTGTCAACAGAACCCACGGAGGGTCGGCTGCCTGCCGGGGACTAGTTTCTGTAAGGTAAGCTTTTCCCATCTCTACATCTCATGGAAGAAGAAAAAAGAAACGCTCCGCTGGAAATGTTTTATGATGACCCTCATTTGTAGAAGAAGTTCACCTTTCCTCTTTTGAGGATAACCATAACCTCCAGCCACGTTTCCTTTCTCTAACCAGTGCATGATATTAGGGTTAAATGCTTCTTCCTCACTCCCATTGTCCTGGTGGAGGGGACCCCACTGGGGTTACAATGCTGGTCTGGCTCCCCGCCCCCCACCCTGCCTTTTCGCACTCTCCTGGGGGAAGTGGAGTGGTAATGAGGTAATGGGGAGAATAAACACAGCCTGCTTCTCCCAGCACCTTGCTTCTTTCACACCAGGGGCCACGCCTCCACCGCTCCTCCTGTCAGGGCTTGGGTGGGTGAGTGTGCTTAGTCTTGGCTCAGCATCCCTAGGTCATCTAGTCACTAAGGTGACATTTCGATTCTCTGTTATTAGGTCCTCTCAAAGAACCCCCTGCAGGTAAGAAGTAGTCATATGAACTCCAAAAGTTAGCCTTCACTCTCTCTAAGCAGATTCATGTCAGACAAAACCTTATATCCATTTCTGCTTTTTGGCTTTGAGGTACAGGAGGCCTTACGAGGAGAAAAGGAAATGGCAGCACATTTCTCAGTCCGTCCTGAGGACTGTAAGAAGGGCTTAGATGAAACATAACAAGTTAAAAGAATTCCACATTTTGGTGGCTTTGATTCTTGTCCTTCAGAATGGGTTAAACACACACACACACACACACACACACACATTCTGACATTTGGAGGTTCTGAGCCTTGGGTCTCTCCCTTCCTCCCACCTAGCATGTCCTCATAACTATATCTCGAAAAGCTATTCTTAAAGCTTTCCAAGAAGTGTTCTCTCATCTACAGAGTAATGTCTCCTTCCTCTAGTTTTCCACTGTACTTGCTCTAACGGCATTTGAATGAATGAGTGAGTGAATAAATGAATGAATGTGTAATGACGAAAGAAATGGAATATCCTTTGCTTGCCCATCTACAGAAGAGAGATGGAGCCTTCCCTGTTCCTCTTCAGGGTTACTTTTCCTCTGCCACTTTAAGCTCCATCGAAATGCCTCAGGGGCTGCAAGAGTCCAGAGCTCTCCATAAAATAATCTAATAAAAACTGTGAAGAACAAGGCAGCTCAGAAAATGCAACTTCATTTTCATCACCCTGGACTTTGCTTTGCATTGCCTTGGACTCTTGGGTCAGCATAAGGTCTGTAACCTTTAGGGCCTGGAGCCTTTTTGTTTAGGCCAGGTAGCTCAGCTGCCCAGCCTGAGACCAGGTCTCCACTGGCACAGGATGGTGAGGCAGAGGGCAGTGTTCCAGACGATTCAGAAGAGCAGAAACTAAACTTGGCTTTTAAAAAAAGCCCGAGGAAAGCAATTTTGATGCCTGGATAATCACCCCAGTTGCTTAAAAAGCATGCCAGTGGAAACCTGTCCCAGGGGTTCCAAGCTTAGGAAATACAGTGATTGAAGCTCCATCCAGAAGGAGGGTAGCAAGGCAATTAAGCAGAGGAACAAGTGGGACCTTTGCCTGGAGCAACTTCTGTTCCATCAATTGAGGGAATTTACTTGCCCTCAAAGGAAGGTTATTTTAGCACCTGGCATCAGAATTCTCAATATATGAGCTTTGCAGTCTCCTTTGATCTGAAATTACTAGTTCCTGGATTATCAGGCAGTAACCAGGGAAGGGAACATGTTCTCTAGCTGCACTTGGCTCATTGGCTGTGATTAGCTCAGAGAGCTGCAGCCCCCACGTGGTTAACCTACTTCAAGTATAGGTTTACTCATCACAGCTTCCTTCTAAAAACTCAATTGGACAATATTTTGTCACCTTTAAGGTCAGACTATATCTATGCCATAGGTTACCTTCAGCTTCTCCCATCTTTCATCCCCCAGCCCTACAGTGATGTCCTCAGTGATATGGTGCCACCCAAAGAGGCCCAAGGTATTGTTTTGTTGTGTTTTGTTTTAGAAGGAGAAGGACTTTGGGTTTCTAGTTTCAAATCTCAGGGGTGTGACTCAAGTAATTTTACTTCTCAGTTTCCTCCTCTAAAAAACTAAAATTGCAAAACATAATCTCATACATTTGTTGAGGACCAAGTGAAACATTTTATGTCAAGGACCAGAACAGTGACTGGCATATCATAAATGCTCAATAGATAATTGCTCCCTTCCTCACTCTTTCCCCCAAGTAGGCCCTGGAGAGCTCTTCTGGACCAGAGGCTATGGTGGTGCACTCGTGATAGCCGATTGTTAAATCTTCAGGAATTGTGTGATCCAGTTGATCAGTTTGATATTGGCTGTGGTGGAAGCATTCACATCACAGAAATCAGCAAACACAGTAAGTCAGAGCTTCCATCCACTCACCCAGAGATTTGGTTCATCACCATAGCACCACGTAGTTAGATCACCTAGAACCTTTCTAGGTTTGTATTTCTAACAATTTGCATTTCTAAAAATGCAAATTAACCAGTCACACCCCAGACCTTCTGCATGGAAGAAATCTGTGTTTTAACAAAGCTTCTTAGTAAGTGTGCCTGATATGTTCAATGACTAGCAGGGAGATGAGTGTGGGAGGAGTGAAGTGAGCCAGACGAAGAATAGGAAGAGATATGGTCAAAGAAGAGATAGGGTGGTGGTAGGAGCAGGGAGTATCGTTGGCCATTGTAAGAATTTTCACTTATGTTCCAAGTGATAAGGAACCCACTGGAGGGTTTTGAGCAGAACGTAATGTCTTTTAAATCTCATTTAAAGGGATCACTCTGGTTGCTGTGTAAGGGTGATGAGAGACGACAGTGGCTCAGACTCAGATGATACAGAAATACATGGTGAAAAGTGGTTGGATTCCAGATATATTCTAGAGATAGAACTAATATAATGTGTTGATGGTTTAGATGTGGACAGTAATAAAAAGAGAGAAGTAAAGGATAATTCAAAATTTATTTAGTCTGAGAAGCTGGACAGATTTTTACTAAGATACAGAAAAGAAATAGGCTGATGGAAGGTGGAAGGTTGGTGATTAGGAAGTCAGTCCATTTTGAACATATTGGGTTTAGAAAGTCTATTAGAAATCAAGAGGAAATGTCAAGGAGGCCATTAGATATGAGCCTGGAGTTTGGAGGAGAAGTTGGGTTGAAGATTTACCTTTGGAAGTCACCAGCTTCCAGATGGTATTTGGTGACCTGTGATAAGATAGCTCAGTAAAAGAATCAGATAGAGAGAAGTGGATCCTAGCCCTGGAAAGCATGGAGATCTGGAAGATATGGACAAACTAGCAAAGGACACAGAGAAGGAGCAATCAGTGAGTATTAGTTCAATACATATTATGGTAGCAATCAGAGAGATGAAATAATATACTGCAAGTGGCTGTGTTACTTTAGTTGTGTGTCATTTCCTAGGGCCTCCTGTATAACTTAACTATGAGTGTGTAGTGTAGAGTTCACTCACAGCCTTCTGAATGAACGTACTGGATTCCGAAAGCAGTGTGGAGTTACATGTGAAGGCTGGCCCACTGAGCCAGTCTGTTCTCCCTTTACCCACTAAGATCCTGCAGGACTCTCTTCTCCCTAAGTAATAGAAGAGTCATTACCCCAAAGCTAATCGCAGCCATCAGCTGGCTCAGCAGATGAGGCTGACACTGTGCCTGTGTTTGTGAATGTTTTGGTTTATCAAAAAGAGCATGCAATTATCTTTAAAATATAATTCTCTGTCTTTAACATAAGCCAGAACTGTCAAACCTCCTTAGGCCCAGAGTGCTTTTACAAGGACAGTTTATTCAATTACCTTTTTAAGCTTTTAAAAGTCTGTGACTGACTCATTTGAGCAAGTGAGGAAAAAAGACAAAACATCAGTATCTCGCTGGAAAAATACTGTGGTTATTGGCACTGAAACAAAAATAACGCTCTGATCAAGGCATTGTGTTACTCAAATCAAGTGTATGCCTCACCTTTTTCATAAGAAATCTTCCTGCATTGGGAACTTCATGAGTCAGAATATTTGTGACCTACAGTGTGGCCTTGGACAAGTTCATCTCACTGTCATTTTCTTTTCAGGTAAAATGGGAACAATAATACCGACACAATAACACGTGTGTGGGAAGCACCCAACGCAGTGATATTCAATAACTCCTTTTCCATTGCCCTTAAAATATACACGGCCACAAGTGGCTTACATGTCTGTTCCACACTGAAAGAACTGCTGCCACTGCTGTCTGTCCTATCCCATCCCAACCATCCAGTCCCTCTCCAATCTGTAAGGCATGTACTTGGGATCTATTTTACCAAAGCAGGGCGTTCTGACTAAACTGTTTATTTGAAGAGAATATTAGGACATAGTCTCATCAAAACTACTATGAACAAAATGAAAAATGACTTTAAAAAATTGGCTTATGCCTGTAATCCTAGCACTTTGGGAGGCCGAGGTGGGCAGATTGCCTGAGCTCAGGAGTTCAAGACCAGCCCGGGCAACATGGTGAAACCCTGTGTCTACTAAAAACACAAAAAATTAGCAGGGCATGGTAGTACGTGCCTGTAGTCCCAGCTACTCAGGAGGCTGAGGCACATGAATTGCTTGAACCTGGGAGGCAGAGGTTGCAGTGAGTCAAGATTGTGCCACTGCACTCCAGCCTGGGCGACAGAGCGAGACTCTGTCTCAAAAAAAAAAAAAAAAAAAAAAAAAATTACAAAGTGATGTGCAAGGCAGGAAGGCAGACATTGCTGACCTTCTACTTTATCCATGATCCTCACCTCAACCCTAAACCCCTTTCTCAAGAGAAGGAGTGAGGATGGCTATTTCCCACATTCCTTGAGAGTTTTGCTAAACTGAAAATTTAATGCTCACTTTCATAACCTAGTTGAAACATATGGGTAAAGGTTCCTTTCAAAGTAACATGCACCCATCTTTGTGGTTGACAAGGAAGCTGGTGACAACCAAGTAAGGTATTCTCAGATGCCAAGCCATGCCGAGCAAAGCGGCCTTGCTCAAGGTGGAAAGCCAATGAAGCAACTTGCTAGGGGATGCACATCTGAGAAGGAACCAGCCGAGCCTCCCATCCATAGGATAAATTAGTATGAGGATCATTTTAAATGTAATTTCCCAAAGTAGTTCATTCTCTCATGTATCACACTTTTCCAAGGGAGACCTTTCATCTTACTTCACTCTGGCTCCTTCTAGAAATATTCTTAGAGATGAAAAATATCATAGCAAGCAGCAAGCAATAGGGCAATTGTGGTCACTGTCCTCTGGGAGAAGGAAACTCAGATTTTACCAGCTCAGAAGAAAATCCAAAGGAGTTGTTTTCTAACCACTCCTTCCTTCTTGAAGCTCTCCCCTCTCAGCCTCCTGGAGTTGCTCCTGCTTTTATGATTAATTATTTTCTGTTTCCTCAGTGAGTTCCCCTGCCTCTGCCTACCTCTTCTTTCCTCATGCTACACATACTCACTCTCACTTTCTCCACCCCAGGCAGAAAGAAGCACCAGGAGATCCGAAAGTGAATCATAAATGTGCTGGGATTTCAGAAGATGTTACTGGATGCAGGAATGGAGAGGACCTGGCTTGGAAATTTCAAGTAAAGGGGTACCAGAGTTGAATAGGGGATCCATGCCTGAACAATCAGTTAGAGAAAATTAAGAGCCAATTTTTTTCTGTTGCCGTGGTTTCAGCTCCCATTTCTATGCTGAGGAATCCTGAAATCTCTATCTCTAGCACGGTATTTCTCATGAGCTTCTCAACTCTTTATCTTAATGGCCATCTTCCCCTGAACAGTCCACAGAAAAGTGAAACTGAAAATGTCTAAAATCATATGATTCCTTTCCTGCCTTCAAACCTACTTCTCATTCTGTTTCCTACACTTTTGTGGAGCCCCCATCTATCTAGTTATCCACATTAGAAACCTATTCCCAACATACCCCACTCATTTCTCAAATTCAATCGCAATCCTATAAATTTTGCATTCCAGATATTTTATGAATTTATTATACTTCTCCATCTCTAAGTCAAAGCAGCAAAATGTTCAATAAGCAGCTCCAGCATGGCCCCAGGCTAATGGCAGTAATTAAATCCAGAATGCATAGGACTCCATGGTGGCATTCCATAAGGAGAATTCTATAAACATATCACCTTTCCGGCCACACATTTTTTTCTTCCAGAAATTAATGTTTACCTTGTAGGAAAGTGCTGGGCATTTTAATTTTTTCCTGAAACTTTACATTCTTATCACCCTCCTAGCTTTCTTTTAACAGGTAATTAACTCGTAAGAATCTTAAGATTCATATATTGGCCAGACCAATGCCATCACTGTCTATTTGCTATAGAGAAGGGGTCCACTGAGAGTCAGAGTAGTCCTGCAGCCTCATGACTGTGACAAGTGGTACCCACAGAGGTTTCCAATGCCAGTGGCAGGCGTGTGACCTTGGGCCCTCTGTGCCTTGGGAGGACACTATCACAGAAGAGATATGCATATCAATTTGGGAAAAGCTGGAAAAAGTTATCAGTCATTTCCTGATTCTATTAAGAATCTGGGAGTCTAGTTTCTACTTGAGTTCCCTAAAGAAATAAAAATATGCACCATTTGGGGATAAGCAGGGAATGGGAGAAAGGGTACAGCATATTACATCCCCATCCCAATCAACAGAAAGAAAATTAGGAAAGGACTGTCAATTCTCATGAAGTTGACATTATTTCATGAAACTGAATTACTCTATAAATATTTAATAATCTACCCTGCCTAAGCAATGTGGGCACATAGAGCTGCAAATAACATTGCCATGATTGTTGTCTTCAGCAAGCTTACAGTACAGCAAGAGACGAAGTCATGGAAACAAGAACTTACAAAGCAATGTCATTAGAATTGTATGTAATGTGTGTGAAGGGAGGTGCAGACATGTGAAGTGGACAGCCAACTAGATTTAGGGGAGAGTGAAAAAAGATATTGCTGCAGGAAATTATATCCAAGCTGAGACCAGAAGTTGAACAAAAGTTGGTCAAGTTGCAGAAAGAGAGTATGCACAGAGGAGATGGGTTCTGGGAGAAAGCAACAGCATGGGCAAAGGCCCAGGAATGGGAGATGGTCGGGCCCATTTAGGACTACAAAAGAAGTTTATCCTAGCTTGTGTAGAACTGATACACAAAGTGATGAGATATAAGACCAGAAAAACAATGTTTGAACTTTGAAGGCTCTTATTGGCTGCATGGAGAAATTAAGACTTTGTCATGTCTTGTGTCTTAGAAATGTCACTCATAGTGAAAAGAATGGATTAAAAGGGGAGAAGGCTAGAGGAAGGGTTATTGATTAGGAGGCTTATTCCAGTAATTTAGATGAGGAATTATGTTGGCTTTTGTTAAGGAAATAACAATGAGGATGTAAATAAGTGGTTATGTTAAAAAATATTTAGGAATTCGACTCAATAAGAATTGGTGATTACCAATCTACAGTTGCAAAGACATGGAACAAACTTAAGTGCCCACTGACCAATGAGTGGATAAAAGAAAACATGGTATATATATACCATGGAACTACTCAGCCATAAAAAGGAATGAAATGTCCTTTTCAGCAACTTAAATGGAGCTGGAGGCCATTATTCTAAGTGAAGTAACTCAGGAATGGAAAACAGAATACCATATGTTCTTACTTATAAGTGGGAGCTAAACTATGAGTAAGCAAAGGCATACAGAGTGATATAATGAACTTTGGAGACTCAGAAGGGGAAGGATGGGAAGGAGTAAAGGAAAAAACATCTACATGTTGGGTATAATATACACTATTCAGGTGACAGGTGCACTAAAATCTCAGAATTCACCACTATATAATTCATCCACATAACCAAAAACCACCTGTACCCCAAAAGCTATTGAAATCTAAAAATAAATAAATAAAAATTTTAAAAATAGAATGGTGATAACAGGAAGACTGAGGAGACAGCAAAACTAAGAAGGACCCCATGTGTCTGACATTAGCAGTTTGTTGGATGGGAATAGCATTCACTGTGATAGGAAACTAGAGAGAAGAAGCAGGTTTGGGGAACGGGATCAAAGGAGGATAATGAGTTGAGTTCCTGATGTTTTCAGTTCTAGATTTTTGCAGTATATACAAGTGGGAATATGCATAGACAGTTGTGTATGGAGGTTAGAAGAGAGATCTGAACAAAGGATAAACATCAGAGAGTCAACAGCACATAATAGTGACAATGGGAGTAGATGACATCTACCATGGAGAAGATGAGAGTAGGAGTTGAGACTTAGAACAGGAACTGGATTTTTTTTTTTACTTTTTTTTAATTTTTAAGTTTCAGGATACATGTGTAGGATGTACAGGTTTGTTACATAGGTAAATGTGTGTCATGGTGGTTTGCTGCACCTATCAACCCATCACCTAGGTATTAAGCTCCACATGCCTTAGCTATTTATCCTGATGCTCTCCCTCCTACCGCCCCCCAACCCCCGACAGGCCCCAGTTTATGTGGTTCACCGCCGTGTCCATGTGTTCTCATTGTTCAGCTCCCACTTATAAGTGAGCCATTATCCTCAGCAAACTCACACAGGAACAGGAACTGGATCTTGCAGAGGAGACAGAAAATGCTCACAGAGGGAAGGAGGGACACTGCGGTGGTCTGGAGAGCGGAAGCTTTTCAGAAGGAGTAGTTTACAACAATATGATGCAGTTATCAAGAATGGATTCTGTATGTGCAGATAATGTGAAGATGTTCAAAATACATTGCATGAAAAGAGCAGGTTGAAGAACAATATGTGTGGTATGATCTCATTGTATATTTTTAAATACTGAATCTGAATGAATATTTCTGGAGAAATACTGAAGAGATGGCCAAAAATAGGTCTTTAAGAAATAAGACTTAAGAGTCACAGAGAAAAAGGGGCTGCAAATTACCACTTAATATACCTCCAATATTGGTAGAATATTTTACCTTGAGTGTATCTTGCATTTGTATAGTTTTTAAGTTAATTAAAAAGAAAGAGAATTGTTGTCAGTATCAGTACTGCAGATAAAGTAAAATCAAAATGAAAAATATTAATTAGCTTTGCAACAAGGAGGTCATTAGTGAATTAATAGAAATATTTTCAGTGGCCGGACATGGTGGTTCATGCCTGTGATCTCAGCACTTTGGTAAGCAGAGGCAGGTGGATTGCTTGAGCTCAAGAATTCAAGACCAGCCTGGGCAACATGGGGAAACCCAGTCCCTAGAAAAAACTACAAAAATTAGCTGAGTGTGGTGGCATGCGCCTGTAGTCCCAGCTACATGGGGGACTGCGGCAGGAGGATGGCTTGAGCCTGGGAGGCAGAGGTTGCATCTGGTGAACAAAGATTGCACCACTGCACTCCAACCTGAGCAACAGAGCCAGACCTTGTGTCAAAAAAAAAAAAGAAAGAAAGAAAGAAAGAAATCTTCAGCGAAGTGATAAGGCTGGATTTGTGGATGGTAGCAATGACATAGGAAAAAAAAAAAGGGGAAAATCTGTGTAAATAGCTCATTCTAGAAGATTGGATATGAAGAGAAGGCAAGAGATAGGGCAATTACCAGAGGGGGCATGTGGTTGAGAAAGAGAATATTTTATTATGGAGAGTTTCTGGCACATTGACATCTTGGTGGAATTTGCCCTAGTAGGCAGAGAACCTCCTGTAGAAGCAGAAAGGTGGACAAGGACTCAAGATTGACATCTTGGAGCAGTAGGAAAAGATTGGACTAAGAAAAAAGTGGACAAAAATTAACCTTGGATAGGAATAGAGACACCTTTCTCACTGCAAAATAAGGTGAAAAGGGAGGAATAAAGGCAATGCAGGTAAGCCTACAGTGTCAGTAGCCACAGTATCTCAGGCTTTTGAAATGTCCCAGATGCCATGAAAATAAATCAAATTTGGTGTTGCAAGCCTTTAGCAGAATAATTTAGAGTTTGAATATTGATGCCTATAATAAAAGCAGATTTTCTCTTTAACATCTTTATCATGCAAAGCAAGCATGCATGATAGTAAAAGATTATATGTGCAACTAGTGTTTTGAAGGGGTTATCATTTATATCTGGATAATTTATATGAATTACAAATTGCTTTTCCCTTATTTATTACAATCAAGAAACCATGCAATATGGTAACACTAATTTATCTTACTCATAATATGTGAGTTTCTTAAGGGCATGGTTTATGTCCTATTTGTCTTCATTTACTTATACTCAGCACAGGGCTCAGCATGCAGTCACTGTTCAATCAATGTTTAATAAATAAATGAATGTAATCCTGAAAATAAAGTTGGTGCTTTATTCTGATATATATTACCACCCAAAATTTTTTCTTTAAAGCCTAAAAAGAAGTAATTGCAAGGGTGTTTTCAGGAAAAGGGAGAACAGAAGAGGTTACAAAAGCTCATAACAGTGAAGACTCAAGGGTGTATATTTATTCCATATTGCTCACCCCAACAGTAGCCATGACTTCAAAATAATAGCGCAAGTTAATGCATTTTCACACCTCAAAAAAAAAGGTTATGCTCTTCACGTCAGCCTGCTGTGCACAATTATAGGAGAGAAACCACGGGGACTAACCGGTTGCTAAAAAGCGTCCAGAACATCAAAGGATTTTTACCAATGCATTCATTCACCAGAGCTGCCCAGTGCAAATTTAATAAGAACCTTTAGTTTAGAAATTATGCATCCTGAATGGCAGACTCTTCTAAATGACTAGATTGCTCCAAGGGATTGAAGAGATGTAATCTAAATAACTGGCTCCATTATTGTTTTCTCCTTGTCAGCTGCAATTACAAGTCACTACCATCCGAGGGCTATTTACCAGTCTGTATAAAAGGGTTTAAATATTCAGCTAACCAATTGGAAATACATCCATGTACTATGACTTGCTCTCCCCACTGGGACTCATACTGACAGCTTAGCAAAAAGAGCCACGAAATTAAAACACATCGCACCTACTTAGCAACATTCCTAGGTGGACCCAGCTCTGACAAGATTCAGGCAGACTGACCAGAAAGCCGTTATTGATCTGCACTCTGATTTTACTCAATAGGAAGGAGACCTTTCAGATATATTAAATTTATGTTTTTAAAGTAAATTCTGGTCTTCTACACAGAGCACTCAGCATAAATTAAAGATGCAGCCCGACTACATCCACACACTAAGACTGGGGCTGTTTTGCTGAGGCATCCTTCTGAAATACTTTGTATTTCTTTCTCTTCTCCTTCCCACTGCATAAGCTAGTATTTTGACAAGCTAACCTCCTATTTCGTGTCTCCTCACATCATTCTCCACTTCTTCTCTTTAATCATAGAGCCCCATGAGTTTTACCTGAGTGCTTGGCCACCACCACTTCTCCCAAACTCTCTTGTGCCTAAACATAACAAAAAGGATGCCAGTGGAAGTGCTAAATGCAATTTCCGGGACCTACCAGGTTGCCCTTTACCTCTACATCTTCCCTCTTCCTTTCTTCAGAAGAGAATTCAGATGTAGAGGTCATGGAGTGTCAACATTGACCAAGAGCATGAGAGCAACCCCGCTACGGAATGGCAGGACAAGCTACAAGGAGCCTGGGTTCCTAGACCCCCACGCAGAGCCAACTGCACCACTCCTCTGATCACCTACCAGCTCATACTGTTATATGAGAGAGAAATCCACTTTGATCTAGTTTGAGCCACTGTTATTTATTCTACTTTGAAGCAGCCAAACCCAAATCCTAACTAATATGAAGAGAGAGAAGAGAATTGAGGAACTGAGAAACAAGTCAGCAGGAAAATAAGGTAGGGCAATAAAGGGGGAAAGCACCAGGAAGGACAGCAAGGCTTAGGAGGGCATGAGTTATACTTTATTTGTTTGCTTGTTTTAAAGTATTCAGAAACACAAAGGAAGAGGAGGAAATCAAAGCTAGAGAAGAAAGGAAAAGCCACGCCGCACTCTTTTATCCTGCCTCCTGGGAGGTTGTGGGAGGCAGGAAAACAGAAGGGGAAGGAAAGGAATCCCCAGCTGTTGTCAGGGCCCATAGAAAGTTCACACTCAGCCTTCTGCTGGGAACCAAAGATGTTATTGACTCAAACGCAAATGGGGTCCTTGAGATTAACTACGTGTCCAAAGAGGCTCTGCATGTGCAGGAACCTCAGTCACCCTAGAACAGAGCAGCTCTCCTCACCGTAAGGGGAGGGTGCGACGGGTCAGGCACTACAGTTGTCCATGTTCCTGTTTTACTCACAAGTATGATAATCATGCAATGCAAATGTGTGCAAATTTCCAGTTCTTTTCTAAGAGGTCACATGCTTTGAAGCATTCATTTCTGGAGTCCGCTGAACAGGACATTCTCTGTTACTTACATAAAAACAAATACAGCTCCTCTGAATTAAGAAACTCTTTAAAAATCATATGCTAATTATTCTTCCATGCAATACCTTACCACAGCCAGCACGTCTGTGAGTAAACATCATTTACTGCCTTTCAGGACTTGGCAAAGTCCCAGTCCCCAAGGAGTCCCACACACAGCGTTGTTTAAGCTAGCTGTCAGACCTCAACAGCTAAGCCTCACTTTGCTGGTACAATGGTTGTTGATGTGGCAATTTATTGACAACACACAGATCAATTGGAGAAATGAATTAGTTGTGGTCAATGAATAATGGTAGATGAGAAAAAAAATGCCAACAGCAGACAAGTTGAATCAAGATACATGAAAAGCCAGTAACTTTGGAAGAATTTGAATTAGAGTGTGCAATCCAGGTTTCCCAACACTTAAGTTGTCACAAGTCATTTCTGCCTTCAATACCCAGTAGTCTGAGAACCCATTCTGCAGAACTTCAAGAAATCAAGTGCAGTCTTTTGAAAAGTTTATCCCTTCAATCTCTCTGGAGATACTTACACATTACACAAATCAGTCCTGGCTGTCACTTGCCACCTCAATGAGCCATCTTGTTCTCAGTGACTCTTCCCTTCCAGTGGGTCAATTCTTGCCAACCCACAACAGCTGTCCAGACTGTTATCTTTTTCCCTGAATTACTTCTTCCTAAGCATTAGCAATCTCAAAAATGACTGAGCCCAGGATATGATGTCTAACAATAGATAATTCAGGGGATACCATACCCAAGGGAATAACCATGTAGAATAAAAACCTTAAACAGAACATTTCCCACCAAAGGATCCACAAACCAGGCCATTCCATAGAAGGTGTGATCAGCTTATGCCTCAGTCTTCTCAGGCCACCCAACTGTTGTGGGTGATGGAAGGGAGATCTTACTTTACTCTGGTTGAACTTCAGGGAGCCCAGGACCCCTGAGCATCTCCGTTAGAACACAGCTTCCTCTTTGCCCTTGGTCACTGGTTGGCCTTCTGGTCATCGTCTCTCAGAGATGCCATTCTGACTTCAAGAAGGGTGACTTCCATATTATCAAGCACAGCTTCCTGACTTCCCATGGTCCAGAATCTGATTTTGGCTTTTTCTCACATGCACTGATTTACAGACTTGATTAGTCAACTTAAACCTCCAGCTAAACAGAAACTGCCAGCAGCATACAAAGAGCAGCTATCTTCCCTGGCCCCTGCTTTATTCTGATGGAGGTTTCAGAAGTATGGGGGTTCAATAAGGCCTGGATTAAAACCACTGGAGAGCACTGAGAATATTACAGTGTCCCTAGATCATGTGGGATTCAAAATTAAAACAGTTTTAAAGAATAAGTATAAAGTAATCCAACTAAATTATCGTTTTTATCATGATGATGATTTTGGTGTTTTCTCAAACAAATTTTTAATTCAAATACTTTCTCAAAATGCTGTCATTTTTTTTGACATCTTTGTTTGCTGGTGCCCCAAGCTCACACAGCTTGAGGGGAACCCCAGCTCTGGGTCCAGTGTCAGAGCCCCCAGTTATACATGAGTAGATTAGTCCAAGAGCCTTGCTAACATTATAGCTGCTTCTGCTTAGAAATCCACCGACCTTCCCATAGTTAAAGAACAATGTCTGCTCCCCAATGTCTTCCTACTAGAGTATTTCTGAGAACAATGGGATTTTTGCACTCAGCAAACAAGGTTGAGCTGCCCTCTAGATTATTTAGAACCAAAAGTAGCCTCTTCCTTTTTTTGTCCTCCATTTGCCCTTGAGCTTAAACCCCGAAGCTCACAGGAAACTTCATATGGCTCATTTATTCAACAAATGTTTGTTGAGCATCTATAGTGCATTGAATAGTGTTTACCTCAAACCTCAGAATATGACCTGATTGGATAGAGGGTCTTTACAAATGTAATTATTAAGTTAAGATGAAGTCATACTGGAGTAGGGTAGATTCTAAATCCAATGACTGATGTCATTATAAGAAAAGGAGATGACACACAGAGATACATACAGGGAATAAGCCACATGATGGTGGAGGCAGAGATTGGAGTGATACAGCTACAGGCCAAGGATTTAACCCCATGGATTGGCAGCAACCACCAGAGACTAGAAGGGAGGCCTGGAACAGATTGTGCCTCGGAGTCTCCAGAAGGAACCAACCCTGCCAGCACCTTGATTTTGGACTTCTGGCCTCCTGAACTGCAAGAGAGCAAATCTCTGTTGTTTCCGGCCACCTAGTTTTTAGTAATTTGTTATGGCAGCCACAGAAAACTAATACAGCTCCTAGTATTTTCTAGTCACCATACCAAGCATTAAGTATAGCAACAGCACGAAACGTAAGGTCTCTATTCTCATGTAGCTTCAATTTTCTAGAGGAGAAGACAAACAATAAGTAAGTAACCAAATAAATCAATATGATTACTTCAGATTGTGATCAATTCTATGAAAAAGAAAAACAGAGTTATGTGATAAAGAGTGATCAGGGTAGAATCCAGGGCAATATCAACTTTTAGGATGAGATATTTCTGGGACATTCACACGGAAAGTATTAGATAGCTGGCCTTTCCTCCCTTCTCTTCCTGACCTCAATGCCAGGAGCTCCTTGGCAGCTCTGCTTCTAACATAACACATTATTTTGATCCACAAAAGTTTTTCTTCCTTCACATGTCCTCCAGCTTGAACATGTATCAAAACCGACAAGAATTGTGTTTTTCCCCCATCCAGCTTGTACATAATGGATGTCAGTATATTTCCTCACCATACTCAGAGAGCAGACCCAATTTGACTTAATTACAGCCAGGGCTCTGTAAACAGCCGCTCGTTACTGCCGAGCCCTGCGGTTTATGAAGAGAACACCACAAATGACAGGAAGCTGCAGGGGGAAAAATAGTCCGAGCTGCCTTTGGCATGTTCATTTTTGAATACAGATACTTCCATTCATCGATGAGGACATTTATGAAACCTGGGCTGTCAAGAAGATATTCTAGAAAGGAGCAACAGAGGCCCGTCACGGCCGGAGCGCTGTGCTGAAGAGGCCATCTGTGAGCAGAAGGCTGACACCCAGAATGCAAGGTGCTCCATGGGGAACACAAGCCGCGATACCCATCGAGGCAACCTAAATGAGAATTTCAGGACCATGCTGACCCCTGCTACCTATCCTGATGTTCAGAAATCAGTGCAGACCCAAAAGCAAATTAATTTAGTCAGAATTTCACTTCTTCAGGGAAAAATTTCCACCCACCGGTGCACAGTTTCATACGATGAAGGAAGTCATGCCACCATCTGGCAGACTGAAAACCGCAGAATGATTCGGGCAAAGTGTTGGGAAGGAAAGCAGGTCCCTCCCTCCATTGTCCTCAGCAGACACGGGAGCCCTGAGCTGGACTCCAGACACACAAAATAAGGAGCACAACACAGGGGGTACCCAGAGAGTCACTGGAAAGAACTGTGTTTTAAAATATTGCCCCAGAAATGTGAAGGTAGGGCCCTTGTTAAAATGCAGATTTGAGTTCACTAGATCTGGGACAAGGCCTAGAATTCTGCGTCTCAAGCTCCCAGTGATACCAGCGCCACAGGTTCTCCAGAACCTAGAGAACTGGCCATGGTGTGAGGAGGGGCTGTGGGGAAGGAGTCCAGCTGGGAGGCTTTCACCTAGGAGTCCAGGTGACAAGGATGCTACATTCTGCAGCGGTGTGGAATAGGATCAGCTTTGTTACATGTGAGATGTTGGTTATCATCAACAAGAATCAATATTATGAATTTAATTGCATATAGCAAATCTAGGTGTTGAAATAAGCCTGTTTCAAAAATAAAGTATTTTTTTAAGATGATAAATCAGTATATCTCAAATAGACATGCATTTCATAATCATCTAGGGGGGAGTTAGCAATGAGAATGCCTGGGTCCCAGCCCAAAGCAATTAAATCAGTTCTCTTGGTCTAGTGTGTGTAAGGGGCTGGGCAGAAGGAAAGAGAAGGAGCATGCAGCCCTGAAGAAAGGAAAGAGAAAAATAAAAAATAAATAAAAGAAAAAGAGGAACTGGATGGAGAGAAGAATTAAATTCACAACTTCTTTCTTAAGTAAATTTTTTTGAGTATATTTGAGGTTTATAACATGATGTTGTGGGATACATACAGATAATAGTTACTATAGTGACACAAATTAACTTATCTGACATCTCACATTGTTACTTTTTCATGACAAGAGCAGCTAAAATTTACTTAACAAAAATTCCTAATACAGTACAGTTTTAGTAACTATAGTCTTCACCTTGCACGTTAGTGCAATGTGCACATGGATAAAGGACCTATGTGTTGTCAATTAATGATGATAAGCACCTTTTCATATACCTGTTGGCCATTTTTATGTCTTCTTTGGAGAAATGTTTATTCAGATCCTTTGCTCATTTAAAAAAGTTCTGCTATTGAGTTGTAAGGGTTCTTTATACATTTTAGATATTAATCCCTTATCAGATATGTGGCTTGCAAGTATATTATCCTAGTCCATAGGTTGCCTTTTCATTTTGTTGATTGTTTCCTTTGTTGTATAGAAGTTTTTTAGTTTCAGGTAGTTACATCCATTTGTTTTTGCTTTTGTAGCTTGAGAGTTTGGTATAATATCAAAAAAACTCATGGCTAAGGTCAATGTCATAGAGCATTTCCCCTATGTTCTCATCTAGGAGTTTTATAGTTTCAAGTATTACATATAGGTTCTTTACCCATTTTGAGTTGCTTTTTGTGCATGTTGTAAGATAAGGATCCAATTTCATTCTTTTACATGTAGGAAAATCCAGTTTTCCCAGCACCATTTATTGAAAAGAAAATTCTTTCCCCACTGTGTCCTTTTGGTGCCCTTGTCCAAAATGAGTTGACTGTGTATGTTTGGATTTATTTCTGAACTATTATATTCTCTTGATCTATGTTATGTTTATATGCCCATGCCATACTCTTCTGATTACTGTACTTTTATAATATAATTTTAAATCAGGAAGGAAGTGTGATGCCTCCAACTTTTTTATCCGTATTACTTTGGCTACTCAAGGTTTTTTGTGATTGCATGTACATTTTAAGATTTCTTTTCTATTTCTGTGAAGATTGCCATTGGAATTTTGATAAGGGTTGTGGTAAATTTGTATATTACTTTGGATAGTAGGGATATTTTAACAATATTAATTCTTTCAATACATGAACACAGATATCTTTCCATTTATTTGTGACTCTCAATTTTTTCAGCAATGTTTTAGAGTTTTCAGTGCACAAATTATTCACCTATGTGATTAAAATTTTCCTAAGTATTTTTTATGCTATTTTAAATTGGATTATTTTCTTGATTTCTTTTTCAGCTAGGTCACTATTTGTATATAGAAAAGCTACCAATATTTGTATGTTGATTTTGTATCCTGCAAGTTCACTGATTTCACTTATTAGTTTTAATAATTTTTCTGTGTTATCTTCAAGGTTTTCTACATAGAGGATTATGTCATCTGCAAATAATTTCACTTCTTCCTTTCTGATTTGGATACTTTTATTGATTTTTATTGTCTGATTGCTTTTGTACTTCCAGTACCATATTGAATAGAAGTGGCAAGAGTGGGCATTCCTGCTTTGTGCCAGATCTTAGTGGAAAAGCTTTCAGTTGTTCCCTGTTCATTGAAATTTTAACTGTGGGTTTTTTTTAATGGCCTTTATTATGTTGAGGAACTTTCCTTCTATGCCTAAACCATAAAGAAAGGCAAATGCTTTTTTCATGCCAATTGAGATGATCATGTGGTTTTTATCTTTCATTCTGTTAATGTGATGTATCACATTGATTTATTTGCATATGTTAAGCCAGCTTTAATTGCCAGTGATAAATCCCAGTTGGTCATTATGCATAATTGTTTTGATGTGCTATTGAATTCAGTTTGCTAATATTCTACCGAAGATTTCTACATCAATGTTCATCAGAAAAATTCATCTGCAGTTTTATTTTCTCACAGTGTCTTTCTTAGTTTGGCTTAGGTACCAAGGTGATGCTGACTTCATAAAATGTATTTGGAAGTATTCCTTTTAGCTCTATTTTTTCAGAAAAATTTAAGAAGTATTGGTAATTTTTCTCTGAATGTTTGGTAGAATTCAGCCGCAAAGCCATCTGGTCTTATGCTATTCTTTGTTGGAAGGTTTTTAATTACATCTTCAGTATCTTCATTTGCTATTGGTCTGTTTAAGCTTTCTATTTCTTCCTGATTCAATCTTGGTAGGTAATATTTTTCTAGGAATTTATCCATTTCTTCAGGGTTATCCAATTTGTTGGCATGTCATTGTTCAGAATAGTCCCTTAGGATCCTTTTCATTTCTGAGGCATGTGTTGTAATATCTCCACTTTCATTTCTGATTTTATTTGAGACTATTCTCTTTTTTCTTAGTCTATTAGCCTAGCTAGGGGTTTTGTTTTGTTAATTTTGTTTATTTTATCAAGAACCAATTCTTGATTTTATTCATTCTTTCTATGGTATTTCTATCCTCTATTTTATTTATTTCTGTTCTGATCTTTATTATTTCCTTCCTTCTGCTAACTTTGAATTTAGTATGCTATTTTTCTCTTTCCTTGAGGTGTAATCTTAGGCTATTTATTTAGGAATCTTTCTTCTTTTTTAATGTAGGCATTTGTTGCTATAAACTTCCCTCTTCAAACTACTTTTGCTGCATCTCATAGGTTTTGATATGTTCTGTTTTCATTGTCGTTTGTCTCAAGATACTCTTTATTTCCTTTTTGATTTCTTCTTTGACTCATTGGTTGTTCACGAGCATATGGTTTAAGTTCCACTTATTTTTTTAATGTTCCAAGATTCTTCCTGTTATTGATTTCTAGTTTCATATTGTTGTAGTCAGAAGCATTACTAGATATGATTTCAGTCCTCTTGAATTTGCTGAGACTTGTTTTGTGGTCTAATAAATGGTCTATCCTGGAGAGTGTTTCATGTGCACAAGAGAATAATGTATATTCTACTGCTCTTGGATTGAAAGTTTTATATATGTCTGCTAGGTCATTTGGTATAAAGTGCAGTTCAAATCCAATATTTCTTCATTAATTTTCCATCTGGTTGGTCTATCCATTGTTGAAAGTGGGGTTATTGGTGTCCCCTATTATTATTGCATTGCTATCTATTTCTTCCTTCATATTTGGTAATGTTCAATTTATATATTTAGGTGCTCAGATACTGGGTACAAGAAAGTTTACAATTGTTGTTTCTCTTGATCAGTTGACTCATTTATCATTAAATAATGACCTTTTTCTTTTGTAATGATTTTTTGCTTGAATTCTATTTTATCTGATAAAAGTTTAACCACTCCTTCTCTCTTTTGTTTGCCAGTTGCAAAGAATATCTTCTTCCATTTATTCGCTTTCAGCCTATGGGCGTCCTTAAAGCTAAAATGGGTCTCTTATTGGGAACATATAGTTGAATCTTGTTTTTTTATTCATTAAGCCAGTATGTCTTTTGATTAAAAGTTTAATCCATTTACATTCAAGGTTAGTATTGATAGGTAAGAACTTAACTGCTGTCATTTTGTTGTTTTCTGGTTGTTTTGTAGATCCTTTGTTCCCTTCCTTCACGTTTGTCTTCCTTTGTGAATTGGTGATTTTCTATAGTGCTAAGCTTTTATTCCTTCCTCTTTCCCCTTTGTATATCTGCTGTAGTTTTGCTTTTTTTGTTGTTTTTGTTTTTTTTTTTTTGCTTTGTGGTTAACATGGGCCTTATGCAAAACATCTTACAGTTATAATAGACTACTTTTAATGGATAATGACTTAACTTTGGTCACTTACAAATAGTCTAGACTTTTACCCTTCCCTCCATTATTTATAATTTTGTTGTCAGAATTTACAGCTTCTTATATTGTATATTCCTGCACAATTTACTGTAAGTATATTTTTAATTATTCCAACTTTTAACCTTCACATTAGAAGTTTGAAAGGTTTACACACCACCATTACATTAATGGGGTATTCTGAATTTTACTATGTATTTACCTCTACTAGTGAGTTTTACACTTTCATGTTTTCATGATGATATGTTTTCATTGTTTACAGCTGAAGAACTCCCTTAAGCATTTCTCGTAAAGTAGGTCTAGTGGTGATAAATTTCCTCAGCTTTTGCTTTTCTGAAAAACACTTCATTTCACCATCATTTCTGAAGAACAGACTTGCAGTTATACTATTGTTGGCTGCCAGGTTTTTTTTTTTTCTTTGATTACTTTGAATATGTCACGCCATTGTCTCCTGGCCTGCAAGTTTTCTGCTTAGAAATCCACTGATAGTCTTGGGCTGAGCACAGAAGCTCACATCTGTAATCCTAGCACTTTGGGAGGCCAAGGCAGGCAGATCACCTGAGGTTGGGAGTTCAAGACCAGCCCAGCCAACATGGCAAAACCCTGTCTTTACTAAAAATATAAAGATTAGTCAGGTGTGATGGTGCACACCTATAATCCCAGTTACTCTGGAGGCTGAGGCAGGAAAATCGCTTGAACCCGGGAGGCAAAGTTTGCAGTCAACCAAGATAACACCACTGCACTCCAGCCTGGGCAACAGTGAGACTCCATCTCAGAAAACAAAACAAAATAAAACAAACAGAGAGAGAAAGAGAGAGAGAGAGAAAGAGAGAGAGAGAGAGAGAGAAAGAAAGAAAGAAAGATCCACTTATAGTCTAATGAAGATTCCCTTGTATGCCCTTTGACACTTTTCTCTTGATGCTTTTGAAATTCTCTCTGTCTTTGACTTTGACATTTTTATTATGCTGTGCCTTGGTGAGGACTTCTTTGATTGATCCTGTTTTGGAACCTTTGAGTTTCATCAGTCTGGATGTCAGTATCTTTCCTAAGGGTTGGGAAATTCTCAGCATTATTTTATTAATTTTTTGTGTCTTTCTTCATCTCTTCTCCATCTGGAACTCCCTTATGCAAAAATTTGCTCACTTAAGGATGTCCTATAAGTTCTGTAGACTTTCTTCACTTTGTTCCATTATTTTTCTTTTTTCCCCTTCAACTAGGTTATTTCAAAAGACCTATTTTTCAAGCTCAGAGAGTCTTTCTTCTACTTGATCTAGTCTTCTGTTGAAGTTCTTAGTTGTAATTTTTATTTCACTGAGTGCTTCAGCTCCAAGAATGCTATTAATATTTACTTCTTTTTTAAGATATCTATCTCTGTTGAATTTCTCATTCAGATCATGGATTGTTTTCCTAATTTTATTGAATTGTCTATCTGTATTCTTATGTATCTCACCAAGTTTCCTAAAGATTATTTTGAATTCCTTTCCAGGCAACTCTTAATTTTCATTTCTCTGGTGCTAGTTACTGGAGAATTATTGTGTTCCTTTGGTGGCATCATGTTTTCTTGCTTTCTCATGGTTTTTGTGTTCCTGTGCTGATATCTGCACATCTGATGGAACAGTCATCTATTCCAAATTTATAGTGGCTTTCATAGGGAAAGACTCTCTGAATGGGTTTACTCTCTGAAACACAGGTGATGCAGCTCTTCCACCAAGCTAAGGACTGTGACTCTGAGGCACTCCCCAGTAGCTAAGGCACAGGAGGACAAGAATGTAGCTGTAACTCTGATCTTGGGAACAAGGGTGTAGCCCTGGCGTGGCTCCAAGGGAGACGGGGTGTTCAAGATGCTTGGTTTCTGGAGAGTGGCAACTTGGGCACCAGGAGAGGGGGCGCTGTGTAGTGGTGCCTCTGAACCCTGAAGTGATGGGACACAGAAGTAACCCAGGCTCCGCAAGGCCAGGTGCGGTGGCAACAAGGACCCAAGAATGACAGGACACAGCAGTGGCTTGGGCTCCAGGGAAGAGGAAGCAGGGCAACAGTGGCTCCATGCCCCAGAGAGGTATAGCACCTCAGTAATTTGACTCTAGAGGGCTGATCCAGATCCAGCAAGAAGGGGTGCTGTGGCTTTTAGGACCAGAGCATGTGGTGGCACAACTCAAACAAGTTTTTGTCTTCCTAGGAGGCAGGGTGCCACATCAGCTCACGTACCTGGAGGGACAGATACTCTGCTGGGCCAGGGCCCCAGTTCCCCAGTTCCTCAAAGGGTGGGCTTTCACTTTGGCTTAGGCACTGGGGGGTACAGCTGCTCCAATTGAACACATGTTTTTAGAAGAATACTGGGCTGAAGAAAAGTCTATCAAGGAGAGGAAGAAGTGAAATTTGAAATAACGGAATAAAAGTAAGAAGGGTGGGGATTTAGAGTGATGTCAACAAGAAAGCTGACTGAGGTGCATGATGCTTATCCCCAACCCCAACAAAAAAGAACCAAAATAAATACTCAACTATGTCTTGACTAGAGTGCCTAAGAGAGTGCTGGAGTACAGCAAGGGCGTGGTGGCAACCCTGTGAAGCATGGAAACTCAGGGCAGCCACATACAGAAGGGAAGGAAATGCCGTGCCTCTCTGCCACCCTATCCCCCAGTTAGGATCAGCTCAAAACTAGAAGGGGCTTCTCCTTGTGGGAAAAAAATAAGAGACCCCTAGACTCTGGTTCCCAGCAGGTCAGGGTACCAGGTTGGTTCAGGCAGTGAGGGGTATGGCTCTGCCTTTCTGGTGTGGCTTCTCCATTGGACCAGTGCACTTGATTCCCAAAGGGCAAGGCATTGTGTGAGCTTAGGCACCGGGGATGAGGCTGATCCCCTAGGCTGAAGTTCCAATTCCCTCAGTGTGGGGCATCAGGTTGGTTCTGGTGTCCAGGGGATGTGGCTGCTCCACTGGACCCAGGCTCCAAGTAGCCAGGATGTTGCAGCCACTGGGACTGGAGAGATGAATTGCCTCCTAGGCAGCTTGTTCCCAGGCAGTAGGGAGCTACAGCAGCTTGGCTGGGGTACAACATGCTACCGTGTATGCGAGCATGGTGCAATGATGGTAGAGCCTCAGGGATGAAGAGATGTAGTGGCTACGGAGCCCTGGAGCAGGACACATCCTAGCAGTGGCTCTAGTTTCAAGATGGTGCAGCACAGTAACAGCTTGGGCCACGGCGGGCAGGGCAGAAGAGGGAGCCTTCTCTGGAGTAGCACAGCTGTGTGAACTCCAAGCATCTCCCAAAGCTGGGCTCAGGGCCTTTAAGAATTTCAGGATCCTCCAGTATCCAAGACTGCAGGTATACACAGCAGTGACAGAGGCCTCCAGGGGCCTCCTGCTTATCTGCCAGCAGAGAGAAGCCCCTTCTGTTTCTGAGCTGCTCCAGACTGGGGGATAGGGTGCCAGAGGCAAGGCATTTTCTTCCCTTCTCTATGTGGCTACCCTGAGTTTCTATGCTTCCCAGGGTTTCCACCACTCTCTTGCTGTACTCCAGCACTCTCTTTTAGTCACTCCAGTTAAGATGTAGTTGTATGTTTGTTGTTTTGGTTCTTTTTTTGTTAGGGGGCATGAGCATTAGGCACTTCCAGTCAGCTGTCTTGTTGACATCACCCTAAATCCACACTTCTTACTTCTATTGCCACTGCTTTCAAATTCTCTCTCCCTCCCCTTGATGGACTCTTCAGCCCAATATTCTTCTGATCAAATGTGGTGGGGGTGTCACCTGTCAGCTCTTTAAGTTACACAGGCGGTGCACCCCCGTGCACCAACTGCTTGGGGCTCATGCTCAGTGTGGCTGCTTCAAAAAGAAATTGTGTTCCATGAATCAGCAGCATTGGCTTCACCTTGGAGCTTATTAGAGACTCAGAAGCTCAAGCCTCTACCCAGACCTATTGAATTAGAATTTGCATTTTAACCAGATCCCCACATAATTAGCATACATGGTGAAGTCTGAAAGCACTGCTCTGCATGGACTTGAGCCCAAGTTTTCAGGACAAACACACACTAGGCACAAAGGCGATTATCAAGCTACTCAGGTAATGCAAACTGGAATTAGCTGCCACTTATACTTGAGCCAGGTGACTGGAGGAGAGGAAGCCTGAGAACATGTCATCAGTTTAGAACATCATCTGGCAGTAACCCAGTGAATGCCAAATTGTCTCTTTCTCTGTATTGATATAATTACCAACATGAGGAAAAGCAGGTTCTTTCTTCAGATAAAGTAACCTTGTTATGTATCAGCCTGTGCTAGCTCCGCTTCTGATTAGCAATTTATTCTGGGTGTTTATTGACTGACCCCATTTGGCCCCTGTTATTTATTTTATTCCCACCAGCCACAGTTATTTAGCTCCCAGGATGATGGAACATAGATGGCTTTATGTATATTTGCATTTTCTGTACATTTTTCTATTTTTCTTGCCTGCTCTATAGACAGAACATACTTAGGGACCATGGCTGCTTGTTTAACTCTTCACAATACCTAGCAAAGAAGCACTTACTGGAGAAGGTGATGGATGTCACCGAGTGGTGTCAGGAACCATTCTTAGCACTGTTCATGTCAATTCTCTATTTCATAAGCCAGAAACAAAATTGTTTTAAAGCCACACTGGGACACACTCAGTTCCACAGAACCGTGCACTAAGTCTATGCTATAAGTCAATCATAAAAAGCAGATGCTATCATATGCTTATAAATCATTTTTCAAAAGTTCATTTCAAAGCCATTTATTGGAACTTCAAGTGTGTATTTTCCCAATATTATTCCTTCAATGGTAGCTCTGTTCCCAAGGTAGACCCTCGGAGTGGGAAGCCATATTCTTATAATGTTACTAATTAACTATGACCATGAAATATTAAATCCAGATGGGTTTTTATTCAACCTGATGCTTAAGGTTGAATGTTGGTGCCTAAGGGAGAGTTTGAATCAAAAGACTATTTGGTAGGAACAGAAGATATTGCAGATCCTGGCTTTTGTATCTTTGTTAGAGCTTTAAAATGGATAGCATTGATTCTTTATGGTGTTTTTAAATTAAAACTTCTGATTTTTCTTTTTCTCACAAAATGTGTAACTTTGCCTCAATTCTTATACTTATTTCCCACAAGTGTCATCGTTCTATGACTCACAGATAAAAAAGAAGGGGGAGAAAAAAATAGAAGAAAGAAAGAAAAATGCAAGCGATCCTAAGTTTAGTGAGTCTGGTATTAGATGGAATTTAAAAGATTGTGTATATACATGAGTGAAGGATCGCATATAGAGTAGGTTCAAAATAATTGCATTTTAGACCTGGAAGGGACCACAGTCATAGTTGCCACATGTTGTCTTGAGGCAGCATTTTTCTAATGGCAGTGCTTTTGCCCCATAGGGGACAGTTCTGGTTTCTATAGCTGGTGAGGAAGTACTACTGGCCTCTTGTGTGTAGGACCAGGGATGGTGCTATATAGCCTACAAGACCTTACGCAGGTGGTCCCACTTGCTGCCCAGACTGTTCTTCTCTGTCCTTCTTTACTCACCCTGCTCTCCCCTAGCTTCCTCCCTATTCAAACACACCAGGCCTGCTCCCTCAGGGACTTTGCACTTGCTACTTCCAATGCCTTTTCTCCCAGATCCAAATGCCTTGAACCCTTATCTCCATCAACCTTTGCTTAAGTATCCCCTTTCTGTAAGACCTTCCATGATCATCTTGTTTAAACTACAACTTTCCACTATCACTTCAGCACTTCTTATCCTTGTTTCTTATTTTATTTTTCTTCATAACACTGATAATTTTTGTCTGTATGTTCACTGCTATATCCTTAGGACCTAGAATAATAGGTGCTTAATATATATTTGATACAGGAATGAATAAAACAAGTGAAGGACAGTGAAAGATAGAGTATAATTAAATGTTAAACGATGTGAAATTGAAAACATATGTAATGGGAGTTTTACAATGAATACATTTTATATCTCTATTTTAAAACCTTGATACATTTTGCTACCTTTTAGGTATGTACTCCTATAGTCACAGTGACCTTATTTTCAAAAACAAAGATTAGTAAGCACAGAAGAGGAATATATTGAAAAACTCATTGTTCAACGGGTTTAAAGTTTCAGTTGTGCTATATGGGTAAGTTCTAGAAATCTTCTGTAAAATCTACTGCCTATAATTAACCATATAATATTGTGCACTTCAAAACTTGTTAACAGGGTAGGTCTCATATTAAGTCCTTCTACAGAAAGAGAGGAAGGAAGGAAGGAAAAAAGGAAGGAAGGAAGGAAGGAAAGAAGGAAGAAAGGAGAGAAGGAGGGAAGGAGAAAAGGAAAAGCAAAAGGAAAAGGAAAAGGGAAAGGGAAAGGAAGAAAGGAAGGCAGGAAAAAGAAAAAAAGAGAGAGAGAGGGAAGGAGGGAGAAAAAAGGAAAGAAGGAAAAGAGAGTAAAGGGGAGAGAGACAGAAAAGGAAAGAAAGGAGGAAGAAAGAAAAAAGAAGGAAAGAAGGAAGGGAAAGGGAAAGGGAGAAAGGAAGGAAGGAAAAAGAAAAAAGAAAAGAAAGAGAAAGGGAGGGAGGGAGAAAAAAGGAAAGAAGGAAAAGAGAGAGTAAAGGGGAGAAAGAAAGAAAAGGAAAGAACGGAGGAAGAAAGAAAAAAGAAGGAAGGAAAAGAGAAAGAAAGAAAAGAAAGAGAGAAAGGGAAGAAAGAAAAGAAAGGGGAGAAAGAAAGGAGAGAGAGAGGAAGGGAGGAAGACAGAGGGAGGGAGGAAGAGAAAGGGAAGGAGGGAGGGAGGGACCTCTGTTTTTGGTGTCCCAATAGAGGGAGATATTGAATATGTCTTACCTTGATTGTGGTGATAGTATCATGAGCGTTTTTGCATGTTCAGAGTCACTAAATTGTACATATTAAATATCTATAATTATTTCTTTATCAATTATAGCTTAATAAAGCTTTTTAAAAAAGAAAAAAGTGGAACATATTATCTTTAGAGAAACTAAGCTGTGAAAACAAGTAGTAAAAACAACATACCTTTAGTACTTTACTAAAGAAAGTCAGTGTTGGGAGGAACAAGAAAAGGAAGAGTTCCTTCCAACCTGGACATTATTCTCTGTGTATTTTTGTTCAGCCCTAAAAACAAAAAGAGTTCCCATATACTTATAGAAAAAAAGAGAGAGAAAAAAAGATGAAGAGAAAGAGGACAGCTGAAATCCCATGCATGGCTGGAAAAGAAAAATGATCCTCAAGAGCCTATAAGTCATTTTGATTAGGATATGACCACAGGGTTTTGGCACCTCCTAGAGTTACTTGAAATCCTAGAGTTCCACATCTTCCTCCAAAAGAGATTTTTGACTCAAGTAATTAATTGCAGATGACTTACAAAAAACATTTTAATAAATCTAGGAGAAAATCATGATTAGTGTATCAATAGTGACTAGTGAATAATCATCAATTTGTACCTATTCTTAAGCATTTATCTCAGCCTTGCTCTAATATACATCTTATTTAAATAGATTTTAAAATAGCACATTTATATTCATCCCCTTGAGTATACAGCCATGCTGAGTGTGGCTGAGGAGGACGTAGAGGTTGGGGCCACAGAGCCCTCTGATCTTGGAGCCACTATTTCCCTTGTGACCTCCTACCAGCACTGCATTCAAAATGCCTAGAGGAAAGAGGCAGCCATCTGTGGAAACCCACAACTGCAACTAAGTGACTTTATCACATTTCTGCGAAGGGGATTTGTGGAATTAAGGAAAACTTCATGGAAGAAGTAGAATTCCAGATAGTGGAGGGTTGGGTAGGTAGAGAAGAGTGAGCATGGGATTCTAGGTGAATAAAGGAAATTCTCAGTAGACAAATACAAAGGCAAGCCCTCTATTGTGTCAGTGGCAAAGCCCTCCACTCAGTCCTCTCAAGGAATGTGAAGAAAATTGTGTGCCACAAGGGAAGTCCACAGAGGCCCAGTGACAGCTGTTGTCTTGAGGGCATTACATTCCACAGGGCTGGAGTTGGGGGACAGATTATGGTCAACAGCCCTGACATTTTCTTCATTTAACTTTGCTCACAGAAACAGGCCTGCCTCAAATTGTCAGCTCATACACCATATGTCTAAATTATAAATCAAGCAAACAAACTACTAAATACAATGTGCTCTTTTCTCCTACCTTAACAAATATATTCTTTCAAATTACCTGGATGTCCAAATTCCAAATTACTAGAATTTGCACCAGAATGTGGCCTCAGAACATGGCATCTAGAGGAGAGCCAATGCCAGCCTCTGACCCAACCACTGTCCTTTTTTTTCCCCCAAACTCAGCTCTATTCTCACCTCTATCCTATATAAATGTTGTTTCTAAACTGCTTCAGAATTTTGGAAGGCCTAGAGTTTCATGTAATTGATTAATCACTTTCAAAACAACTTCTGAGCAGTAAGAATCCCAGTGAAAAAGCTTTTGAAAGAGGCACTGGTCAATTTTCTGATGTTTGCTTTTCATTTGAAAAACTACCTTGATCAAATGATCAAGGTTAACCTCATCCATGATAAATCATATTGATATCATCTTCCTGAATAATGTGGCATGTTGATGAGGAGAGGACTTTTCCTCCTCCACATATCCCAGACTGCATATCCAGACTCCATCCACAGCAGCCATCTGACTACCCCTCAGGCCAAGGAGTATGTACATCAGTGGCCCAGTCTTCCTTCTGAAGAAAAAGGCCCACAGAAGAAGACCATGGAGATTCTGGAAGTAGGCTCAGAACCATTCGGGCTAAGACAATTCCAAAGTCCTGGGTACCTGGGGCATGGTCTTCAAAGGGGGCTGCAGGCTCCTGGTGAGCACTTAGGGAAAAGCAGGCCCAGATAGAAGCTGAGAGGGGCTGGGCACAGTGGCTCACGCCTGTAATCCCAGCACTTTGGGAGGCTGAGGTGGGTGGATCACGAGATCAAGAGATCGAGACAATCCTGGCCAACATGGTGAAACCCCATCTCTACCAAAAATACAAAAATTAGCCAGGCGTGGTGGCGCACACCTGTAGTCCCAGCTACTCAGAAGGCTGAGGCAGGAGAATCGCTTGAACCCGGGACACGGAGGTTTCAGTGAGCCGATATCGCACCACTGCACTCCAACCTGGCGACAGAGCAAGACTCCATCTCAAAAAAAAAAATGCTGAAGGGTTGCTGAAGCATGGGCCCAGGGCAAGCCTGCTTTTGTCTGCGTGAAGCAGAAATATTTGCCCCAGGAATTTTCTCAAGTCTCCTGATGCTCTCAAAGAAACAGGTGGGAAAATCAATGTTTATACATCTCTTACAAAAATAGCACTAGGCCTCTTAGTGATTTTGAAGACATCCATCCCATCAGTATCTCAAAAAAAAAAAAAAATTGGAAGAGAAGGGACAATTCTTTCTTACAGAAGAATTCCATCTACTACACATAGATAATACTCCATCCAGGAAGTGGAGCTTAAAACCCTTCCCACCTTGAACGTGAGCTGGACTCAGGGATTTGCCTCCAAAGAATAGACTATGAAAGGGAAAAATAATAACTTCACAGTGGAGAAATCTCGAAAACACTACCTTAGCCCAATGATCAAGGTTAACCTATCGGTGATAAATCATGTCAATAACATGTTCCCCGATAACCTTTCACTTGACAGATTATTGGTTAGGAACTTCTCTCACTCGTAACTCCAGTCTAACTATGAGAAAAACATAAAACAAATCCAAAATGCAGAATATCTACAAAATACCTGACCAGCCCTCTTCAAGACTGTCAAGAAACTGTGAGAAACTGTCACACACCAGAGATTATGGAGACATGAAAATGAAATGCAACATGACACCCTGGATTCAATCATGGCACAGAAAAGGGACATTAATGTGGAAATTTGTGAAAAACAAAAAAAATATTGAGTTTAGTTAATAATAGCACTACAACAATATTGGTTTGTTAGATTTGACAAATGTATCATGGTAAGGAAAGATATTAACAATGGGAAAAACTGGGTGAAGAATATTTGGGAACACCCTGTATTTTCTTTGAAACTTTTCTGTGAATCTAGCACTATTCCAAAATAAAAATGTATTAAAAAAAAAAAAAGTTCATCCACAGCCTCAAAGAATTATAGTACGTCTATCATTCTGTCTCGGTCTGGCCCGCATTCATTCGATGGAACAATGGGATGGCATTTCCCAGGTCTGGAGTTCTGATGTGGGGCTCTTTTTAATGAGATCTCAAAGATGCCAATTCTCACAGTCAAAATCAGTCTGATCCCAGAGGGGCACATTAGTAACAGCTCCTCAGAACTTCAAGATGTTTCTGTATGAATTCCAAAGAACATAAATAAGGCTTAGAAGAAGAGAAAGGGAAATTACTTGTGGCATGTTTACAACTTGGAACAGCATAATATACGAAACAAATGACATAAATAAAACTCCTGTAATAAACTTAAGGAGAAATTCCAAAATAGACCACAGAGACTATAGTGCTCTGGGGTAGAGCATTCAGCTGTAAAACCTCCTTCTATCAAGCACACAGTAGGCATTCCACAAAACTGACCAAAAATGAAATTAATTGCAACATGCACGATCACCTGAATCTAATGTTAAAAAGGAAATGTTGGAAATTGTCATTAAACTCAATAGATCAACTATCTTTAGGGAAAGCATTCAGTTTATCATGGGAAAGTAGCACAGCACCTAGATCTTGCCATATACTAAGTTCCATTCACTCAAAGTTCCAGAAAAAAAAAAAAGTTGAGCTCATACACATAAACTTGTTGAACATTATAGTGAATAAAACACATGACTTCAAGTATCCTCTGTAGTTATAAATTTGCTCTAGGCAACAACAGGAGGTCTTTCCTAATTAATTTATGTATCCTTCAATCAGCCCCACTATGTTTTAGGGGAGCAAAGGCATGTAAAAGGAATTGCACCATAGCTGTTCCAAATAAAATGCAGGAAATTTTCCAGTTTCTCCTCCAAAAGAAGTTTTTGCTCCTCTCATTGGGATTATTGCTGTTGACAAGTTATTTTGAAAGTCATTAATTAATTATATGAAACTCTAGTCCTTCAAAAACAGGCAGCAATTTAGAAACACCATTTACGTAGGATTAACTACTTTTGAATAAATTTTTCAGCATCCATCTGGGACATAATTGTTCAACTTTCCTTTGTCAGATCACCAAAGCAAGAGAACATTTACATCACTGAGCACAGTCTAGGTGCTAGAAATGACACGTGCTTATTTTATTAATTTCCCCCAACCCCTGTAATCAGGTATTATCCTCCTTTTACACACAAAGAAGCTTAGGTCTGAGATAAGGTCACACTCCTGACAGTGCTAGATAAGGGATTTGAGCTCAGCATTGTCTCCTATCATAGCTCATATTGCCTTCAAAAAAACATTGGGGAGGAGGAGGCAAGATAGATCCAGCCTACTGTAGACAAAATTTTGAAGTACCTGCAGTTTCTATTTATCTGGCCCTACTCTGAGCTCCTCCTTTGCCCTTCTTCTTTCCTCTCTGAATCCAAACTTTCTTGTCACAGACGTCATCCCTACAGATATATAATAACCTCAGTTGCAATTAACAAAAATTCCAGCTCAAAGCACCTTAGATAATACAGGAGGTTTTTTTTAAGATCAATTACTAGAAAATACAGATGTAGGGCAGGTTTTGAACCAGTCTCTGTCTTGGGCTCAAGCAATAGGACTGAGGCTTGTTTTGTCCCTAAATTTCTTTTTTCTATATTCTCAGTGGTGCCTCCATTCTCAGAGTGGATTTTCCCGATGCAGCTCCCATGGATGAATGCTTCCTAATTGGCATTCAGTGGAACTGAGGTTTTTTTCTTTCTGGATTCATTAAAAATAAATTTAAAAAGTAATGAGTCTCATTTACACTCATTCATATATTTATTCATTTATTCAACAAATATTTAAAGCATATATAATGAGCCAACTGCAGTTCTAAAGGCTAAAGATAGAGTAGTACACAAGCAGACCTCTGCCCAGTAAAGTTTTAATTATTACAAGAAAGACACAATCAAGTGAATAAATATATACTTTAATTTTAGGCACATACTGAGTAAGAATAATAAAGGAGGTAAGAGAGAAAATGAGATATACATACATGTGTTTTTTATATATATGTATGTATATATATTAATCAATTGATGATTGGTAGTACGGATGGAGCACAGATTAGCAAGGTAAAGTACAGGTCTTTGATACTTTCCCCCGACCTTTTACACTCTGGAGCCAGAATTTCTTGAGTATTTCATAAGACAAGAGCCCTGGTTAATTCATCCAAATTGGTGACTATGTTTCTAATGTATGCCATCTCTCATCAATAGGTAATGGCTAACAGAATAAGGATATAGTCTGGGATTGTGAAGCCATGTGAAGCTTAGCAGAAAATAGGGAAATTGTTTTCAGTGTTTGCTATGAAATGCAGAAGGGAGGAGGGTTATCCTCTCTCCAGGCATTTAGCAATTTTATTCTAGACTACACTTTGAGAAAGTGTTGAACTCAGCAAACTTCTCTTATAGCAAGTTATTTCTCTGCCAAAAAAAAAAAGGAAATTGGGATGAGTAACTAAATATATGAAGCAAACATGAAGAGATCTGAAGGGAGACATAGACTGCAGCACAATAATTATAAGGGATTAAATACCTCACTTTCAACAATAGGCGAATCATCTAGGCAAAATTCAATAAGGAGGCTGGGCACGGTAGCTCATGCTTGTAATCCCAGCACTTTGTGGGGCTGAAGTGGGTGGATCACATGAGGTCAGGAGTTTGAGACCAGCCTGGCCAACATGATGAAACCCCATTTCTACTAAAAATACAAAATTAGCCGGACATGGTGGTGCACCTGTAATGCCAGTTACCCAAGAGGCTGAAGCAGGAGAATCGCTTGAACCTGGGAAGCGGAGGTTGCAATGAGCCAAGATCGCACCACCGCACTCCAGCCTAGGTGACAGAGTGAGACTCTGTCTCAAAAAAAAAATAAATTCAGTAAGGAAACATTGGACTTGAACTACACTTTAGACCAAATGGACCTAACAGACATATACAGAACATTCCATTTAACAACAATGGAATGCATATTCTTTTCAAGTGCACTGGGAACATTCTCCATGATAAACAAAATGTTAAGACACAAAACAGGTCTAAACAAATTTAGGAAAATCAAAATGATATCAAACTTTTTTCTGATCACAATGGTATAAAACTAGAAATCAATAACAAGAGGAATTAAGGAAAATTATGAGATGCAGCAAAAGCAGCTTCAAGAGGGAAGTTTATAGTAATAAAGACATATCAAAAAAGAAAAAAATCCCACATAAGCAACCTAACTTTATACCTCAAGGAACCTGGGGGTGGGGAGGACATGCTAAGCCCAATATTAATAGAAAGCCCAATATTAACAGATAAAACAAAGATCAGAGCAGAAATAAATGAAATACAGGATAGAAAAACAACAGAAAAGATCAATGAAACTAAGGGTTGGTTTTTTGAAAAGATGAATAAAATTGACAAATCCTTAGCTGGACTAAGGAAAAATGACAGAAGACTCAAATAAATAAAATCAGAAATGAAAGAGGAAACATTATAACTGATAACACAAACATATAAAGGATCATAAGAGACTACTATGAACAACTACATGCCAACAAATTGGACAACCTGGAAGAAATGGATAAATTCCTAGAATCATAAACCTACCAAGACTGAATTACAAAGAAATAGAAAATCTGAACAAATCAAAGCAAGTAAGGAGATTAAATTAGTAATTAAAATCTCCCATCAAAGAAAATCCCAGGACCAGATGGCTTCATGGATAAATTCTACCAATCATTTAAAGAATGAATATCAATCATTTTCTAAATCTTTCAAAAAAATTGAAGAGGAGAGGATACTTCCAAACTCATTTTATGAGGCCTGTATTACCTTGCTAACAAAGCTGGACAAAGACACTCCAAGAAAACTACAAGCCAATATCCCTGATGAACATAGATGCAAAAATCCTCAACAGAATACTATAAAACTGTATTCCACAATCCTTCAAAATGATTAAAAAAGATTCAAAATAATCCTTCCCATGATCAAGTGGGATTTACCCCTGGGATTCAAGGATGATTCAACATATGCAAATCAATAAATGTGATTCACTATATTAACAGAATGAAGGCCAAAAACTATATGATCATCTCAACAGATGCCAAAAAAAACAGCATTTGACAAAATTCAACATTCTTTCATAATCAAGAACTCTCAAAAATTACGTATAGAAGGAATATTCTTCAACACAATAAAGGTCACATAAGACAAGCCCACGGCTAACATCATACTCAATAGTGAAAAGTTGAAGGCGTTGCCTCTAAGATCAGGGATAAGACAAAGATGCCTATTTTCACCCCTTCTATTCAGCATAGTACTGAAAGTTCTAGCAGCCAGAGCAATTAGGCAAAAGAAAAGAAATGAAAGACATTCAAATAGGAAAGAAAGAAGTGATTGTCTCTGTTGATGGCCTCTTCTTATACTTAGAAAACTCTAAAGACTTCACAAACACACACACACACACACACACACACACACACGCAAAGGTGGAACTACCATAGCTTTGTAATATATTTAGGAATGTATTACAAAGCCAAATTGTATTTTTAGTAATTTATTCCTTTACTGAATAAAGGAATTCAGTAAAGTGTTAAGATAAACAATCAACTTATAAAAATCAGTAGCATTTTTACATAACAACAAACTATCTGAAAAAGAAATTAAGAAAATAATCTCATTTACAATAGCATCAAAAAATTAAATACTTATAAGTAAATTTAACAAAGGAGGCTAAAGATCAGTATACTGAAAAGTATAAAAGAAATTGAAGAAGACACAAATAAATGGAAAGATATCCCAGGTTCATGGATTAGAAGAATTAATATTGCTAAAATGCCCATACTACCCAAGCAAGCTACAAATTCAATGAAATCACTATCAAAATTTCAATAACATTATTCACAAAAATAGATCAAAACATTTATAAAATTTATATGCAACCACAAAAGGCCCCAAATAACCAAAGCCATTTTAAGCAAAAGAACCAAGCTGGAAGCATCACACTACCAGATTTCAAAATATATTACAAAGCTATTGTAGTCAAAACAACATGGCACTGGCATAAAAACAGACACACTAACCAATGGATTAGGATGGAGAGCCCAGAAATAGCCCTGCACATTTATGATCAATTGGTTTTTTACACATGTACCAAGAACACACGGTGGGGAAAGGACAGTCTTTAATTAATAGTATCAAGAAAACTGGATATCCATGGGCAGAAGAGTGAAAATAGGCCTTTATCTTACCTCTTATATAATAATTAAAATGGATTAAAAACTTAAATGTAAGACTTGAAACTGTAGAACTACCAGAAGAAAACATAGATGAAAGCTCCATAACATTGGTCTTGGCAGTGATTTGTTAGGTAAGACCCCAAAACACAGGCAATGAAAGCAAAAATAGACAAACTGGATTTGATCAAACTAAAAATGGAAACAACACAGCACAACAAAAGAAACCATTGACAGAAGGAAGAAACAACTCACAAATGGGGGAAAATATTTGTGAATCATCTATTGAATTAGGGACTAATACCCCAAATAAACAAGGACCTCAAACTACTCAATAAAAGGAAAACAAAAAATCCTATAAAAGATGTGCAAAGGACCAGAATAGGTGTTAATCAAAAGAAGATATACAAATGGCCAACAGATATATAAAGAATGCTCAACATCTTTAATCATCAGAGAAATGCAAATTAAAACAATGAGATAACAACTCAAACCTGTTAGACTATTATCAAAAAAATAAAAGATAAGTGTTGGAGAAGATGAGAAGAAAAAGGAACACTTTCACACTGCTAGTGGTATTATAAATTAATACATCCTCTTTGAAAAACAGTGGGAAAGTTTCTCAAAAAAACTAAAAGTAAAATTACCACACAATACAGCAATCCCACTTCTGGGTATATATCCAAAGGAACTGACATCAGTATGTCAAAGAGATGTCTGCACCCTCATATTCATTGTAGCCTTATTCACAACAGCCAAGACATGTAAACTACGAAAGTGCATATGAACAGATGAATGGAGTTTTTAAATATAGTGTATATACACAGTGAAATACTATTCAGCCTTTAAAGAGAAGGAAATTCTGCCATTTGCAACAACATGGATGAACCTAGAAGACATTATACTAAGTGAAATAAGCCAGGCACAGACAGACAAATACCATATAATCTCATTTATTTGTAGAATCTAGGAAAAGTCAAACTCAGGGAAGTACAGAGAAAAATGGTGGTTCCCAGAAGCTGGGGGATAGGGGATAGAGGGAGAAAGGGGAGACAATGGTCAATGGGTACAAACTTTCAGTAGGCAAAACGAATAAGTTCTGGTGACCTGTTGCACAGAATAATGACTATAGTAAATGGTGATGTAGATTTCAAAGCTGCTAAAAGAGAATTTTATATGTTCTCACCAAAAACAAATGTTAAATATTTGAGGTGATGGATATGTGAATTAGCCTAATTGATCATTCCACTAAGTATACATGTGGAATCACACTGTAATCCGTAAATCTGTAAATCCACCCTATACTCTATAACATCACAGTATACTCCATAAATATACACAATTGTTATTTGTCAATTAAAAAGAAAATAAAACATAAGAAAAAAACACAGAGTCACTGTCATTTATACACCTAAAAAAAAAAAAAAAGGAAGAAATCGGGCTGAGATAGTAAAGTGGCAATACAGCCAGGATGCCAAAAAGTCCAAATTCTGTCTTGGCCCAGTAAGCATTGTCCTATATCCTCACCACCATCTGCACCCCTCCACCTGCCTCCAACTTTGTGGTTTTCTATGGAATAGATATAGATATAGATATATATATGGGATATATCTATGGGATATATATATATCTCTATGGGATATATATATATCTCTCTATGGGATATATATATCTATGGGATATATCTATGGGATATATATATCTATGGGATATATCTATGGGATATATATCTATGGGATATATCTATGGGATATATATATATCTATGGGATATATATATCTATGGGATATATATATATCTATGGGATATATCTATGGGATATATATATCTATGGGATATATCTATGGGATATATATATCTATGGGATATATCTATGGGATATATATATATCTATGGGATATATCTATGGGATATATATATGTCTATGGGATATATCTATGGGATATATATATATCTATGGGATATATCTATGGGATATATATATATATCTATGGGATATATCTATGGATATATATATCTATGGGATATATCTATGGGATATATATGGGATATATATATATCTATGGGATATATATATGGGATATATATATATCTATGGGATATATATATGGGATATATATATATCTATGGGATATATCTATGGGATATATATATATCTATGGGATATATATGGGATATATCTATGGGATATATATATCTATGGGATATATATATATCTATGGGATATATATGTGGGATATATATCTATGGGATATATATATGGGATATAATCTATGGGATATATATATGGGATATAGATATATCTATGGGATATATATATGGGATATATATATGGGATATATATATGGGATATATATATATCTATGGGATATATCTATGGGATATATATATATCTATGGGATATATCTATGGGATATATATATCTATGGGATATATATATATATCTATGGGATATATCTATGGGATATATATATATCTATGGGATATATCTATGGGATATATATATATCTATGGGATATATATATATCTATGGGATATATCTATGGGATATATATATCTATGGGATATATCTATGGGATATATATATATCTATGGGATATACCTATGGGATATATCTATGGGATATATATATCTATGGGATATATCTATGGGATATATATATCTATGGGATATATCTATGGGATATATATATCTATGGGATATATCTATGGGATATATATATCTATGGGATATATATATCTATGGGATATATATATCTATGGGATATATCTATGGGATATATATATCTATGGGATATATCTATGGGATATATATATCTATGGGATATATATATGGGATATATATATCTATGGGATATATATATGGGATATATATATCTATGGGATATATATATGGGATATATATATCTATGGGATATATATATGGGATATATATATATCTATGGGATATATATATGGGATATATATATATCTATGGGATATATATATGGCATATATATATCTATGGGATATATATATGGCATATATATATCTATGGGATATATATATGGCATATATATATATCTATGGGATATATATATGGCATATATATATATCTATGGGATATATATATGCCATATATATATATCTATGGGATATATATATGGCATATATATATCTATGGGATATATATATGGCATATATATATATCTATGGGATATATATATGGCATATATATATCTATGGGATATATATATGGCATATATATATATCTATGGGATATATATGGGATATATATATATCTATGGGATATATATATGGGATATATATATATCTATGGGATATATATGGGATATATATATCTATGGGATATATATGGGATATATATATCTATGGGATATATATGGGATATATATATCTATGGGATATATATATCTATGGGATATATATATCTATGGGATATATATATATATATCTATGGGATATATATATCTATGGGATATATATATCTATGGGATATATATATCTATGGGATATATATATGGGATATATATATATCTATGGGATATATATATGGGATATATATATCTATGGGATATATATATGGGATATATATATCTATGGGATATATATATGGGATATATATATGGGATATATATATATGGGATATATCTATGGGATATATATATCTATGGGATATATATATGGGATATATATATATATGGGATATATATATATCTATGGGATATATATATATATGGGATATATATATATCTATGGGATATATATATGGGATATATATATCTATGGGATATATATATGGGATATATATATGGGATATATATGGGATATATATATATCTATGGGATATATATATATCTCTATGGGATATATATATATCTATGGGATAGATATATATATATCTATGGGATATATATATCTATGGGATATATATGGGATATATATATCTATGGGATATATATGGATATACATATATCTATGGGATATATGTATGGGATATACATATATCTATGGGATATATGTATGGGATATACATATATCTATGGGATATATGTATGGGATATACATATATCTATGGGATATATGTATGGGATATACATATATCTATGGGATATATGTATGGATATACATATATCTATGGGATATATGTATGGGATATACATATATCTATGGGATATATGTATGGGATATACATATATCTATGGGATATATGTATGGGATATACATATATCTATGGGATATATGTATGGGATATACATATATCTATGGGATATATGTATGGGATATATATATCTATGGGATATATCTATGGCATATATATATCTATGGGATATATCTATGGGATATATCTATGGGATATATCTATGGGATATATCTATGGGATATATATATGGGATATATATATGGGATATATATATGAGATATATATATGGGATATATATATGTGGGATATATATGGGATATATATATGTGGGATATATATATACACATATATATCTATGGGATATATATATATCTCTCTCTATGGATCTATGGGATATATATATATATACACACACACACACATAGGACAATGAGAACTGGGAAATAAGACTCCACTTTACCATTTGCCAGAAGCACATCACCTGCAAACCAGAGTTTCCCAGTAAATTGGACAAGAGTCCTTGACATGAGCTTAAGACCTCAGTGTGGTCTTTTCCTTTCAGCCACCAAGTTAAATGTGATGAGAACTCCCAAATACAAAAATGTGTTTTTGAGAAGAGCCTGGCTACCTCGCCATCAAGAAGGGGAAGAAAAAAACAGGTCTCCGCCAAGTTCTTATTCTAGTCATTGTTTAGATGGAGGAAGCAGCAGGGAGAGCCATATTCACAAGTGGGACTTCTCGCAATGGAAAATGTGGCCCCCATGAGTGTCCTGAAATCTGACCAGGCTATTTCAGCATAATTTCCTCTTGGAAAGGGAAATACATTAGTACCAGGCATTTTCTCCAAGGCTGGGAAGTTGTTTCTTCCTAGAAGGAGCTGTCTAACCTCTTCACCCTTTATAAAGTAACAGTAATGGTTACGTTTACCTTACAGGGTCATTGAGAAAATTATTTTTATTTATTTATTACGATTTTTTCAGAAAGGAGTTAAGACAGCTGACATGAATATGTAAGAATATAAGATGATACAAGAAATGGGACTAAGGAAAGACAGAAAAAAAAACAAGACAGGATATAAAATGGAATTCAGAATGAAGCTAACGTCTTTCATCTCGGCTCACTGCAACCTCCGCCTTCCAGCTTCAAGCCATTCTCCTGCCTCAAACTCCCAAGTAGCTGGGACTACAGGTGTGTGCCACCATGCCCAGCTAATTTTTGTATTTTTTTGTAGAGATGGGGTTTCACCATGTTGGCCAGGCTGGTCTTGAACTTCTGACCTCAAGTGATCTGCCCGCCTTGGCCTCCCAAAGTGTTGGGATTACAGGCATGAGCCTCTGTGCCCGGCCTGACAATGTGCTATTTCTTTTTAAAAAAACTCAGAAGCAATTACAGCAAATTATGAAGATTTGATTAAGGTGGGTACATGGGTATTTGTTTTCATAGTCTTTATACACATGTGTATGCTTTAAATATTTATAATTTTAAAAAGTTTAAAAAAGTAAGACATTAATACAGATGCAGAAATCAGTATGATTCTATTTATATTAAGTTCAAAAATAGAAAAAATAAATGATATATTTTTATGGATATATACTAGGTGGTAAAGCTATTGAGAAAATCAAGGGGGCAGTTAACATAAAATTCAGGGTAGTGGTTCCTTCTGGGAGAGACACCCACAGGACGTCTATGATACTGGCACTATTCTATTTCTTAAGTTGAGTAGTGTTTATGAATCTTTAAGGTGTGTGGATATGTTTTACATAATTTGTGTGTGTGTGTGTGCGCGTGTGTATAAACAGATAAAGATATGCTACAGGTAATCCACAAATGCAACAACTGTCAACAGTAAGTGGCTTAACAGGCAAAAGAGTGCCTCATAAGGTATTAAGCACTACTCAATTGTCACTTGTTTTTATGGGAAAGCCCAGCCTTTGAAATCATGCCGATTGTATGTGACCACTGACTCTGTAGTTTACTTTTACGTCCTCTCAGAACTTTGAATTTTCTCATCTATACAAAGAAGAGAATAAATCCTACTTTGCAGGGTTGTGGAGATATGAAGTATCTTGTGTTTGGTTGGCATCTGCAGAATGTCATCTTCCTTCCCCTCTCTTTCCTCACTTCAGTATCTCCTTTCCATTTATTTCAGATGGTAAACACTCCTGTGAGGAACTCTTGCAGTTCACTAAATTGACCTTTATTTTTCATCTTTTTTTACTAAAAATTATCAGCAGCAATATAATACCCATATCAGCTTCAAAAGGTTGCATACAACTGTATTTGCTAAAAAAAAAAAAAAAAAAAAAAAACCACCTTTTTTTTGAAGGTGTCAACAATAACAAAACAGAAAAGTAGCTTTAAAAAGTTGCCCTGAAACACTCTGAGCCATTAATGTCATATGCAATATACCAGAGTTTGTTTCTTGACAAAAGGTTAATTAGTTCTCTCCCATAGGATGGCATTGCCATAATTAAACCTATAACAACAAGGAAAAAACACCCCTGGGCAATTTAAGACATTCTGACAATAATGAGACATGGCAACAGGCACTATGTACCAAGGCTATTTTCTAGTTGCTGTTGTTTAATCACCATTGGCACAAGAAAGCAAGTCCTCCCATGCCAGATAATGTCTGTCCCTGAGAGAGACCTATTTTCAAGAGAAGGTAGGTATTTCTGCCTTATACTAGACCTTCCTTTACAATCGCCTGGCAAATGAAAGCAAGAAGCTCCAAATGTGGATGAAACATTGTTTCTGTCAAAAGCAGTACCATATATCATTTCCCCTGGTAATGATATGATTCACAGCATCATATCACTCTTCTGTGACCTAATTATAGTCAAATTCATGCATATTCATATCTAGCCTTGGACAGGGAGGGGTGGCGAGGAACCTCTATGCATTAGGAGACCACCCGCATGGGCAGATTCCCCTAATGAAAGCACTAAACAAGATTTTTAAATTTTTTATTTTTAATTATTATGGATACATAAAAGCTGTACATATTTATGGGGTACATGTGATATTTTGATGCAAGCATATGATGAGTAATGATTAAATCAAGGCAATAGGGGTATTTATCACCACAAGCATTTGTCATTTATTTGTGTTAGGAAGATTCCAATTTCACTCTTTTAGCACTAAGCAAGATTGATGCAAAGGCATCAATGTTCTGAGCATTCATGACATCCACTGCAATGTCTAGAGGGTACATTTTTCTCTCCTCCATTCAGGCATGATGGGTACACAGTTCCCTTGAGGACACTTGGCTCAAAATCCTGGAGAGGGTCTGGGGAAGAAGTATTAGGCAGCCTGGACTCATTGTGATATCCTTAGAAAGGGTTTGAAAGTTCAGGATTCAAAGGAGAAAAGCAATACGTGTGATCACACATATCTCTATCCCATCACCAAAGAAACATAAAAACAGACACATGCCCTTTGAATCCAATATTTTGAAATGAGGAGGAAGGATGTAACCTCCAAAGGTATAAAAAGAAGCAAATGTTGTGTATGTTAGTGGTAATACAGTCCTCCACCTGGTTTACATTGAAGAGTCCATTGGGCTGAGGGTGACCAATGGAGTCCTTGATTCAAACACCACTGTCTTCAAGGCTCAGCTAAACATCTGGGGGCTCATGGCTCAAAGCAACCATAAAAAACAGAACCAGACAAAGACGGCTCCTCAGAATATGTTCAAGCTTCTCATAGTCTTTAGTCTGAGCTCCAGCACTCTCTCTCTGCTAAGCCTTGGCATGACTTTAGAAGGTCACTGGTACTAACAGCTCCTAGGACTATACTTCAAAAGAAACCTGGGTGCTGACTATGCAGGACCAAATAAAGAGTTGTGATTTAACTAAAACTTCATTCCAAGAGAATTTGAATGCCTTTCTTTCCAGAAGCAATTCTGAATCCTCCCTGTCAATTCCCTAGTCTTAACCCTGTTTTCAGAGTAGCACATGAACCAGTGTTTTCCAAACAAATAAAGGACTCTGCTCAAAGGAAGCAAGTATATAAGTGGTTATACTTTCTTCAAAGATCCAGGACATTTGCAGACATAATCAATGGGCTTTGTAATCAGGCATGCTTGGAACATATCTTTAGTGTCACTGGGGGTGCTAATGTTATTCTCATATGGTTCCTTACATATGACACTCAAAAAAGTTCACCTCCTTGGAAATAGTTTATAAGAATATTTATTGAAATGTGATTCAAGGCAAGGTGTCAGAATGCTTCTACAAAGCTTCAGAGTCCTGAGGAAATTAAAATGCAACCTTAGCTAACCTTGGATAATTTACTAGAAATTTCAGTTATTATGCAATCAAGAGCATGAATTACTAAATTCAAGACTCTGTAAGGGATACTACAAACCATCACTGACCTCAAGCAGATTAAAATCTAGGTGAAAAAGCGAGTGTAGGCTAGGCACAGTGGCTTATTCCTGTAATCCCAGCACTCTGGGAGGCCGAGGTGTGCGGATCACTTCAGGCCAGGAGTTCAAGACTAGCCTGGCTAACATCGTGAATCCCCATCTCTACTAAAAATACAAAAATTAGCCAGATGTGGTGGTGCATGCCTGTAGTCCCAGCTACTCAGAAGGCTAAAGCAGGAGAATTGCTTGAACCTGGGAGGCAGAGGTTGCAGTGAGCTGGGATTCCACCACTGCCCTCTAGCCTGGGCAACAGAGTGAGACTCTACGTCAAAAAAAAAAAAAAAAAGTGAGTGTGTTAGTCCATTTTTACACTGCTCTGAAGATACTACCTGAGACAGGGTAATTTATTTTAAAAGGAGGTTTAATTACTCACAGTTCCACGTGGCTGAGGAGGCCTCAGGAAACTTACAATCATGGCAGAAAACAAAGGGGAAGCATGGCACATCTCACATGGCGGCAGGAGAGACAGAGAGCAAAGGGGGACCCGCCAAACACTTTTAAAACCATCATTTCTCATGAGAACTCACTCATTATCATGAGAACAGCATGGGGGAAACCGTCCCCATGATCCAATCACCTCCCACAAGATCTCTGCCCTGACACATGGGGATTAAAATTCGTGGAGATTACAACTTGAGATGAGATTTAGGTGGGGACACAGAGCCAAACCATCTCAGTGACTGTTGCAAAACAGCCTCAGTACAAAGCAGAATGTGATTGATGCCACAGGATACTGTGAATACAAGTCTCAGTCTTGTCCAGACATAGAAAAACAGAAATCAAACAAAACCCAGAGGCTTATTATTCCATTCCTAAATAACACTAACCTCCTTCTACACAGAAAAAAATATATATTTTTTCTTATTATTCATTGATTGGGTTCTAATCAATACTCATTTTAAATCAACAATTCATTGTGTGGCCTAATGCTATCACTCTCTTAAGTAGCCACAGCTATAAATTCACCAAGATGATGAGGCCAGTAAGAATAGGAGTGAGATATTCCGATGGCATCATACACCCAGAAGACAAACCAAGTCCTCAAGACAGAAATTGTTTGACATTATAGGACTTTTAATCTTAATATCTTTTATTTAACTGACAGGACTCATGGGAGAAATGCCAGACCCTCTAAATGGAAAGTTCATTGATCGACTCTAACCTCAATGTTTGAAAATACATAACATGAAGATAAAAAAAAAACCTATTTTGGGCCTAACCAAAGACCATTTAAAACTCAACTGAGTACTTAATAAGTATTTATTGGTTATTGAAAAAATGAAATTGCTATTCACATAATATATTTTTATCATTCAGGTTTCCCACAGCCAATTATTATTTATTCTCCAAAATAGCATGGCACATATAAACTAACACATTACATATGGGGAAGGGTATGGATTCCATTCTCTTGACTAAGTGACTAAGGTGTATTCCACATGCTGCTAAAAGCTGAATTCTTGGAATGTGTATGTCTCAATCCATGTGCTGAGCCCTACCAAGTTATAATTAGAGTGCCATTGGTGCCACTACATCTGTACTAACTTAAAATCACTACCAAGGAACATTTAAATACTAAGTCCTCTTCTATTCTTCCACCTTCTGCGTTCTCACTTTTTACCCTAACAAAGTAACTCACTCATGCCTCAAAATGTGATCAAGATGCTTGGATGATTATAGACCATGGGTAGGTCCCTTTTTATTAAGTTGAGATATAAAAATTAGGTCATATTTTTTAACTATTCTAATTAAATGATTCCAAGCTTCCTTATCAAGGATGAGTAACTTTCTTTCCCTTCCTCTGATAAGTCCAACACTTCACAGTGGACCCAGCAGTGAATCAGTCCTCATGATGTCTCACAGAGAAAACCACAAAATCAATCTTAGCATCCACCATGTATAGGGCCATAGTTTCTACTGTTGTCATATCCAGAGCCATTACATGGTGTTGTTGAAAATAAGTGATCTAACAGCTCAGCAGAATTGTGTCCAAAATTGGTGGGTTCTTGGTCTCACTGACTTCAACAATGAAGCCGCAGACCCTTACGGTGAGTGTTACAGTTCTTAATTAAAGGCGGCGTGTCTGGAGTTTGTTCCTTCTGATGTTCGGACGTGTTTGGAGTTTCTTCCTTTTGGTGGGTTTGTGGTCTCGCTGGCCCAGGAGTGAAGCTGCAGACGTTTGCTGTGAGTGTTACAGCTCAGAAAGACAGTGCGGACCCAAAGAGTGAGCAGCAGCAAAATTTATTGCAAAGAGCGAAAGAACAAAGCTCCCACGGTGTGCAAGGAGACCCCAGCAGGTTGCCACTACTGGCTGGTGTGGAAGGACACCCCACAAGGCTGCCACTGCTGGCTCAGAAAGTCTGCTTTTATTCCCTTATCTGGCCCCACCCACATCCTGCTGATTGGTCCATTTTACAGAGAGCTGATTGGTCTGTTTTACAGAGAGCTGATTGGTCTGTTTTGACAGGGTGCTGACTGGTGCATTTACAATCCTTGAGCTAGACACAAAAGTTCTCCAAGTCCTCACTACATTAACTAGACACAGAGCACTGATTGGTGCATTTACAAACCTTGAGCTAGACACAGGATGCTGATTGGTGTATTTACAATCCCTTAGCTAGACATAAACGTTCTCCAAGTCCTCAGCAGATTAGCTAGATACAGAGTGCTGATTGGTGCATTTACAAACCTTGAGCTAGACACAGAGTGCTGATTGGTGTATTTACAATCCCTTAGCTAGACATAAAGGTTCTCCAAGTCCCCACTAGATTAGCTAGACACAGAACACTGATTGGTGCATTTACGAACCTTGAGCTAGACACAGGGTGCTGATTGGTGTGTTTACAAACCTTGACATGGAGGGCTGCAGGTCTGGATCCCTGTCCCACAGTGAGGCAGCTGAGGCCCGGCAAGAATTGGAGCGCAGCGCCAGGGGGCTGGCACTGCTGGGGGACCCAGTGCATGCTCCACAGCTGCTGGCCCGGTGCTAAGCCCCTCACTGGCTGGGGCCAGTGGCACCAGCTGGCAGCTCCAAGTGTGGGGGCTGTGGAGCCCATGCCCACCCGGAACTTGCGCTGGCCTGCGAGCACCGTGCACAGCCTGGGTTCCCGCCAGCGCCTCTCACTCCACTCCTTCCTACAAGCAGAGGGAGCAGGCTCCAGCCTCGGCGAGCCCAGAGAGGAGCTCCCATAGTGCAGCAGCGGGCTGAAGGGCTCCTCAAGCGTGGCCAGAGCAGGCGCCGAGGCCGAGGAGGTGGCCAGAGCCAGTGAGGGCTGCCAGCATGCTGTCACCTCTCAGAATCATTGTCCACTGCTGGGAAACATGCAATGAACTAGGCATGTCCCTCCCTCCACTGACACCGGCATTCTAACAGCTTGCTTCAGTTCTGTGTACTGAATAAAGAGCTAGAGGAACTGTGGCCATATCAGCATATGCCCACCTGCACTAGACTCAGTGTGTGCTGCTTGGACCCACCTATTCCCCCTCAGCCTTAGACAGGTCTTTTATACCTAGGCCACAGAAGCCCTAGCAATGGCTCAAGGTGTTCCCATAGAAGAAAGCTGAGACTTCTGCTGCCACTGGTGCTACTGCCACCATTGCCACTATATTGACCAGTGGACGCTCAATCCACAACTGACAAGGAGAAACCGTGCACTGGCTGGCTGGACCCACAGAGGCCTTGGCTTCCCCAGCTGTTTCCCAGAGTGACCAGTTACACAACCCAGAAGTGCAGGGGGTATGGGTGGTTCTGAGCTGCCTCTTCACGTGGCCTCTACAAAGACATCCCAGTGGCTGAGTAGTCAGCTGGGCATGGTATGAAGCTGTAGTCCATGCAGTAACATGAACCCCATTGTATTTTCTCTCCCTCCTTCCCTGTCTCGCATCTTTTTTTCTTCCTCATTCTTGCTTCCCTGGAATGGTACTCCCTCCATAAAGTACAGAAAAGCACATTAGCTTTTGCCTCGGGCTGTTTCCTAGTGAACCTAGGCTAAGACTGCATCTCTGTTATTAAAATGAAGAGCCCCAGATTTCCAGTAAATGGAGAAAATTTCTATTGTAACTCTATTTATTCTGTATCATTGTAGCCTAGACTCCCAATGCTACTGCAGTTAGTTACACCATACTTTCAGTACACAGACATACATACATAGACACACACACACACACCCACACACACACACACACACACACACAGTCACATTATCACCAAGAACATACCACACCCCAACCCCAGGGCCAGAAGAGCTAGGACAGAGGAGCTTCAATCATTAACCATACTGTGTTCATATGTCCCCTCCCCACCAACCCCATGACATTGGTGTCATTTTTGAGAGTAGTGGAGAAAGCATCTCCCTACTCTAATCTCAAGAGCCACCTTATTTCCTGTCTTAAAAAGCAGTGATACTTCTTTCAGGGAAAACCTCAGTATTCTATGAAGATGAGGGAATCATAAGTATTCAGAAGTCTGTTTCAACTGAACAATTAAAACTCCTTACATGGCTCTCCATTTCCTTGTGTGTCACCATAGTGCATCACAACACGGATCATGACAAGGAGATATCATTCTTCCCTCATTACTGTTTTGCCAGGACAAGGCCTACTGAGGACTTCTTAAATTTAGCTATTTGAATGGAAAATTAATTTCTCACCAAAACCATTCAGACCAAAACCATATATATATATAACGGTGGCTCACGCCTATAATCCCAGCACTTTGGGAAGCTGAGGCAGGTGGATCACCTGAGGTCAAGAGTTCAAGACCAGCCTGGCCAACATGGTGAAACCTATCTCTACTAAAAATACAAAAATTAGCTGGGCGTTGTGGTGCATGCCTGTAATCCCAGCTACTTGGGGGGCTGAGACAGGACAATCACTTGAACCTGGGAGGCGGAGGTTGCTGGAGTTGTCCAGCCTGGGCAACAAGAGCAAAACTCTGTCTCAAAAAAAAAAAAAAAAAAAAAGCTCCCTCTGAATACATGTGAATCTAGTCTGAATAAAACCATTAAGTGGGGAAGACAGCAATAGAAATGGTTATATATGAGCTAGTCAACACACTTGCATAGATTCATTGGCAGAAAGCCTGGTCCTAAAGTAATTGGCTGTTATTTGACAACTTTTGGCCAATGTACACTGAGCATTTACTAAGCGCCAGGCACTGTACTATGTGCTGGGGAAAGGAGGAGCAAAAATTCATGCCTCTTTCCAGGAGAGAGACACACTGGAAAATTGGGCTTGTTTTGTCTGTTTGGTTATTATTAATTTTTTTTCTAAAATTCTATATTTTTAATAAGTAAATATTGAAACAAATTTATATCATTGTATATCATTCTGAGTGCATTTTGGATAGTCATAAGAACACATAAATGCCTTTTCACACAGTTATAATTAATGTGCACAAAATATTTTTCAATAAATATTATGTCATATATATCATGTAATTCCCTGAACTTATATGTTAACATTTCAGTAATTGTATGTAACAGTAATTTTATCTGTTTTTCTGTTTCGATATATCTTATGAAGGTGACAACCTCCTACCAGAGACAATGGCTCATTGGGTTATTGTTCCTTTTTTTAAATATATGTTTTTTTTTGTTTTGTGTTTTCAGATAGAATCTCACTCTGTTGCCCAGGCTGGAGTGCAGTGGTATAACCATAGCTCACTGCAGCCTTGACTTTCTGGGCTCAAGCTATCCTCCTGCCTCAGTCTTCCAAGCTAGGATTACAGTTAAGCACCACCACGCCTGGCTAATTTTTTAAATTTTTGTCGAGATGGGATCTCACTCTCTTGCCCAGGCTGGTCTTGAACTCCTGTGTTCAAGCTATCCTCCTTCCTTGGCCCCCCAAAGTGCTAGGATTATAGGCATGAGCCACTAGGCCTGGCCCCTTTTTAATGTATTAATCAGTACACCTCATTGCTATGGGCATTTTTAAATAATCATTCTTTTTCATTTTTGTAATATGTTCCTCAAAGTGTGTGTGTAACTTTTATTACACCATGGCGGATGACTGCTCAGAAGACTAGAACAACAGAGAGCCTCTAACAAAGCAATTAATGGGCATGTGTCCCTTTAGCCTATTGGGTTGGATCAGTTACAATTATTGGTAATTCAAGTTGCTTTCATTTTCATTTCCTCTATTTTCAAGGCTACGTATTTCTTCCATATAATGTTTCATTTACTACATTTCCTCTATGTAAACCATCTGTTCAAATCCTTTGAGAGTTAGAAGTGAGTTTGTATGAGAAACAAGAGGAGACAAGGAGAGGCCTAGGATATGGTTGGGCTTATGGGGTTCTGACAGCCAAGGATAGGGCCGCCTTCCGTGTGACCCATGTCCCAAGAGGAAGTAGAAGAAATCAAAGGAATTCTATGCCAGCCAGCCCCACTTCCGCACAGAAAGCCAAGACCTACACCCAACAAAGGGAAATTCCCCAACCTTTTTGCCAGTTCACAAATCACAGAATAATCTGCAGGAGCTGGCATTTTGAAGGCATTTTTAAGCATGCCTCACGGCTCCTGAATAAATCCGACCATGCCCACTTTGCAAAGGAAGGAGCTGAGTCACAGAGGGTTGGCTGACTGACTCTGCAGGGAGAGCCCCTTAGTGGGAGAGCTGGAGGCAGGAGGCAAAGTGTGTGAATTCTTGTACTGGGCTCAGGGAGATGGAGCTGCTCTGTCCCTTTATTGTGTCCATCAAGAAACAGACAACCAATTGTGACTTCCCCAAGCCCCACAAAAGAGCAATTTGCTGCTTTGCCAACAGTGAGGCCTGAATAACTGGCCCTTGTGCTGAGAGTAGGCTAAACCCAATCCTCTGCACCAAGCTGAGAGCAGCCTCAACAGGCTCCCCAGCCACATCACATGCAAACTGAATTCTCTGGCTGGTGAAAAGTCCTCCAGCATAGCTAGAGATGGCTTGGATATGAAAGGCGGAGTCATTAGGTTGTCCATTCCCTCCATGTTCCAGAAGAAGAAAATGAAAAATCATTATGCATAAAAGCCACATTTTTAAAAAAAATTAATTCTAATTTCTGAATCACATATTGGATTCATTGACTTTTCAGAGGCTTATAGGCAGTATGAACACATCTGTCAATTGAGCTGATTCCCTAGTTGCTTAGCCAGCTTTTTGCCTGACATCCTTGTAAGTTATAGGATTATATTATTAGTACCCAACAGACTGACAGACATTTGACAATGAATAGATGTTTTCTAAAGAAGCTAGACACTCTAAAAATCTGTTTTTTTAATGTTCTTTTTTTCAACTTTTATATTAGTTTTAGGGGTACATAGGCAGGTTTGTTATATAGATAAATTGTGTGCCACAGGGGATTGGTGTACACATTTGTTTCATCACCCAGGTAATAAGCATAGTACCCAATACGTAGTTTTTTGATCCTCACTCTCCTCCCATCCTCTACCTTTAAGTAGGTCCCAATGTCTATTGTTTTCTTCTTTGTGACCGTGTGTATTCAATGTTTATCTCCCACTTATAGGAAAGAACACGTGGTATTTTGTTTCTATTCCTGCATTAGTTTGCTTAGGACACTGGCCTCCAGTTCCATCCGTATTGCTGCAAAGAACAAGATCTTGTTCTTCTTTATGACTGCATAGTATTCCATGGCATATATGTACCACATGTCCTTTATCCAGTCTACCATTGATGGGCATTTAGGTTAATTTCATGTTTTGCTATTGTGAATAGTGCTGCAACAAACTTACACATGCATGTGTCTTTATAGCAGAATGATTTATATTCCTTGGGGTATATACCCAATAATGGGATTGCTGGGTCAAATGGTTGGCCTGCTTCAAGTTCTTTCAGAAATCTCCAAACTGCTTTCCATAGTGGCTGAACTAATTCGTATTCCCACTAGCAGTGTATAAGCATTCCCTTTTCTCCACAGCCTTGCCAGTATCTGTTGCATTTTAATAATAACCAATCTAACTGATGTGAGATGATATCTCATTGTGGTTTTGATTTGCATTTCTCTAATGATTAGTGATATTGAGCATTGGTTCATATGCTTCTTGGCTGCATGAATGTCTTCTTTTGAAAAGTGTTCATGTTCTTTACCCACTGTTTACTGGGGTTGTTTGGTTTTTGCTTGTAAATTTGTTTACATTCCTTATAGATTCTGGATATTAGACCTTTGTCAGATGCACAGTTTGCAAATATTTTCTCCAATTCTGTAGATTGTCTGCTTACTCTGTTGATAGTTTCTTTTGCTGTGGAGAAGTTCTTTAATTAGGTCCCATTTGTCAATTTTCGTTTTGGTTGCAATTGCTTTTGGCATCTTCATTATGAAATCTTTGCCAGGGCCTATGTCCAGAATGGTATTTTCTAGGTTTTCTTCAAGGGTTTTTATAGTTTAAGTTCACATTGAAGTCTTTAATCCATCTTGACTTGACTTTTGTATATGGCACAAGGAAGAGGTCAGGTTTTATTCTTCTGTATATGGCTAGCCAGTTATCCCAGCAACATTTATTGAATAGGGAGTCCTTTCCCCATTGCTTGTTTTTGTTGACTGTATCAAAGATCAGATAGTTGTATAGCATTATTTCTGGGCTCGCTATTCTATTTCATTGGTCTGTGTGTCTGTTTTTGTACCAGTACCATGCTGTTGCAGTTACCATAGCCTTGTAGTATAGTTTGAAGTCAGGTAACATGATGCCTCCAGCTTTAACCTTTTTCCTTAGGATTGCTTTGGCTATTTGGCCTCTTGTTTGATTCCATGTGAATTTTAGAATTTTTTTTCTAATTCTGAGAAGAATACCATTGAGTCTGTAAATTGCTTTGAGCAGTATTGCCATTTTAACAATATCAATTCTTCCTATCCATGAACATGGAATGTTTTTTTCATTTGTGTCATCTCTGATTTCTTTCAGCAGTATTTTGTAATTTTCATTGTTGACATCATTCACCTCCCTGGTTAGCTGAATTCCTCGGTATTTTATTCTTTTTGTGGCAATTGTGAATAGGATTCTATTCCTGATTTGACTCTCAGCTTGGCTGTCATTCATGTATAGGAATCCTAGTGATTTTTTGTATGTAAATTTTGTGTCCTGAAACTTTGCTAAAGTTGTTTATCAGTTGAATGAGCCTTTGGGCCAAGACTATGGGTTTTCTAGATACACAATCATATTGTCTGCAAACAGGGACAGTTTGACTTCCTCTCTTCCTATTTAGATGCCTTTTATTTCTTTCTTTGCCTGATTGCTCTGGCTAGGACTTCCACTACTATGTTGAATAGGAGTGGTGAGAGTGGTCATCTTTCTGTCGTTCTTGTGCTCAGGGTAATGCTTCCAGTGTCTGCCCATTCGGTATGATGTTGGCTGTGGGTTTGTCATAGATGGCTGTTATTATTTTGAGATATGTTCCTTCAATCTCTAGTTTGTTGAGGGTTGTATTTATTTATTCATTCATTCATTCATTTGAGATGAAGTCTCACTCTGTCGCCCAGGCTAGAGTGCAGTGGCACGATCTCGGCTCACCGCAACCTCCACCTCCCGGGTCCAAGCAATTCTCCTGCCTCAGCCTCCCACATAGAGTAGCTGGGACTACAGGTATGCATCACCACACCTGGCTAATTTTTGTATTTTTAGTAGAGATGGGTTTCACATGTTGGCCAGGCTGGTCTTAAACTCCTTACCTCAAAAGATCCACCCACCTGAGCCTCCCAAAGTGCTGGGATTACAGGTGTGAGCCACCTCACCGGTCTTGTTGAGTATTTTTAACATAAAGGAATCCTGAATTTTATTGAAAGTCTTTTCCGCATCCATTGAGATCATCACATGGTTTTTGTTTTAGTTCTGTTTATGTGATAAATCACCGTTATTGTTTTGCATATGTTAAATCAACCTTGCATCCCAGGAATAAAGCCTACTTGATCATTATGAATTAGCTTTTTCATTATGCTGCTGGATTTGGTTTGCTAGTGTTTTGTTGAAGATATTTGCATCTATGTTCAACAAGAATATTGGCCTGAAGTTTTCACAGGCTTTAGTATCAGGATGATGCTGATCCCATAGAATGAGCTGAGAATGAGTCCCTCCTCCTCAATTTTTTGGAATACTTTCAGTAGGAATGGTGCCAGCTTTTCTTTATGCATCTGGCAGAATTAGTCTGTTCAGACTTTCTATTTCTTCCTGGTTCAATCTTGGAAGGTTGTATGTTTTCCGAAATTTATCCATTTCTTGTATGTTTTCTAGTTTGTGCACATAAAGGTGTACGTTATAGTCTCTGAGTGGTGTTTGCATTTCTGTGGGGTGGGTGGTAATGTCCCTTTGGTCATTTCTGATTGTGTTTATTTGGATCTTCTCTCTTTTTTTCTTTAGTAATCTAGAAAACAATCTATCAATCTTATTTAATCTTTCAAAAAGCCAACTTCTGGTTTTGTTGATATTTCCTCTGGTTTTTTTACATCTCAATTTTATTCAGTTCAGCTCTGATTTTTGTTATTTCTTTTCTTCTGCTAGCTTTGGGGTTGGTTTGCACTTCTTCTTCTAGTGTTTCAAAGTGTGATGTTAGTTGTTAGTTAGAGATCTTTCTAGCTTTTTGACGTGGGTGTTTAGCATTACAGGGTTTCCTCTTTACACTGTTTAAGCTGTGTCCCAGAGATTCTGATATGTTGTATCTTTGTCCTTATTCATTTCAAAGAATTTCTCGATTTCTGCCTTAATTTCACTATTTACCCAGAAGTCATTCAAGAACTGGTTGTTTGATTTCCATGGAATTGTAGGGTTTTCTTAGTATTAATTTTTCTTTATTTTTTTAACTTTTATTTTAGGTTTGGGGGTGCATGTGAAAGTGTGTTACATAGGTAAACACATGTCATGGGAGTTTGTTGTGCACATTATTTCATCACTCAGGTATTAAGTCCAGTACCTAATAGTTATCTTTTCTGCCCCTCTCCCCTCTCCTCCCCTCCCCGGTGAAGTACAGCTCAATGTCTGTTGTTTGTTTCTTTGTGTTCGTAAGTTCTATTTTTATTAGGACCACAGGCACTGTAGTCTGAGAATGTGGTTGGTATGATTTCAGTTTTTGTTTTTTTTTTTTTTTTTACTTGCTGAGAATTGTTTTGTGGCCTATTATGTGGTTGATTTTACAGTATGTGCCAAGTGCACATGAGAAGAATGTATATTCTACTGGGTTTGGGTGGAGAGTTCTGTACATGTCTATTAGGTCCATTTAGTCAAGCATTGAGTTTAGGTCCTGAATATCTTTGTTATTTTTCTACCTTGATGATTTGTCTAATACTGTCAATGGGGTATTGAAGTCTCCCACTACTATTGTGTGGTTACCCAAGTCTCTACATAGGTCTCTAAGAATGGTTATATGAATCTTAGTGCTCCTGTGTTGGATGCATATGTATTTAGGATAGTTAAGTCTTCTTGTTGAATTGAACTCTTTAAAATTATGTAATGCCCTTGTCTTTTTTGATCATTTTTTATTTAAAGTCTGTTTTGTCTAAAATTAGAATAGCAACCACTGCTTTTCTTTATTTTTCAGTCTCTTAGAAGGTATTTCCCCATCCCTTTACTTTGAGCCTATGGGTGTTTTTGCACGTGAGATGGATCTCTTGAAGACAGCATACCATTGAGTCTTGCTTCTTTATCCAACCTGCAACTCTGTGCCTTTTAATTTGGGCATTTAGCCCACTTACATTCAAGGTTAATATTGATATGTGTGGATTTGATCCTCTCATCATGTTGTTAGCTGGTTATTATGCAGACTTGATTGTGTAGTTGCTTTATAGTGTCAATGGTCTATGTACTTAAGTGTGTTTTGTGGTGGCTGGTAATGGTCTTCTGTTTACATATTTAACAGTCTCTTAAGGACCTCTTATAACGCATGTCTGGTACTGATGAACTCTCTTAGCATTTGCTTGTCTGAAAGAGGATCTTATTTCTCTTTCACTTATGAAGTTTAGTTTGACTGGATATTAAATTCTTGGTTGGAGTTTCTTTTTCTTTAAGAATGTTGAATATAGGCCAGGCGCGGTGGCTCATGCCTGTAATCCCAGCACTTTAGGAGGCTGAGGTGGGCAGATCATGAGGTCAGGAGATCGAGACCATCCTGGCTAACATGATGTAACCCCATTTCTACTAAAAATACAAAAAATTAGCCGAGCGTGGTGGTGGGCACCTATAATCCCAGCTACTTCGGGAGGCTGAGGCAGGATAATAGCGTGAACCTGGGAGGCAGACTTGCAGTGAGCCGAGATTGTGCCACTCCACTCCAGCCTAGGCAACAGAGCAAGACTCCCTCTCAAAAAAAAAGCAGAATGTTGAATATAGGCCCCCAGTCTCTTCGGGCTTGTAGGACTGTTCCTTTTTTTGCTGTCAAACACCCAAACTATACCTTAACAGGAATACCTTCTATGAATTTGGTTCTCCAGGTGTAGGACTCACCAGAGGAAATGCTTCTATTTGTTTTTATTAGGCTCCCAACAAACCAGTTCTTGTGTACAGACTCTGCCCAGAAGAGCAAGCACATGGATGGCAGCTTGCTTATTGTGACATCTGGGCCTGCTCACACACGGTTCAGGCTGTTGTTCCCTTTACTTTATCCAGCCCCTAGCATGGGATAAACTAGTATGGGAGTCATTAATTCAACCAGTATCAACTGAGGGCCACCATGTGCCAGGCTCAGTTGTAAGTACTGAAAATATAGCCATGAATGAAAAAGACAAGCTCCTTGCTCTAGTGCAGTTTATTTTCTACACGATAAAATAATCTACAGATATGACTATTGCAAGCACTATTAAGGGCCTTGGTGAAAATGAAACTGGGTAATATAAGTGAGTAACTTGTGTCACACTGGGTATCTCTTGGGGAGATGACAATTGAGATCCCTGAGCCTGAGTAATTAAGGCAGAAGAAATAAAACATGCAAAGACCTTGATGTTAGAATGAACAAAGGGCAGAAACATTTGTGTCCTTAAAGAAGGATCCATAAACTCTGCAAAGCCCATCTCAGGCTGTTAGTCTTACCAGAATAGGTGCCTAGGAGAACAATTTGCCTTTGAGAGAAAGCCAGCTGTGTGTGGCCCTGGAGGTCATCTCCTCCAATCTTTCATTCTGGAGTGCAAAGGCTCAGAAAGACAAAGAATGAATTGCCCTAAGTCACATAACTTCAGGTAGGTGTGGGAACCTCAGGGGCTGGTATAGGAGATATGTAGAGGTGGTGATATTCTGAAGTAGAATAGCCTTTCTGAAACCTCTAAAATCACAACAGGCTACTCCCCAACAGGGAAGAAGATCCTGAATCTCATAAAAGGGAACTGTCTAAATTGGTCTAGAAGAGTCAGGTTATGCTGCAATAACAACCCAAAATTTTAGTGACTTTAAGCATTGAAGATATCTTATCATGGGTCAGCAGAAGGGCTGTTTATAATAGTCAGGTCACTATCTTAAGCATTTCCCAGAAGTAAGGGAGAGCTCTGGAGGGTCTCACATTGACAATGACATATTCCAACTCAGAGGTGATATATGTTGCTTTGCTCACAACTCATTGGCCAGACCTATTTAGATGACCCCTCCCAACCACAAGGGGGCTGAGATATGCAGCCCACACAAGTACGCAGGAGGGAGAAGAACTAGAATTATTTGGCAAATAGCACTTATGTTTTTGTGCTACGTTCTATACTCTACAGGCTGCACCAGCAAATAGAAAAACCCTCCATGGGACCAAGGAACAAGCCTTTCACTTTCCATCCTAGAAAAGCTGAGGCACTACCAGGAATAAAGCAACCAGAGAATATGATGAGAAACACCCAATGGGTGATCAATAATTGTTCTGTCAACAGTAGGAGGAAGGTAAGAGGTATGGCTGGCTGAAGAGAAGTAATGCCATGTTCAAAGCTGGAAGTCAGTTCCCAGGGCACTCAGGGCTTTGGACCCTGGTCTCAGAAGTCCAATTATAGTAGTAACAGAAACCCTAGTAGGTGTCAACACAGTAAGTGAGAAGTCTTAATGTTATTTTAGAAAACACCTTCACTGGTGACTGCCTCTAAAAAGGGTCTTTGCTCTGACATAGAATCTGCTCACCTCAAACCTTCTAGAGCTATTGCCCTGCCAGATAAGTCTGTCTATACAGGTAACTTCAGCCCTACATAACCACAGGACAAAATATACTGAAATAAGACTAACCCTCTCACTAACATGCACATACAATTAGACCTTGCCCTAGAGACATGTATAGGTTTTCTGCCTGCCGATACCCCAGATACCCGAAACCCACTGAAGTTATCATCCACTGCCTCTCGTGGCCTTAGTGATCTTGTGCAACCTGGCGATCATCGCATGATTGCTGCATCCTGTATAAGATTCAGAAAAGTGACACAAACATACACCCTCTAAAATGAGTGCTCACCCTCCCTAATCTAAAAATAGTGTGAATATTGAGGAATACAATTATCTTCTGTCCTCTTTTGCCCCAGCATTAACGTGCATGACAGAGGTTTAATGCTGTGTTTCCAAAGGCCACAGTGAGATGAATTTAAATTTCAGTCCAAAGACCCAGCACTTCAAAGAAACCACACAACAGAGTTGTAGAGTCACATGAACCCCAAGAATGTGTTATTTTTAAATCTTCAAAATCCGCCCACTTTTTCCATATACATCACTCCCTTAGAATCTCATTACCAAAGAGCTTCTGCTAGAAGAAGCAGCATTCCAAATTCACATAGACTTCATGGCTATAGAGTTCTTCCCCACTTTTCCATGGAAATTGCACAAAAAACTGGCTTTACAGCAGTATGTCACAATGGCCTCAGGCTGCAAGCCTCTCTGTTGGAAACACTGGAATTCTTCTTAGGAAATTCCGCACAATGACCTTTTTCAGCACATAATTAGTGTGAGGTTTTCTTAAGCCATGTGCTAAGATGTTCCTTGTATAAACCTATTGGTGATCTGAAATCTCCTGTGCTCACTGGAGATTGCTGTACCACTTCTCGGAGTTCAAAAACTAAGCAGTCAAATACCACTGGGCTTTGGGGACACATAGCACTGATGTGTTTGCCAAACTAAAATGCTGTCTCATTAGAACTATACAAAATCTGCAGTTACTGGTCTGCTGAGGCTTTTTAGAGAATTTATATACATTCTCTTCACTTCACAAAAAGCTGGAGTGCACAGGCCATCCCCACTCCCTGACTCCCATCTGACTCAACTTTGTCAAGGCTCATTTTAATCACATTAAAATGTCACATATAGGCAATAAGCTTTTTCATGGGGCCTCACATAGAGGCTCTAAGCAGGACTTTTAATGCCAGTCCATGTGCTATCTCCTGTTTGAGACGAGGTTCCACTGTGCTTCTAGCTGAGAGCATCCATCCCGCCCCTCTTCGTCTTTCTCCCTTCACTTTGCCCCTTAACCACCTTGACTACTGAGGCTTGGTCTACATTTTCACTAGGCCATAGCTGGGGAGGAAATTCCCCCTCATTATCTACTGTGCAACTCACTTCCTGCACTGAGTAATCCAAGAACATTTATTTCACCAGCTAACAAGCAATTTTTCAGGCGTGGTACTCTCTCACTCCTCCAGGGAGCCCCATCAAAATTCTCTCTTTGTAAGCTCTATCCCCACCATCTCTACTCAGTGCCACCTTCCCAGGTTAACATGAGAAACGACTTCTTTGCTAATGTGAAATGGATAGCAGTGAGCTACCAACATTACAAACAAAGTGCTCGCATCTAAACATTTTTGAGGACTTAACTTTATGTCAGGCACTAATCTGTTCCTTTTCCTATCTGATTGCAACTAAAATCAATGGAAGAGAGGCCTACATCCTAGTGCCAACATTTGCAGAGTTAAGATGTGTAATTGAGTGTAAATAACTAAACCTCCCTGAGACTCAGCAGGCAATGAGTCAGTGGGCACAGAACACCATGCCCGTGCCCCAGGCCCAGCACCTTTTCTTTCTCCGGAGACTGGTGGTCTGCCTTTGTGCCCTGACTTTGATGAGCTACACTGTGAGGATCTCCAAATCCCACAAGCTCCTCAGCTCCTGACGGATCATGATTCTAGGAACTTTGGCATCCTCCCTTGTTCCAGTTTTGTTTATTCCCTCACCCCTGGCCTCTACTTTGCTTTTCTTATTCCTGGCACCATGTCCTCCTTCCCTGATCACCCCTGTCCCTGGCTCAGCCTCGCTCTCCCTGGCCAGCCCATCATGTGTGGAGGGGACCCCTCTGGGGTGTGTGGGTGAGGACTGCCCTGAGTTTGAGCACCAAACTCATGGTAGGCTCAAGGCAAAATTACTAACCAGGTGATTTGTTTCCACACATTCACCACATGTGCCCTCTCTGTTCCCCTCTCAACTTATCTCATGGACAAATCCTGGCACTTTTTCCCTCACTCTCAGAGATCTTGAGTAATGTTTTATGGTTCCCAGGATTAAGCACAAATCCATTCCAAACTTACCCACACCCCTTCCTTTGGCCATGCTTCACCTTTTCCCTATTACACCTCTCCACAAAAAACCTGCCCTTGCCAAGCGGCAGTATTGTCATCTCCTGGACAGACACTGGCCTTTAGCAAGTTCTTTCATCTCCCAGGACTTCAAGCTCATCTGCAAATTGCAGAAGGCCTCTAAAGTTCTTTCCCTAAAATACTCAATTCTCAGGCTTGAGAAAATGAGGGCTCCTTTGACAGCAACAGGGCTACGCAGCCAGTACTTTTTTTAACCTCAATGGGAGTTGATTTTTGACTTACATCATCCTAAAAAAAAAAAAAAAAAAAAAAAAAAAAAAAAAAAAAAAAAAAACAAAACTGATGCTTCATTTTGTCAAGCATAACCCTGATCTCTGTTTCAGGATGACTATCTAGCTCTGGTCCCTGGAGTGCCCACTATTCCTTAAATAGGGCATTGTGGAATAGCAAGTGTCCTCACATCCTTCTAGATCATGCCAAAGACTCATCAGGTTCTGGAATGATCCAGTAATAAAAACGTAGTAAAGCTAAAGTTGCTGCAAGTGAGAGAACATTTATGAATGAGATTTGTCTCACTGCACTAACATCAGTAAGTGAATCATTCCACCTCCCACTAGCCAGAAATTCCTCCCGTCAGATCTGCAGGATTCACCATCCAACAGTTTTTATATCCAGTTGGGAAACAGGAAGACGGGTCCCCTATAGTGGATGTTAAAATAAACAAGGTCTGGAAGCATGAGGAACCTCTTGTAGCTCTAAGAAGCTGAGACAGAGAAGGAAGTGCCTGAGCACCCCGTGCAGCATTTTTATACGTTGCCTTGATATATAAGTCAAACTCAATTTACAAATTATGACATGAATGCTAATACCCATTTCTACACAAAGATGCAACACTCTTTTCTGTTTTTTTTTAAGAGTTTATATTGCTATTCACTACAGATGAGAAGACAGGAACCGAGAAAATAAAATGTCATGAAAGTTATAGATGTTGCAGAAACCTTGTTAAGTCCTGGTTTTGCAATTTACACATATTCTATGCTCAAAGGCAACTAGGTCCTGGTTCACACTTAGCCACTTCCAGGAATTTTTTTCCTCCTTGTTTTACTTTTCATTCCTGGAGATGGAGCCCAAAGGACATACGAACCCCCTAAAACAGTATCCACATCCTTATATTTATGGGTATATGTGCATTTGTTTAGGAAAGGAGCTCAAATTAAACACCAAAGGGATTCAAAAACCCAACAAAGCCAAGGACTTCCATTCTAAATGGAGGTCTCCATCCATCTTTTAGAGTAAGGAAGTGGGTAAAATGGAGCCCACATGGATGCCTGTAGATTCCGTAGACAATTTATTCCAGGGGAGACTCCTAACAGATGTCTGCAATTGTTATCTTCAATGCTCAGTAGGACCCCAACTACATTATGTTCAAATTATCTGGTTTTGATTCAAAAAAGTATTTGTTGTCTGCCTACTTGTATCACGACTGTACTGAATATTAGTGATACAATTGGCATGCACCAGTACGGCTGTATGGGTTGTTAAAATACTGAAGTTCTTCTATACTGTCCCAGCCAATGCCCTCTCCCTCTGAACCTCTGGAGCTCCCCCAAATCCCTGATCTAAAGGGTTAACTATGGCAATTCAGAGGTCCTGCAGGACCCTATAAGCCCTGTGGTCAGTGTCTGTGTAGAGTGACTGGTCCCACTGACACAGCATTGGTTAACATTTCAACGATCACCCTGAATATAATCAAAAGCAAAAACGGATCAGACCTTGCCCAATTTTTTGCTCATAACCTGTATTAATCAGGGAAATGAAGCTGCTGTGAAAAACAACCCCCAGATCGCAGTTACCTCATGTAAGTTTATTTCTCAGAGTCCTCATACAGGCTGGCCCTATACCAACCAGGACCCCGGCTTTGACATGGATGACCTCACTTCCATGACATTCCATTGGCCAGAACCCAATCACATGGCTCCAATCTGACTGCAAAGGAAGCTGAGTAATGTATCTTCCTGTGTGCCACACAGTCTGACTTACAGCCTAGAAGGGCACATGGCTATGAATCAAATAATCACATTAATAAATGTAAAGGTGTACCTGGGACAAGCTTCTCTCTCACCGTTTTGCCCAGGGCTCACCTCTGTATGTTCCAGAGTGGTGTTTCTCAAAGATTAGGTGCATCCAAAACCTGCAGGGCTGACTCAAACCTGGACAGCAGGGCCCCACGCAACATTCCTGATTCAGTAGGTCTGGGGTAAGGCCTGAGCATTTGGTTTCTAAGAAGCTCCCAAGTGATGCTGATACCAGGACCATACTTCACCCTACTTTGATTCCCAAGCCAGTTTTCCTAGGTCATCAAAGAGGGCCTGAGTCAGGAAAATCTTTTTTTCTCCTGTTGACATTTCCAAAACCCTTCTCTCCTTGAGTGTCTTGGGTTTTAACTGTTTCCCCTCTGGGATTTTGGCATTTAGGTGGTATTGCTGTCTTTCTGACTGAGGTGAGGAGGGCCCTGAGGCTCGTGAAGTCTAGTTATATCTTGCCAGTGATGCCTTCCCTACCCCTTCTCCCTCTCTGTCCAGTGTCCTTGCCCAAAATCAGATCTCTCCAAAGCCATTCAGGACTGGCCAATACCACACTACATGGAAGTTGTCTTCAAGTACCATCCTTTCTTTTTTGTGCTCTTTTTATTTTCCCTCTTATATAAAAACTCTGTTAGCTGCAACTCTCACTTCCTTTTAGAATATTAACTCTGGCTAAAAGGAAACACAAACTAACAATTTTATTATAACCAGGAGCCAGAAAATAAACATTTATTTAAAATGTTTACTTTTCAGTTTCTCCCAGAACACTGACTCCTGGATGTCATTGAACCACTGCTTGTTGTATGTTTCATGTCCAGATATCTTTTCTTATATATGTTACATAGGCAGTGGATAACGTGGTCAGGTAGATTGGAGTTCAAACCCTATCTCTACTTCTGCCCACTATATAACCCTGAGCCTCAATTTTCTCACCTGTGAAATGGGGATAAAAATGCCAACATCATAAAACTCTTGTGGTGATGAAGTAAGGTATCATTTGGAAGCCCCAGGGATAGAAAGCCTAGGCCATATTCTTCAGGTACTTCATACACAGAGATTATTAGTCATTCAAGATGGGGTATCAGTGCCAAGTGCTGGCAGCATTAAACTGCAAACAGCACCTAGGTTTTTATACCACATCCCAATTCTAGCTGTGTGATCCTAGGCAAATTACTTACCCTCTCTGTAACTATAGGCTTTTTGGCACCTGTAAAAAAGGAAATTTAGTTGCCATCTTGTTTCTCCTGTGGGCATTCTGCAACTAAATAGGAAAGAAGATTAAATTCTTTCAGCTCCTTAAAAAGGAGTGTTCTATCAATTCAAACCTATGATTATATAATCTGGCAATATCAGCAAGTAAGCTAAATAGACTATGTGATGTAAACTTGTTTTTCGAGGGAAAAGATTAGTCCACCAAGAAGGGATTATCTACAAATAATAACCAGCACAATTTTAAATGCGAGGTTGAGTTTTTGGTCTTTCGTTTTTTAGTTTGTTTTGTTTTGTTTTAGCTGATTTTTAACCAGAAGAGCCTGAACATGAAAGTTTTAACTTGCAATCTGGTTGCTAAATATTTAGAAATGTTATATAGCAACTTGAGGATTAAACATCGATACATCATCCAGGGGATAGCCGAGGTCATTATTTTAACCCAGGGTTGAGTTAGCATAATGTCCTTTCTCCCCCAACTAATTGCACATCAGGCACCTGAGCCAGTTAGCATGTGACCCAACAGCCCCCAGAATCTGGAACTGTCCAGAAGCAACGCTGCTGCTGAAAGGCAAGTTAGGAGAGTTGATGCCATCCATCAGGAAATTGAGTATTTCACATAATGTGCTTTTCCAGCTTAAAGAACTTTGTGAACGACATCTTTCTCACTCTGTTAATGACAGGAAATGAATCATTCCTTGCTTCAGTTGGCCAGCGAAGCTACATTTTTCTAATCTTAGGGAGTTACCCTGCAGCAGGATTTCTCTCTCCTGAGGGCGGCCCTGGAAAGGCCTCCAACACTCAGAATTTCTCAACAGACCTCGACCATATAGGGAAGGCCTGTGCAACCCAGCATGTGAGAAACTCATGACCACTGGGCTGGGAATTCTAACACGTGGTGTCTCTTCCCCTTCAAGCTCCACAGAACAGTAAATCATGAGAGGATTATTTTTGTTTTCTATTTTTATTTTTTGGCTTAAACAACAGAAATATATTGTCTCCCTGTTCTAGAGGCTAGGATCCTGAGATCAAGGTGTCAGAAAGTTGGTTCCTTCTGAAGGCTGTGAGGAGAAATCTGTTCCATGCCTCACTCCCAGCTGCCGGTGGTTTGCTCTCAATCTTTGACATTTCTTGGCTTACACAAGCATCACCCATATCCCTGCCTTGGTTTTTACATGGCATTCTACCTGTGTTCATCAGAGGGGTTTTTTTTGTGTGTATGTTTTGTATGTTCTCTGTCCTTCTACCTCCCCAGGTGGAACAATTGAGATTTAAATATTACAGAAAGAATGAGACTTAAATATCCCAAAATCAACCCATGACATGGAGTAAAAATGAAAACTTGTCAGTGTAGAATCTAACAAACAATATCACATCACCAAGTGGGCTTGAATGAGTTTCTATCTATGCATTTTGTAAGCTATCCCATCCTTACACCCCCACCTACCCCCAAAAATGCACTCTTCCCCCTGGAAAGCTTGAGCAGATATTAAGTGTTTATGGAGAAAAATAATTGAGGGAGCAATTAAAAGAAGGGAAGAAAACATTGGTCAGTGCCTGAATATGCTGATCTCTCTTCTAAGTATTCCATGGGGTTTATCTCACTTAATTTGAACAAATCAGACCTTGGGCTGCCCAGCCCTACACATTTACGACTTTTTCCATCCCTGTGCCTTCTAATTCTCAGAATCAGCCCTCATGTAGTCTTACTGATTTTAAACAGAGACACTTGATTAGAGGCAAAAATGCAAACCCACAAAACAAGAAAGTCTGTACACCATGAAAGGAGAATTCTTCAACCACTGGCCCAGGAGTGCAGGGCTTTGGCTATCTGCAGAGGCAATTTGTTCCCAAGCCGCTGCTTAGCACATATTTTCATACCCAAAATTGTATCCTAAGTGGGTAGTGTGGAGAGGAAACAAGTAGATACAAAGGGTGGGCCTTCTAGATAAGGAGAGAGCACACAAACATGCAGAATGATCCCAAAACAAATGCAAAGAAACAGCAAAGTGACTTCAATAGCAGAACAAGGAAAAACTGTGAGCTAATGACATACAAAGAGAGGGAGAGGGAGGCAAAGAGAGGGAGGGATGGTAGGAGGGAAAGGGAAGAAAATATGAAAGAACGAAAAATAAGATCTATATGGCAGTCTATGCTATATTTAAAGTGACAGGATCATTTTTCTTCTCTCCAGAGTGTAAGCAAAATGATGGTGAACTCTGAATTTGAAATGGATTTTATTTTATTCCTTTCCTTCCGCATAATCCAGCCCCACAATACACACACACATAGCAGAAAGTTAAGTGATTTTTCAGCCTGAGGGTTTCAAATGCTCAGAACCCTGTAACCATGGGTTCCAGTTCCAGCAGAATAATTAGAGCCCTTCTCCTCCTTTGCCTTTAATGGTTGTTGGTTGGGAGTGCATTCCCTTTACTTTTCTCCTCAAGGTCCGAGTCAGTGAATTTCTAGTCTGTAGCAAGATTCTCTGTTATTTATTAGGGTACATGGGGTAAAAATATGTGTGTTATTATGAGGATAAAAGAGAAAAGATTTAAAGTTCACAATGGGGAAAACATTTTAGCAAATTAATGACTCAGAACTCTTGTTACCCACATCCGTGAGAAGTGATCATTTGTTAACTTAAGTGAGTGTGAGATGAAATGCCTTGATTCCATGTATCAGTAGAAGAATGTGTTGATTAGAACAGAGTCCCAGCTAGAAGATGCCAAAAGCAAGAAATTCAAACATATTCACATTTGCTCCTGACCACTAATGATTTTAATTGAGGTGTCACATCTTTTGTGAAAACAAATGATTAACTGTGGCTATAAGATAAAAAGAAGGCTGTCATTAGTGGTTCCAGAGGCCATTAGTGGTCAAGATCATTGGTTCTGGCACAAGACAGCCTGGACTCACATCCCTGTTTCATCACTTATTGAGTGTGTGATCTTGGTCAAGTTACTTAATCTCTCTGTGCGTTAATTTCCTCATTTGTAAATTGCAGAAAGAGTAGTACTATGGTCATTGAGTTATAGAAATAATTAAAATAAATGAGGTAATACATGTACAACAATGAGGAACAAAGTCTGGTACATGATATGAACTTAAAACTGATAGCTTTTAAGATTTTAAACCTATCTATAATAGTATAGAGCCATAATGTTCTAGAAACAAGGAGGAAGGAGTGCCTCCATCTACCCTCTTGTCTAAGGGTGAGGATCACTACCAAAAATTAAAGTTGTTACAAAGGTTATGTGTTTCCTACATGAACAATGTGAAGGTTAAAAAATAAGTAAAAGAACAACTGAAATACAGGCATTGATTAGTTTAGTGTTTCGCTATGAACATTCACCGCACATAGCTGAAAGAAGTTATTTCCTTTCCAACAACACTTGTCTTCCAAGTACCACTAGCTAAATGGGAGATGCAAATATAAAGAGAAACATGATCCTCACTGTTTAGAGGGGCACAGCCTAAAAATGAGGCATTACAATATAATGCCCCAAGCACAGTGTCAGAGCACCAGGGTGTGCACAAAGCAATGGAGGACCACAGAAAAGGAATGATTAGTTCTACCTGGGAAATCTGGAGGAATATGTGTGCTGAGTCTTAAAAGATAGGTATGAGTTCTTTAAAGGATAAGAAAATTCTCTAAGGATAAAGTGGGACAATACTGTGAATGGCCCTATATGATATTCTGAAGAGGATTAACTTTACCCTGTAGACACTGGAGAACACTTCCAGAGTTTACTCAGTGAAGTAGTGGGCCCATGTCTATGTTTCAGAAAGATACCCTTAGTGACAGTGTGGAATATGGGTTTGATGGGGCAGAAAGATCAAAGGAGGGATGACAAGGCAAAGACTACTGAAATAGCCTAAGTATGAAAGGATGAAGCCTGAACTAGGATGGAGTCAACAGGTGGAAAGATGGAGACGGCTGAATACGACCAGGAAGTGTCAACTACTGAGATGTCTGTTAGGACTTCAGAGTCAAAATGAGCCCAAGGATTCTATTCTTGGACCAACAGCCAGAAGGAATAGACACAAACATTTCTCTTGTGTTTTGGGTGGGAGTGGTGAAAGATACAGATGTATTTGGACATACTGAGTTTGAAAAGCCTATGAAGTAATCAGATGAAGGCACACAAAGATAGGTGGGACCAAGCCCTAGAGTTTACGCAGAAGACAGGAGTCTGCAACATGTCACTAAATGTCACTGGCATCCAGGTTGTCTTTGAAGATAGTTGGGGAGGGCACATAAAGTCAAGGAAAGGTCAAGGATGGAATCCCAGGGAACACAAAGTGGGGCAGCTGATGGAGCTGTGAGAGGGACAGGAATGTGGTTAGAGCACTCGGCCAGGGGACTCTGGTTCTAATTCGGACCTCATGCTAACATTTGACTCTCCTTTTCACCAAGCATATTGATGAGAAGACTGTTTCTCTCTATTGGCTCTCTTGTTAAACAGCTCAGTAAACATCTGTGAAGAATAGGGAGCCTGGAAGCTGGTACTGGAAACATCACTGATGGGTAATGGGGACACTACTTCCTGTCTCGCTATCCTTGCCACAGCTTGGACTCTGGGACAAGACCACACATGTTCTTTGTATGACCTGTCACTGTAGAAGTATCCACCTTTTCACCCCACGGCTTCTCCAGAGACGCCACTCCATTTCTGGCTCCATGCCAGATCACGCTGGCTGCACATGGCTTCTCAGCATCCTACATTGCAAAGTGTTAGCTTCAGTTGGTCCATAAGCTTTTACAACCTCCTAAAATAATCTTGCTTAATGCAGTCTCAAGGCTTGAATATTTTCAAAAACACAGGACAAGCTATAGGTTTACCTGTTTTAGAGATATATGTAATCATTAGAGTCAGATGAATCATGGATTACAATTTTGTCTCTGTCCCTTGTTGGCCACAGGATTTCAGACACTCTACTTAAGTTTCTTGACTGCCATTTCCTCATTTAAAAAATAGAGCAGATCCTTTAAGTTGGGTGCCAATACTGCTTTCATTCTTCTTTCATAACAAAACTCCAGTTTTGACAGGTATCTGCCCCTTTTCATATAGCCATGAGCCCCACAGGGGCTTATCCCACCCTTAACTCCAGAAGGGAGTAGACCTGATTGATCTAAGAGTAATTCCGTTTGCTTTCCCAATGATTGGTTCATAAATGGGCAAAATTCTAAACAATAAAACAGAGAGAAAAAATCTGCTGCAGACATTTGGAGAAATATTTCTCACTTCTAAGAGAGAGGCACATGAACAGATGGTCTCACTCTGGACTTTGCTATGTTTGGCTGTGATGACTGAAACTGCTGCCGCCATCTTGCTTCTAGCCTTAGAGTGAAGCCAGTGGAGGAGATGGCAGAACAGAGAGAAAGGATGAGGACTTCACTCGACATTTTGGATTACTGAATCAACCAACTCTGCAGACTGATCTAATTCTGGACTTCTTGTCATGGTTTCTCATCATTTAAACCAGCTTCCTAACTGGTTCAAATATCCTAACTGACAAAATGCTGGTAACCTTTTCATAGGATTGCCGTGAAAATTAAATGAAATGCCGTGAAGTGCTGGGGTTATATGAAGTACTCAGGTAGCTATTGCTACTATCATATTGCACCATTACAACTACTTCAGCTCACCTCAATGTCAGTTATTTGCAGGGAAGTTCAATCTCGTCTGGTTCACCTTGGGAAAATATCATACAAACACTGCCCATTACTTTGTTCTACGATCTTACAGCTGAACCATTATATTCACAAATTGAGTACTCTCCACATGTTGTACTGAGCACATGTCCCAGGTTATCTCATTGAATCTTTATAGTAATTCAGAGTAAAGTTCTCACTTTTAATTTACCATTTTGCTGATGATAAAACTGTGGCTAAAAAAAGGAACCCAAACCTACGTCTGCCTGCCTTCAGAGATTGTACCTCCAAACTGGATATTATCCTGCTTTACTTTTGAATGTTGAAATGATACATTTCACAGGCACCTATGAAAAAACAGTAGGTGTCTCTTGCAGATCATCCATGTGTAAAAACTTTTGCAAATAGGCACTTCAATCTGTGAAGCTCCAGATGAGGCCAGATGATGCACAGAAAGTTGAGGATATTTAGAATTAACTAAAGGGTGAAGAGAGTGGATGCAGGAGGATGAGTAGGGAAGCAAACGATGAGATACACATGACTGAGCTGAGTGACTTCTACAAAATGGTGAGCTCACTCGAAAGAAGCAGAGGCTCCCAGAACATCATGATGAGCAGGGAGCAAGCTCCCTTTGTCAGGCAAAAGACATATTTATTCTGCTTTGTCCTAAATAGTGTTACCGATAGTGAGCAGATGTATGTTCATTTCTGATCTAAAATATACGTTATATTTGTGTGTGTATAGTCACCAAAAGACAACTGCAAAAAAATATTGCAACATTTCAGCAGAGATTTTCTCTGGGGGGTGAAATTATGAATATTTTTATTGATCTCTTTTGGGTTTCTTTTCATGTTTTCCTAACCAAATTATTTTACATGTATTAATTATGCAATTAGAAAAATAGTTACATAACTATGTGTGTGTGTGTGTACGCATGCCCGTGCACGCACACACACACACACACACACACACACACACACACTATTAACCACACTTCTGCTAGGTCAGTCCAGCTATAGTCATTTCCTCTCTTCTTTGTCCAGGCTCTTCCCTCCTCTCTTTAAGCCACCGGCATCTATTCATTTTTTTCCTGCTTCTCTTCCCCAAGGCAGTGGGCTCCTATCTTGAGGGGAGGGAGGCCATCTAGAAAGAGCATCCCGCCCCTCGCCAGCCATCCTGCTTTAGCACCACAGAGCCAGTGGGGAGATGAAATCGTGCGTGGGGGGCACACTGAGGATGTCCCGCTGAGGGGAGCAACTTGCTCTCAGATAACAGTTCTGCAGTGGCTCCACCATCAGTCTGTGTTGAGCTAGGTGGTGAGTATGATAAATACACTCTTCCAAGAGGTAATTAGCAGAAGAAGGAAAAACATCTCTGAAAATTCAATAGCACTAGAAAGGGATAAAATCACATTTCAAGACACATATTTTTCTTGATATTAGAAAATACCCAATCAGTTACTTTTGCACTTTCCTTACGTTTTAGAAGATGGAAAGAAAGAAGGAAGGGAGGGAGGGAGAAAAGAAAGGAAGGGAAGAGGAGGGGAAAAGAAAAGAAGGAAAAAACCAGCAACAACAACAAAAAGGCTTCCCTTTCCTGAAGTCAGTGTTAGAGTTTAAAAGAAATTACCTTAACAGATAGCTCCAGAATTATCTTTAGAAAACTGTTTCTTTATGAAAACAACTTAAGAAGGTAGGATAGGAGAATGTGAGGACAAGGGTTAGCAGGAGACAAGGCAATCAAAAATATGACATGAACAATGTGGACTTTTAAGAAAAAGTACATCTAACTCTCAACTGAGGTCATGTGCTTTACTGAGATGTGAAAATGTAACATTCTTCTCTGATTCCCTCACACCCTTGGTAACACCTAAAACACACACACATACACACAGAGGGGGTGGGGCCTGGAGAAATCGGGGTAGTTTTATGAAAATCAAAATGGCTAAGCTCTTTGTCAGGGTTGACACTGGTGAGACCCAGGTACCAAGGATGAGACCATTCATACCCTGAAGCAGAGGCAGGAGAGCCAGTCTAGAAGTGACATCCACAATACTCAACAGGGCTGACTCCCAAGCATGGCCATGGGCTAAGGACTGCCCTGAGGCACAATATCTGTGGCATGAAAGAACCAGTTTCATCCTCATGACAACCATCTGACGTAGAAGCTATTCTGACCTCCATGTTCTAGATGGGGGAGGCGAGGCTTGGGAGATTGAGTAACATGCTCCAGACCCCAGGCTCTTCATCACTCAGCTGAACCACCTCTCCTGAAGATGATACATCCCATGAACACACGCAATGCTATTGAACTTTTCCTCAGATTTTTGGATGGGGGTAGATTTCAAGGCAATCTTATTTTGAAGTGGCAAGAGGGGCTCCATCTGACATTTGAGTAAAAGTGATATAACATAGTAGTGATTTGTACTTAGACACCCCCTTTGCTTCCTAACTTCAAATGTGACCTTGGAAAAGCTATTTCTCTTCTCTGATCCACAGTTTCCTCAACAATAAAGTGGTAGGCTGTTAAGAAGACCTGCCTCATAGGATCTTGTAAGTCCTAAATTCACCAGCGAACCTGAATTGTGCAGCACGGGGCTTAGCACATAAGTGCCCAATCAATAGAGCCTTTTATTTTCTCTCTGCAGTCAAAATATATACCGATGCTGAGGGCACAAGCAAACAGCTGGCCACTAGCAAACCTGCTCAACCTCTGACTGTCAGGTGCACCATCTGTAAATGCAAAACATCTGCTTTACTTCATATAAGGCAGTAGGGTTTCTGTCAAATAAAATAAATATAGGCCTAAAGAAAAGTTAAGGGAAATAAGCATTCAAAAGGCCACTTTAATGCACTATTGTGTGAATGGAGCATAAAAACAAAAAATAAAATGTTCCTGCCACTGTCTGAATATATTGGGACGAGTTACAACTTGGAATTTACACAATACCATTTTTCCAAGGATTAAAATTTCTTATTCCAAGTTCAACACATATGCTGATGCTCTGCTTTCTTTCTCCCACCAGGATTTTTATAGGGGAGCCTGAAATAAGATTAAGCAAACATAACAAACCCATATCACATTTTCAGTTAAAAAAAAAAAAATGAAAGCCTGAATCAGTCAATCCACCTCTCTACTTCCAGCTGAGCCATAAATGTCAGTTGTTCTACTTCAGTAGAAACAGAGGGCCTGTCTCATAACTCTATGGGGAGCCAAGTGAGATGAGAAATGGACCCAGAAAAAAAGAGCCAATTGTTTAAAAAAACTGCAATGCTGGATGTACTTGGAGTTCCCAAAGAGCAGTAATTGCTGAACATCAAATTTTTAGCTATCACAGGGCCACTGTTAAAGAGTTAAACCACATCCCACAAGAGGGCTTTGACAACATGTGATGTGAATAGAAATGTCTCCCACATTTTCTTTTTTAAAATATTCTACAGGAAATAAAGAAAGCTGGTAAAGAGAATCACCAAATGGAAGGGAAAAGGTTAACTGCCCCCTACGTTGAAATGCAGCCTGCATAAATGGTGAATTGTGGGGCCACATGTGTTCCTGTTGATAGGTGTGGAAACATTAAGAATAAGAAGTCTGAAATTGAATCCATGAACTTGTTTTCACAAAGTAATTCCTTTAAAAAAATTATACATTTAATGTATCTTAGATGGAGAAGAACTTTTGTTTTAGAAAGGAGAAGAAAAAAGAAATTCCATGGTTTTCAGAATTTCAAATGGCTTAAAATGAATTTTTATCCTCTGAAAACAAAATCAGGGTGCCTGTGAGAGAACACAGGAAGATCTCACTATTGCACCATCCAGCTCATACTTCAGCAAGTTTTGCAAAGCAGGTACAAGGTAACTTGTAACGGCAGTGCCCTATCAACTTCTCTATCAGTTTACTTCACCCTGTGCCTTAGAATTGGAGTCTCAGGTGTCATTTCACAAAAAGAGTTTTCCCACAAATCAAAGAAAGCGAAGCTGTGAATATTGCTAATGAACAGAGATAGTAGTATCGGTAAAACTCTCTCTCCACCCTCCCCCTACCACTTATACTCTCTCACTTCCATTAGGAAGACCCATGCTCTGTCTGTGACCATCCCTGAGGCATGGCATTACACTGAGAAGGTCACTCTCAGGGCAGAAGACACAGTTCTCAGAATACTCAGTAATTCCCCTGCTGGGTGGGGCAAAATCCTTGGAATGAGAAATCTAAAGGAACAAAAATCATCTTGAAAGTGCTTTTGAAACAGTGAATTTTGTGTATGTCGAACAGAGGACCATTTGATTTCATTTTTATTTTAAAATGCTTGTGGGCAGAATGGTCTGATGTGCCACTTCTGTGGGTGTTTCCAGCAAGTTTAGCCAGTAAGAAATCTGCACCAGGAACTCTCCCCTTCAGAAACAACACATCCCTCCATCTCCACCTCCTTTTGCACGTGCAGAGGTCAATAAGTCAGTAGTAGATGTTCCTTTACCAGACGCAGAGGGGATCCTGGAGGTATTAAAAGATTCGCCTGCTCAAAGATCATTCCCCATGTAGCTTTTCAATTAAAGTCAGTTGTTTAAAGAATAGATGTAGAATGGGCATTAAGATGGCCCCTGATTTACAATGCTTCAACTTAACAATTTTTTGACTTTATGTCAACGCAAAAGAAATACGCGTTCATAGAAATCGTTGAGTGTTGAATTTTCCTCTTTTTTCTGGCTAGCTACATGCAGTACAATGCTCTCTCATGATGCTGGGCAGTGGCAGCGAGCCACAGCTCCCAGTCACAAGAGTAAACACCGATACTCTGCAGTGTACTGGGTTGCTCGATGATTATTGTCCAATCATAAATTTGTGTTCTGAGTGCATTTAAAGTGGACTAGGCTAAGCTTTGATGTTTGATGGGTCAGGTGTATTAAATGCATTTTCAACCTTCAGTGGATCAACCTTTTAATACCTCCGGGATCCCCTCTGTGTCTGGTAAAGGAACATCTACTACTAACTTATCAGGATGCAGTTCCACTGTAAGTCAAGGAGCATCTATCTGGGTGGAAAACTGCAGTGAGGGTGGGGTGAAGGCAGAAAGGGATCAATGAGAAAAGAGCTGAGAGCAGAAATCTGCTTGGGTTTCACAATGGGGCTGTGTGAGACCCTGCGAGGTGGGATGAGCAGACACAACCAGGAGTTGCAGAGATTAAAGGAGCTAAAGATGCCCATTTCCTACTTTTCTATTATTTTTCCCAAGAAAGGTCAGCTGAGTCCAGAAAATGAGAATGAACTAGGAAAGTTCACATTCCTGAAACTTTTCTCACATTACAATGAAACAAAACAGATTTAGGGAAGATACCATCACGGTCACCTCTCATAATAAACCGGATTAACCTTAGAGTCACAGATGTACAAGAGCACATTCAAGGACTGTAAGAGTTAGAGGAGATGTTTAGCGATCTAGTACAAGAGTTCTGAACATTTGGGGAGCCACAGACCACTTTAGAAAATGTGATAAAAGCAATAAGCCTTCTTTTGAGAAAAAATATTTATATCCACAAAGACATAACATATTATAAACTATTCCAGAGGGCTGGCAAGATCTCTGAAGCCCTCCGGGTCATGAATAAAAGACATCTAACCCAGCTACCTTCCATCCACTCCCACCCCATAATGATGTGAGGAAGCAGAGGGCCTGATGGGTAAAATAATACATCATAGTTTCAAACAGAGTTGCAGCAGGGCAGCAGAGTTAGCTCCATTGCCCGATTCTTAAAGCAGAATCCTTTCCACTACTTTGTGAATCATAAAGGAAATATCCACTTTGTTTATATCTCATGCCCAACATGCATAAAAATTAATATCTCCGCTGCCACTCAAGTCTCTAGGAGCCACAAGTCAAAATGTCAGAAACCTAGACAACTAAACAAGAACATCCTTGTTTTTACAAACACAGTGATTTTTTTTTTTATTCTGAATAAAACACATTCTTATGACAGCTACCTAGATACTCTTAAAGTGAGCATCCCACTGATCCCTGTCAGTCTGTTCCCAGACGTGACCATGACCAAGCCTGGTCCCCAACATTTGCCATATGCACAGGTGTACTCGTCTACTGCTGGATGGACATCTTTTTGAAGCAGTTCCATCTTATTCTCATTATTGTTCAGCAGAGAATTCTGTCCCCTTTTCCCTTTCTCTATTCAGAATGTGGGCTGCTGTTCTTTCCAAATCATGGCAAACTTTCCAAGTTGTCATGGGGCCAAACCCTCTCGCTCACCACCTCACATCACTGATTAATGGGTCCTCTTGAAATCTGGGCCTGAAGTGTAAGCTATTGTGTTGCAAAGGGCCCCTTCAGGCAATGAATCAGGGATTTGGGTGGGCTATTGTAGAATTTCGGAGCATGTAATATATCTTTATCACTTGGCTAGGGATGCTAATCAAAAATTACTGCATACCAATATTTTTTGGATCCCTTTCTCCCTTTACAAGAGCAAAGACTTGTCCTTAGAGAGGCAAAGATTCTAGGAAAAAGTAGAACACCAGTTACATAATTTTTTTCAAAAACTAAGTATGTAGAATGCTAATCTTTCCAAGACTGGTCATTATCCAGGGTGCTATGGTCATTGCCTAATGCAAGAGGCTGCATGGAACAAAATGCAAGTCCTTGGGGCACCAGCTGGGCCTGCCCCAGGGAGGACAGGTTCTAGCACCAGGTCAGACTAGTCCAGTCCACCAAGGGTGACCATCCTAAGCTTTTGCTATGACTTCCATGCTTACCCCCATCTCATCCGCCTTCCAACCCACATGCTTTTCACAGTTGGGAATGCTGCACACAGCAGAGTCACCCTTTGGGGACTCCTTAGAAACCATGTGTTAAACTCCAGAGTCTGATTTGACTCCCAGTGGCCAGTTGAATCCAGGAAGCTGCAGGAAATGTGTCCATCCCTTCCACTCCAAGACAGCTTTCAACTCAGAACACTTCGAGGTCACAGCTTTTTCTCGCTTAGGGAAAACCGGCAGACATCCTGCTGCTGGGTAATCACTGGGCTATGGGCAGAGCTGTCCATGACAGGACCTCACTCAGCAGTGAAGGAGAGAGATCTGGTGTCAGTCTTCTGAATGAGCACCTGGTAGTACCCACTCAAATGGCCCCTGGATGTGCTGACCCTGGCTCAGCTTTCAAGAGCTCCTTCTAAGCTGGCTACAGCCTCTCCAAGGAATGTTTTAAGGCCTAAATCTCAACCTGCCAATAGCTTGACCTCCTTTTGGATCAAGCCTGCCCCTCTCTCCTTCCCTACCCTGGCTGTGTGACTGCCTCCATCCATCTCACTAGGTTCAGAGTCCTGGATCATATACTTCTGCCCTTTCTCTAATTTACTGATGGAGTAAAAATTTTATCACCTACTTCCCTCAGGATCTTCCCTTTTCAAGAATCTATTTTTGGCAATTCCACTGGGTATATAACTCCCCAAAGTGAAAGCAGAGTCTCAGATACTTCTATACTCATGTTCATAGCAGCATTCTTCACCATAGTCAAAAAGTGGAAGCAACCTAAGTGTCCTCGGATGGGTGAATGGATAAACAAAATGTGTTATATACATATGAGAGAACATCGTTCAGACTAAAATGAAATGAAAGTCCTACACATGCTACAACGTGGCTAAACCTTGCAGACATTATGATAAGTAAAATAAGCAAATCACAAAAGGACAAATATTGTGTGATTCCCCTCATATAAGGTACCTAAAAATAGTCACATTTACAGAAACAGAAAGCAAAATGGTGATTGCCAGGGACTGAGGGGAGGAAAATGGGAAGTTACTATTTAATGGGTATAGAGTTTCAGTTTCTGAAGATGAAAAAGCTCTGGAGATGGATGTTGGTGATGGTGTCACAAAAATGTGCATGTACTTGGCCAGGCGTGGTGGCTCACACCTGTAATCCCAGCACTTTGGGAGGCCGAGGGGGGTGGATCACAAGGGCAGGAGATCAAGACCATCCTGGCTAACACAGTGAAGCCCCGACTCTACTAAAAATACAAAAAATTAGTTGGGCATGGCAGCACATGCCTGTGATCCCAGCTACTCAGGAGGCTTAGGCAGGAGAATCGCTTGAACCCAGGAGGCAGAGGCTGCAGTGAGCCAAGATCATGCCACTGCACTCCAGCCTGGCTGACAGAGCGAGACTCTGTCTCAAAAAAAAAAAAGTGTATGTACTTAATGTCATTGAAAAGTATACTTAAAAATTACTAAAATGGTAATTTTCGTATCATTCATATTTTAACACAATTTTTTTCTGAAATGTTTAAGTCTACCTCAGGGAGCAAAAACAAGACTAACAAAATATAAACCGAAGGAAACGTGCTGAATGCATTACTATTAAAACTGAAGAGATGAGTTACTGCTTACATATACCCTGCATTTATTCACTCCCCTGTTGTGCTTAAACAGCTTCCTTCAAATTTCTGGTGGCTCCTGGAGGCCTGTGAGGCAGTGACATGATTCTGAGAGACAGAACATCCCTGCAGGCCCAGGAAGATGTGATCTTTCCCACTTGTCTCTGCTGAGATGATAAGTATTCACAGCATGACATTCCGAGAAAAAAATTACATAAAAGCAGTTTTCCTCAGTACTATTTCTGGACCTTGTATGAGTCACTCATTGCCTTCTGAAGTGCTTGCATTGCTAATGAGGGCTTTCCATGCACAATACAGCAAGAATCCTTCAAAATTCTATTGGGATGGAGAATAAAGAAATTGCTGTTTCATTCTTAAGTTCATCCTGAAGGGTTAGAGACAAACTAAATGGAAGAACCAACCACTTATGCTGTGCTAGGTGCTTTATCTACAAAGCCAGCCACCTGGGAAGTACAAGCTCAATGCATCTAGAATGCCCCATGCCTGTCTCAGTAGTGTTTAATTCTTCCAAGAGCTTATTGTACCAGCTGGAAGAAATACAGTGACACACTTCTTAGAGATAAGTCTATCTCTTGTTATGTGCAGAGCTGGAATCTTGTGTTATGTGTGGGTAATTACATTTATGATAACCACTCTTAGAATGGCTATAAGTTCAAAGGGACCTCACGGTTGAAAGGCTCCTAAAAGATCAATTTAAAAGTTGCTCCAAATAGACTAGGACTCTAGTTCAAATGCTTCTTATAGCTAACGGTTCACAGGACAGCCTATTATCAAAGGATTTGAACAAATTAGCATCTGTCTTCCTTTCCACCTACCTCCCATGTGAAGTTAAATGAGCACACATATGAAAACTGTAAATCCTTATCCAAACAGGAAGAATTCCTATTAGCCCCCTTTGTAAAAGGAGGAAACAAAGACAAACAGAGATTTAAAAGTTTGCCTAGGATGGCCCAAGAAGTCATTAAAGAGTGTGACTGAAGGCTGCTTTTAGTGGCTTCAAGACTTGTACTTTTCTTCCTACGCTTCATTTCCATTCCAAGCCCTCCATACTCAAGGAGCATCCACTTGTTGAAAGTTACTTAGATCCCTTGGTCTATTCAAAGAAGGGACAGAGGACCAAGTCAACAACCAACCGAAGAAGAGGAAAACTCCTCTCCTTCCCCTTGTAAGCAACCTGTGCAGGTGGAAGAGCTCCTTATTTTCAAAGAGGCAAATGATCCATTTCTGAAGGGGATCTCCAAATTCTGGTCAATTCCCTTCACAATGGGCTGCTCTCTCCTCGTGTCCAGGTGGCTGTTAACCTCATTTACTGTTTTCTCATTCTTTCCTCTGGATAGTATTGTTACTGAACAAACATTTCTCCAGGAGTCATTTCTGCTTCTGACACCAAAGCTACTTTCCCTCCTGCTTCCCATTTCTGTTGAATTCTTAGACTATCAGAGCAGGTGCCAATCCTAGAGATTCAGCCCAGAGAAGTTCAGATACTTGCCCAAGAAAGTTACACATGTAATCTGTGGCCCAGGGAGTGGCAAATCTTTTTTGTCTCATCACTCAAATCCTTATCTCTAGCTCAGTGCCTGGCATGTAGTAATCACTCAGTCAATATTGGATATAATAGGAATGCTTTTCACATCTTACATGGAACCAATCGTTCTATTTCTTGGTAGGAGGTGGAACAGGGAATAGAAATGCAAACCACCTTTAATAGTATTTGTGTGGCAGCCAATGAGAGGAACAGTACTCAGGGATTAGAGGGTGCAGTTGCTCAGATTAGTATTGAAGGTTGGCCTTCCCACCACCTACATACGGTCAATGTGTTGTATAGTTTATGGATGACCACTATGTCTAGCCACAGGTCAAGTAGGAAATTTGTGTGTGCATGTGTATGTATGTGTGTTCATGCATGTGAGGTAGGGAGAGAGAGATGAGGACACAGAAAAAAAACATAAGGACTAACTCTCAGATAGGGACAATAGGTTGTCAGAACGAACCAGGAAGTGTGTGTCAGTGCCTGAAGTTCCTGTGTTTCCAAGTTCCTCTGTGCCAGTCACTGTCGGCAGAAATCATCATGTACATTTACAGGTAAAATTGAAACTGAGGAAGAGCAAATTCTTAGTCACTGCCTTAAAATGTCCGAGTCCTGTGAATATTCCCTCCCACTAGGCTGGGAACAACTGTCTGCACTCAAGGCTGCCTGCACCCACCTGAGTGTAGGGGGCATAGAAAAGCTGCTTCCCTTTTGCTGAGAATAACCCTGAAACCTGTTAACAATTGTCCAGGGTTGGACTCTGTTTGGGTCCATGGACTGCTCCCTGGCCCAGGGCTACTCATCTCAGCACTGGGCCCTTCAGTGTGTCTGAACCAGGCAGGCTGAGGGAGAAGGCCTTGCTTGCTTGCTGAAGTTTTGAATGTGGCTGATAAAGCTATTGAGCATTTTCAAAGCCATGCAACGTTTTCATGAAGAACGACATTAAGACTTTCAGTCTAATTGTACTAAACTGTGCTTCAAAATCCTTTTCAAACCTATGTGCATTTAAAAGGACTAAACTATTGCCTTCTGTCTTTCTTTGCCAAAAAAATTCAGAGAGAGGGACCTGTGTTGGTACAACCCTAGTCTCTGACAGAAGGATGACAGCATCTTGTAGGCTTATCTCTCTTAGCTCCTTTGTAAGGACAGATTCAGTGCAGGCAAAGGCAAGACAGGCCTTTTGTGATCAATTCACCTTTTCTTATTCCCATATACTGGTCTTTTATCTGAGGTCAGGGAGCCTGAAACCCTCAGAGGTAACAAAATTAAAGGCATATTAAAGGTTGTTCAGCTCCACAAAAGAAAATTATAAGTCGTCGTTAAGTTCTCACAAGGAATCTTATCCAAAGGGTCTGTTGTATTTTCAGGTATAGAACCTGACACATAGATGTTCAAAACTATTTCTTTCATTGAAAGCTTCACAAAAGCAATATATCACTGAAAACCAAAAGATATCTGAAGAAAGGTTTTTTTCTATGCAGACACAAGAACAGAGAAATGGACAAGAGACAAAGCTTTTAAGTGGGCTCCACTGGGCACTCAGCAGAACCTAAAGTGGCCCCATTGGTGTGTTGATATTCAGTGACTTTTCACACCTTTCTTTGCTTCAAAAATCTGACAAGCTTATCTCATTGAAACTGCTACAATTTTCAAAGCCAACAACACTCTCAGAACAGTTGGCTAAAGAGGAATAAAATGTTTCAAAACCACAATGAATTCGAGAAAAAAAGAAGTCACAATGTAAAAATGTTTGAACGTGAATTCATGTTCCTTTGAGGACTTCATTATCATTAGTTTATTCCTAAATCAGACTGCTACAGAAATAAGGGTAGCCCAAGAGAAAAGATGAGAACACTAAGGCCAAGCTCCTTCAGGCCAGGCATAAGGCTTTTCTACCCAAATGTCAGATCCTCATGGCTGGAAGGAGCCCTGCAGGAGGTTTCCTTTCCAAATTCCATGTCGCATCTTGAGATGCTCTAAGACAAGGGTCAGCAAACGACAGCCTGCAGGCCAAACCAGTCTGCTACCTATTTTAGTACGTATTGTAAGCTAAGAATGGTTTTTACGTCTTTAAGTAGCTGAAAAATCAAAAGAAGGACATTTTGTCATGCTGAAAAATTATGTGAAACTCAAAGATTTCAGTGTCTATAAATAAAATGTTATTGGAACACAGCCCCCCTCATTCATGTATTGTGTTTTCTATGGCTACTTGTGTGCTACATTGGAAGAACTGAATATAGAGCTTACAGCTCACAAAGCCCAAGAGCTGGCTCTTTACAAAATGTTGTCCATTTCTCTGCAGCATCACAGAAGGACAGATAAGAAAAGGGAGCCTTCTGGTGCCTTTCCAGGGACCGCAAGGGGAGAGGTTTGTTTTCCCCATTAAAGATTCCTTCACCAAGGCAGAGAACCCAGAGGCCACGTTCCTATTGGACGCTGAGACCTGAGATAAGCTACTCTGTCATGAAATTCTGACCCTCTGACAGTTTCCAAGGTTGTGCAGCCATTAAAGTAAATGATCTGTGCATTTTCAATTCCTGCACTCAAGCTGCTTTGGCCACCCTATTATCTCATGGTAAATAACACACTGTAATCACACAAACGTGTGATTATATCCACTAAACACTGAGGAGGAAGAAAGAGGAAAATGGTCCCCCAGTTTGTGGCATGGAGCTGAGTAATGTGTTAGACATTCCACATGCCTGCCAGGGCAGAGACCTCTGGACTAGGCTTGTTGATAAAAAGACTCTCCGTAGATGAACATTACTTGGATTAAAGGTTGTAATGCTGCTGTTATGGTCATGTTCAGATCAAGTGTCAAGCAAGTCTGGATCTTGGGGTAGTTGGCATGTATCTACTGTCACATGGGGTTTTGTATCCAAGCATTCAGTGCTTCTTAGAGCTCTGAGAATGTAGCGAGAGAGAGGGAAGACAATGTGGGATTGTTAGCCGACAACAAGTTCGATTTATCCCTTTGTTAAAGTGAATCTGAGAAGAGGCTGCAATCTATGGGTGCTGTGAAGTCAGCACAATTGGCTTTGTTTATATCCCCATTTGTTGTGGCGGCTGCATGGGCACAGATTTGCAGAAAAGAGAGGTTTCCATATTAAAGTCATCCTTCTGAGTGTTTGGTGCTTTGTTCTCCTGTTACATAAGTCCTTGCCTATCGTGCTCCTGGACTTAGCAGCTCAGCCTAGAGTGATTTGGGAATGGGCAAAGATCACAAGCCCATGGCATGACAAAGTCCACTAGCAAAGTTGTTCTCAACTTCTTTTCATCCCCAACTCACCTAAGGGATGTGACACCTGTTAGTCAAAAACAGTGCTCACCAGGGCCATGATATTTAACAAAGGAGTTAGTCGGGGCTGGAGCAAAATATATTTTTAACTTTTAATATATAATTTTAATATATTTTTAATTTTTACCAATTAAAAATGTATATAAACTCTGCAGGAATGTATGGTTCACAAAGGTTCTGCTGTCCTCCCACACCACAGCTGACAATTGCTGCAATGAAGGGCCTCTGTGGAGCAGGCTGGGGCACTTGAGTCTCATTTCTTTCCTTGGCCTTGTTCTAGCCCAAAGGTGGATTCAGGTAGGAGAATGCCAGAATCTGGCAATGACTGAGTGGTCCCAGGCCACCAGATCTTGATTCCACACAAGGTTTCCCTGATGTTCCCACTTCCAGGACTTTGGCAGGAATGATAAGGCCTAACCAAGGGATACTCCTTGACTTACCTACTCAGTAAATTATCTATATTGAGATAATCTAGGTCCAACCACTCCCATCTGGGCTTAGAGGAGAGTTGGAGGACGTAGGGTGTGGGGAGTGTCTGGCCTTCAAAGCCAGTTCCTCCCAGGATATCCAGGTTCCCTAGGGAAGGATGCAAGGGGTCCTTGATGGTAGAGGAGGAGTAGGATAAATGAGGGGAGTGGGTGGGCAGGGATGAGAAGAACCCAATTCCTTTCAACGTCTTCATCCAATTTCCAGAATCTCTATCCAAAGAATCCCCAGAATCCAGGTGGAGATCCCTGAGGCTAGGAACTTAGGTGTTTGACTTTGTATACGTTTGTGTCAGGTACAGTAAGAGCAATAAGCCCTCGAAAACACAACTAATTTAGGAGGTTTCTGCTTAGGTTTTACTTCAGAAAAGACCAGGAAGAAGTAGACAGACAAGTAGGATGTTTTTAATGATGCAGTCATTTAAAATGTTTGTGTTTGAGAAGACACAATGCACACATTTCCTATCAAAATCTTGAACCGTGTTGTTGGTTGGCATCAGAGCTCACCATGATCACAGCTGCTGGAGTCATCATGAGAATAACATTTGTTCCTCGGTGTACCTACTTGTGTGGACATCAGTGAGCTAAACTTGCTGTCCAACTCAGCAATGCCACAGAAACAAAGTAAAACAGGACTTACTTTCTTTATGAAAATGCTTTCTTTTATAAAACTTTTACCTTCAGCAAAAACTGTTTCTTTCAGGATGGCACTGTAGGATACTATTAGTTTGCCAACAAACTTTTGGCCGAGATGGATGATTTTCACTTGGCTGGATCAAGTTAGGAAAGGAAAGAAGAAAGGAGAGGAAAAAGGAAAGGAAAGGAAAGGAAAAAGGGAAGGAAAAGGGAAAGGGAAAGGGAAAGGGGGGAACGGAGAAGGGGGAAGGGGGAAGGAGGAAGGGAAGGGCACTTGAGTGAAAACACTCATTTGTGCTTAGTTGATTTGAAATCAACTTTATATTAAAGGAAGGAAAATGAAACTAATCAAGTACTACAAATCTGAAAGGAGAGAATTTTTGCCAATTAAAAAATATGTGTATATCCATATGTACAAAAATATATGTGTATGTACATATTTACATATGCAGACACAGATACACACATACACACAATGTTTCAGACTCACCAAAAGCAAAGGAAGTAATATATTTTTGCAACTATCCTTTTTCATCTTTCAAAACTAAAACAATTTACATTATTACAGAAATCATCCTTAAACCTATTAACTTCAATGAGGTTTATAAACTTTCCCATTATAAAATAGACATTATGTCTGTAATTAATATATTTCAGAACCAAAAATTGAGACACAATGTCTGGCACATGGACTTTCCAGGGAGAGGGAGGACATTTCCAGGAAATCCTGGACACATGGTTGTTGTAATGATGCCACATGTAGAATATTACCAATTGTTAAACCTCTTGAATTATAAGAATGATGCTCCATATATTCCTTGCGTCCCTTCTACCCCAAAGTCAAAAAGATTACTGGCCATGTAGCAGTGCTGACTATGTTTGGATGATGCTTTATGGTTTATAAAAATATTTTTCAGTTTTTATTTTATTTATCAAACCATCTGAAATGAAAGCAAAGAAACTATAAAGACTCTACCCATTTTTAAAATTCTCCATTTTGCTGTTATAGATAGAAAGGCCAGATACCAAAGGTCATCCAAATAGTAATTGGCAGAGCTCAGCCATAAGCACATAGGTTGACTAATGAACTGACTGATTCAAGGGATCGCTGTTAATTATCTATACAATTGGCAAGCATAGAACCAAACCCTTGGCTGTTGTGGCTGGATGTACATCCCATGTACCTCTACTCTGGGTACACACTGGGACAACCTCTCTGTAAAGAAACTTGGCAATACATATCTTTAAAATATTCTATTTTTCCCAATAATCCCAACTCTGGGTATCTATCCTTTAAGCAATACAAATATCCAACAATAGTAGACTAAATTATTTTGCATCTATACAATAGAATACTCTGTAGCCGTTTAAAATTTATCTTCAAGTGATATTTAAAGAAAGAGGAATTTTTTTTTTTTTTTTTTTGACAGAGTCTTGCTCTGTCACCCAGGCTGGAGTGCAACGGCACTCGGCTCACTGCAACCTCTGTCTCCCAGGTTCAAGCGATTCTCCTGACTCAGCCTCTTGAGTAGCTGGCATTACAGGCGTGCACTACCACACCCGGCTAATTTTCGTATTTTTAGTAGAGATGGGGTTTCACCATGTTGGCCAGGATGGTTTCGAACTCCTGACCTCAGGTGATCCGCCCACCTCAGCCTCCCAAAGTGCTGGGATTACAGGCGTGAGCCACCACGCCCGGTGAGGAAATATTCTTGATAAAAAATATTAAGTGACAAAAATAGGATACAAACCTTGGTTGTAAAATACATTTTTAAAAAGAAAAATGAGAAATAAGAAAATTCAACAAAATATTAGTGGTAGTTCTGAGTGTTAAGTTATGGGTGACTTTCATTTCCACTTACACTTTTCTTCATCTTCACATTTTTGCATGATCAGAAAATCATCCTTTTTTCCCACTGAGGAAATAAGAAGGGTGGCTGGGTCTGGCCACTTTAAGATCTTAAGCACAGCCGGGCACGGTGGCTCATGCCTGTAATCCCAGCACTTTGGGAGGCCGAGGTGGGCGGATCACGAGGTCAGGAGATCGAGACCATCCTGGCTAACACGGTGAAACCCCGTCTCTACTAAAAATACAAAAAAATTGGCCGGGCAAGGTGGTGGGCGCCTGTAGTCCCAGTTACGCAGGAGGCTGAGGCAGGAGAAAGGCGTGAACCCAGGAAACGGAGCTGGCAGTGAGCCGAGATCGCACCACTGCACTCCAGCCTGGGCAACAGAGCGAGATTCCATCTCAAAAGAAAAAAAAAAAAAAAAGACCTTAAGCTCCAAACATTTTCAGGAAATCTTGGCAATTAGAATGTATGTACTGGAATGAAAAATGGCAGAGATGAGCTTAGGATGAGAGGAAATGCTGTGAGGTGTCCCCAAGGGCCAGTAATAGGGACTTGGGGCCACAGTGCCACGGGAGCAGTGGGTAACCCAGGAGTGTTCACAGCGTGAGGCGCTGCAGGGTGGAAGAGAGTGGTCTAAGAAAGGAATTGATGCCTGGGTTGGCTCCAGGCTGGTGAAGTAGGAGGTCTATGGAAATGCCACTGAAGGCAGTCAGTGGGAATGGGTCTTAAGAAGAGGAAGCCGTATTAGCTCAGTTTCCCATGTTGAGATGAGCAGCTCCATGAATGTTATCAAGTCAGCTTTTCAGAAAAACATGATGGAACTGTGTACTGGAGAAATGGAGGGAGCCTCCCTGAGCAGTTTCACCTCCCAGCTTTTCGAACCCCAACAAATGCCCTACTCCACAGCCTCTGTATTCTAAATCCTAGCCTTTTCCAAGAGGTGCTGTCGTGTGACAGTTCCCCCACCCAGTTACTAAAGGGTGTATATCTGCTGCCTGAACCCTGAAGGCCAGGCTGTGAGCCAAGACCATGGTGCCCAGCCGAGGAGCAGGTGTTCCTGAGAACCCAAATGTCCTGCATAGTATCTGAGAACCTACCAAGGCAAACAGTCCCATTACGCACACACACAATAGGCAAAGAGTCAGAATATTAGCTTCAAAGCAGCTTAGGAATGGGAGGTGGCATGGATATGTATAGCTGCCCTGCTGCCATCTCGGAGCACCTCATATGTAAGTTCTAATAATCTCACCTACTTGCCAAGCTGGACTTGTCTGAGTCATTCTTTGGTCTCTTGGCACCCCTCATGGTTGGGGAAAAGTTTTCTTAATATAATTCCAAGTTTTTCTCATTACAGATGCTTTCTACCCATTAAGGCTCTGTTAATTTCCTTGTGGAGGGGGAGCATACTGGACACACCCCTGAGTGCCTGGAAAGATGCCCCATGGCTTCTATGTCTCTGGGCCACACATTCTGCATAACGGAGACCCGGGAGAAGGAAATGCACCAAATGCCCTTGTATCTCAGACCTGCCTCTCCCTAGCCCCTTTTCTACCCACTGAGCTGCTGCATACTTTTGGCTCACTTCACCCTTCCCTCTCCCACACTCCTTGCCCCTGGTTCTCTGTCCTTACTGTTGGCCTCAAGTGTGTGTGTTGGGGGAGGTTTCCTCGGCTCTGTGGGTCACAGGTTTCTTATTCATGAGCTCTACCATCCCACAGGGATTTCCCCTCTCCCGGTAGGGAGCTTCACCTGCTGGGTCTAAAAGAGGAGATGGGTAGAAAAAGAGAAATATTATGCCATCTGCTTTACAATTTACTCTTCTTGGAAACTTTTGCATGTCACTGAATGCCAGAAATAAGATGTGGTAGGGAAAGTTGGGCCAGGCCTCCTCAGGCTCACTGCATGGAGGGAAGATTGTCAGTCACAAGTCAGTGGACACCAGTGAGGGCGGCCCCCTCTGTCTTTAAATGCCAAAGCTGGTAGGGATGGAGCAGCCTTGCTTCAAATTCCTACTGAGAGGATTATTTTGGACAAGCTAACGCATCTAGCCCTTGGTTTCCTCACCTGTTAAGTGGAAAAATACAAATTCTTTATATGAATTATGTAAGGAAGAATATGAGGCAAAGTACATAAAGTATTTTTAAACACAGTTTCTAGAACACAGATCTTATACAATCAGTGGAGGCAAATAGAAAGGTAGAAACAAAACCAGGACAGAAGCCCTATGCTCTTACACAAACACTGTTTCTCCCCCTACACTATTCCTCCCTTTGCTACTGATATTTTTAGGGATATTAGAGTTTATAAATAGGAGGGTAAATGATAACATATTTTCAACGTGTTTATGTATGGTATATGTTTAATATTCACATTAGAAAAAAACATATATAGAAAGATCAACTTGGGGAAGGTATCCTGGTGACCTGTTTAAAGATTAAAAGTGATGGAGAACAAAACAGAATACAAAAGCCAGTTTGAGAAACCTCCCAAATGAGTAGAATTAACAATATGCAGAGGAGAAAATAGCAGTATTCTGATACCAAAACTCAACATAGATATTACAAGAAAACTACAGACCAATATCCCTCGGGAATGTAACAAAATATGAATCCTTAACAAAACATGAACAAATTGAACTAGCAATATATGAAGAGAATAATATGTTATCACCATGTGGGATTTATCCCAGAAATGAAAAATTGGCTCAACATTAAAAAATCACCATATCACAGGCTAAAAAAAAACATATCATCATCTCAACAGATGCAGAAATAGAATTGATAAATTTTAGCACCCATTTATGAGACACACTCTCAGAAAACTTAGAAAAGAACTTCTTCACATTGATAAGGGTTATCTATGGAAAGCCTACAGCTAATAGCATACTTCATGTTGTGAGAATGAATACTTCTCCCCTAAAGTTGGGAGCAAGCAAGAATATCCACTCCCACCACTCCTATTTAACATATTGCTAGAGGTCCTGGCCAGTGCTATAAGGCACCAAAAGAAATAAAAGGCATCCAGATTGCAGCACAAGGAATAAAACTGCCTCTATATCCAGAAAAATATGATTCCTACATAGAAAATTCTAAGGAATTCACACAAAAAAGCTGCAAGAATTAATAAGTGACTTTACCAAGGTCTTAGAATACTAGGCCAATATTTTTAATTGTAATTTTTATATACAAAAAATAAACAATTACAAATTGAAATGTTTTTAAGTAGATTTACAAAAAGACCTAAATAAATAGAGAGGAGAGCCTAACATGTTCAGAAATTGGAAGACTCAATATAGTTAAGATGGCCAGGCAAAGTGGCTCACATCTGTAATCCACTCTGGGAGACCGAAGTGGGAGGATTCCTTGAGCCCGGGAGTTCAAGACCAGCCTGACCAATATAGGGAGATCCTGTCACTACATAAAGTTTTAAAATTAGCTGGGTGGGTGGTGCTCACCTGTGGTCCCAGATACTCAGGAGGCTGAGGTGGGAGGATCACTTGAGCCCAGGAGGTCTAGGCTGCAATGAGCCGTGATCTCATCAAGCAGTCTCTCTTGGTGACAGAGTGAGACGCTATCTCATATATATATACCTATCTCAAATTGGTAACTTAACTATATATGCATATGTATGTGTGTATATATGCATATATAGTTAAGATGCCAATTCTCTCTGAATTAATCTATAGTTTCATTGCAAACCCACTGAAAATCCCAGAAGACTTATTTGAAGAAATTGACAAGCTGATTCTAAAAGTTTTATGGAAAAGTAAAAACCTGAAATAGCCAAAATACTTTTGAAAAAGAAAGGTGGAGAACTATCACTACCTAATTTCAAGATTTCTTATCAAGACAATATCAAGACAGTGTGGTACTTGCGAAAGGATAAACACACACAAAGAAACAGAAGACCCACAGATATATGGTCAATTGTTTTTTTGACAAAGGTGTGAAGGTAAGGAGAAAGGATAGTCTTTCCAACAAATGATGCTGGAAAATTTGAACATCCGTATGCAAAAAATAAACCTTAACTCATACCTCATACTACATACAAAAATTAACTCTAAATAGGTCACATACCTCAGAATAAAATCTTAAGTCTACAAAATTTCTAGAAGAAAACATTGGAGAAAATCTTTGCAAAACTGGGTTAGGCAAAGGTTTCTCTGATAGGACAGAAAAGTATGAATCATGAAAGAAAAAACTGATAAACTGAACTTCATCAAAATTAAGTTTCTGCTGTATAAAAGTTGAGAAAATGGAAACAGCAGTGAAGACTGTAAGAGAATACTTACAAAACACATATCTGATAATGGACTGCTATTCAGAATACATCAAGATCTCTCACAACATAATAAAAAGAAAATAAACCATCTTATTGAAAAATGGGAAAAACATTTGAAGAGACACTCATCACAGAGATACAGATGGCAGATAAGCAAATTAAAAGATGCACAAAATTGTTAGTCATTAGGGACATGTACATTAAAATCATAGCAAGATAACACTACACCCTTCTTAGAATGTAAGGAAACAACAAAAAGCTGTCATTACCACAGGCTGGCAGGAATGCAAAGCCCTAGAACTCTCATATTTTACCAGTGACACACAAAAAGGCACAGCCATTTTGGAAAACTCTTAGGCAGTTTCTTAGAAAGTCAAACATACATTTTCCATACAACCTAGCAATATCCCACTCCTAGGCATTTATCACAAAGAAATGAAAATATATATTCATGCAAAAAACTATACAAAAATGTTTATAGCATCTTTATTCATAATTGTCAAAAACTGGAAACAACACATGAATATCAACTAGGAAATAGATAAATTGTGGTACATATATACATCAGAATACTATTCAGCAGTGAAAAAGGGATAAATAAACCACTGATACATGCAACAACCTGGATGAATTTCAAAAGTATCATTTTCAGTGAAAGAAATGAGATACAAAGGCCATGTACTCTATTATTCCATTTTTATGACATTACTGAAAAGGCAAAAGAAGTAGGAAGTAAAATCAGACCAGTGGTTTCCAGGGAGGGTAGGGATTAATTATAAAGGAGCATGGGGAAACTTTTTGGGATGATGGAAATACTCTATATCTTGGTTTTGGTGGGACTATATACCTGTATATATTACTCAAAACTCATAGAACTGTATGCCTAAAATGAGTGACTTCTATTGTGTGTAAACTATACTTTGATAAACCTTACTGTAAAAAAAGAAAAAAAAAAAAACCTAAGAAAAAAATACACAAAACAATAACAAAACAACCAGAACCAAAAATCCAAGGTCATAATAACTGACAAGTCAATTTAACACTACCTGATGTCTGTAACATATACAAGAAGGTAAATATATGGTTCTTAGTATGATTTTGATCATATATGTATAATATATTTTCATATACTTGGAAGAAAACCAACGAGCCTTAGGGTTATCAGTGAGAAAAAATTTCTACATAGATGCCAGACAAGATATTTTAGTGTACAAACTATTCCTCAGATGTAGTGGGCTGAATGGTAGCCCCCAAAGGACATGCTCAAATCCTAATCCTCAGAACCTGTGAATATTACCTTATGGCAAAAGGTGTGATTGAGTTATTAGTCTTGAGAGGCATTCTTCTCCTGAATTATCTGGGTCTGTCCTACACGTAGTCACATGCATCTGTATATGGAAAGGAGTTTTGAGACACAGAGAAGAATGTAAAGACAAAGGAAGAGGTTGGAGTGATGTAGCCACAAGCCCAATACTGCTGGCAGCTGCAAGCAGCTGAAAGAGGCAAGAAATGGTTCTCCTCTATATTATTCCCCAGAGGGAGCACAGCCTTGTACATGCCTTGATTTCAGCTCAGTGAAACTGCCTTTGGACTTCTAGCCTTCAGAATTGTACAAAAAAAAAAAAAAAAAAAAAAAAAAATCTGTGCTTTTAGCCACCAAATTTGTGGTAATTTGTGACAGCAGCCATAAGCCATAGGAAACTAATACACCACATGGTAATGATATGGTAATACAAGGATATGGGTATACATGGCTAATTTGGCCACGGAAGCAGGCCTTGTGTGAGTTCATCTCATACTGTACTCACCATGGTATCCTGTTGCTTGGATTGTCCTCCCTACCGTCACCATCACCCCCAGAGTGCTAGGCCTTCCCGGAATGGGCAGGAGAGCCAGGAGTCAGGCACAGGGATTGCAGCAGAAGCTGCTACTTCCCCACCCACCAAGCTGTTCCACCTTCTTCTTAGTAACCGCCACCTGCATGATTAGGCCTTGCAGTGTGCCCAGCTGAAAACGACATTTCCAAACCCCTCTTATAGATGCATGTTGCTGGCAAATGAAGCAGAAGTTATCAGTGAATGTTTCAGGGAAACGTTTTGAATGTTTCAAAAGAAGTTGATTCATGTGGGTCGCCAGTGCCTATCTCCATCTCCCTTCCTTTGTCCTGAGGCCGGCAAGGCAGAAATGATGGAATGAGCTCCAGCAGCAGCCATCTCTCGGCAGTGAGGTAACCTCAAACATAGCAAGCAAGCACTGAGGACAGAGGAGCAAAACACCCAGAAGGAGCCTGGGCTCCCGATGACTGCAGAGCTGCTGTCACAGTCCTAGACTCCTTGCTTCTGTTTCACATGAGAGGAAACACACAAGGCCTTATTTTGTTAATCTCTCACTTAGTAGCAATCCAAAGCAATTCCTAACTTATTCCAGGGTCTAATTAACTTTACCAAATGATACCGAAAAATAGAGAGAGAACGTTAAAAATGAAAAGTTGTTGATAGCATGATTTTTCGCCTGGTTCAGCTTTCAGAAAACACATTTGCTGATGTCATAGGATATTTCTATTATTTTACTTTGCTGATCTCACTTTTCTTTTTCAGTTAAACAGAAAATGAAGACAATCATGTAAGTTACAAGTCACACTTCTCCGTGTCTCCAGAACTGCATGAAAAGAGTACCCAGCTCTGTTACTTGCTGCAAACCAGGAAAAAGTTACTTTAGCAGCCAAATTACTAACTTCGCCCATCCTCTTATATTAATACTCAATGCACTCAAAGAACATCAGAACACATCCCACTAAACTACATAACTATGCATTTTGTAGAGGCTGACTTATTTGGACTATAAAGAATGCAGACAATTTTCTCCAAATCATTGCAAACATAATTAAATCTACAAAACAGGGATAAAGGTACAAGTTCCAAAACCTTAAAAAAAAAAATGAGGCCCCAGATGAGTGGGAAGAATAGGGAGAATTGCTGATTGAAGAGCTCAAAAGCAGATTTATGAAAGAATAACTGAAAGAAATGATAAAAATAATAAAAGAACCTCATTAGGTTATAAAATGCAAAGAGGACCAGCAGCTAGTATAACTGATTGCCATTGGATCTGAACCTTCTCAGCATCATCATTTCTGTTTACAAGAGCCCCGTTCACACCATTTCACAAATCCTCCACTCATACCACCTCCCAGACTGACGGGGAAGTAATCTGGGGAATGCCGGGACTATAAACAGGAGGCTAATAAACAAAATCGCAAGCCCTGCCAGGCACAGGGCCTAAGGCAGAACCACTCATCTATGCTGGGCTTAGAATCTAATTATACCTGTGTTTGCATTTCCTTCATCCCCATAATGGTTCTTAGAAGGGGGTTCAAACCAGTACAGGGGAAATAAAAACTGAAAGATTTTTGTTCCTTGCCCTTCCAGCTGAAAACAAGCCACTGTACACACACCGAGGATGACACTCCATGGAGTGTTGCCCAGGGAACCACCCAAGAACACTTCCCAAACAATTGCAAACGCAAGTGTATCTGTGTGGTTTATGCCACTGGATAACAAAGTTAAGAGGAACGGGGATATTGCTTTTTTATTTCAGCTCTGGAACATGCTTTCTAAAGAAAACTGAAAGATCACTTACACCAGAGAGGGTGCCAACCATGGCTTGGTAGAGTGAAAAGAATAGAGACTTAGGGATCTAAAGACTTGGCCACGGATCTGCCACTGGTTTGCTAGATTATCTTAGACCAGTTATTTAACTTCTGTGAGCGTCAGTGTCCTGATCAGAAAATTAGGTTAATAATGCATGTATCCCAGCATTAGGTGAGAAACAATGGCCCACAGGTGCTCAGTAAACGCTGATTTATTTTTCTCTTTTCCACATTTCCACATCTCCAGACTGGCAGCCTGCAGATCAGTGCCGGCCTATAGATATGGTTTTTGCTGAATCTTGTGTTCTTCTTTTTCTGCTGTAAGGAGTCACAATTGAAGATTTCCTAAAACTCTAATCCCAGTTTATCTTGAAAAACTGCAATAGCAAACTGGGCTGCATCTCTCCCTGGCCACAGGATGGCTGCAATTGATTGCTTAGACAGGGCATATGCTATACAGATCACTGGCTTCCCAACCTACCCATGCTCGTTTCCTTGAGTTATCTGCCTGACGATATAGACATTTGAACTTGCAACTCTGCTAGCAATCACAAAAGGGTCCACGCAAACCACTACCTTTTCTTCTACCACATCACATGTTCTTTTGGTGTCCTAATCCACTACTGAAGGTAAACATGGCATTTGAGCTAATTATACTCATGATAGAGTAACAGAATGATTATGAAATTGAAAGACCAATCAGTTATATGAGACCAAGTTACGGGGGAAGGAGGTGGAGGAGACACTCACATGCACACACACACAATGACAGTCTGACTACATTCAGTTAAATTTGTTTCTCAGTATATTCAGTGAAATGCGTTCATCGAAATAAAGTATAAATCATGCAGTTCAATTCTACAAGTGTTAATTAATGTTTAAATGTATTTCTTTATTCTAAGAGACTATGAATCAGCTTACACTTAGATAATAAAAGATTAAATTGCTTTAATTATCAAATAAACTGGTAATGAAAACAGCAGACCATGGAGAAACAAGCATTTTCATCTTGCAGATGGGAGTACAAAATGGTACAAACCTTATGAAGGGGAATTTAGAAACATAAAATTCTAGGTGACTTTACTGTTTAGACCCCAAAAACCCACTTCTAGGAGTCTATCTTGAAGATACACTTGCTTAAGTGAGAAATAACATATGCATATATGTACTAATTGTCTATCACAAATAGAGTAACAATTGTTCCAGTTTGTCCAAGGCTGAGGGATTTACTGGAACTCAGGATTATCAGTGCCAGAACTGGGACAGTCTTGAGTTAGTCTTAGGCAAACCAACACTGTTGGTCATCCTAGTAACAAACTACCCTAAAATTTATCACCTTAAAATAATATATATAATATATATATATATTTTATCTCACAGTTCCTGAGAGTCAAGAATGCAGGGAGAGCTTAGCTAGACTTCTACTTTTAGACTCTCACAAGACTGCAACCAAGGTGTCAGATAGGGCTGAGATCTCATCTGAAGGTTTGACTAAAGGAAGATTTGCTTCCAAACTCACTTATGTGGTTTTTGGCAGGATTTTGTTCCTCAAAGGCTCTGGAATGAAGACTCTGGTTGCTTGCTAACTGTGAACGATACGGTGTCCTCAGTTCTTTGCCATGTAGGCCTCTCTAACATATCAACTTACTTCATCAAAGCCAATAAGAGAAAGAATTTGCTAACAAGACAGAAATCACAATTTTTGTAACCTAGTAACAGAAGTAACACCTTCAATATTGCATATTCTATCTGTTAGAAGCAAGTTACTCGAGGGGAAGGATTATACAATACTAGGAGGTAGAGATCATCACCCAGGACTAGCTTAGAATCTGTCTGACCCTGGGCTTAGGAGTATCAAATACACTTTGTGTTCCATTTCAAATCCTCTCAACTCACAGCCATCCAGCATTTTCTTCCACCCAGAGGCAGTTCAGGTATGAGGGATGAGTTCCACATTGGGCAGATGTGAGGGCTAACCTGATTAAAAAGCTCACTCTTCAAAGGAGCCAATATCTCCTGAGACAACTCCCTAGACATTGCTTTTATTGCCCCAAGATGCACCTTAAAAACGTAACCACTTTCAGGGAAGCACAAAGCATCGCGTCCCTGGCAGATATTATGATTTGTTTATGGTTCCTCCCAGTCCAGATGCAATCTACCAATCGGGGTCATTTTTATCATCAGCAATGCTGCCTAGAAATGGAGTTTGCATTCTACCCTTAGGAGGTTGCCAGAGTATCAGAGCTCCACAGTTAACCATAGGTTCACCATAAGCTAAATAATCATGCACAAGGGAATTGTTTGCTTAACTTTTACTCACCCACCCTCATGTGAAAGAATCTACAGATTCCTCTCCTCTTTAAAAAAGAGCTACTATGGCTACAGGGGTGTTCCAATGTCTTTGGAAAACCTGTAAGGAAAGATATGGGTGAAGGAAAGGAATTCCAAAACCTGCTTTATCTCTTCCCCTTGTTTTTCTTATATTTCCTGCTTGAAGTACAAGGCCAATGTGTTTTGGTGGATTTTGTTTTTGTAAATAGGGAGGCTACTGTGGCAGCAAGTCAGCCAAGTCATAGGGCTTCATCTGAGAGCCTCAGTCTGTCTAAAGTGTTTGGGACTATTGAAGCCGAAAATATAAATGTCACCCACTTACTATTATGTCCTGCAGATAAGAGGGTGAGACGGTCTTACCAGGGACCAGAAAATCACCTCTTAAGCCACACTAGACCCACCATGGGTGGCAATAAGGAACAGTTTTCCCTAACCCAGCTAGCTCACTGCCTCCCAGGTAGGCCTGCATGCTTAGGGCATAGGTCCCATGTAGGTGGGGGCCTCTCACCTATAACTGTTCCTCCCCAAGGCTCCTGAGCTCATAGGCCCATTCAATTCTCTGCTCCCTTCTATAGTGCACCCTCTTTTCCTTGCCAAGATTTTGACACTTGCCTCCATTCCATGTCCCCTAGGATAGAGCTGGAGAGCGTTTAGGGTCCATATGGATGAATGGCAGGATGAAGGTCAAGCATCTATTTACACAGCAATCAAGCCATTTCCCTGGTGAGAGTGCACGCCTTAGTAAAAATCATCTGCTCCATTATGCTAAAAGGGTCTCTGGCTCTTTTCTCCCCTCCTTTGAGTTACATTATAAAAAGATCTTCTTCTGGCCTCTTAGCTTGATGGGTAGCATGCCCTAGGGAAGGGGAAGGCAAGGAACTCATTCTGTACATCAATACTTCCCATTTTACAGAAGCCTGCCTTGTTTGTTCCAAGAAACTGAATGTCCATGGAAAAAAGTTCCCCCTATAAGCAGACCTCACCTTCTCTCAGGTATAGCAGGCAAACTCTCCATGCAAACTCGTGTTTCCATCTTTAGGGCTCTGCTCTGACCTCCTTATGGCTAAATCTCCCTTTGCAGCTTGTAGACTGGCACCAATCCAATGGAGAAAACTTGGTCCTTTTTTTCCCCTCCATGAGCCCAATAAGCTTCTTTAATGATTCTAGTGGTGCTTCGGTCAATGATTCTAGTGGTGCTTGAGAGAGCCAAGAACAGGCTCTGGGGTGAAACAGACAGCTGGCATCTGTGAGCCAAGAAGGGCTGTGCAGCAGTTCTCTAATGGATTTGTTGAAGAGAGGATATAAAATACGGGGCAAAGTCCGAGAAGGCAGAGAGGGAGAGCTGGGAAAAGACAGCAGATGTTGTAAAGATACTCTTTCAAGTTTCCTGTGCACTAGGAATCTGCAGATGTACGTTGGCAGGGCTACAGTCAGAGTGCAGCGGGAGGCTGGGGTTTACACATCTGGAAATCATTTGGTAGAGGGCAGAGTTCAAATGCTTTCTGCTTCAGCTGCCTCAGACAAACCTCGCCGTGCAGGCCGGGGCTGCGTGAGGGGCTGGCCGTTCACAAAGAAGTCCCTCTGGCCCCACTCTTGTGGAAGCCCTACCTAAGCTGGTGGGTTTTCCTCTGTGTTGGTTCAGTCACATGGAAAAGTTGAAAGCATTATAAAAAGAGAGAACAGGACTGGGGAAGGAGGGAAGCAAAGAAGAGAATGCATCACAACTGAGAGAAGCCTGGCTGGAAATCAAGAAACAAAATGTACTTGGACCAAATCCAGTGCATGAGTTCACTTGAGAGCAAAGAACACCATTCAGGAGAGGGGAAAAAAAAAAAAAAAAAGCCTTTTCTGTGCATAGTAACACCCAGGGATCATGCTCACACCACATTTACTTTTCTCAGAAATCCCTGTACATTTTGCCTTCATTTATTTCAAGAATGCGGAGGGCTCTCTTGATCCCGAGGGAATTACTTACTTCCTTTTGAAGGATTTATGGGGTTCTGCTGAGAGAAAGAGCAGGTCTCCCAGGGCCAGGTCATCACCCCACTGACCTACAGCCTCCTGCTGTCAAATTGAGACGTGGTCCTCCCTCCCAGAAGGGAGCCAGGTCAAGCCAGGGGCTTTGCTCCCCTCAGAGGAGAAGCACATCCTCAGGGTGAAATTGGGTCCTGGTTCAAAGTTCCTGCCGTGCTCAACTGTGCAGATGATATGGCTTGCAGCTGCTCACAGGCTTAGCGTGGGGGCCATGTACTCATGTTTGGCAAAGTGACCTTTTGAGGGGTGGTAATGAGTGAAAGGTGCGGGGCATACCCACGTTGGTTAATCTGATCCAGGACCTCAGAAGGATCAGAGTCCACCTAAAAGGATGAGTAACAAAATACAACAAAAAATATAGTAAATGCCAAATATGAGATAAAACAAGTTTAGACAGAGCTCCTCATAATCCTCATGCCCATAGCCTGCTTATCTTTCCATATCCTCTAACTTGAGGCATGTGTCTGCTATCCCCACAGTTGCCCAAGCCAGAAAAGACCAGGTCTCCCCCTTTATCACCATGCATATCCAACTTGGCCACTGGGCCCTGTTGATGATACACCCTTAGCATCTCTTGAATGTTTTGCCTCCACCCCAATGCCACCACCCTCAATAGCTCTGGCCTGACCACCGCAGCTGCCTGTCAGTTTGTCTCCCTGATGCCAATCTTGTCCATTCTCTGAGTTATCTTTCTAAACCTAAATCTGAGCGTGCCTCTACCCTAAATGGTCCAATAGCTCTCCATGGCTTTCAGGATAAAACTCAGCCTCCTGAGCATGACATGCAACATCTTCATGATCTGGTTTTTTGTCCACCTTCCAAACCTCATCTTCAGGGATATGCTGGTAAATGTTTAACAAGCATACCTGCAGACATACCACTGCGTTATCTTATACGACTCACACTCCCCCTCAAGTGACAATGAATTTCTTTCAAATTCCTGGTCATTCCATAATTTCTCCCTCATCCGGGCCTTTGCACATATTTCTCTCTCAGCCCAAAATGACCTTCGTCCTGGCTCCCCCACATCTAGTCATCCTTCAAGTTCAAGCTTATGCAAGCATAGTGAACACCAGTGGCTACCAATATGCTACTACATAATTGTGTGCTGGTGGGGCCTGCTGCACTAGGTGATTCTTGAGAACAAAGACCATGCTTTATCCTTGTGTCCATACTGCCTTACACCCTTCCTGGAACATAGTAGATTTTCAGTAACATCTGAATTAAAGAATAAAAACAGTGCTTTATTTATTTATTTATTTATTTATTTATTTATTTATTTTGAGACAGGATCGCACTCTGTCGCCCAGGCTGGAGTGCAGTGGTGTGATCATGTCACACTGCAACCTCAACCTCCTGGGCTCAGGTGATCTTCCCATCTCAACCTCCCAAGTAGTTGAAACCACAGGCATACATACCATGCTTGGCTGAATTTTTATTTTTTGTAGAGACAGGTTCTCCCTATGTTGCCCAAGCTGGTCTCAAACTCCTGGAGTCAAGAGATCCTCCCACCTCAGCCTCCCAAAGTGCTGGGATTATAGACATGAGCCACTGCACCTGGCTCCAGTGCTCATTTTTAATTTTCTAGTTACACTCTACTTTCTTGTAAAAAGATTCAAGGTTGTAAGTGCTGCAGGCCCTGCACTGAGACGAAAACCAAGCTCTGTGAAGGACAGAGTAGTCAAAGAGTACTTCATGGAGAAGAGTTGCCAGATACAGCAAATTACAATATAAGATGCCTAGTTAAATTTCAATTTCAGATAAGCAACAAATGCTTTCTTAGTACATGTCCCATGCAATGTTTAAGAAATACCTATAGTAAAAAAAAAAAAAAGTATTTGTTTATCTGAAATTCACATGTCACTGAGTGTTCTGTACTTTATCTAGCAACCCTATCTTTGAGAAGGCTGTATTTGAGCAAGATCTTGAAAGATGAGTCAAATTTAGAGAGGACAGAGAGAAGGGAAATTTATTCTCCTAACTGGGGACCAGCAGGAGGGGTGATAAGCAAAGCGCACAGAAAATGGAAACCTGCCAGGCATTTTCAGATTGGTCTAATTAGGGCATGAGGTTTATGCCCACAGAGGATGGGAGGCCAAACAGAAGGAACAGAAGATTGAAATTGACATTGAGGTGACCAGAGAGGTGGAGACTATCACCATTCACCACATGTGTGTTCAGAGTTTGTAAGTCCTGAACTGGCCCACAGGCAATTAGAAGAAAGGACAGGAAAATGAGCAGATTTCTAATTAGGTTGGTGGGGAGGTGTGGTAGGGGATGTAAAGAATCCTCCAAGATTTAAGATTCGAAAGGAAAAGCCAGATGGAAAGGGTCCAGCAGAGGAGGATGAGCTTCATTTAGACAAGTTGAATTTGATATGAAAAGTAGGACAACCAAGGAGAAATGCACAGCTGAGCTGGAGTATCAGAGGCTGGGCATGACAATCATTGTGAAATGTCCACACATATGTGACTGTGATGGTCTGCAGGGTCTCTCTGTCACTTACATGATCCAAATCCATGAAGGAGGAAGAAGATTATCCTCAAAAATATCCCAGGCCATGTAATAGAACACTGGCATGCCGATGTGTTCAACAACTCCCTACTCCAGAGCTTCTTAACAATCCACCAGGCCATTGGGGAGATGTCTCATTCTTAGGCTTCCTGAAGGAATGCTTGATGCAGTTCACTATGAGACAGTCATAAGGTGGAACACAGCATTTTTTCAGTAATCACCTAAATACATTGTAAAGACTACCTTTAATATAGTTCAAATCTGAGCCTGAATGGAGCAAGATAGTTATCTACATGAGACTGGTGAAGGCAAAGTTTGTGGAAATAATAAACATGAAAGTGCTTTGAAAATTATGTGTTATGAAAATCTCATATTATTCACCCAAACTGAATATAACTTGAAAATAATCACCAAGACATCAAAAATTGTGTCTGTGTACTGCTAAACACCTGAATATTTTAAGACAATCAAAGTCAACCCTCCCTACACTTTCTAAGCCCTTCTTGCCTTTATTTTTCTTAGTGCTTATCACCATTTATTATACTATCTAGGCAATAACTTATTAATTATGCATTTCCCCTCACCACCTACAAGAATGTCTGAGACTTGAAAGCAAGAATCTATGGGGTTTTTCTTCATGGCTTTATCTCTCAATGCCTTAGATGGTGCTTATTTCCAATTGAATAAATTAACTTTAGTTTTTAAAGAGTTGGCTGAGACTGCATATCTTGGTAACTAGGAAGCACTCTGAAAGACAAACATGTAAGAAATCTCAGAATCACAACATCCATTGTCATATAACCAGGCATCAAACTGTCATGAAGGCTTATCAGGAGACACAGTCCATGTGAGCTATCTGATTGTCCTCACAGTAAGAATTGTCCTCACATTTGGGGGCCAGTGCCTAAGTCATTACTGGTAAAGGAACTATGAGCATTTCAGTTGATCCATGAGAACTCATGCCCCTCCCTTAGGATGGACCTTGCTAAGCTTGGCTGTTTGATATTTCTCTTACACCTTAGGAAGCCTCAGAGCATTAACCCAACCCTGCTGGGGACTGACTTGACAAAAGCACTCTACAGACTGGGTTTTCCTCATCCTTCTGGGACATCGTACTGGTTTCAAATGCCAAAGAGCCACATTTGAATTCATATTCCAGAGCTCAGCATGTCTATATTTGATCCTTCGGTTATTTTTGTACAGTCCATTCCCTTGTTTCTGTAGGAATCCTAACTACCTTAGAGTATTGACTGGATACTCCTTCACATGGCGTTCTGCAGAGCAAGTAGAAAAGAAAGGATTCCTGCTCAGCTTCCCAGCATGAACAGACATCCCTAATGTAGACAAACACACAAAAAATACACTGCAGCTGAAGTTCAGATGAGTCTTGAAAGGCATCCAGCTGCTCTCTTAAACCCAGCTGGTATGTGTCCTGGTTCAATAATGGAAAAGACTGGCAAAGCTTGGAGAATCAGTGCTAAAGTCCTAAAGGCTGTCATGTCTGAGCATGCATGGCCTCCCTGGGAGGCAGGAGGCTGGAGGGAAAAAGACTGAGTAACAGGATATTAGGGAAGATACAGGGGTCCTAGCTAAGAAGGACCCTACTTAGTAGTTGACTTCTTCCTGGCGTCTGGTTTCAAGGAGACTGCTGCAAATTAACAGTGACAGGAAAGCCACAAGGCTTACAGGGGGAAAAACTGGAGTATCTGAAGAAGTCACAGATGGTGACACCTGAACTCCCAGCAGGTCATTGCAACAGGAAATCCCATGCCCATCCTCTCACCATTCCTTCCATCTACCATTCTGCCTCCCTCTCATCTCCTGTGTGTCAATCACCTGGCCACCCATGAAGAGACTGGAAAAGAAGCTCCCCTGCATTCTCCTAACTCAAGCCCTCCTCATCCTCTGTACGTCCATCCAGCTCCGCAGAGCCTAACAACTCTTTCTCATTTCCATTTTTGTCATCTGTCGATTCATCACAGTATTCCTTTGGCCTCCTACTTACCACCAGATGTGAAGCTGGTGGGTATGGGTTTATAGACACTATTACTACCAGACCCTCTTCCCTTCATTGTCTGGAAGCCTGTCTCCATTTAAGCTATAATCCCTTTTGCCATTTTTGACCTAGTTCCCATTATTTTCTATTTTTCCATATTAACTCAAATAAGCCACTTCTCAGCCTGTATATATTTCACTGGCTCCAGTTCTTCTCTTGCAACTAAAATGAATGCCTGTTGGAAAAAAAAAAAAAAATCTACAGGCCATTCCCAGACTCACCCACTTTCTTAGCTTAAAGGACTAGAGGGGAAGCTCCTTTAAAAATTCTGGTGGCATTCCTTGGCTAGACAAAGAGGTTCTATAACTCATGATCACCCTGCTCCCTGCAACCTTCAGATGGGAGAATGCATTTATGCACATGAAAAATATGAAAAAAGTGTGGATAAAGCATTCCTCAATAACAGTCAAGTCTATCTATTACTGCATGAAAAACTGATAATAGGAGATTAATGTGTTTCACAGATAAGGTGAAGAAAGAAGAAATTGAGCAAGAGAAGAAAAGCAGAGTAAGGAGCCAAGAGTTTAATGGCAAAAGGACATTCATCTGAGGCATAATTAATCCTCCCTTCTTACCTTCAGCCCCAGAGAACTAGAAGTATAACTAAACAAAAGCTTAAGAGGCACCACTTTGGAAAATATTATTTCTTGAAACATGAATGGCGTGACCATGGGTCTGAACAAAGACACCTTTGGGGATAAATAACCCACAGACTGGTTCCTGCCCCTTTCAGGGCATATTTCAGAAGGAATCACATGCACTGTGTTTGTATCACAAACCCTTTGAAGCAAATCAAATTTTTAAATTCTCTCGCTGTTGCTTTAATATGCTATATCTTGCTTATCCATCATGTAGGAAAACATTAAAACTACTTAAAAGTGTTTACAGATGCTATTCCTAGCCTATTTTTCTCCAAAATCAACTAGTTTCCCAGCTGATCAACTGAAACTGTAGAGGATGTGGCACTCTCAGGAATTATACCCTGAAACAGTAATTTCAGGGTAGTTTTATCATCCTCCCAAAGTGATCATTGCATTGCCCTGGCTGTTGGCAACCTGCATGGTGACACTCTTTGACACAGGCGAGAAATAAGAAATATAGTCACGAGTCACTTCATGACAGGGATATGTTCTGAGAAATGCATTGTTACGCAATTTTGTTGTTGTGCAAACATCGTGGAGTATACTTATGCAAACCTAGATGGTATATAGCCTACTACACACCTAGGCTATATGGTACAGCCTATTGCTCCTAGACTGAAAACCCGCACAGCATGTTACTGTACTAAATAGTGTAAGGAAATAGTAACACAATGGTAAGTATTTGTGTGATATAAATTTTTCAGCTCCTTTATAATCTTATGTATAAGCATATGATACACCTATGTATAAGCATTTTGTCATTGATCAAAATGTCATTATGTTGTGTACAACTGCATATACGTTTTATAGTTGAAAGCTTCAGGTTATGTTAGTTAACTCTCCTGGTGTCAAGATATACACAGGTCCACCTGAATCCAGAGCCCACACTTTCAAATAGGTTGATAATAGAAATTTTTTTAATTAGCCACATTAAAAAGGAGAACAAAAACAACTATAGCTGACCCTTGAACAACATGGTTTGAACTGCATGGGCCCACTTACAAGTGGATTGTCTTTCCCCTCTGCCACTCCAGAGACAGCACGCCCAAAACCCTTCCCTTCTTCCTCCTCCTGAGCCCACTCAACAAGATGATGATGATTAAGACCTCTATGATGGCCCACTTTCACTCAGTGAATGGTAAATATATTTTCTCTTCCTTATGATTTTCTTAACATTTTCTTTTCCCTAGCTTACTTTAAGAATGTAGTATATAATACATATAGCATACAAAATATGTGTTAATCAGTTCTTTATGCTATCAGTCAGGCTTCTAGTCAACAGTAGACTATTCATAGCTAAATTTGGAGGGAATCAAAAGTTATACTAGGATTTTCAACTGTGGTTGGGGTCAGCTCTCTTACCCTCTGTGTTGTTCAAGGTCAGCTGTATATCCATATTCGCTCAGGGATAACTTTACAAAATCTCTTCTACAAACATACACTCTACATATATTCACAATTTAACAAAAAAGGAGGATGGAGATCATGCTTCATGTACTGTTGTATAAGCTTTGTATTTTCATTTGAAATACCTTGTGGAGGTCTTTCTACATCAATAAATACATTTCTACCACATCATATTTAATACTGGTTTCCATGGTTATCCCTGTACCATAATGTATGTAAGCAATTCTTGGACATCATGGGTCTTATACAGAGTACTGTGATAAATATTCTAACAGGTACATTCTTACACACACTTTTATCTCTTTAGGATAAATTCCTAGAAACGAAATGTACATTTTTCACATATTGCCAAATTCCCTGGCGAAAGTATATGAATGTTCATTCCCACAGCAATGTATTAAACCCCCCTTTTCTGCACACAATTATCAGCATTGGATATAGGCATTTTATCGTCTTTGCCAATTTGAATGGGGAAATAATAAGATCTCACCGACGCTTTATTTGTCTTCCTTAATTATTACTGGGTGAAACATTTTTCCTATGTTCTTTGGGATTAGTATCACGCCTTTTGTGAAATCCCTACTCATGTCAATAGTTTATTTTTCTTTCAGGGCTTGTTGTATAGTAATTGCTTGCCAAAATAATGTGTCCAGTATATTTCCCCAGATTATTTCATTTTCTTTTAATTTTTAATTGTTTTAATTGCAGATAACTTAAATTTTTGTCTTTCTTCTTTGATTTCTATTGTTGATATCTTTAAAAAGAATCTCTACTTCAAAGTTATAAAAATACTCACCTAAATTTTCTTCTTGTACTTCCAAACTATTTTTTAAATTGAAATGTTTAAATTATGCAGCATTTTTTGATGTAAGATGTAATTTATTAAGCCAAATGTCACAACAATATTTACTATACAATCTGTCAATCCATAACTCATTTAAAATTAGATCTGTATTTTATACTAAAACATTATATATAGTTCTGTTTATATCTAGAATTACTGCTCCATTTCATAGACTTTTGTCCTGATTCCTATGCCACTATTATCTATTTTCATTATTATAGCTTTATAAGCCATATTAATGTCTCAGATGGCAGTTTTCTCTTCATTATTACCAACTGTTTATTCATTTAAATGTATTTAAAAATTATTCTGTTTTCAAAAAAAATTTTTTATGGTTAGAATTTTGTTACACTATTGGTATAATTTCGAAAGAACTGATAACCTTATAATTTGAGTAAATTGTTCCTTCCAGGAAAAGCAAAGTGTGTCTACATATTCGGGTTTTCTTTGTCTTCTCTCAATAATGCATTCGCTTTCTTCATGTCTGCTTTTATGTGAATGGAACCTCCTCCCTGTTATATTTTACAACTGCTTATTGTGAAACTTAGACTTAAACAACTGGAATCCAACTAGTCTTCATTTTTACAAGGTTGATGCCCAGCGATACTACTTTGAAAAGTCCCCCATTTCCTGTGCAACAAAACTTAGCATATAGAGGCACCACCTAGTCCTGATGAGTCTGTCTCCAGGATTCCTTTCTAAATAGTCCACTTTTCCCCATCTCCATTGCCACCACCCTGGTGGAGGCACCAGCGACTTTTGTCTGTCTTGTTAGTATTATAACTACCTAACTGGTCCTCTCAATTCCACACTTCCCCCTTTAACCCATTCTTTGGATTTCAGAAATGAACAAGTTATATCAGTCCTCTGTTTAGCACCCTCCAGGTGCTTCCTGTAACACATTAAAAGTCCAAACATGTTCCTCTGGCCAGTGAGGCTATACATGATGTGAGCACCACATACCTCTCCAGCCACATTTCCTGCCTGCTCTCCCCTTGCTCAGCGTGCTTCACCACCCTTTCCTTCTTTCAGTTGCCCATGTACACATTTCCTCCTTAGGGTCTTTTTATACAAGCTGTGCCCTCTACCTGGAAGCTCTTCTCCCTGATAGCTGCTCCTTCTGATCAAATTCGCCATGCCACCTGTTCAACAAGGTGCTCCCTGACCATTCAATCTAGAGGAAATCTCATTGTTTTATTTTCATAAGAACGTATATTATAAATTTTATTTATTTGTGTATTGTGTATCGTCTCCCCTCAACCTGCCCCTCATCACCACCTTGAAGGCAAGGATTTAGAAAAGTCAGAATTTCTATCTTGAATACTGTTGAACTGCTGAGACTAGAAGAGTAACTGGCACATAGTAGGTGCTCAAGAAAAAATCTGTGGAATAAATGGATGAATGAACAAATCCAGATCTTCTGACTCGTGGTGGGCATTGTTTGATGGAAGAAGAACACATGTTACAACAGGCTGACCCATATTTGCATCTCAGCCTCAGTCCTTATTTAACTTGAACCTATGGGGAAAATACTCAAAGTCTTAGAATATTGCTTTCTTTAGTCATAAAATGATGTGATTACTAACCGTCTAATAGGATTGGTTTGAGAATTGGCTTTATACTATAAAGCGCTAGTATCATTCCTAGCACACAGTAGATACTCATGATACATTAGCTTTTTACCCATTTCTGAGCTATTTTCACTCACCAGCTAGCATCTTTACCTATGTTGTCTTTTACAGCGGGGAGCTGTGGAATTTCATGCCCAGAAAGCATTATTATTAGATTAAATGAAACTTCCAAATTAAGTGGAAAACAGGAAGTACACTTAATTTGGGATAGGTCTCTGTTGCAATTTGTTTTCTGAAATTCAGAGAGAATAGACATTTCAGCAATTTATTTCCTACCCTATACTGGAACATAGAGTCCAAGACAAGGACAGTCAAATGAGTCAACAAATAACTGTCATTTTGCTACACATCAACACAATTTGGGTCTGTAATCTTAATACCACATTAGGGGAAAATACTCATTGCTCAGATGTCACATAGAACACTGGAATTGTAAAAGGGGGCATTAAACATAATCCCCAGAGGAGGATCCAAAATTCAATAAATCGATGATTATGGTTTCCTAGAGCAATTTCATTGAATTTCCATGAACCTCCAACATCAGGGGAGTACATAAATTATACAAGACTATAAAGTCTGACACAGTAAAAGTGGTTCATTCTGAAAAAGGAAATGAATTCTTTGACCTTGACTATCAAAACACCGCCATTGCTTATTCTATACTTTCCTTTGGAGTTTACAATTGAGAAGCCTGTTCATTTTGTTTTGATTCATTAATACTTTTGGGGTTTGAGCTTATGGACACAATTTTCCTAAATCTTAGGAAGGGTAGGCTGATCAACAAAACAGCCAACAATATTGTTTGTGGCACCCTCCAAATTGTCAGTGGCCTTAGTTAGGATCAGGGCTCACTGTACTTGGAAAACGGTGGGCACAAAATTACCAGTCACCTCAGATAATAAAGAAGTTGTACGTGCATGTCGGCTTCTTTGCTTTTTAAACAGACGTGTGGCATATATTTATCTAAGAAATACTAGAGAAGAACCAGCCAAGTGTAGAGACTGAGGGTGGGGTATCCATAATAAACTATTTAGTTTGAATCCCTGTTCCACATCTCACTAGCTGTGTGAACTTAAGAAAATTACTTTACCCTTCTGTGCCTCAGTATTCTCGTCTACAAACCGGGAATCATAATCACACCTACATCATAATGTTGCAAAGAGAATCCAATGTGTGAGGATTTGTAAGGAACTCGGGAAAGCTTATTGAAGCTCTTGGGTAACTCAAAGATAACTCATGGGAGATTTTTCATGGTTTTTTTTTTTTTCTGTGAACTTGTGTCCTAAGAAAGAAGGGAAGAGATAGTGATAAATGTCTTTCCCCACCCTTAGTGGGTGTGAGGAACAGGAACTTTCTGTACCTTGTCTCACAAAGTAGAAGAGGTAAACCTGAGTCATCCACTCACTTCTATAAATAAACAAAAAACTGGCATAAGTGTATTAGTAAGGATTTTCTAGAGAAACAGAACCAACAAGAAAAGAGAGGCAGAGAGAGAAAGAAAGAAAAGAAAAGAAAAGAAAAGAAAAGAAAAGAAAAGAAAAGAAAAGAAAGAAAGAGAGAAAGAGAGTGGGAGACACCTCAAAGGAGATTTATCATGGGAATTGGCTCACAAGATTGTGGAGGCCAGAAAATTCTACCACCTGTCATTTGCAAGGTAGAAAACCAAGAAAGCCAGGAGTGTAATTCAGTCTGAGTCCAAAGGCTCAAAAACCAGGCGAGACCATGCTGTAACTCCCAGTCCAAGGCCAAAGGCCTGAGAATTGCTGTTGTTAAGTCCTGCAGTCCAAAAGCCCAAGAATTAGGAACTCTGATGTCAGAGGGCAGGAGAAGATGGATGTTTCTGCTTGAGAAGAGAGAATTCATCCTTCCTCTGCCTTTTTGTTCTATTTGGGCCTCCAATGGATTGGATGATGCCCACCCACATTGGTGAGGACAGATCCTCTTTATTAGAATTCCAACGCTAATATCTTCCAGAAACACCCTCACAGACACACCCAGAAATAATGTTTTACCAGCTCTCTGGGCAGTCAAGTGGACACATAAAATTAATCATCACAATAAGTGAAATGAATTTAAAAAATCCTGTGCCATTTGCCTTTGGAATCAAAGGGAGATGCAGAAATTGAATCGTGGTTTTCTGGTTTCCAGCCCTCCCTATGATTTTCTGCAGGTGTCATTACAAATCATGACCGGTTCTCAGGGCACAGCTCCTGACGGTTAAGTTTTCATTGCTCGGCAAAATGCAGAATATCCAAATCTTCACCTTATAGGGCCCCCACGGAGTCAGAAGAAGGAAAATAAGGTAACACCATTCTAATGCTCTCAAGATTATAAAGCATGGAAAAGAACCCTCCAAGCATCTTCCAAGTATCAAATAGATCATGCCCTGCACCTTACCACTCATTGTCTTGTTATATCTTACCCTTGCCCACGAGTACTGGTTGGTGTTTTTGAAAACTGAAAATAACTTTCGGCACAGTCCACAAAAGTCCATTGTTTCCATCTGCTGAGAGGAAATTTAAATGAATCTTCTGAATGAATTTATTTACCACCAGATGGGGGTGATTTTAAAACTAAGGTTTATGAAGGGGAAGAGAAAATGAACTTTGTGAATCTAACCCATGCCCATTAAAGAAGATTTGGGGTCAGTCTGGATGAACTGTGTGTCTCCCAGCACACAGGGCAGACTCTTCAAACTAGAGGATAATCCCAGAAAGTGAGAACAAGGACACCATCAGCCCATTTATCACAACCATAATAATAATAGCCATAATGACAATGGCAGGAAAGGGAAGATAAACTAAAATGTTACAAGACATAGAGACAGTAGGAAAACTGCATACTGATCATTTTTCTTCAGGACACACCATTGAGAAAAATTAAGTCTTTAACCTCTGATGGTTTCCTGTGGCTAAGCCACAGAAATCTAATTGAGAGAGTAAGGTCCACAGAAATCTGCTGTCTGCTCTGGCTGTAGAATCATATTACTATAAGCCTTTGACTCAATTACTATAAGAAACAAAGAATTGTTGCCACGGCATCATTATAGAGACTCCAAATGTGATTTTCTAATCCTTGGTTACTAGTCTTTCCCCCATTACCTCCAGTAAGCAGATGAGGTAGGAGACTCAGGGGACATGGCTCTGTTTGGTTCTTGGGAGTTTTCCAAATGCATTTTGTACTTCCATTGGAGAAAAGACAAAACTGTGTACCTGCTTAAGAGACAGAAGGGCAGCTACTTCTGGAACGGCACTGTAATATCACTGATAATTATAGGACAGTCTTTTATCCTTGGGGTTAGTAAAGATGTTGGATCCACAGTGGCTTCTCCCAACTATATGCTTGCTGCTCATTATATTTATACATGGCACATTCTGAGACAGTACAAGTATATCTTTCCATTTGTTCAAAAAAACCTGAGCTCCAATAGCATCTGCACAAAAGAAACCCCAACTAAGGGATGGGGTCTCAGAGTATTTTGAAGTTTGAAGTCTTTCCTTCTCTGACTAGTGGCAGGTGAAAACAACTGGACAAAGCTAGCAGGCTTTCAGAGGAGGAAGAAGAGTCATCTCAAATCTCCCTCCCCATTCTCCATTAAAGTAACTTTATTCAGTGTTGTGTTAAACTTCCGCCTCTTCTTCATCAGGAAAATCCTCATGTCAACATCAACTTCTCTGGCTGCCTTCCCTAACATTCCCAGAACAGAAAGAAGTACGTTTCCTTTCTCCTGCTCAAACCACCTCCTTAGCACACAGCTTTTCTCATACTTATTACGTCAAATTACAACAATCTCTCCGCAACTAGGCCTCCCCCATTTTGTGTTTGAAACCCTGGTAAAAAGCCCAGTGTCTGATGCTCAGAAAATTTCCTCTGAATAAATGAATAGGTGGAAGAACCGAGATGGCAACTACACAGTCACACAGGCTCAGGGATGTGGGATATTGATACCTGCTAGGAGCAGAATTCTCTCACAAGGTCTGCAGTTTAGGCTACAGTTGCAAATAGAGAACTCCTAAAGGAGTGTGATATTTTTTGATTGACCACAAATGTGCAGTATTGGTTGTATTAGCTTAATCTTCTGCAGCATGCAGTTTACATAGCTTGTGAGTAAAATTTAATAACTGATATATTTCAAAAATCTATGTGCTGGTGTTGCTCAGCCTCAATAAAATTATGATGATGATGATAATTAAAACAACAAGTAGGGGACAATACAAGTTAATAAAGAGTAATAGTAACAATAGATTTTACTTTTGGCGATGTTCTTGCTCTGGGGTTGGGCAGTGGGTTCCTGGATGTTCATTATATTATTAAAAATATTGAACCATATGTTTCTTGAACCAAAGATTATGATGAATATCAATAAAATTCTGTGCACCTAGGGGTACAAAAATAAAATCTTCCTGCAATGTATAATCCTCGATCTATTACATAATATTTATGTTTATAGCAATTCAACTTAAATAGCACTGTTTTTTATTCCACTTAATGATTTAGATTTTTGTCTAAAACTCAAAATCCTTTGTTAATGTTGAAAGTGGTAGATATATAGAGCTGAATACACCTAAATGGGCTTAATATGCAATATAAGGCTTCGTATAAGCAGATGTTCTATTTTCGGGGACATTATGGACTCAGGAACTATTTGAACCTACATAGTAAACTGTGCTGAAACAACCACAAGAACCACACAATTCTACTATATTCAGACACAACGTTAAAAGAAAGACTTGTGAGAACCATTTCAATCCTCATTTTTCTTCATTTATGAGCAATGCTCTTAGTTGTCATAAAAACAAATCCTAGTTAAAGTTCAATTCAGAGACAGAATTGAATTAACCAATGTTCCAACAACAATAAAAAGAATACTAACCCAGTGATGACTTACACTTGCATAAGACTGCACTGTTTTCATGACATTAGAGCCTGTGTTTGTCACCAATGCAAGAATTCACTCAGCATGCAGCCAGCCCAGCAGAGCACCTCCTTGAGCTGGAGAAATAATCATTAGTGACAGCGATTGCATTGACAAGGCCTTCTACAGTGTGCCACATCATTCACTTCAGAGTCAATATGAAATTTGACCAGAAGCACTTCTTTTTATGGCCTAGTTAGTACTTACCTACAGAGAAAAACACAATTAACAGTAATGAGATGAGAATTTAAGTAGAGGGAGCATTTTACCCTGTGAGGCTAAATCATGGCGCCTAAGAAGAGTCACTTAGCTTCATGATGAGAATTAACCCTGAACACAAGAGAATTTTTAATAATAAAGAAAATGCCATTTTGCTGTTATTCAACAGACCTCTGGGTCACAATGTAAACCTAGGCTCTAAAAGATTCCCATTTCTGTTGGCTTCAGAACAGTTGTTCTAAATTTGAGTCTCTTATGGATTGCAACCTGTCATGCGTGGAGCTTAGAGGGAACGCCATGAAGCCTCAAAGTATGAGTTAAGGAAAGGGCTTTAGTGTAGAAAATGGAGACTTGCACAGCTAGGCTCCACAACAGCAGAGGAGGCTGGGGTCACCCACTGTCCCCATGTGGGCCAAGGCACTCTGCTGGACAAGCAGCATGGCTTGCATTCCATTAAAGGAACCCACGCCCCCATCTCTATACCGTTTTTAAGGGTATACATGAGAAAGTGGCCTTCTTACAGGGAGTATAGAGAGACTTCTGCATGCTAGGTGGTCTGGGTATAGATGCCAGATGAGAGAAGCTGAGCTTGGGCACAGCATCTCCCGCTAGTAGAGGGTAAGCCCTCAGTACCAGTGAATCTTTGTCAAGGCAACACAAAATGGGCACCTGAGGTCATTTGCAGATACCTGTTCCTTGCGTCACAATTTGACACATGAAAGTTTGTGAAGGACTGGGTGTATTAGTCCATTTTCACAGTGGGTAATTTATAAAGAAAAGAGGTTTAATTGACTCACAATTCTGCATGGCTGCAGAGGCCTCAGAAAACTTACAATCATGGCGGAAGGGGAAGCAGGCATGTCTCACATGGTAGCAGGAGGGAAAGGAGAAAGCAAAGGGTGAAGATCCCCTTATAAAACCGTCAGATCTTGTGAGAACTCACTATCATGAGAGCAGCATTGGGGAAACCACCCCCATGATCTAATCACCTCCCTCCCTTGACACCTGGGGATTAAAAGTCCCTCCCTCCCTGCATGGGGATTATAATTGGAGATGAGATTTGGGTGGGGACACAGAGCCAAACTATATCACTGGGAAATAAAATCATGCTCACCTGAATTCTTTGTTTCCCTGGGTCTTAACGTGGACTTATTAGAATGATCCTGTTATACCTAACATCAAAAAGTTTTCTGTATCTTCTTGTGTAGAAAGAGAGCACTCTTAGCTACTTTCTTTCTTTTCTTAGAACTGAGAGTATATATTTCTCTACAAAGCAATTATAAATCCTTTCCTTACTTGTACTTTGCAATCAATGACACTAGGACCAATGCTAGAAAACAAAGACAAAAACTGTGATGTAGATCACATTTGTCATCAGAGCTCCTTGGCTTCATACTTCTGTCTCCCTGCCCAGGTTCCAAGCCTTTCGGGTTGCCTGCCTGGACTCAGCTTCCAGGTGCTAAGCTCCTGACCTGACCTTCTTTGGCCAACAAAACTTACCTGCTTAGGCCCCTTTCTCTAACAATGAGTGGTGATTTGATATAGAGACAAATTAGTAGGATTAAACTATTTTGCTGTCTAGTGTGCAGTGAAATGAGTGATTTAAGGAGCAACGAAAAATTTTTCTCCCATTTTGTAGGTTGCCTGTTCACTCTGATGGTAGTTTCTTTTGCTGTGCAGAAGCTCTTGAGTTTAATTAGATTCCATTTGTCAATTTTGTCTTTTGTTGCCATTGCTTTTGGCGTTTTAGACATGAAGTCCTTGCCCATGCCTATGTCCTGAATGGTAATGCCTAGGTTTTCTTCTAGGGTTTTTATGGTTTTAGGTCTAACGTTTAAGTCTTTAATCCATCTTGAATTGATTTTTGTATAAGGTGTAAGGAAGGGATCCAGTTTCAGCTTTCTACATATGGCTAGCCAGTTTTCCCAGCACCATTTATTAAATAGGGAATCCTTTCCCCATTGCTTGTTTTTCTCAGGTTTGTCGAAGATCAGATAGTTGTAGATATGCGGCATTATTTCTGAGGGCTCTGTTCTGTTCCATTGATCTATATCTCTGTTTTGGTACCAGTACCATGCTGTTTTGGTTACTGTAGCCTTGTAGTATAGTTTGAAGTCAGGTAGTGTCATGCCTCCAGCTTTGTTCTTTTGGCTTAGGATTGACTTGGTGATGCGGGCTCTTTTTTGGTTCCATATGAACTTTAAAGTAGTTATTTCCAATTCTGTGAAGAAAGTCATTGGTAGCTTGATGGGGATGGCATTGAATCTGTAAATTACCTTGGGCAGTATGGCCATTTTCATGATATTGATTCTTCCTACCCATGAGCATGGAATGTTCTTCCATTTGTTTGTATTCTCTTTTATTTCCTTGAGCAGTGGTTTGTAGTTCTCCTTGAAGAGGTCCTTCACATCCCTTGTAAGTTGGATTCCTAGGTATTTTATTCTCTTTGAAGCAATTGTGAATGGGAGTTCACTCATGATTTGGCTCTCTGTTTGTCTGTTGTTGGTGTATAAGAATGCTTGTGATTTTTGCACATTGATTTTGTATCCTGAGACTTTGCTGAAGTTGCCTATCAGCTTAAGGAGATTTTGGGCTGAGACAATGGGGTTTTCTAGATATACAATCATGTCGTCTGCAAACAGGGACAATTTGACTTCCTCTTTTGCTAACTGAATACCCTTTATTTCCTTCTCCTGCCTAATTGCCCTGGCCAGAACTTCCAACCCTATGTTGAATAGGAGTGGTGAGAGAGGGCATCCCTGTCTTGTGCCAGTTTTCAAAGGGAATGCTTCCAGTTTTTGCCCATTCAGTATGATACTGGCTGTGAGTTTGTCATAGATAGCTCTTATTATTTTGAAATACGTCCCATCAATACCTAATTTATTGAGAGTTTTTAGCATGAAGGGTTGTTGAATTTTGTCAAAGGCTTTTTCTGCATCTATTGAGATAATCATGTGGTTTTTGTCTTTGGCTCTGTTTATATGCTGGATTACATTTATTGATTTGCATATATTGAACCAGCCTTGCATCCCAGGGATGAAGCCCACTTGATCATGGTGGATAAGCTTTTTGATGTGCTGCTGGATTCGGTTTGCCAGTATTTTATTTTATTATCTGACAAAGGGCTAATATCCAGAATCTACAATGAACTCAAACAAATTTACAAGAAAAAAACAAACAACCCCATCAGAAAGTGGGCAAAGGACATGAACACACACTTCTCAAAAGAAGACATTTATGCAGCCAAAAAACACATGAAAAAATGCTCACCATCACTGGCCATCAGAGAAATGCAAATCAAAACCACAATGAGATACCATCTCACACCAGTTAGAATGGCAATCATTAAAAAGTCAGGAAACAACAGGTGCTGGAGAGGATGTGGAGAAATAGGAACACTTTTACACTGTTGGTGGGACTGTAAACTAGTTCAACCATTGTGGAAGTCAGTGTGGCGATTCCTCAGGGATCTAGAACTAGAAATACCATTTGACCCAGCCATCCCATTACTGGGTATATACCCAAAGGACTATAAATCATGCTGCTATAAAGACACATGTGCACGTATGTTTATTGCGGCATTATTCACAATAGCAAAGACTTGGAACCAACCCAAATGTCCAACAATGATAGACTGGATTAAGAAAATGTGGCACATATACACCATGGAATACTATGCAGCCATAAAAAAGGATGAGTTCATGTCCTTTGTAGGGACATGGATGAAATTGGAAATTATCATTCTCAGTAAACTATCGCAAGAACAAAAAACCAAACACCGCATATTCTCACTCATAGGTGGGAACTGAACAATGAGATCACATGGACACAGGAAGGGGAATATCACACTCTGGGGACTGTTGTGGGGTGGTGGGAGTGGGGAGGGATAGCATCAGGAGATATACCTAATGCTAGATGACGAGTTAGTGGGTGCAGCGCACCAGCATGGCACATGTATACATATGTAACTAACCTGCACAATGTGCACATGTACCCTAACACTTAAAAGTATAATAAAAATAAATAAGAGAAAAAAGAAAAAAAAAGGAGCAACGAAAATTCTGAGTACTCAGAGATGAAATGTTTTGTCAGAGAAAGCTCTGTGCTTCTTACTGTTTGTCTCATGGCCCCCTTCACACTTGAATTCAGTTTGGCTTGCTTCCAGATATGAGGCTGGATTGTAACAGCTGTCTGAGCCCTCATAACATACTTGAAGTCCTTTGGTTAAGCTCGTATCAGCCTTTTATCCTGATCTTTATCTTTTGGTTCCTCGGTATGACATTCTACCATTATTACACGGTGCATGTTATTGTTGCAGACCACTTTATTTCCTTTATGGAATGAGGTTTTGTGTAAATAAATCAGTAATACATGTGCACCTTAGGGGTCGCTCCCTAACAGTTGGCTTTTGGCGTATGTGAGTCTCAAAACCGGAGCCACAATCTCAAGCTCTTAGTGATAAGCTATTAAATACCTAGTTGGCTATTTATAATGTCAACATGGTATTCTAGACTTGGAGCTGAAAATCTCAATTTGATTCCTGACTCTGCATTTGGTGATTTTCCCTAAATGTTTTTCTTCCCCTGCTCTGTTGTTTCTTGATACTGGCAAGGGTGGAAACTCATAAAAAGAAATGCAAAGGGCATATTTCACAGGAGATTACCAAAGATTGCAATAATCTTGGCATCCTTTGCTATTAGGAAGAAAACTGCTTTAAGAAAAAAAGGATATACCATATTGAAACAATTTATTAACTGATTAAATACCAAGATAATGTATGACTCTTCCATCTCATAACAAATCAACTGCTAGCCAACCTTACAATTCTCTTTTATGAGACCTTTTAATACTTTTTAAACTAAGTCTCCTAAGGTTTCTAAAATAGACTGCTTGACCTCGAGCCCAAATCAACAAACTTCTCCCATGTATCCCCCAAGCCCTCAGGGGTAAGGGCCTGACAGCTGGATGTGGGCATGACACAGGAAGTACAGTGTGTACTGCCCAACACACGCCCAGGAATGTCTGCAGCTTGGGAGGATCAAGCATGTACCTGTCTGTGTTTCCTGTGGTCTCTGGGAGCTGGAAGCTAGACCAAAACACACCATTTGTCAACTGTAGCAAACCATTAGCAAAATAGGCAAGTGGTAACAGGGCAAGTGAAACAACAGGCAGGTGGCACTTCTGTGACACCAATGACTGCAAACACAATTACTAGGCTAGAATATGAACAGCACACCTTTTAAGACTCCCTTAGCCCAGGAGTTCAAGATCAGCCTGGGCAACATAGCAAGACCCGGTCTCTACAAAAAATTTAAAAATTAGCCAGGCATGATGGTGTGTGCCTGTAGTCCCATCTATGTGGGAGGCTGAGGTGGGAGGATCACTTGAGTCCAGGGGGTTGGGCTGCAGTGAGCTGTGATTGCTCCAATACACTCCAGCCTCAGCAACAGGCAAGACCCTGTCTCCAAAGAAAAAAAAAAAAAAAAAAGACTCCCCCTCAGAATACATATGAATGAATAAGTGAACAAAGAAACAAATAAATAAATGGCATTCCTAGCCATGTTTCAGAACCATTAGAGGACATAATCAGAAACTTCAACATAAGCCCCAGGTCTTCTGCTTCTGTCAAAACACTTTTTAGTTGCTCTTACTTCTATATATATTAATCAGCCTCCAGCTGATTCAAGATTTATCATCAAAGAATCAGATTCTTTTCATTTTTATCAAATTAGGAATTAAATTTCCTTTGTGACACTTCTCTCTGAGACGTATAATGATTTCTTTTCTTTTCAGATATTGTATCACCTTCAATTCTGATAACCATAGAACACAGGGGATCTTTTATCATTTTTAAAAAATCATAAAGGATCTGAATCTTTTAAGTATAATCTTTTAAGTGACGAATTGTTTCAAATAAATCACTTAAATCCCTGATGTATTATAGGACTTGACATCAAAATTAAGTACTCAAAATATGCAAGCACAGTATTAGAAATGTCGCATGTATTAGAAATAGCCCACCTGCTCTAACATAAGCTAGGGTGGATGGCGAAGCCCACTCCCCCACCACACACACCACTGCCCCCTATACACAATCTTTCCCCCATATAACTTCCCAGGTGGATACAGAAGCGTCTCTGCAAAATTTGGCTAAAAACCGCTATCTAAATACAATTCAATTAGAAACAAGAAATAAAGAGTTCATCAGATACTTCAAAACAATATAAAGTTGTCGGTTTTATATTGCTGTAGGCTCAGATCCTGCCAACATGTTGAATGTCTAGTATATACCAGGCACTCTCCTTGGAGTCACATATTCCCATTAACATATATTCTTCCAGGCAGGGACCAGCTGATTTCTATATAATGCATTGCATTTCCAGCTGGGTCAATGCCTCTGTAGTGTGAATTATGTGGGAGCTATCACAGCTACAACTTTCATGAGCAACTTGTATTTTCTTCCCCAGGTATAGAAAAACCCAGCAGTCTTCCCAGGCTTCCTGCTTTGTGGATGATGGAATATGTTATAGTATGCTGAGATAGAATTGATAAAAATTACATAAGAAAAGTAGAATGAATATATATATGTATGTCTCTTTCCACTTTCTTTCAAAGCTATCCACAGTATTTTATCTAAATACAAACTGCAAAACAACGTAGGCCTTTTCCCTTTCATTTTATTGCATTTTTTCTCCCTGGAATAATTTCTGAGCTTAACTCCTGATTCTGTCATATAGTGTGGCTTTGTGACAACTGACAACTTATTTAACTTCCTGGAGCCTCGCCTTAAGAATGGAGTTATCAGCATCATCTGATTCAGAGAGTTGCTCTGGGGCTGAAATAAGGGAGAATCAATGTAAAATTCAGGGCGTTAATGCTTTTTTGTGTTAGATCACTTTCTACTCCTGGCCTTTCTTCAAGTGTAAGATTATCTGGACCATTATATCAACACCCTATCTTTGATGTACAAACATGTGAATTATCAGCTTTTCATCTCTCTGTCAGTAAATGGATACCCTATGCACATACAGAATGCACAAACATGAAAATGTCTACTTTAAATAACAATGGTACCAGCAGCACGGAGTCACATAATAGACAACATGTTTTAAAGTAAAGAATCCTCTTCCACGGAGTATTAATTTACCAGCTTTCTACATGCCAAGTTCCCAAAGCAGTCAAGAACATCTCAGACCTGCAGGCTTCATGTTTCCCCTAATGGGGTACTAATTGTTTTCACATAAATGCCCCCACTGTGCAAGCTCTCTATGTAGAATGAAAGTGGGTTGTGGAATGGTAAAAGTAAACCATCTTTCTGATGTCTACAATGTCATGCTTCAGAAGATTCTAGAAAAGGTCTAGCTGGAATTAAATATATTTATATTCAAAAGCTTTAGTATTTAACTTACAAGAATATCAATTGTGAGCCACCTTTCTAAAAAGTATCACCACTTCCCATAATATTTACTTCTTCCTAAAACAATTATGTTCTAAACACACACACACATACACACACACACGCACACTCTGTCTCTCTTTGATAAAAAGTATTTTCTCTGTGAAGGACTCTAATTTTGCATTTTCCTTATTTGCAACCCTGTTTAGGATTTTAAAATGAGGTGTTTTAATAGCGCCACCTGGTGGTAATGATCTACTTCAAGTACCCAACATAACTTCTCTTTCCTCACCTTTTCTCCTGTTTTGTGAGCTGTTTCTTTCATTTGTATTCATGAATCATTCCTTTGCATTAGTGTTGCTGAAGAAAGTAATGATTTTATCAAAACAAAGTAGGCTATTACAAAAAAACTAACAGAAGTGTTAATGTGAGCAGAACAGTAGAACCTGCACACTTAAGGGTATGCCACTCATCAGGGGAAAGAAATGTAACTAAAAATCAACAAAAGGCTGTGAAGAAACAAAAAGGGGAGAGGCAGTAACTCCAAAATGGGCTTTAGACAGAAAACTCACCTGATGTAGGGCATGTTGGCCAACATTTTCCTTTTATATATCTGCCACATTTTCTGCCTTGTGGCCAGTCTGAAAAAACTAAGCAGCCCAGTACAGCAGGCAAATGCTTCTCAGTCACAAACAATGGAATATTGAAGCCATTGATATTCCTCTCACAGCGGCAGGAACCATAGCAGGTGCTAAAGGAATTGGTTGTTTATGAAGAAATAATCAAATATTCCCTCCCTCCTTCCTTCCTTCCTTCCTTCCTTCCTTCCTTCCTTCCTTCCTCATTTCTGCCGCTTCTCACACAGCTACCAGCATCCCTCTCCCCAGGCATCAGAGTGCTACTTGGGGAAAATAATAATAATGTAGGATTTTTTTTCCCTAAATCACTTCAACTCCAAGGACCCATTAGCAACTTATGCCCCTTTACAGATCTCGCCAGTTGATCATCAAGAAAGGCAACTTTAGAGATGATGCAATCAGGGCAAAAAAAAAAAAAAAAGAACAAGTAACTGCAGATATCTTTTTAATTTTTTTTTTTTGTATGTACCTTTTTGAGAATTAGGTCATTAAATTCATTGAAAATTCCATTCTTCATCCAGCCTTTGAAAGTTCTCATCTTGTTCAACTTTGAAACAGATCATAAGGTGGATTCACATGGTGAAAAATGGGAGGGACAGAATGAAGACTTGACAACAATGAAGAGATAATGTCTACCTGGAGGCTAACCAATGGCACCCAGGCTGCTGAAAGAAATTCCTTCAGCAGGGGCCCAGGGAAGAAGCCTAATTTAAAGGTCAGAATCAGACACACAGACACACACGTACACACACACATGTACACACATTAATCTACACAATCACCAGAGCAATCATCTAGCCCATTTGCATCAGCATAAGGTTTCACCTAAACTCTCTGCACTGACCTTTTATGGAAGATGTTTGCTTTCTAGGGCCTGAGACCTGGGACCAGCTCCCAGAGACGAGGGTACAGGGGAAAGGACCTGAAAGTCAAGTTTTATGGAAGATGAAATGGAGAGAAAAAAAATATTTGTTTATTGGTGATTTTAGTTAACGGGAACAATAGCTTTGCATTGACAGACAATAAGTGAGGGGAAAATAGTGGTGGGGTGGCGGTGTGAGGAAGCCGACATGGATAGAGCAGCCAAAGGAAGCTCTGAATAGGCTCTGGAAAAAACTACAACCCAACAAACTATTCCATGACTGTAAGGCGCTGGAAGCCTGCCAAAGTCAGACATACATTCTCACTGACCTTTTTAGACCTGATTGACTCCCAATCAGACTATGAAGACTGTGACCGAGGAGTGAATTCCTGTTCCTTCCTGGTGATCCTGCATTACTTTCCAGTAAGTTCTCTCATGGTCCAATTGTTCTTTTATCTGCACAGGAAGGGAATGTGTGATTCCTTTTGGAAACTGGAGTACTGTGGGAGCCAGGCCCACTCTCCTGGCTGCTGGAGATCTGAGCATACCCAGGTCTGGAAAGAAGCCAAGTCATGGGGACTGTGATGCAACAGCTCACCTTACCACCAGGCTAGATGGTAGCTTTGACTTTCTAAGACCCAATAGCCTGTTAGTGACCATCAAACAGAAATTGTCATAACTTCAATGGTATAAAACTGGGTTCAGGAAACTACAGATTGTGGGCCAAGTCAGACCTATACCTATGTTTGTAAATAAACCTTTATTGGAACACAGCCACACTCGTTTATTTAAGTATCCTCTACCACTGCTTTCGCACAACAAGGGCAGAGTTGAGCAACTGCAACAGAGACCATTGGCCTACAAAGCCAAAATAATTTACTATCTTGCCCTTTACAGAAAAAGGTTGCTGACCTCTGGTTTAAAAGCAGGATCATTAAGAGAAGGCTGTGTGATATGCCAGAAGGACCATGAGAAGGGGCCTCCAAAGGCCTGGTTCTAGTGCCGCTGTCTGTTAGAAACGATCTAGATCTGTAACACTGAGTGAACTTGAATGTCTCTTCTAGCTGCAAAAGATACACAAATTCTGTAGTTTAAGCGATTGGTAATGCACAGGGTTTCAGATATCCATTTCACTGTCCAATACTCTCCATTCCCAAAAGAAATGTCATTTTTCTATTTGTAATCCAAAGATGGTGGTATATAAAATAATTACACTGGAATCCATACTTTGTGCTTACACAGAAAGAAACATACACACATGCAGGCACAGACACATGCACACACACTCACACAAATGCAAACATACACACACACACTGGAGCAAGCCTTCCAGCTCACTGCTCTGAGCGTAGGGTTTCATGCTCAAGATCCTTGCACTGACCTACAGGAAAGACAAGTGTCTTCTAGGGACTCACCACTTGATTGAAGAAAGCTGCTGTGTCTAGGGCCTCAACATCTGCAAAGCTGTAATCAAAACATTACTATTCAGTTACCATCTAAGACACAGCTGTAGAATTATGGAGAAATGTTTTATCAAAACTAAGCAATTGTCTGAGTCTGTCTCCTGACTGAAGAAAGAAGAATGCCTAATTCACAAAACACTTCATACTTTATAGCACATTTACATACAATATAATGGATGCCACCCTATTTACTTGTTTTCTATACCATCTTTATTTAGTGTTTATTTTATGAGCCTTGCAAATAGTTTCCAAACATCTCTAAATCTAAGAAAAAGTTAACTGAGTAAAGCTGATTTTTTTTTTTTTTTTTTTTTGAGACGCAGTCTCACTCTGTCGCCCAGGCTGGAGTGCAGTGGCGCAATCTCGGCTCACTGTAAGCTCCACCTCCCGGGTTCACGCCATTCTCCTGCCTCAGCCTCCCAAGTAGCTGGGACTACAGGCGACTGCCACCACACCTGGCTAATTTTGTGTGTGTGTGTGTATTTTTAGTAGAGACGGGGTTTCACCATGTTAGCCAGGATGGTCTCGATCTCCTGACCTCGTGCTCCGTCCGCCTCGGCCTCCCAAAGTGCTGGGATTACAGGCGTGACCCACCGCGCTGGCCGAGTAAAGCTGATTTTAAATAAGCTGTCTTAGTCTGGGTTCTCTCCAAAAGCTGGGCCTGAGACAAGAGTTTACTTTGGGAAATGATTCCAAAGAACAGGAGGAAAGAACAAGGCAGACTGAAACAGGGGGAGGGAAAGCCAATCCAGAGGTCTTTTACTGAGCTGATCACTGGTATAGGCAAGTGAGGCGCCCCCCTCTTGGGATGCTTTGGGTTGCCTTGCCGAATGAGTCCCTCGTATGTCTTTCTAAGGGATGCCAAGGGAAGTACTATCGTCAGCTCCCATCATTGCCCCCATGGGGTTTTCATTCATTCCCACTTGTGGTGTGTGCATAGGGCAGAATGGCTAACCCGGTTTCTGCAAAGTCAACAACAGCCTCAGAGAAGCCCCAGGTCAGAAAGCGAGAGTTTGGTGGTGCAGCTGAAGGGAGAGGCTGATAGGTTACAATCACACAGTTATCACAGCAATGCCTGGAGTCAAAAGGTAGGCTAAGAGGATGTAAGAAAGGGTACAAGAAGTGATCCATACAGCATGAAATCCTTAAATTGTACTACTCCATCCTCCCAACATGCCATCAGTTAGGTAAGTGTAACTGCAATATTCCCTCAACATCATATATGCCTCTGCCACATCCTGGGCACCTGAAATAGAGATGAAGACACTGTTTTTGTGCTAATGAACCATTTTAATGCATTCAGATCAACACTGTCAGTTAACAGGAGAACACAGACAGATTCTCGTACTTACAATGGATGGGTAGCAGTGAATGGAGGTCAACATAAAGGAAGTCTTCAGAATGAACGTAAAGCCTGAGAGTTGTTTCAAAGGACCAATAGGTGTTGTCTAGGAAGTAAAGCAGGAAGGAAGATTGAATAGCCTGTGCAGAGTCATGCAAGTTGGAGAAGTCAAAATGTGTGCAGGAAAATGCAAAATACCATTAGTAAGGTTAAAATAGAAATACATGTGGGGAAATGGTCAACCATGAAGTGGAAGAGGTAGGCAGATCCCAGACCATGAACACTGGATTCCATCCTAAAAACATTCAACTCCAACCTATCGACAGTAGAGGAACATGGAAGACTGTAAAGGAGGAGAGAGTAATTCAGTTTGCTTTTAAGAAAGATAACTGTGATAATAGCATGTAGTTTATACCATCTCAAAGGAATTTCAGAGGTAAATTAAAGCTAGTGTATTTTTATGATCCCAAGATAAAAATAATTCTGCTCTGTCAAACATTTAAATTCATAGATCATACAATAATCTGTTTTTCTGTAAATGTACAGAACATTATGGCTAAATTTAACACCACAAATGAAAACCATCACAAGGCTTCATCAAAGCAGAGACTTTTGTGAGCATGTAGGTCTGTTATTTATTATTTAGTGTTCACAGCACTTTACAATGCTGGCCTAGAGATAATTTAAACCACTGGTCAATTCCCCAGCCTTTTATTTCTGTGAGGCAATATAATTTAAGAAGACTAATGCCAGGACTCAGTCCAGAAATGTAGGCTTCTGCCACCCTGTTCTGAAAAAAATCAGTCATGTTGGTTTCTTGTTGAGACCAGGAACAATGAGCATCCAATAAGCCATGTTGACGTTTCTTAACTGAAATTCAGCAAAACACAGTGATTAATTCTCAGTTCCTTGCATGAGTTTGTGTGGTAAATACAAGAGGCAGAGGCACATCATGGGGAATAAGACAACACAGACGTGACACTGAAACAGGAGGGGCAGACTAGAGACCAGAGAAAGACTTAAAGGACCAAACAACTCACTGTGCCTCATCAATTTCCATCTCTCCTAGAAATGGCACCCCATTTGCCCCTTTGCCAGATGGTTCACAATAATTGATGTTGCTGTTGGGTAGCCAGGAAGATGACTCAGTTCTAAAGAGGCAATCCACAGACCATCAGCTATGTTGAAGCCCCTCCCCCTGCTCTAGCTAAAGCCTTCATCTATTTTGGAGCCGTGTCCCACTTTGGACATCTGGTGAGGCCAGCGAATCCTTTTTATATTCCTATTTTTCTTTTATAATGTATTTGAATGCATAAAATTATATTGAAATTTAATTATCAATCAAAATATTACAAAACAAATTTTGTGATATACTAATGCAAGCGGTTTTTTATCAATGCACTAAATATTAATATCTAATGTGGATCTGATAACTAGCATAATTTTGATGTGATAATGAGCATGGATGATATTTTTGAATATTAGCAACATTGTGAGATGATATGAAAATATCAGCAATTTCTATTGATGACAAATTCCTATATTCTAATACTGCTGTAGTTGTCTACTAATAATTGATGCACATGCTAAGTTTGGTGAAACTAAAACTGTAACTCATAAATCTCTGGTTAAGCCTACTTCTTCTGAAGTGTGGCCTCTGTCTTTCAATCCATTTCCTGGGGAAAAAAAGAAATTCTAATTTCAAATAATTTCTTAGATTGTTGTGTATTAGAAGCTGTAATTTTTAATCATTTGATTGAAAACATGCATAATAACTAAACCTACAGTAAATTTAAATGTACTTAGGAATATTTTATTTTTATAAATCACAACACCATCTGTATATTTTAGATCCAGAACAGTATCCATACACACATATGTGCAAGATCTTGTATTTATTCAGTCCTCAGGCAATGCACTAAGTACATGAGAATTTGGAAAGCTGTTTCTTTAACATAACTAAATCTGCTTTGAAAAAGGAATACAATGCAAAGTATAAGCTATGGACTTTGGTTTCTCTGCATGACTCTGAGCAAATTAACTCAGTTTTCTCATCTGTAAAATGAGTATTAAAATCATATTGACTTCATAAGATTCTTGTGAAAACCAAAATGAGCTAAAGAAGTGTTTTCTTAAACCATTTAGGAAGACATAAAATCAATTAGCATGTCACAGCCAGCATTTTTTTTTTTTTTTTGAGACAGAGTTTTGCTCTTGGCTCCCAGGCTGGAGTGCAGTGGCACCATCTTGGTTCACTGCAAAGTCTGCCCCCTGGGTTCAAGCGATTCTCCTGCCTCAGCCTCCCAAGTAGCTGGGACTACAGGTGCGTGCCACCACACCCGGCTAATTTTTTATTTTTAGTAGAGACAGGGTTTCACCATGTTGGCCAGGCTGATCTCGAACTTCAGACCTCAGGTGATGCACCCGCCTCAGCCTCCCAAAGTGCTGGGATTACAGGCGTGAGCTACTGCACTCGGCCACAGTCAGCATGTTTAAATAAAATAGATTAAATGAAAAATAGCAAAGTGTGTCACACATAGTAAAGGTAAATGATGTTTTGTGAAACTTTCATTTCAAATATGTACATACAGCCTAGTCCTGCTTTACAACAATCATGAATCATGAAAATCTTTTTAAAAGCTGAAATAAAACATAAAATATGTAGCAGAAGACATGACACATAGCGAGCTATTGTTAGTGATAACAATAAATCATTGATGCCCCAAGGTCCAGAGTCACGAATTGGGAACCCCTCCCCTGACAAGGCTACTTAGTGATCTGACTTGGTAGAATTACGTGGGACCCGCATTTTCAACATATTGTAATCCTACAGAGGGACCAGAACAAACTTTACCATAGTGAAAGGAGAGAATAAAGATATATGGCTCTACAAAAAATAGGATAGAGTTTTATTTAGCTTACCTCAAGAGACAGTTTGAATATTATCTCTGTTAATTACTGGCCATGTGACCTTGCACAAGTTGTTTAATTTCTCTGGGCCTCAGCTCCCTTAAAATGAGGATAATAATAGCAGCTTCCTAATAGGTTTGTCACAGGGATTAAATTAGTTAAGGGTATAAAGTGCTTATTATGCCTGGCACACAGTAGGCACTCAATAAATATTAGTTGTCCTTGGGTTTGTCATTATGATTACCGTCTCCAAAACAGACAAACCTATGAACAAAGACTATCTTTCTGCTTCTCCTCTTACTTTCAAATTATGTTTATATTTTATTTCTATTGCTGCAGCAAAACAAAAGACTTTTTAAAACAAAGGAAAAGGCTGCAAACTGTATCTTCAGGGAATTCTTTATATATTGCCACCTGCATTCTTCTTTTCTCCAAGATCTAAGTTATTCTTCCAGGGTAATTTTTTATTTTTCTGTCTTGTGTAGCAGGCAGAGCAGGGTATGTATATAAATGCTCACATCCTAACAATATGCTGAAATTTTCATCAGGAGATCCAAAGGTGCTAAGCCTAGCTTTCTGGATGTGTTAATTCTTACTTCCGCAAGGAAAATACTGTATGGAATTGATACGACCCACGCAAAAGGCTGTTGTGCTTTTCTGATATTCACAGACACATCAGCTCCTGGATTAAATTTGGGATTTAACATAGCAGAGTCCAATCCCCTGACATTGCCTGGTAACCGCCTGGCTGAAAATAGACTTTCTGGATGACCGCTGAGTTTCTAAATCACATTACCCTTTTGTCAAGTCACGCAGCAGGTAAACAGTGGAATAATTTAGAATCTTGACATCAGGGAAAAGCACGCACTCCAGAGAGGAATTAGGCTCTCCAAGGCTGCATCTCTCCTTTGCCTTCTCCTTGTCCTGGAAGTGTCTCGTAAAATCGTGAGTCATCCGCCATCCTTTCACTCCAAGTCCTGTCCTGTTAGGGGCCCACCAGCCCAATAGGGTTTGGAATGCCACCCACTCTGACACCTCACCCAAATCCTTGCACTCAGTGTCTCCTTTGAGTCTCCCGCAGCAAACGTTTCCCATCTGGAGTAAATAAATGACCTAGGGGGCTGGACAGAAACTCATGAGAATAACAGCAACCAAAAACAGACCCAAAAGAAACAGACCATAGCATAGATGATTTTCCCCCAACTTTTTAATATGAAAATGTTCAAAAATGAAAGGCGATGGACTAGTACAACAAATACATACACACCCATCACCTACGCTCACCAAATGCTCATATTTCAGCATTTTTTGCTTTATCTATCTATGTATCCATTTGATCTTATGTGTGTGTGTGGCCGTGTGTGTGTTGGCCTTACCCTTTAAAAGTAAGTTGCTGATATCATGACACTTCACTCCTATATTTCACAGCATTTGTTTTCTCAAAATAAGGACATTCTCTTACATGACTTTAATACCATTATCACACCTAACAAATTAAGAGTAATTCATAATATCATCTACTGTTAGTCCACATTCCAATAGCTTTCCTTATCCCAAAAACTCAAGCATGGTGTTTGATTACTATAGCTCTTTAGGCCCTTTTAATAAAGACCAGTTCTCTTACCTTTTATTTTAATGATAGTGACTTTTTTACATGTGTCCAGGCCAGTTGTCTTACAAAATGTCCCACATTGAGCATGGGTGAGTTGCAACTGGAAGGGCAGGAGAAAAGAGTTGTGCACAGCAAGGGTCAGCGGAATACATTTGACTTTCCATCTCATGCGGAGTGGAGGGCCAAGTCCACTCGGGCCTATACAACGTGCCAGCACCCCACTTCCCAGCCCCCACAGACTCCCCCTGCAGCCATGCCAGCCTTTTTGCTGTTCCCCAATATGCTAAGTGCATACCCAGCTCGAGATCTTGGCACAAATTCTCCCCTTTTCTTGAAATGCTTTTCTCTCACATCTCAAAACCATGGCCCCTTCCATCCTGAAGGTCTTTGCTCAGAGAAGCCTTCCTCCGCCACCTCATCTAAAATTGCAAACCACCTTCCCAACCTAACTTTTTCTTTATGGCACATTTCACCACCTAACTTTCTATGTGTTTTATTTCTATTGCTGATTTCCTGTCTCATCACCTGCAATATGTGTTCTTCAAGGACAGGGTTTTGCTGTGATTTCTTCATGACTGCACTCCCAGTTCATATACCAGAGTTTGACTCCATTGAATTAGCAAATATTTGTTAAAACCTACCATTGAACTCTAGAAACTGCAGAGAAGCATATGTCAGATGTCCCTCTTAAAGCTGACATGACCTGGTTATCCAGCCCCTGCTGCCCCAGGCCAGTGGTGAAGCCACTGTCCAGCAGGGAGAACAGCTGTCAGAAGCCAGGCAGGGGTAAGGCCCTGGAGCAGCTCAGAGCCAGGGCTGACCACCATCCCACTCCCACTGTCCCACTCTCCTCCTCACAATCCCCATAGCTACCTGTGTCAGTTTCTGATCATTCAACTGGGCCTCAGAGGCTCCCAGCCAGTGTGCGCTGCAAACTTGCCCTCCCTTTCCCTATAGAACCACATCACCTCCTCTAGCCACCCACCCTGCAACCTGTCCTCCTGAGGCCACTGATCTTTCTAAGAAGCAAAGATGGCCAAGTCTTTCCCTCTGCTCAAAATATTTCACTGGCATCCCTCCTTCCACAGGCGGAGAACCCAGGCTGATCTATGCAGAACACCCTTCCTGATCCGGCTACCACCTTCCCAACCTCCATCCCCTGCCATCCCCATCTCCACCTTGACAATACTAAATTATGTGTAGCAGTTTCTGGGATGACTGTTCTCCTCACGCCTCTCACTTACTTCACCTTCTGTCCAGCATGCACCTCCGCTCCTACCCCATCACCTCCAGTGTGCCATCCTGGCAAACTTCTACTCTTCCTTCAAGTTTCAACTCAAATGCTACCTCCCCTTAGAAACTTTTCTGAACTTCCTTCTGCTATAGTCAAACTGGACATTGCGTTTAAAATGAATATCACTTTAACAAAAATCACATCACCACTGTTTGCTTTTCTGTCTTCAGCTGGACCTCAACAGGGTCCTTAAAGGCATGCCCTATGAAAAAGCTTGGGTCTGTCCAGCTTTGCATCCATGGAGTCTGTGGCAAAAGACTAGGAGTTTAATAAACTTGGATGACTTGGTCTAAGTAGCTGGGTAGAGCCGTTTGCTGAGATCCTTAAGGATCAGAGTTAGTGACCCTGATCTACATCCTGACTTTACGGCTAAGGCCTGGAGTTAATGGTAAACGTCCTCATTGTTTCGGTTTGCTGAAATATCATGTAAACTCAACATCAGGCGGCTGTTTGACTGGGGACAAACAATTCTGCATTCCAGAGCACGTTGACCCTGTGTGCAGGTTGCTCTGTTTGCTTTTCACTAACAAAGAAGTTCTCATTTGAGGCTGTGAAATTTAAACCACATTCTCTGTTCCACCTTGCTCTCCCTCATACGTGTGTGTGTGTGTATGTGTGTGAGTGTGTGAGAGACAGAGACAGAAAGAGAAAGAAACAGAGAGAGACAGAGACAGAGAGACATAGAAGCCATAGAATTTGCCTGGTGCTGTGCTTCAAGCCAGCACAAACTAACGCAAGCTAGAAATCTTCTGACACAAATGGAAGACTGTATAATGCACGAGGATTAGGCACCAGGTCCACAGGGCCACAGCAGGCTGCCACTAGCTTGAACAGGCCACCTGCTTCCAAAGCACTGACAAACATAAACAACATTCGTGCCAATTCGCCCCTCCATTTTATTTCCATCTTAAGAGACATTTTATTTGTCACCCACTGGAGTCCAGACAGTTAGATGTGCCTGACATTTCGGTCATGGTCAACACTCAATACATGGCATTCTTAGGATTTCTTGAGGGAGTTTGGTCTGATTGTCTACAGCCTAAGAACCTTCCACATTGTGAATGCGCTGCTGTCATTTTTACCTGTGGCCATGACATGTCCACATAGGTACAATATCACTTAATGTTATTATTATAAATTTTTAGCTATCATTCTTCCCCATAAGGGAACTTGAATTCATAATTCTGCATAGTGACGGTATCCACAGGGGACCCCAGGCTACTCAAATCCTCATGCTAAGAGTTTATAGACTATGGGCTGAAGATGAGTAAGCATTTCCCGCCATTCCTTCCCGGGCTATTAGCATTGTTTCAGTTTTTCTGGTTTGAACCAAAGCCAGTTGAATCTCCTCCAAGTTCCAGTTTTGGTCAGATCTCAGGAGACAGCCTGTCTGGTTGTTCAAAAAACAAATATCTGCCTGAACATCCACCCGACCTGGAGTTATGGCAGATCACAGCTGCCTAATGACCCCACCAAGTGTCCCTTCCACCGGGCAGGGGAGGGGAACAGCATGAAGCGCTGTAATCTCTCCCTCTGAGGTTGCTGAAGCCTAAATAAGAAGTCCTGCAAGCAGACGGCGAGGCTGCCGAGCCTGTTTCCTTCTTGCACGATTTGTCTCTCCCACCAGGTGTCTAAGTCATCTTTTTTCCCCCCTGTTTACTAAATGTCTCCTGTCATGGCCTCAAAGTACTTTAGACTAGCGTCTACCAGTATTTAGTGAGAATTTCCTGGGCCTGCTTCTGATATGTTTCCCAAAAGGATCTGAGAGATCTAGAAAAGGGGTCTCCACCCATGAGGAGTTTATAATCCAGAGGTGAAGACAAAAAATATATATAACAATAGACAAAATGGTGATATACAATTATTATATTACACACACATATTAGGGACCTTGTGATCAATAGGTTTTTCTGCAAATAGGTGACATCATCTACAGATTGGCATCTAGAACTTGTCCATTAAAGGAGCAGGGGTGGCATGGGATTTCATTCAGTGCTTTAAACAATCTATTTTTTATAGGACTTTTTTTGCTTTCTAGTTGCACAGCTCCTTTACGTAATTATTTGAAAGTAGGCTCTGAAAGGTACAGAAGGTGAACTAAGCACACACAGTGTTCTCCTGTTCCAGGTCCTTAGAAATGATAGAAACACACACACACATGTGCATACTTACAAATATATATATATGCACACACATGTACGTGCATACATATACATATATATGTATTCAGAGACAAGAGTAGGAATCTTCCCATGGACCATAAACTGTAAGGAATCCTGGAAAGAGGAAAAACAGAAACTGATGGAAGAAGGAAACTCCAATCTGAGATGCTCAGAGAAGGTACTCTTGCAAGGGGTTGGAGATAGAGGTAGAGGATGCTCGAAGCAAGGGAGATTTGGCAGCAATTAACGTGCCACGTGCCCATCTGGTGGTAGGTGACGGTTCCAGGAGGAAAACCCACGTCTTTTCTTTCTAATGCCTGTATTTCCACCACAGATTCTTGAATAGGCACAGGAGACTAGCAGGGTCTACACAGCACAAAGTGAGTAGAAATTTGGCTGTTTCTTATTAATTTGAGCTCTGTACGTTTAGTAAACTGTGTTATTCAGGATTGATTATGATTTAAACAATCTACTTTTAAAACATTTTGAAACTGAGTAACAGTGACTTCAAATATTTTTCATTGAACTATAGTCTGACTTTTTAATTCAGTGTAAAGTTCCTCATCAAATTTACCACCATAAATTTATGTTTAAATATGTTTAAATGTGTAAGCACATAGGTCTATCTCTCTCTCTTTTTTTTTTTCCTTCCTACTAGGAAGCTCAAAGCAAGTTTTTGTGCTAATCTCCAAACATTAATGTAACAGAGGTAGAATCTGGTCACTAATATTGAAACCGCCCAAGGGGTTCACCTTGCCCCCTGCCTAGACAGAGCCGATTCATCAAGACAGGGGAACTTCAATAGAGAAAGAAAAATTCACCAGAGCAGGCTCTGCGGGAGACTGGAGTTTTATTATTACTCAAATCAGTCTCCCCGAGCGTTCGTTTGGGGAGCAGAGTTTTTAAGGATAACTCGGTGGGTGGAGGGAAGCCAGTGAGCCAGGAGTGCTGATTGGTCAGAGATGAAATCATAGGGAATTGAAGCTGTCCTCTTGCTCTGAGTCAGTTCCTGTGTGGGGGCCAAAAGATCAGTGGGCCAGTTTATTAATCCGGGTGGTGCCAGCTGATCCATCAAGTACAGAGTCTGCGAAATATCTCAAGCACTGATCTTAGGAGCAGTTTAGGGAGGGTCAGAATCTTGAAGCCTCCAGCTGCATGACTCCTAAACCATAACTTCTAATCTTCTAGCTAATGTTAGTCCTACAAAGGCAATCTAGTCCCCAGGCAAGAAGGAGGTCTGCTTTGGGAAAGGGCTGTTACTGTGTTTGTTTAAACCATAAACTAAGTTTCTCCCAAAATTAGTTCGGCCTAAGCCCAGGAATGAACAAAGACAGCTTGGAGGTTAGAAGCAAGATGGAGTTGGTTAAGTTAGATCTCTTTCACTGTCTCCATCATACTTTTGCAAAGACAGTTTCAATATTATAAACAACTTTTGCATGATTTATATTTTTAATTATCTTTCTTGCTCTATGGTATAAATAGTAAATAGGCAGGATGTGATAAAAAGCATAGGCAGTGGAGAAAGGAGGCATGAATTTGAACCTGCTCCTTCCTCATTATATGAACTTGGAAAAGAATAATAATCCCTTCCTCATGGGATTTTTGTGGGGACAAGGACTAATATAAATAAAGTCTAGCACAATGTTATGCATGCTGCTTTAAGCTGTCTGGTATAGTTTTTGGAATTAGACGAGTATAAGTCATTAAAAACCATGATAAATTAACTTGTGTTTAATAAATTTGTATTACTTAACTGAATTATCTTTAAGGATAAAATCATGCTCTCAGGCCTCATCTGCAGACTTGGAACCAGAACACCTGCACTTGGACAGTTTATCACAGTCAGGTGAGGTTGAGTCGGTACTTGCTTTGAAGAGGAGTTGAGTGTTTAACCGGGGCTTAAATTAGTAGGGATATGTTCTGACAGAGGGTAGAGGACATTCTGTCTGAGGAGCACATGAGTGAGAGTGGAAGGCTAGGAAAAAGCTGGAGACAAGAGAAATCAAATCCATGAACTCACCAGAATCCCTTCAAGCCCTGCAGAGAAACAATATGGTAGAGAGGAAATCTCACAGGCTTAGCTGGCAGCAGGTTCCCAACTCCTGGTCAGCTACTGCTAGTTGTATGACCCTAGGCAAGGCATGCAACCTTTTCAAACTTCCATTTCATCCTAGCAAAATTGGTAAAATAATACTGAATTTAGTATGGAAGATTAGAGATGATCTGTGTAAAGGAAGTGACCTGTCCCCTAGGAAGTTTGGTAAGTAGCTTATTATTAGCTGTTAGTTCTCATTCGCTATTATAATCCCCTAACAGCACTGTGAAGCAGATCTCTAACACAAATTAAAACTAGCCAACCATCCAGCCACAGCAAAAGCAGACACTGATGAGCTAACAAACAGCAAACAGAAAACACTGTGTTTTAAAACATTCATTAAATTTAAAAATTCCTAGAAAGGTTGATCAAGGAAAAAAATAGAAAATACAAATTATCAATAACAGACTTAAAGGTGTGTCAGTATAGTTACTACAGCTGTTATTAAAAGATAATAATGGCATATTATTTTAAAAATTACACTAATCAATTTGGCAATTTAAGGGAAATGAACAAATTCCCGGAAAATGTAATTTATGAAAGAACAAGAATAAATACAAAAATCTGAATATATCTATTTATTAAATTTATTTTATTGAGTTTATTAAATTTATTTATTATCTAGTTTACCTATTAAGGAAATTAAATTTGTGATTAAAGACCTTACCACCAAGAAAGCTGATGGCCCAGATAACTTTTACTAATGAGTTCCATCAAACATTTGAGATGAAAATAATATCAATCTTACATGGTCTTTCAGAAAATCTAAAGCCAGACTAACCCTGATATGGAAATCTGACAGACATTACAAAGAGAAATTTGCAGATTGATATCATTTATGAACATAGATTCAAAGGTCTTTAAATATTAGTAAATAGCAATCTGCAACATATAAAAGAGATAATACCTCATGACCAAATGGGTATCATCCTAGGAATGCAAGATTAGTTCGATATTCAAAAATTATCCAATGCAATTTGCCACATTAACAGAACAAAGGAGAAAACCATAGACTCATCACCATAGATGCAGCGAAACTGATGACAAGATTCCATATCCATTCATCACAAAATCTATCAGCAGACCAGGAATAGAAAGGAGCCTCCTCATTAAGACAAAGAGCATCTGTGAAAAACCTCCACCTAACATCATACTTCATGTGAAAATAGTGGATGTGCTCCCCTCCATAATCAGGAACAAGACAGGGATGTTCGTTCACACTACTTCTAGTTTAGAAATCATTGTCCTCAAGAACAATATCATGCCTTGCCTTACTGGTCAGTCCAACATCACGGGCAGTGGCTGAAACATCTGAAGTCAGGTGACAAATCAGGCCTCGGGAGAGAAGGAGGAATAATAGTAATTATATCTACAATTCCACTCATGTAAAAACAACTCCCTGTAGATACCCCTATTTGAAATTATCTTGTTGTGAATTTTTTTAAGGGTAGGCACCATTTTCCCAGGTGTATAGATACCATAGAAGCAAAGTACCTTGCAGAAGGTCATTCAATCAATGACCAGGGGGAGAGAAAGTCAAACCCAGGTCTTCCTGGTGCCAGGTTGATCTTCCACTCTGCCTAGATTCTAAGATGCCATTATATTTAGATTCAGAAGTCAAACCTGAATGGAATGATTAATACCCTCACAATTCTAGCAGAAAGTAAAAAGGATGTACCACTTCAAATGTATTTAAATAAAGTAGTCAAAAATACATGCCATAGAAATTTGCGGGAGGATTTCCACCATTATGCTAGTGTTGGAGACAAGGATAATAATCTTGCTTTGGTGGAGCCAAGATGGCCGAATAGGAACAGCTCCAGTCTACAGCTCCCAGCACGAGTGATGCAGAAGATGAATGATTTTTGCATTTCCAACTGAGGTACCGAGTTCATCTCACTGGGGATTGTAGGACAGTGGGTGCAGGACAGTGGGTGCAGCACACCGAGCATGAGCCAAAGCAGGGCGAGGCATCACCTCACCCAGGAAGCACAAGGAGTCAGGGAATTCCCTTTCCTAGCCAAGGAAAGGTGTGACAGACAGCATCTAGAAAATCAGGTCACTTCCACCCTAATACTGAGCTTTTCTGACAGTCTTAGCAAACAGCACACCAGGAGATTATATCCCACGCATGGCTCGGAGGGTCCTACGCCCATGGAGCCTCGCTCATTGCTAGCACAGCAGTCTGAAATCAAACTGCAAGGTGGCAGCGAGGCTGGGGGAAGGACGCCTGCCATTGCTGAGTCTTGAGTAGGTAAACAAAGCAGCCAAGAAGCTCGAACTGGGTGGAGCCCACCGCAGCTCAAGGAGGCCTGCCTGCCTCTCTAGACTCCACCTCTGGGAGCAGGGCATAGTCAAACAAAAGGCAGCAGAAACCTCTGCAGACTTAAATGCCCCTGTCTGACAGCTTTGAAGAGAGTAGTGGTTCTCCCAGCATGCAGCTTGAGATCTGAGAGCAGACAGACTGCCTCCTCAAGTGGGTCCCTAAATCCCGAGCAGCCTAACTGAGAGGCACCCCCGAGTAGGGGCAGACTGACACCTCACACGGCCAGGTACTCCTCTGAGACAAAACTTCCAGAGGAATGATCAGGCAGCAACATTTGCTGTTCACCAATATCCACTGTTCTGCAGCCTCCACTGCTGATACCCAGGCAAACAGGGTCTGGAGAGGACCTCCAGCAAACTCCAACAGACCTGCAGCTGAGGGTACTGACTGTTAGAAGGAAAACTAACAAACAGAAAGGACATCCACACCAAAACCCCATCTGGATGTCACCATCATCAAAGACCAAAGGTAGATAAAACCACAAAGATGGGGAAAAAACAGAGCAGAAAAACTGAAAATTCTAAAAATCAGAGTGCCTTTCCTCCTCCAAAGGAACGCAGCTCCTCACCAGCAACGGAACAAAGCTGGACGGAGAAGGACTTTGACGAGTCAAGAGAAGAAGGCTTCAGACAATCAAATTACTCCGAGCTAAAGGAGGAAGTTTGAACCCATGGCAAATAAGTTAAAAACCTTGAAAAAAAATTAGACGAATGGCTAACTAGAATAACCAATGCAAAGAAGTCCTTAAATGACCTGATGGAGCTGAAAACCACGGCACGAGAACTACTTGATGAATGCACAAGCTTCAGTAGCCGATTCCATCAACTGGAAGAAAGGGTATCATGATGGAAGATCAAATGAATGAAATGAAGCAAGAAGAAAAGTTTACAGAAAAAAGAATAAAAAGAAATGAACAAAGCCTCCAAGAAATATGGGACTATGTGAAAAGACCAAATCTACGTCTGATTGGTGTACCTGAAAGTGACGGAGAGAATGGAACTAAGTTGGAAAACACTCTGCACGATATTATCCAGGAGAACTTCCACAATCTAGCAAGGCAGGCCAACATTCAAATTCAGGAAATACAGAGAATGCCACAAAGATACTCCTCAAGAAGAGCAACTCCAAGACACATAATTGTCAGATTCACCAAAGTTGAAATGAAGGAAAAAATGTTAAGGGCAGCCAGAGAGAAAGGTCGGGTTACCCACAAAGGGAAGCCCATCAGACTAACAGCTGATCTCCTGGCAGAAACTCTACAAGCCAGAAGAGAGTGGGGGCCAATATTCAACATTCTTAAAGAAAAGAATTTTTGACCCAGAATTTCATATCCAGCCAAACTAAGCTTCATAAGTGAAGGAGAAATAAAATCCTTTACACACAAGCAAATGCTGAGAGATTTTGTCACCACCAGGCCTGCCCTAGAAGAGCTCCTGAAGGAAGCACTAAACATGGAAAGGAACAACCGGTACCAGCCACTGCAAAAACATGCCAAATTGTAAAGACCATCAAGGCTAGGAAGAAACTGCATCAACTAACAAGCAAAATAACCAGCTAACATCATAATGACAGGATCAAATTCACATATAACAATATTAACCTTAAATTGTGAATGGGCTAAATGCTCCAATTAAAAGACACAGACTGGCAAATTGGATAAAGAGTCAAGACCCATCAGTGTGCTGTATTCAGGAAACCCATCTCATATGCAGAGACACACATAGGCTCAAAATAATGGGATGGAGGAAGATCTACCAAGCAAATGGAAAACAAAAAAAGGCAGGGGTTGCAATCCTAGTCTCTGATAAAACAGACTTTAAACCAACAAACATCAAAAGAGACAAAGAAGGCCATTACATAATGGTAAAGGGATCAATTCAACAAGAAGAGCTAACTATCCTAAATATATATGCACCCAATACAGGAGCACCCACATTCATAAAGCAAGTCCTTAGAGACATACAAAGAGACTTAGACTCCCACACAATAATAATGTGAGACTCTAACACCCCACTGTCAACATTAGACAGATCAACGAGACAGAAAGTTAACAAGGATATCCAGGAACTGAACTCAGCTCTGCACCAAGTGGACCTAATAGACATCTACAGAACTCTCCACCCCAAATCAACAGAATATACATTTTTTTCAGCACCACACCACACCTATTCCAAAACTGACCACATAGTTGGAAGTAAAGCTCTCCTCAGCAAATGTAAAAGAACAGAAATTATAACAAACTGTCTCTCAGACCACAGTGCAATCAAACTAGAACTCAGGATGAAGAAACTCACTCAAAACCGCTCAACTACATGGAAACTGAACAACCTACTCCTGAATGACTACTGGGTACATAATGAAATGAAGGCAGAAATATTTCATAACAGGCTATGAAATTGAGGCAATAATTAATAGCTTACCAACCAAAAAAAGTCCAGGACCAGACGGATTCACAGCCAAATTCTACCAGAGGTACAAGGAGGAGCTGGTACTATTCCTTCTGAAACTATTCCAATCAATAGAAAAAGAGGGAATCCTCGCTAACTCATTTTATGAGGCCAGCATCATCCTGATACCAAAGCCGGGCAGAGACACAACAAAAAAAGAGAATTTTAGACCAATATCCCTGATGAACATCGATGCAAAAATCCTCAGTAAAACACTGGCAAACTGAATCCAGCAGCACATCAAAAAGCTTATCCACCATGAACAAGTGGGCTTCATCCCTGGGATGCAAGGCTGGTTCAACTTACGCAAATCAATAAACGTAATCCAGCATATAAACAGAACCAACGACAAAAACCACATGAGTATCTCAATAGATGCAGAAAAGGCTTTGACAAAATTCAACAACCCTTCATGCTAAAAACTCTCAATAAATTAGGTATTGATGGGACATATCTCAAAATAATAAGAGCTATCTATGACAAACCCACAGCCAATGTCATACTGAATGGGCAAAAACTGGAAGCATTCCCTTTGAAAGCTGACACAAGACAGGGATGCCCTCTCTCACCACTCCTATTCAACATAGTGTTGGAAGTTCTGGCCAGGGCAATCAGGCAGGAGGAGGAAATAAAGGGTATTCACCTAGGAAAAGAAGAAGTCAAATTGTCACTGTTTGCAGATGACATGATTGTACATCTAGAAAACTCCATCATCTCAGCCCAAAATCTCCTAAAGCTGATAAGCAACTTCAGCAAAGTCTCAGGATACAAAATCAATGTGCAAAAATCACAAGCATTCTTATACACCAATAACAGACAAACAGAGAGCCAAATCATGAGTGAACTCCCATTCAGAGCTGCTTCAAAGAGAATAAAATACCTAGGAATCCAACTTAGAAGGGATGTGAAGGACCTCTTCAAGGAGAACTACCACTGCTCAATGAAATGAAAGAGGATACAAACAAATGGAAGAACATTCCATGCTTATGGGTAGGAAGAATCAATATTCTGAAAATGGCCATACTGCCCAAGGTAATTTATAGATTCAATGCCATCCCCATCAAGCTACCAATGACTTTCTTCACAGAATTGGAAAAAACTACTTTAAAGTTCATATGGAACCAAAAAAGAGCCCGCATTGCCAAGTCAATCCTAAGCCAAAAGAACAAAGCTGGAGGCATCACGCTACCTGACTTCAAACTATACTACAAGTCTACAGTAACCAAAACAGCATGGTACTGGTACCAAAACAGAGATGTAGACCAACGGAACAGAACAGAGCCCTCAGAAATAATGCCACATATCTACAACTATCTGATCTTTGACAAACCTGACAAAAACAAGCAATGGGGAAAGGATTCCCTATTTAATAAATGGTGCTGGGAAAACTGGCTAGCCATATGTAGAAAGCTGAAACTGGATCCCTTCCTTACACCTTATACAAAAATTAATTCAAGATGGATTAAAGACTTATATGTTAGACCTAAAACCATAAAAACCCTAGAAGAAAACCTAAGCAATACCATTCAGGACACAGGCATGGGCAAGGACTTCATGTCTAAAACACCAAAAGCAATGGCAACAAAAGCCAAAATTGATAAATGGGATCTAATTCAACTAAAGCACTTCTGCGCAGCAAAAGAAACTACCATCAGAGTGAACAGGCAACCTACAGAATGGGAGAAAATTTTTGCAATCTACTCATCTGACAAAGGCCTAATATCCAGAATCTACAATGAACTCAAACAAATTTACAAGAAAAAAACAAACAACCCCATCAACAAGTGGGCGAAGGATATGAACAGACACTTCTCAAAAGAAGACATTTATGCAGCCAAAAGACACATGAAAAAATGCTCATCATCACTGGCCATCAGAGAAATGCAAATCAAAACCACAATGAGATACCATCTCACACCAGTTAGAATGGCAATCATTAAAAAGTCAGGAAACAACAGGTCCTGGAGAGGATGTGGAGAAACAGGAACACTTTTACACTGTTGGTGGGACTGTAAACTAGTTCAACCATTGTGGAAGTCAGTGTGGCAATTCCTCAGGGATCTACAACTAGAAATACCATTTGACCCAGTCATCCCATTACTGGGTATATACCCAAAGGATTATAAATCATGCTGCTATAAAGACACATGCACACGTGTGTTTATTGCGGCACTATTCACAATAGCAAAGACTTGGAACCAACCCAAATGTCCAACAATGATAGACTGGATTAAGAAAATGTGGCACATATACACCATGGAATACTATGCAGCCATAAAAATGATGAGTTCCTGTCTTTTGTAGGGACATGGATGAAGCTGGAAACCATCATCCTCAGCAAACTATTGCAAGAACAAAAAACCAAACACTGCATGTTCTCACTCATAGATGGGAAGTGAACAATGAGAACACATGGACACAGGAAGGGGAATATCACACACCGGGGCCTGTGTGGAGATGGGGGAGGGATAACATTAGGAGATATACCTAATGTTAAATGACGAGTGAATGGGTGCAGCACACCAACATGGTATATGTATACATATGTAACAAACCTGCACGTTGTGCACATGTACCCTAAAACTTAAAGTATAATAATAATAATAATAATAATAATCTTGCTTTCCCAGCTACAGTGAGGCACTTCTATCATGCACCATACACTTGTTAGAGAGACTCTGGGAGGAAAGTGTGTCACTCTCCTCCTGGCTTAGACCCTACCTGGAAGCTGTATAAAAACAATGCAGGGCCATGTACCTCCACAATAGCCACATATATGATTAATAAAGCTATCAATCAGAATATAGTGCAATGATTTCTAAACCATGCCTTCTACAGGGAAACTCAACAAAATGGCTAAAAGAAAATCTTTTCATAGCCCTATCTTTCCAAATCTCTCTCTCTCTCTCTCTCACACACACACACACATATATACACACAACTACACCTATCCTGTTGTTTACTTGCCACTCATAGACCATACCTTCAAAACTTAAACTTTGACATCACTAGGTACCAAAAATTCTCAGGGTATCTAACCTCAGACCCACAGAGTAAAAGAGAACTCTGTTTGATTTCTAGTCCCCATTTTCTTTTTTTTTTCCCTTTTTTTTTTTTTTTTTTTTTTTTTTTTTTTTTTTGATACAGAGTCACTCTGTTGCCCAGGCTGGAGTGCAGTGGCACAATCTTGGCTCACTGCAACCTCTGCCTCCTGGATTCAGGTGATTCTCCTGCCTCAGCCTCCCCAGTAGCTGGGACTACAGGTGCATGCCACCACACCTGGCTAATTTTTTATTTTTAGTAGAGACGCGGCTTCACCATGTTGGCCAGGCTGGTCTTGAACTCCTGACCTCAGGTGATCACCCACCTCAGCCTCCCAAAGTGCTGGGATTACAGGCATGAGCCAATGCTCCTAGCCTTATTTCCCATTTTCAAAGTGGACTGCACTAAGGACTTTCTTAGTGCAGGATGAGAAGCCAGCTATTCACAATATGCGGTAATGAAGTGGTTGATCAAATGACAGCATATTGTGCTATGGGATTCAGATGACTTGCGCACCAGAAATGAGGTTTTAGGGGACCTGGTAAATAAATATCAGGTAACCAGAATTCATCAACTATTTCCTTATGACCTTCAGTAAGTGCAAGCAGCAGGAGACACATTCCAATTCAGTTTCTGAGGTGGAAGTAGACAGAAGAAAAATTGGGCTACCACACCATTTCTGTGGATTAGATCAACATGCTGATTTGGAAAGTGTGGGATTCTGATCATTAAAGGGGGTATCCAGTTGGAGTCGGCAAGGTTTTCTTACTCTCAGGGTTCACCCATGTTGGCTAGCAATATGCCAGTGATCACTAGCAGAAGGGCAATGCTTGAAAGCTGACTGCTTCAAAAAGGGGAAATAAGTAAAACCACAGAAATCGGGGCCTGAAACATTCCTTAAAAAGTTCCCTGGGAAAGTTTCCATTCTTGCGGGGACCATAGAGTGGAATCATTTCAGGGAAGACACATGCCATTCATAGGTTCTTGCACTAGATCTTGGACATCAGTAACATCACACAATCCATAGCAAACAAGGAAGCAAAACCCACAGCCTCCAGAATCACTTAAAGTAGTAATGCCATATCCTAAATCCCACAAAATGAGAGTAAATATATTGTTCACACTGATTATATAAGGCCTCCCAGTGTTCTCTAAAGAGCTCTATTGTATTCAGCCTAGAAATGTACATCCCAGCTACGGGGAGCTTTAAACATGTAATGGACAATAATTGCCTTCTTGCAGTTCACAAGAGTTTTTTGAGGTAATGATACAAATGGCCTATTTTCCTAACAAAAAAAACAAGCAAATACAAATCCCAACCTGAGACATTTGTGCTCCTGCCTGCTTATCAGAAACATTCAAACGCAGTCCTAAACACCATCTTAGCTTTTGTCATGTTTTCAGACATTTAAAAAGGGGAAGGTGCTTTAGAAACTCTCCAGCCCACCCACCATCAGTCTCCGGAGTTTACAATAAGGAAACCAAGACCCAGGGAGCTTAACCCATGGCCATAATCATCATGATGTGTCTCCTCCCTCTTCGAATGCTAATTATATGATTTTAATAAGATGTAAATATATCCAGAAAGACTGCCTCTCTCGTCAATAGGTATAAGTGACCAATGCTACTCAGTTATGATTAATAAAAAAAGTAAAATGAAAGGTAAAGTGATGTGTCATGTTCCATCATGTGAGAAATGCATTATTTTGGAGGTTGCCACAACTGTATTACAATTTGGATGTTCACATCAGACCAAAGGCAATTTGGAAACAGGAAGTGTTTTAGTGACATGAAACTTTTATGGTGATAGTCCTCGGAGCAATTCACATATCATAGACCAAGTGTTTTTGAAATTATCATTTTATAGGACTGTACTTTGCTTTTTTGTTTTTTAGAGACAGAGTCTTCTTTCTTCACCCAGGCTGGAGTGCAGTGGCACAGTCATAGCTCAAACTCCTGGGCTAGAGTGATCCTCCCCTCTCAGCCTCCTGAGTAGTTAGAGCTGCACCACCACAGCCAGCTAATTTTTTATTTTGTTAGAGATGGGGTCTCTGTATGTGGCCCAGGGGTCTCACTATGTTGCCCAGACTAGTCTCAAATTCTTGGCCTCAATAAATCCTCTTGCCTCACCCTCTGAAGGTGCTGAGATTACAAGTTTGAGTCACCCAGCCTCCAAACTGTGCTTTAAAAAAAGAGACTTTGAAAAGATTTCACTACAACAATAATAGAGACTAGAATTCCAAAATCTGATTACAGCTTCCCGTACTTCTATACTTCTAGTTTTCTTTCTTTCCCTTCCCAGCCATCCCCCACCCCCGGCCACCATCAGTCCACACGCAAGTCTGGCCCCACAGGAGCCTGCAAGGCCTGTCATTTCAGTCACGCTCACCCTGCTAGCCTCTTGAGACAATCATTCTGGTCTCTGCCTTTGCCACAGATCTGCAGCTTCCTGTCTGAGGCTTTGTGGTCCTTTCATTTACCTTGAAGAGACCTCCTTTTGCATCCTCAGCAATATTGACAGCAAACCAATTCCATTTTGAGCCCAAACCCCATCCAAATTCAGATGAAGGAGCGGGCCAGCTACTACAGCTGCCAATATATCAGAAAGGGGAACTAAACCAACAGGGAAATAAATCTGCAATATGTTGTCTGTGACTTCAGCTTTCCACATGACACTCTTCACATCGCCAGCCAAATGGCAGCCCACTCCTGGTTCTTACCAATGTGTAAAGTTAAAAGCATTCTGCACGACAAGACCTTTCTCTGTGGCAGACGCCAGCACCTTGGATGGTTCAGCGCAGACAGAATCACAGATCTTGGGAATAGATCTGGTGATCCTGGCACACTTGAGGAGCTAAGGAAATACAGACACTGCACAATGCAAGCTGCAGTCTCATTTACCAGTCACAGTTGCTCACTCTATTATCTCAATGCAATTAACTCTAATAAGTCTCCTAGGAAGTTGTCTGGTTCAGACAAAAAAAAAAAAAATCTCAAAAAAAAAAAAAATGGCCAGGCACAGTGTCTCACACCTGTAATCCCAGCACTTTGGGAAGCCAAGCTCGGTGGATCACGAGGTCCGGAGATCAAGACCATCCTGGTGATCTCCTGGTGGAACATCCTGGTGTTTCACTAAACATGGTGAAACCCCATCTGTACTAAAAATAAAAAAAAAAATAGCTGGGTGTGGTGGCGCCTGACTGTAATCCCAGCTACTTGGGAGGCTGAGGCACAAGAATCACTTGAACCCAGGAGGCAGAGGTTTCAGTAAGCCGAGATCACACCACTGCACTCCAGCCTGGCGACAGAGCGAGACTCGGTCTCAAAAAAAAGAGAGAGAGAGAGAGTGGACCAAAGAACTAAAGAAAATGTTTTGCTCTCATGGATGTGAGATTTTACAAAACAGCCATTAAATACCTTTTGAAAAAAATGTTACTGTCCATGTAACATTCTCCATATGTAGTAAATGGGAGTGCCTAACACTACAGAAAACATGTGAGGTGAAAGACAATTTCACCTAAGTGATATACTATATTCAGTGTATGTAAAACATAGGTATGCAATGTTTTAAAGAGAAAATTGGCATCTCCTTGCCATCACAAAATGGCTGTTGGACAAATAAAGAAGATCCAGTTGAGGACCACCAAATTATTGCTCTGCCCCAGAATCCCCCCGACATGTGCTGAGTCACCTTGACCGAAGCCCCATTTTATTAGCATGCCCAGCAAGGAACATTATCCCAGCTCTTCTCCTGCATCCCCTCCCTCCCTTTTTTTTTTTTTTTTTTTTTTTTTTTGAGACAGAGTTTCGCTCTATCCCCCAGACTGGAGTGCAATGGGACGATCTCAGCCCACTGCAACCTCTGCCTCCCGGGTTCAAGTGATTCTCCTGCCTCAACCTCCCTAGTAGCTGGGATTATATGTGCCCACCACGCCCAACTAATTTTCTATTTTTAGTAGAGAAGGGGTTTCGCCATGTTGGCCAGGCTGGTCTCGAACTCCTGACCTCAAGCGATCCTCCCACTTCAGTCTCCCAAAGTCTTGGGATTACAGGCATGAACCCCCACACCTGACCCTCTCCTCTCCTTCTTAAAGTTGCCCCAACCTGAGCCATTTCTGTGCTTTGCTCTTTCCTACCTCAAAGGCAGAGGTTCCTCCTCCTTTCCAAAGCTGCTTCTTTCTTAGTTCCCACATCGAATTATGAGTTTATCAGTCATTTTCTCTCTCATCTCTTCTGTCCCCTATTCTTTATTTAAGTCCTTCCCCTTGGGAAACACCAGAAAGGGCCTGAGTCGGCCTTATCCAAACACACACACATTTTCTCCTCCCCAGGACCCTGATTTACTATCCTCTTTCTTTTTTACACATCATCTCCAAACATCCAAAGGCATCGTCTGTGTAAATAACCTGTATTCCCTCGCCACCTCCACATGCTTTCACCAGAAGTGCAAACAGACAGGCAGTGGAGTTGAGAGAGCCAGACCAGCTGGGGCTGGGGCACACTGGAGGTGTCATAGAGCAAAGGGGCTCGCCGCCAGATGCGCAAAAAACCAATACTGTGGCATCAGCTTTTGAGAAAAGAAAGGCTTGACTGCAAGACTGGCCAGCAAGGAGACAGGAGATGCTCAAATCTGCCTCCTCAATCTGGGGTCTAGAGCAAGATTTAAGGGGTCATAGGGCAAGGGAGAGGATTTCGGAATGTTGGCTTAGAAGGGCCTGATTGGACGGATTCAAATTTGACCATTTACACGCCTGTAATCCCAGCACTTTGGGAGGCCGAGGCGGGCAGATCACGAGGTCAGGAGATCGAGACCATCCTGGCGAACATGGTGAAACCCCGTCTCTACTAAAAATACAAAAAAAATTAGCCGGGCATGGTAGCGGGCGCCTGTAGTCCTAGCTACTTGGGAGGCTGAGGCAGGAGAATGGCGTGAACCTGGGAGGCGGAGCTTGCAGTGAGCCGAGATCGCACCACTGCACTCCAGCCTGGGCGAGAGCGAGACTCCGCCTCAAAAAAAAAAAAAAATTTTTGACCATTTACAGTAAAGTATTTTGAGGTGGATTTTATACCCAAATCTTCTGAACCAATGTCCCCTTCACTTTTGAAAGGGTTCCAGTATTCAGGTTTGAGTCATGTCACAGTCTTCCTGGTTCCATGGGGAGGAATTGTTGGTTCCAGGTGTTGTTAGGTGTTTTTCTGTTGAGCCAGCCCAGGCTATATGACTTGCAGTTTGGCTCTGTTCTACCTACAAGGTAACTTGACATTCCCTTATCAACAGAGTAGGCCCAGTTTGGGCTGGTCCTGCATTTACAGAGGGGGCAACTCCACTTACCTCCCCAACCCATGCCTCTGCTAGAAGAGCTCCAGCTACAGAGGAATGAGAGCCCATATTCCAAACCCATGCGATCTGAGGGACCAGATCACGCGTGTTTGGAATTATGAATTTTTATGTGAAAGCTACCAATTTTTAAATGTTATAAATTTATTTGATGTTTTAAGTGTTGAGGATCAAATAAAATACTTCTTGTCAAATTCAACCTATGGTGCTGAAATTTGCAAACTATGCTTTAAACCTTTTGTTTCCTTCACCCAATGCTCTCCAAAAACAGTTCTCTTAAAGGTCACCAGTGACCTCTGAGCTGCCTTAAACAGTGGCCTTTCTCATCTCATCCTCCTCAAACTTCTGTGCATGTAGCAAGTGTTATCACAAACTCCTGTGTTGCACTGCCAGAACTATGATGATTCCATGACTCCACCTTCCACTTCTTATTCTGTCTTGTCTCCTCTTTCTTTGGCTTACCTTGCCAGATCATGTTCTTTTTTCCCCTTTCAAAAATCTTTAATTGCAAAGATCATCTATTCTTTGGGCTTGGACTGTTTCAACTACAGAGGTCACTCCCAAAAATATATCTAGCTCCTCTGCTCAGCTCCAGTCTCAGACTTTTCTGTGTTGTGTGCAAGACCCCCAAAATCCCTGTGCTAACTCATCACCTTCCTTGGCACCATTGCCTCCAAACTTGCTTATTCCAGCCCTTTCTTCCTGATAAACCAGGTGCAAAACTTCACCCCTTGCTCCCTCTATTCTGACACCCAATGAATTTTCATTTCTCTTTTCTTCTTTTTGAAAAATCTGTCATTAATGGCTTCTTTTCCTTCCTTCTGCTTCTACTCTCACTAGCTCTCAGCTGGACCGTGAATTCCAAAGCGTCCATATCCATTTCCCAAACCCTCATTCTTACCTCTTCCCCTCTGCTGCACCGCAACTCAAGTCCTGTCACTCCTCTGCTTGGAACAATGAAATGACTTCCCATTGCTTATACAGAATGTATAACCTCAAGACCCCCTGTGAGCTTACCCTTCCCTATCTTTCCAGGCTGCTCTCCCTCCACTCCCTTTCCAATGCATTTCAACCACTTCTCTACCTGTGCCCTAAACACACCTGGCTCTCCCTGCTTAAGCCACTCTCTCTGCATGAAATATCCTTCCTTCCCTCTACCAAAATTCCAATGGCAAGCAAAACCCTTTTTGAATGTCTCAATTGCTTCTTGATTAATGTAATCCTCCTCTTCTCTGAAACCCTATTCCCCTCTACCTATTCCTCTGGTGGTCCTAATCACCGTCAGTTCTCCATTAGAGTTTCTGATGCATGTGTTATCCTTATAGAGAGTGGTTTCCAGGAGTGGCAGGCTTTGAGTCCCATCTGTCTTGGCTTCCACACAACCCTAGCTCAGTAACCTCCATCTATAATACATATACTTGAGGACCAGACGACTGGGCCAGTGTTCTGACTGTATGTGTAACAGGCACATTGTAGGTTTTCATCAGCTGGGTCTGAGTCTGGTAGGATGGGAAAGTGAGGCCTGCCTGACTTGCATAGTGAGGAAATCTTGGAATTAGAACAACACATACATAGCGGGTGAGTTACAGGGGTGGGCTCACATTTCTCGTTTTACCTTGACACTGGTTCATATCAAGTGGACTTTACTACTATTTTGAGTTCTCCTTCCTAAATTTCTAGCTTCCAGTTTGAGATTAGAACTATTTCTTCGTCACCAGGATAGCAAGCTCTTTTGTGTCTTTTTGTCTGAAGAAAAATAGTTCTCAGAGTTCCCCCTCCCATCCCACCATTCTACACACAGTATTGCCTTGGACTTGCCCTACTCCAGGATTCAGCCCCCAGGATCTGACCCACAACATTGCCTTGGCCTATAAAATTTTCATTTTGTTCCCTTTAAAAATAAATGCAGTGTTTTTATACTGAAACAAGGATGCATCCCACATGGTCAAACATAATTCAAACAGAGCAGTGTGTGTATTCAATGAAAAGTCTCCCTCCCCACACCACAGTCCCTGAGTTCATCTCCTCAAAGACAATCACTCTACCATTTTCTTGGGTACCCTTCCACTTTTCCCTCACTTGCAATGGAATGATTGCTGTTTTTATAGGAACAAAAGAACACCGTGCACACTCCTGTGCTCCTTAGGTTTTGTTCTTAACAATATTCAGTAATTTGTAAATCTAAGTGAATACATGCAAAGCCCTTAGAACAGTGCCCAGCCCATAGTTTATGCTAAATAAATGTCCCTTCACATGGGGGTATATCAAAAAACACACTGCAGCCTTCAAGAGTTTAAACCAACTAGACCCCAGGAGCACACAAGAAAATGATCCAGAGCCCAGAGGTGCTTTGTTCCACTCACATTTTCAGAGACAGAGTCCCTGCAGGCTTGGCTGTCACCTCTCCCACTTCATGTGTGGCATTTGAAGAAAATATTGCCATCAGTGCTCACCTTCTCCTAAATGAAGTCACACACCTACCTCCCTCTGATTCTGCCCAGTCTAAACAATACAAGAAATAAATGCTTCATAGTGGGTTTTGCTGCAACCACTTTCAGAAAACAGAGAAAAATCCCTTCTTGCCCTTTAATTTGATTGCATAGTAATGAAAGATAAATTCAATCAGATATAATGAGCTGCGTTGAGTCAGCATCCCAAACAGTGTGGCCAAAGCTGGCTCAGCTCTGCACCAGGTCACGGGTGTTTCTAAAGGGTCATGCAGACAGTCTCTTGCTTTTGGCCACTGTCCGAAACCTCTCCGCCCAAGTCCCTGAATTAGAGCAGAACTCACAGGTGATATAAATTCAGAAGTTAGTTAGGGCAAGGGCAAGGCATGGGGAAGAGACCAGTGAAGTCTCTGTTCCTCGTCAGAAGCAGTTCTCAGTGCAGAGGGCTTTATCTGATAGCCTGAAGAACACATCCTCTGTTGTCACCACTTTCAGTTCCCTAGCGAGGGAAGCCTGCCAGCACTTCCTGTTGTTGAACACCGAGGACCCTTTGAGGTGCCTGGGGCCACACCGGCAGCTCACAGCCACCCTGCCCAGCCGGGTCAGACCAGCAACCCAGGCGGGGCTGTGGGGCTGAAGCAGGGCAAGGGCACGGGCTCTCTGAATATTTGGTTGTTTGGGTGTCTGTGGAGTTTGGGAGAGCTCGTGACTGCATTTAGGAAGGAGGCTGGTGACTTAAGTAAACACGTGCCGCTCCAGAACAAATAGTCAAGAGTCCATTTAAATTCATTCTCCCCAGAGACTTTTGTTGCAAATATGCAAGGGTTGTGGGCTCATGGACATGTGCGCACACACGCAGGGTCTGCCCAGCAACTGAAGATGGGGAGAAATGCCATCACAGTGGCGATCCAATCTCACAGGGGAGGAAACGTGAGAGGCCTGACCCTTCCATGTTCCTCGCTGAGAGGCTTATGTGGGGTGAGGGACTGGGTCAAAACAAGGCCCAGCAATCACAGACAACTGTTCTTGCCACTGAGTCTCCGCCACATTCCTCAAAGCCCTGTGCACCTGATCCACACACCCGCATAGCTGCACATTCACGGGGAAAGGAGCCTAATTTCAGAACAGCTGCGGCTTCTTCACTGAGCCCATCGTATAAACTTTCTCAAAGGCCCTGACAACAAGAATATCAAAACTCCAGGAAGAAGTTGAGTAAACAGGTCACAGTTACCTAAAGTGGCACTCGGCCAAGCCACCTGTGCCAACAGAGATCCAGGGGATGAATGACCTCAACTGCTCCAGACCAGAGCAAGGAGAAACTTTACTGCAACAACATAATTGGGCCACTAGAGCCCTATGCGCAAACGCAAAGGCAAGGGCCAGAAAGACACCCCAAAGCATGTCCTTACCTAGAGCCGTGGTTGTAAATGCCAAGACTCAGACCAAGCTCAAGAGGAAGGTCAAAAGTCCACAGTTACTGTTCATCACGGAGGGAATGAGGGCTGTGGGCTGAGCATTGTTCCGGAGGTAGAATCGGACCAAGTCCTCTGTGCACAGATAGGGGAGAGGAGCAGGGCATAAGTTTAGAGAAGGGATCAGACACTCTCCAGAGAAGGATGGATGACAACTCCATGCAGCTGTCTGGAAAGTTCAGCGCTGTTGAGCCATTCCAGTGACTTTAGGGAATTAAGATGTTTGGGGTAGAATTCCAGATAAAACTCTGAATTTAGGCTAGCTTTCAGTTACATGAGCCAAAAACCTTGGTGATATTCTTGACCTCTCTCTTCTCTCTCTCTCTTCCCCCAAACCCCCACCCCTCCATATCCAATTTGTCAGAAATTCCTATTGGCCCTGTTTTCAAAATGTATCCAAAATCTAATTATTTCTCAGCACCTCCATTGCTGTCACCCTGGTCCGAGCCACCATCATCTCTCACCTCAGTTGCTGGAAGGACTCCTCCTGGGTGCCTGTTTCAACTCTTGGTCCCTTACAGTCCACAAGGGAGCCGGAGAGATACTTTTAAAATATGTCAGATGATGTCCCTTCTCTGCTGTGAGAAACCAACGTCCTCTCACTGCCCGAAAAGATCCTTACACGTTTGGCTCCCGCAGCAGCTCTGCCCTCATCTACGGCCTCTCTCCACCTAGCTCACCTGCTCCAGCCACACGGACCTCCTCATCATCCTGACCAGGACCACCTTTGCCTCCTGGGTTTCCTCAGGTGCAGCTCCCTCAGCCTGGGGAACTCCTTCCCGAGATGCATTCATGACTCACCCACCTCCTCAGCTCCTTCAGGCCTTTTCTCAAATTTCAACTTCTCAAAAAGCTCTGCATCATCTAAAAATTGCAAATGTATACAACTCTTCTCTAAACTGCTCTATTTTTCTCACATCACTTTTCCCTTTCTAAGGTTTTATTTAAGCACATATACATACATAAAATGCATTTATTATGTATTTATTATGCCTTTATCTGTCTTCTCCCAAGCTAAAAGGTAGAGCTCTGTGAAAACAAGGAATTTCATATTATGTGTTAATTAGTGGATCCTGTGAGCTTAATACAATGTCTGGCATATAGATGGTTCTCAATAGGAACAGTTTAAATCAACAAAGTAATTTAGGGTTTAAAAAATATATTTAGGCTGGGTGCGGTGGCTCAAGCCTGTAATCCCAGCACTTTGGGAGGCCGAGGCGGATAGATCACGATGTCAGGAGATCGAGACCATCCTGGCTAACACGGTGAAACCCCGTCTCTGCTAAATATACCACAAAATTAGCCGGGCATGGTGGTGGACGCCTGTAGTCCCAGCTACTCAGGAGGCTGAGGCAGGAGAGTGGCGTGAACCCGGGAGGCAGAGCTTGCAGTGAGCCGAGATAGCGCCTCTGCACTCCAGCCTGGGCAACAGAGCAAGACTACATCTCAAAAAAAAAAAAAATTATATATATTTAATGGTCCCTTTACCAGACTGGAAGCTTCCTCATGGTGGAAAAGGTGCCATCCATCTATTAATATATATAATATATATGTTAAATATTTATTGAGCATCTACTCTGTACTAAGCACTATGCTGAGACCTAAAATATAATGATGAACAAAACATGTATGGTCCTGCCTTCACAATGCCAATAATCTAGTGACTAGAGACAGACACTTAACATCATCACAAATAAAGAGAAAATTACAATGGACATAAATGAACGATTAAAATAAGAATGGGGGCCAGGTGCAGTGGCTCAAGCCTGTAATCCCAGCACTTTGGGAGGCCGAGGCAGGTGGATCACGAGGTCAGGAGTTCAAGACCAGCCTGGCCAAGATGGTGAAACTCTGTCTCTACTAAAAATACAATAATTAGCCGGGTGTGGTGGCGGGCACCTGTAATCCCAGCTACTCGGGAGGGTGAGGCAGAGAATCGCTTGAACCCAGAAGGTGGAGGTTGCAGTGAGCCAAGATCGGGCCACCGCAGTCCAGCCTGGGTGACAGAGCAAGACTCTGTCTCAAAAAAAAAAAAAAAGAAAAGAAAAGAAAAAAAAGAATGGGAAAGATATTATGTTTTGGGTTAGGTTGGTGGCAGAGGAGAGGGAAATTACTGAGGAGAATTAAGATTTATTTATAAGAACCTAGTGATCTTGAAAAAAAAAAGACTTTTTAAAAGAAAATACAGGAGTTATGGCTGGATTAAATGGTGTTGAGGAGAATTTTATGACAAATGTGAGTTCCAAATTTCTGGCTTAAGACATTGGGCGGATAAAATTGCTGTTGTATGAATTGATGTAATAGGCTGAATAATGGTCCTCCGAGGAAATTCATGTCTTAATCCCTGGGACCTGTAAATATTCTCTTATTTGGAAAAAAAAATAGTCTTTGTAGATGTAATTGAGGATCTTGAGATGGGGAGATGATCTTGGATTATCTAGGTGGAACCTAAATGCAGTCGCTTGTATCCTTATAAAAAAGAGGCAGAAGGAGATTAAAACACACACACACACACAGAGGAGAAGGCTATGTAAAGACAGGGCAGAAAGAGAATTGAAGATGCTGGCCTCCAAGATTGGAGTGATGCTACCACAAGCCAAGTGTGACAATTAATTTTATGTGTCAACTTGACTGGGCCATGGAGTGCCCAGACATTTGACCAAACATTATTTTTAATGTGACTGTGAAGGTGTTTCTGGTTGAGATTAACATTTAAATGAACAGACTGAGTAAAGTATATTATCCTCGCCAAAGTGGGCTGGCCTCATTCAATCAATTGAAGATTGGAGTTGAAGAAAAAGGCCAAGTAAGAGGGAATTTCTCTTACGTGACTGCATGAGCTGGAGCATTGGTCTTCTCTAGAGAGACAGTTTGATCCTATTGGTTCTGTTTCTTGGGAGAATCCTGACTAATACAGCAAAGAATGCCAGCAGCTAACAGGAGCAGTAAGAGACAAGGAACACATTCACCCCTAAGGCTCCAGAGGGAGTACAGCCCTGCCAACACCTTGATTTCAACCCAGAGGAATTGATTTTAGATTTCTGGCCTCCAGGACTATGAGAAAATAAATGTGTGCTGGGTTAAGTCAGCTCATTTTTAGTAATTTATTACAGAAGCCATAGGAAATTAATACAATAGGAACTATTATACAAGACGAGTCTAAGTGTGGGGGGGTGGTGTATCAAGATTCCATCTGGGGACAGGCATGGTGGCTCACGCCTGTAATCCCAGCACTTTGGGAGGCCGAGGCAGGTGGATTACCTGAGGTGAGGAGTTCAAGACCTGCCTGGCCAACATGGCAAAACCTCATCTCTACCTAAAAATACAAAAATTAGCTGGGTGTGGTGGTGTGCACCTGTAATCCCTGCTACTCATGAGGCTAAGGCAGGAGAATCGCTTGAACCCAGGAGGTGGAGGTTGCAGTAAGCCAAGATCGTGCCACCACACTCCAGCCTGGGTGACAGAGTGAGACTCTGTCTCAAAAAAATAATAATAAATTAAAATAAATTTTTTAGGCCGGACGTGGTGGCTCACGCCTGTAAACCCAGCACTTTGGGAAGCCAAGGCGGGTGGATCACAAGGTCAGGGATAGAGACCATCCTGGCCAACATGGTGAAACCCCGTCTCTACTAAAAGTACAAAAAAAATTAGCCAGGCGTGGTAGCGGGTGCCTGTAGTCCCAGCTACTCGGGAGGCTGAGGCAGAAGAATGGCGTGAACCCGGGAGGCGGAGCTTGCAGTGAGCCGAGATCGCGCCACTGCACTCCAGCCTGGGCGACAAAGCGAGACTCCGTCTCAAAAAATAAATTAATTAATTAATTAACTTTTTAAAGTTCCATTTGGAACATGAAATCTGAGATGTCTAGCACACGCCTCTGGAAAGGAAGGCCGAATAGGGATTTGGATATGCAGGTATGAGACTGACAGAATGGTCTGAGCACAGGCTTGAAGTTCCAAAGTCCCAGGGACTGAAAAGCTGTGGGAAGTGAAGTAAGAAAGAAAGACAGCCAAGCACGTGTCCTGAGGAACTCTCAACATTGGGAGATCAGGTGGAAAGGTAGCCTGAGAAAGAAACTAGGAGAACATGGGGTCTTGGAGGCCAAGGGAGGTGAGTCGTTTTGAATGACAGGGTGATCATCCCTGGAACAGAATCCAATCTGGAGTACATTTTATGAAAACGATGAGGAGGAAGCAGAAACAGCCTGTGTGGGTGACTTATTCTTGAAGTTTGGCTTGGAAAGTGCATAAAGAAAGCAGATAGTTGCTATGAATATTGGATCCAGGAAAGCTTTTTTTAATTCTTATTTTCATATGGCAGAGTTTAGGGCAATTCCATATGATTTGGAAAATGACCCAAAAACAGAAATGGTTGGAAATGCAGGTGAGAGTGGGGCTACCTGCTGAAGCCTGAGAAGGCAGAAACAGAGGATTCAGAGAGCAGGTCTCAATCCTGGCTGTAGTTTAGGATCCCCTGGGGACATTTTTTAAAAATCCCCACACCCAGCCTAAACCCAAGACAAATAACATCAGACTTTTTTTTTTTTCTTGGAGACAGAGTCTTGCTCTGTCGCCCAGGCTGGAGTTCAGTGGTATGATCTCGGCTCACTGCAAGCTCCGCCTCCCAGGTTCACGCCATTCTCCTGCCTCAGCCTCCCGAGTAGCTGGGACTACAGGTGCCCGCCACCACACCCAGCTAATTCTTTTTTTTGTATTTGTGGTAGAGACGGAGTTTCACCGTGTTAGCCAGGATGGTCTCGATCTCCTGACCTCGTGATCCGCCTGCCTCGGCCTCCCAAAGTGCTGGGATTACAGACGTGAGACATCAGACTTTTTGCTTTGGAACCCAGGCATCAATCATTGTCAAATCTCCCCAGGTGATCCCAATGAGTGGTTCCGGGGATTCAGAGCACACTTGGAAGGTGTGGCAGGGCATCCAGGTGCATGTGCTGGCACATGGAGAGGTAGGTTTGAAGGTTTGGTGGGTGTAAATTAAGGAATTCCTAACTTCAGCTTTCTATTTCCAAAATTCAAGGCAAGGTCATATACTAAGCATGTGCTGAACATGTATGGAAGAAGGGGGAGGCTAAGGGGTGAAGAAACGTAAAGATGACACAGTTCATCCTGAGAGTGGAAAAGGGAAGATGCCCCATCTGGAGAACTATGGCAAGAATGCCGGGCAGACTGGGAGTTTATAGCCATGCCATCCGGCCATTCATTCCCCTGACAGTTGTCAGACAGATACCAAACTAGGGGATGGGGCTCAAACATAAGAAAGACATTGTCCCTGACCTCACAGATTTCGCAGTTCAATGGAGGAGGGACACATATTAACAAACAGAAGATTCAGGTGCTACAATTGAGTCACACAAGAGAAATTGGGAACTCTAACCCTTGGGGAGACAGAAGCCATCTCCTCGGCACATAGGATGCTCCTGAGACGTGCTCCTTAATCTCCAAGCACCTTACTGTTGTGGGAAAACAAAGGGAGATACAGCTCAGTCCATATCCTCCAGGGATCGCTAACGCAGCCCCAAAACAGTTATGACACATCAGCAGCACCGTGCCACATGGGGCCTCCAAGCAGGAGAAAGTCTGGAAGGGCGGCAAGACTGAGGTCAACACGAATTTTCAGGTGGTAATCTTCAAGTGACATTCAGAAAGTGGTCACTAGGTGGCAGGGTTAACATTTGCAAAATAACTCCTGCCACTGCCTACCGTGTAGGAATGAACCTGACAACACTCCATGCCAAAAACCCAAGCTTCCAGGCCTGCCTGCAGTTTGCTGTGCCGAGGTAGCCAGCAAGAAGAGTAATCAGTCAATGATGATTTCAGGTGGCTGTTTAATCTGAACTCACTAGCCCGTGTTTTTTTGGTTTCATTTCTCTCCAGTTCATATGTGCCTCTTGAGCACTTGAAATGTAGACTGAGAAACTGAATATTGAATTTTATTTCATTTTAACTTGTTTAAACATTAAACATTATTACTCGATTCAGTGGTTGAAAAACTCTTAAGTGTGCCTGGAACAACTTGGTTATGTCAATCTAGTTTTTTGGCTATGAATTTTATGAAATCTAAATACGGATCAAATATTTCCAATGAAAATATAGGGCCAAAATTGAGATGTGCTGGAAATGTAAAACAAGCCCTGGATTTTGAAGACATAGTATAAAGTTAGAAGGTGAACATCTCATTAATATTTCACATCAGTTACATTGATTTTATATGATTGCAATAATATTTTGATATATTGAGTTAAATAAAATATATTCCTGAAATTAATTAATTTTTCACTTTGGGGCAGGGAGGACTGCCATGTCATTTATTAAGAGAAAGCAAAATGAAGCAAGGAGCTGCTCTGGGAACACACAGGGTGATGGCACAAGAACACAATAGCTAGTGTGTCCCACAGTCCCGGAGGCCCCTGCCCGCTTCCTCCACCAGGGCCTGCCCAGGGTCTCAGGGTGGCCTCCCTACCCTGCTTCCCTCCAGACCCCTTCCATCCCCTTGGAAGGGCATCCTCCCTCCTTACAGGGCCAGGTATTTTTCTCTGGATTTAACCAGACAACGACATTTTATTTTCTGTTCATCTCCTCCAACCACCCAACTCCCACCTCCTCCCACTTCTCTTCCCTGCCTCCCTTTTGACTGAAGAATCCCTGCTCCCTTGGTCTTCCAGTGAGGCCGCAGTGACTAAAGGGGACCCCTTCCCATCCACTCATCCCCACCCTGGTCCAGTTTCCCAGACCCCGATGCAGTTGGTTGTAAATTCTTCCAGGAGCTGTTTTCTGTCTCCTTTTTGGGAATTTTTTTAAAGTAAAAAACTTAAAACAGAAGTTTAAAAAGCAAAATGTGGAAGAAGAAAGCAATGACAGATTTGTTTCGTGGTTTTTTTTTTCTTTCTAAGGTGGGCTACTAGAAAACTTACAGTTGCATATGTGGCTCCCATTTCTACTGGGCAGTGCTGCTCAGAAGGATGTGCAGGGTTCGCCCAGGCAAGGAGACCCATGTTTAAGGAGATGACAGAGGCTGGGAGAGCACTGCCTAAGAGAAAGCCTAGGGGACGAGGCTGGGATGGGGTCACAGAGCATCGGGCTGGCACTCTCCCACCTCGCTCTGCCCTTGACTCCGACTATGACTAAATGGACATTTTTCATGGGCAAGGAAGGAGACAGGATTAAAAGTTTTCTTCAAAGCATTGGGCAAAACTGGTTGTTTTGGTGGGTTTTTTTTCCCTTCTTCGGGCTTCCCTGATGCCTTCTTTCTCTTGTTTGATCTCTGGGGCCAGACTCCCTAGGTTCAAGCCCCAACCCATCCATACAGTGAATGACCTTGGGCAATTTACTTAGCTTCCTTGTGTTTCTTTGCCTAGAAAAGACTACTCAGAGTCTAGGCATAGGATTACATTAGTTTGCATCTCTAAAATACTTAGAACAGTACCTGGCAATAGTAAGCACTATGTGCTAGATACTCATTTCTCAGACAAGAGGGGGATAAAAGGTAAATTTTAATGAGCTTTCTTATGAAAATGGTAAATGCTTCATATTCTATTAATTTAAAAAACATCAGCAACCTTCCAAATTCAATTCTGCTGATGAAAGTATATGTATTTTTTTTTAAAAGATGACAATCCAAAAAAAAAAAAGGTGCATCTATTTGGGAAGTGTGGGCCATGGCCAGGCTATTTTCTTGTTAGAATTCTGGATTGGGAGCAGGCCATCTCCTGCCCTGGAAAACAACCAGCTCTTCAAGAATCCAGCTCCACTGCACCCACACAGAGCTTGAGGCCTGGGGATAGCAGGTGCCTTAACCGCTTGTCATAGGTCTGAATTGCAATGGAGCTCAGTCATTTCCCGTATCAGCACACCATTTTGACTTCACATTTTGACCTCTCCAGAAACTAGCAAACCGCAGTGCCCCACCCAGCTGTACAGGTTTCTCTGAAAAACCACAGCCTAGGCTATCTCCAAATCAATTCTGAGAGTAGTTTTGTCATGACTGACTCACTTGAAGCAAACATTTTTTGTCATTTGTTCAGTTTCTTTATTGACTCTTGACTATTTAATGTGCATGTTTCAAAGTTACAAGTCAGCCTCGCTTTATACAGCCAAGATATGTGTAGTTAAATTTTTAAAAATCAAGTCATCAAAAAACTTGCACCACGTTTGTTACAGTTGAAAGAAATTCTACAAGGAACTCTAGTCTGTGAGCACAGTCACAAATAATATGAGTCCTTTGATAAATTAATGTTTATCAGTTCTACAAATTAAAAGTGTTATGGTAGATTTGTTTAAAGCAAATTAAACTATATTTAGAAGGTGGGAACAGAAATTTTACAATTTCCTCTTTTTACTTCTTTTTTTGTTTGTTTGTTCATTAATTATAGACTGCAACAGGAACTACAGTAGTTATGTTCCAACGAGAAAAACTATGCTAGAATTTGAAACTAGAATGTTAGAATATCACCATACTTGGCCATTGCTGATGGCATCTCTCTGTAAGGACTTTTTCGCTACCTTGATGTCTGTTTATGGCTGGTCTGATCATGGTATATGCTTATTCTGCCATATAAACTGGATTTTTTCTCTGGTTGAAAACCCAAGACACACCAGTTCTTAGCTTCTTATTTTCTTCTCCATAGGCTCCATATCTTGCATCTCATTTGGGGAAAAAGTCAAAAAGCTAGATTTGCCCTACCTCAGAGGTGAACTGCCTACCACATTGGCCAATGTCAGGGCTGTGGGGCATGTCACATCTCAGGGGGCTGGAGCCCACCACTCCCTGACTTACCTCCTACAAACACATCCCACGGTGCCTCAGCTGGACACTAGGTCCCAGACCCTGAACTGGAAGAAGCTCAGAGCCGGGATCTCAGGCAGGTTTCCTCTTTGATGGTGCTGGCTGCTGAGATGATCAGGCATCTGAGCAACCCCAAGGACTCAGATGAGTGGGCCCCAACGAGACACTGAGGGAAGAAAACAAATGGGTGCTACCTGGGCCTTCCACAGACCAAGAAAGATGATGATCCCACAGAAACAAAGTTCTGGTGAATGAGGAACAAATGGGAAGGTATGACAATGAAAAGCCACAGCTTAAAGTGAGGTTCAACAATAAAAACGAATATAAAAATCTGAGGGGATGAAAGCTTAAAGAGGCCCAATTAAAGCAAGAACTGAATGCTGACCAAACTGGCCTTACAGGAAAAAGACTTTCAGAAAGAAAATGCAATCGAAGTGAAATGAACGACAGGCAAAGAAACAAATGCAACCTATAAAAATCAAAGAAAAATAATGAAGATGTGTTTTCCTGAGCACGGAGGTCACAGGGATTGAGCAAGGTTTTGACCAACTCCCCATCAATCTCCACATAATAAAGTGATAGATTTCTGCGACTGGGGCTGGTTTGGTTTTGTTCTTAAGTCAGAAATTATAGTTGTTTCCAGATCTTAGGCTAGAATCGAAAACTTGGGAAACACTCGGTATTTTTTATTATTTTGAAATTAAAACTCCCAAATGTAAATTGCCCCAAACTAGCAAATCTCAAAAACCTAAAAATCTTACATATGTTCCAGCCATGCAGGAGCTGAAAGAGAACTATTTACAATAGTTTTGATCAGTGTTATTTATAAAATGGAAATCTCACGAGTCTACTTAGAGCAAGTAGCACTTTTCTCTGGGGAAGTTATTGGGGAAAAGCAAAGCATTTTAGTCCCAGCTATACCAAATTTGGTGGCTTTGGGCACTTATTGGAAGGATCCAAACTCTGCTTTAAAATAGAAACACGTATGTGAGACTCAAGTCATCTCTAGAAAGATGTTTAGAAAATATGTGCAAATGTTCAGATATTGCCACAATAAAAACCCTCTGCCGAATCTTAACCATTTACTTCTAGTTCCCAAGCTCGTCCCCGAGCCCCTTCATATTCTACCCAGGGCACTCACATGCAGGATGACTGCTGGAGATCTTATGTGATTGGGGAGAGCCTCCCTCACAGGAGGAAGAAGCCTCAATAAGCAGAGATTGAGTATGCATATCTGGCAAGCCACCTTAATTAGCTTCTTCATATGTACAAACATTTCCTCACAGCCCTACTTAACGATCAGCGGTCATCATGTGCCCTAATTCAGAGACTCTGTATCAGCAATAAATTGGGCCTGGGGCAGCCTCCTCCTGCCCTGTCATTAAAGAGTCCTATTTACTGTGGCCTTTGCAGTCACTCCATCTCCTTAGCACTGGAAAGTCACTACAGCTTGCAGTGTTTACTTTGGTGGTCAACAGCAATAGGCACTCAGTGGTCCCGGCAGTAGCTCAGAGCCCATAGATTCTGTGCAATTAAGAAAATACAGCTGCATGAAGTGAGGAGTGGCCCATGGGCCTGGGGACCAAGTCAGCATGTCCTTGGCATTTACTAAGTCCAGATGTCTTTATCTTCTGGGCAGGAAGTCAGAGCCTGTCCAGATGGCATCTTGATTGCTTTTGGCCCAGCTGATTAAATTTCTAAGGCTGACATCTCTTCCAAATACCCTCTCCATCCTATGAAATGTGGTTGTCAGATAAGTGCCAGAAAGAATCCCCAGAGAGGACTGCAAACTGGGAGGGCCTGAAGGCAAACCTGAGCGCCTGAGAAGTCCGCGCTGAACACATTTCCTGCCATATGGCTGGGGTTCTGGGATTCTTTCCACTACAAGCCAGGGGATTTCTTGAGAAGCAAGAGTGAGTCTGGGATCAGACAGAGAGAGTTAGGAGCCCTGGAACTTCCACTTTCTGACCTGTGAACTTGCATGTATTTCTGAACCACTCTAACCTTTGTGCACTCATCTATAGATTTGGGATAAAAATAGCACCTACCTCATGTGAACCCGGGAGGTGGAGCTAGCAGTGAGCCAAGATCGTGTCACTGCACTCCAGCCTGGGCGACAGAGCAAGACTCCGTCTCAAAAAAAAAAAAAAAAAAAAAAAAAAAAAGGACCTACATCAACAAGTAGTTCTGAAATTATATGTGATAAATAATGCACATCAAGTGTTTACAAGAGTACCTGGCATATAGTCTGTATTACCTACATATATTTTATTTTTGCTCTTCCTTTTACTTTGCCTCCTGAGGAGCTGCTCCTTAAAACCACAAACTGAATATGGACAATAAATCAGCCTGGTCATTCACGCATGCTTTATGCTAGAAATAACACGTAATTCTTGCCAAGCATGGTGGCTTATGCCTGTAATGCCAGCTACTCAAGAGGCTGAGGCAGGAGGATCACTTGAGGCCAGGAGTTCAAGACCAGTCTGGAACACAGTGAGAACTCTGCCTATAAAAATATTTTTTTAATTACTATTTTTGTAATTTATTTTTTTTTAGAGACACGGGCTCACTCTGTCACTCAGGCTGTAGTACCATGGTGCGATCTCAGCTCACTGCAGCCTCGACCTCCTGGGCTCAGGCAATCCTCTTGCTTCAGCCCCTCAACTAGCTGGGACCACAGGCATGTGCCTCCACACCTGGCTGATTTTTGTATTTTTTGTAGAGACAGGGTTTTGCCATGGTGCCCAGGCTGGTCTGGGACTCCTGAACTCAGGCAATCTGCCTGTTTCAGCCTCCCAAAGTGCTGAGATTACAGGCGTGAGCTACTATGCCCAGCCAGAAAAAAAATTTTTTTAATACATAAAATAAAAATAATTCTTTATAGTCCTTTATGGGTTATTCTCTATAGTCCTTTCTTTCACAAGCACCCTTCAGAGGTAAGCAGGGGAGACAGTATTTCTCTTTTGTAGAAGAAGTTGAAACACTTAGAGTCTAATGATATGTCCAAGATCAAATAGGTATCTGTGTCTGAAGATGGAAACCCATGAAGGCTGTTGAACTCTTGTCTGCTGCTAATCCTGCTCACAAGAGGAAGACAGGGCTGCACATCGAGCAGAGGAACAAACAAAAGGTTCCCTTACCCCATCCTGCCTGTAACAAATGCTCCCAGTCATACTGATGGGACATTTCTGAGGTTCACTAGAATGAAGGAAGGATGCCACATTGCCATTTACGGAAGTTGTTGCCTACCTCTTAGCTAGCTTGGGCAATCCTTTCCTCCCACGCTCACTATAAAGGGCTGCGGAAATTTAATCTAATACAATGCTCACAGTAAAAAGCCTGACATAAGACAGGGTGTGCAAAATGTTCCTGAAGGGCTAAAAGTAAATAATAATATAAGTAAATTGAATAATAATATAAGTAATCTCCACTTTTGGGACTGTTAAACTCATAGGTTGTTCACTTACATTCTTAATGAAAAAATGACAGGGCTGGATTAGATTATTTTAAAACTTATTTTTAGCTTAAAATTTCTGATTTCAATGCACCACTATTGAAACTATTTTATTTCAGAGTTGAGAGTTTATCTCAGAATCCCAATTCCCAGCCCTGTACTCATTCTAGTCCCTGTATCTCAGTTCCTGTTAATATTACATTCATTTACAGTTTGAGAGAAAAACCCTAAGGATGCCTTTAACATTTCTGCCTTCAAAAAATGCATCAGATGAAAGAGAAGTTAGTGAACGGCACTGATGTTATGGTTAATTGAAAGTTAAAGCTTGACAAATATTCTAACATGCTACACATATTTTCAGAACTATATATATGTAACTAGATGACCACAAAAAATAGTGAAACCCAGATTTGGGGAAATGTTCCAACACCAGATAGTTTTCAAATTGCTATAATGAAGGCCCAGAGAATGGATATTTCCAAAATCACTCATCTTGGGAAGAGGTAAATCCTGGGACAGGGAGTGCAAACGTCCTTGGATAAGACAGGTAAAGACCTCCCCTTCCCCTGAGTATGGAAACACAGAAGATTTGGGCTCAGAGGCACATGAAAGGACTTAGACAGCTCACCTCTGTCACAAAAAAATTCTCTATGTCATGTGAAGGTACTGTGCTTGCACTGTTGGTGGTGGCATTGGCAGCAGTGCCAATAATAGTGCAGAGAGGGCCAGGCCTGGTGGCTCACGCTTGTAAACCCAGCACTTTGGGAGCGCGAGGCAGGCAGATCACCTGAGGTCAGGAGTTCAAGACCAGCCTGGCCAACATGGTGAAACCCCGTATCTACTAAAAATACAAAAAATTAGTTGGGTATGATGGCAGGCACCTGTAATCCCAGCTACTTGGGAGGCTGAGGCATGAGAATTGCTTGAACCCAGGCGGCAGAGGTTGCAGTGAGCGAAGACTGTGCCATTGTACTCCAGCCTTGGCAACAAAAGCGAAATTCCGTCTCCAAAAAAAAAAAAAAAAACAACAACAACAACAACAAAAAACAGTGCAGAGAAATAGTCAAGTTCTGGATGAGGGTCAGCATCACAAGCCTGTCCAACTTCAAAAGTACACAGCTGAGCTTGAAATTGAAGGGGACCAGAACATAACACCCCAAAATTCACCACTTTGATGTGTTGATTATTCTGACCTGAAAGTAACTGAGAAATTGCAGATGTAGGAGAGGCTTCCTGCCCTCCCCATTTTTACCTAAAAACAGGACATAAATTTCCCATGAGAAAGGTGCCATTCCTGTACCTGGAATAAGAGAATATTCTTATCACTGGAGACAAGGAGTCAAAACAGACCTTACTTAACCTTTACCTTTCATTAATTTTCCCCATATATATCCCAGTCACTTTCCCACAATTTACTGCTCCTAGCTCAAATCCCTTTTTCCTTTGTCTTGTAACATCTCCACAGTTGATTGCTCTTTGTTAAAATGGTATGTAATCCTCTGGGTCTAACCGCCGCTTTGGGATCTTCCTGTCTTTCTAGGAAGCCCTTGTGCCACACAAAAATATTAACATCAAATAAAATTATTGTGCTTTTTCTCCTGTTAATCTGTCTTTTGTCAGTTCAATTCACAGGCTCCAGTCTGAGAACCAAAGAGGGTAGAGGAAAAGTCTTTCTTCCCCTATAAAATCAAGCCAGACATGAGGAAAGCCCTGTCTCCTCTCAAGGTGTGAAAGGAGCATCACCATCACTTGCTCTGTCTAGCCTGGTAGCCTCACAAGCAGCATCAACCACAAAGACAGAAGCAAAAGCAGCATGACAAGAAGGCAGGAGTAGAGGAACAGATAGCTTTGTTCTGGTGCACTCATGAAGCAGCACAACAATAACCCTCAGAGAGAGGTGGGCTTGACTTTGGGCCCTTATTGCTCTGAACCTTGGGTTATAATAATTTGATTTAAAAAATAAACAGGCTGGGCATGGTGGCTCACACCTGTAATCCCATAATTTTGGGAGACTGAGGCAGGCGGATCACCTGAGGTCAGGAGTTCAAGACCAGCCTGGCCAACATAGAGAAACCCCATCTGTACTAAAAATACAAAAATTAGCCGGGCATGGTGGCACACACCTGTAATCCCAGCTATTCAGAAGGCTGAGGAAGTAGAATCTCTTGAACCTGGGAGGCAAGGTTGCAGTGAGCTGAGATCGCACCAATGCACTCCAGCCTGGGTGACAGAGCAAGACTTCGTCTGAAAAAAATAATAATAAAATAAGATAAACAAACATATATTGGGAAATATAATGATAAAGAGTAAAACTGACCATACAATATTTAAAATATTCACGTAAAATTTTAGATGCAAATAAACATAACCATCTGGAGGCAGGAAAGCAGGCTTGAACAAAAAGCAGAACTACAACTAAATGTAGAGAGGGGAAAAATATAGGTCAGTTTAATACCAACTGGTGCCCATAAGATATAATATAAATTATTGTTTTAATCCCCTAATGAAATTATTTTAAAAATATCTAGCTTTTTGCTAAACTTAGATCACAAAAGCATATTTTGGTTTGCACATCCTTGAAAGAAAGTACATTAGCCTTTGAGTTATCACCAGGAAAGAGCCTGAAGAGCCAAATAAAGAGTTATAGGACCCCAAATCACTCCCAGATTATAAATACATGGCAACAAGGAAGTGAATGTATGGGCCTCACCAGACAGGAAATTGGGTAGTTCTGTGGGGTCACCCATGGGGAGATAGCTGACCACAAGGGACAAACTGCATGCAAATGTAGTAGAATAAAAGACAGTACAACAACAAAAACAATGATTTGGGATTTGTATGTAAATATATGTTAATACCTAATATAAGGATGCTTGAACTTTTGAAAACTTCTGGGGCCCACAGTCTGTTGTTTCCTCACTGAAATGGATGCTGATCAGTAGAAATAAATACATTTCTGGTGCCTTTTCTCATGTTCTCTTCTCCCTCTCCATATCTCTGCAAGAACTGTTTCTCAGCATGGGTGCTGGCAGTTTGATCCCTTAATGGCACTATGAGTCAACTGGGAATGCAGAAATCATGGTGCCCATCACTCCGCCAAACTTCTTTCTCTAATTTTTGTTTGCCAAGAAGATGTGAGACTACCTGGAAAAAGAAAGAGCAGATTATTAACAAAAATCAAGTGTAACTCAATATTATTGGCTCAAGCCAAAAACTCTGTTACAAAAGTAAATTGGAAATCATAGTTTTGAAATAGAGTAATGGAGTTTTAAATAAAGAAGTACCTTGTTGATAAGCTAGTTAAACTCCATAATTTCTCAGGTAAGTAAACTGAGACTGAGAGACTGCCCCAGTGACACACAACCAGTGAGTGGCAAAGCTGGGATTAAAATTCAAGTCAGTGCTTTTCTTGGGCAATTGGGAAAACATTTAGATAAACAGCCTGCTAGGGGTTGTAATACATGAATTTATGACATAGTTTGAGGAACTAGAGATTTTTAACCTAGAAAGAGAACGATTCAGGGACATGGTAGCTATTTTCAAATACTTGAAGGTAGAAAAGGCCTTGAACTTACTCTGTTAGCCAAAGGAGACTTTAACAGTTCAATATAAGATAAAACCTTTTAAACAGTCAAACTTGGCCAAAACCATTGGGGGGTGAGGGATGATGAGTTTTCTGTCACCTGAGGCATTTCATAATAGACTGAAAAATAATTCAGAGAGTATGTTTTTGTCTACAGAGAGGGGTGAATTAGGGGTGTGTAGGAGAGAATTCAGGCATGAACATCATTTGGATGAGGTGACCTGTAAGAGGATGTGGTTCTTTATATCCAAATTCTGGGACCAAATAAGGTTTCATTCTTGCCTCTAAACTCTAAAACCTATCTTCTCATCTGTTTGCAATAGTTTACATTTTAATCTATTTCATATTTCAGGGTATTATGCCCTGAATATGTGATTTGAATACCGTGGCAGAAGGTCACTCATATTCATTCATTTTATTTTACTCTTATATACTTGCAGTGAGTCTTTTGAATTCATTATGCAAACACATGTAAATCATATGCAAATGATATAGCTTAAGAAAATGACAAAATCTGATGGCCTTAACTGAGCCATCAGACCTTTCTTTAAGAAGGAAAGTAATATGCCTTTCAACATCTCTGGGGCAGGAGACAATTTCCTGAGAGTGATATTTACACGACATTGGAATTCGTTACTCAGTCTTTGCCTCACATTCTGCATATTTATGTGGGACTTTAAGATAAGAAAAGCATTTTCACATACATGATCCTATTTGATCCTCATAATTACTCTGTGATGTAGGCAGAAGAGGAATTATAATTCTTGTTTTTCAGATGGGAAAACGGACTTAGAGAAGTGAAATGACTTGCCCAAGGTCACTCAGTTGGTAAGCAAGGATCTGCGGTCTACCACTAGACTCTTCCCAGTTCTCAGCTCTTCCTAATATACACTGATGGATGTCTTATTTGAAGCAAGGTGGTCCGTCATTGGTCTGGGTTTGCTTAGACTGTGTCTTGCTGATAGCATCTTCAGAGATGATTTTGTTGATGAAGATGGCATTTTAAGGGTGACCAGGAAAAGCCCAAATATGTGTAGCAGGCCTAGCAGACTGCCAAGTACATATTTCCTCCAATCCCCTCTGCTTTTTAGCATCTTTTCTGAAATCTCCAGATGAACAACATTCTTCGCCCCATCTACTCTTCAGCTCCTTCAGGAGGCAAAGTCCTTTCTTAAACTGTGAAGAGTAGCAGCATAGTCTCTGCAGTGAGATTTTCTGGATCTGAAGCCCTAATCTACCACTCTCTAATTGTGTGGCTTGGAGAGATCATTTAATTTCTCTTAAGCATCAGTTTCTACATCTATAAAATGAGGGAAATAATAATATCTCTCTTATAGAATATATGGAAATATTCGAGGATAGGAAAATGCAGCAAAAAACTGCATTAAACCTGACCCAGTGTCTGACACATAGTAAGGACTCAATAAATGGCAGATACTATAGTCATTTGATTCATCATAGTAATACTGTAGAGGTGGTGGTGGTGGTGGTGGTGGTAGTAGTAGTAGTAGCAGTAGTTAAGTCATTGTGAACTCTGATACTAAGAACTGGGCTCTTGGAAATGGAGTGGGAGAACAGTAACACCAAATATATCCTGTATGCCAGAGGGTTGAAGAACAGACAGAACAGGTAGCTAAATGCAGCCTATTGAGGAATGTTTGAACTTTGGCTTTCTTTAATCATTGCCACATCTTGCTCCATAATAAGGGTAATTGTAATCCTGCTTCAAAGCTATTTCTAAGAAGAAATAGAGCCAAGGCTGGCATCCCTAACTCTACTCTCCTTTAGCCAGGCTGCTCTATCTATGGCAGTGTCCCCTACTTCCCCAGGCCAGGTTAGGAGGGAACAAGAGAGTCCACCCCAACTGCTTTAACAAGCCTGAACCGCCAGGTCAAGAGATGAAGTAATCTTCCCCCTATACGAAGACCAGAGGTGGGGATGGACAAGGTGGCCAAGGCAGCAGCTGAGGCTCAAGGAGCAGATACACTCTCAAGCCTGCTCCCTCCTGCTCCAGTTCCCAGCTCAGCAGGTGCCACTGAAGGGCTCAGTTCTTCAGTCTGCCCCTGCAGAGTGCTCTGCCCTTCCATGTTCTCTGACACCTCTTCTATTCACTCACCTAGGACAACTAAGAAAGTGGCCTCCTTGGTGAGTAGAGCTTCCACAGCCTCTCTCGGGGAAAAGGACCAGAAGCTGTTGGAGTTGGCCAAATGCTTGAAGTTGGCATAAAGTCAATTGGAACCATCACAATGAGAGTCTGTGTGATCAGCCCAAAAGGACTGCACAACTGATTCATGTTCAGTGCCAGGAAATGCAACGGGCCATTCTGGGGTTGGGTCCTCAGTTATTTTTGGCAAAGATGGGTGGTATGCAAAAGGGACTTCCTTTTTTTTTTTTTTTTTTTTTTCCAGCACAGAGCCACAGAATGCTGAGCAGTCAACAGCATTTCTTGTTCCAAGATCACCCTTCTGAGTACCTCTCTGGCTGCCAAATTGCCAGGGCCTTCACAGTTTGATTCCATTTCTCAGCTCCAAGCATTAGGTAAACCCACCAAGCAATCCTAGCCTGTGATGGCGTTTGACGTCAGCTGCTTCTTTTGGGTGGTGCTGTTTTCTGCCGGCTGTAAAGTCATCACCTCCTGGGATCAGATGTGCATTGAGGTGAGTCCAAACTGTTTGTCTTTATGCAGATTAAACTGTCTGAAAATTTTGAGATTTAGCACGCAGTCCAATCTGAGCCTTGGCATCCCAATATCTAGTGTCTTTAAAAAGGAAATAAGGTGTATATATAATTTTTTCATTATTGTGAGAAAGGAGCCAAAGAACTCTGCCAGGGGATCATCTGGTGGCATCTTAATAGGAAGCAAAGAGAATTTTTCTCCTCTTCAAACAATTCCACCCAAATAATCCCAAGTGGGTCATAAGATATTAATAGGGTCTGTGTGCACAAAGCAGACCCCTAAACCTGCCTCAACCTAGGGGAGCTGTTGGTTTAACATCCCCACTCTCACATGGCCTCTATCCCAATGAGTCCTTTGGTCTCCTCTCAGGGTGAGAATTAGTAAAGACAGCGCTGTGCCAGGTTTTCGAGCATTGAAAAGATCACTCTGAATGAGTCTGGCTCTCTCTTGGACTTGGACAGCCTTCCATCTGTTTTACTAACCCATAGGAGGAAAATCTGAGAATAGAGCCAAATTGCACCTTCTGTTTTGGACCATAGCAATATTTATCAACCTGTGGGAAGTTCTTGGAGGGGATAATGAGAGAAAAAGGAGAAGGGCCTCCGTCTCTTGCCATCCTCTAAAATGCTTCAAACTTCCTCCCACTTTCTCTGACCCCACAAGTGATCAATACCACGTGGCCTGTCAGACAAGGGCTGCATACAGGAGGAACCATGAGTCTTGGTGGCTTGGTGAGCTGCTGGTCTGGGTTGAGGTAAAAAGAAGAGTAAGAGCCAGGAATAGCCAGATGTGGAGTTGCCCTGGGGCAGGACTAGAAGGAGATCAGAGGATCAGGAAGAGCAGAGCAAAGCCAGCACTGGGGTAAGGCTCAGAGCTGGGTGAGCAGAGCCTTGTTGGTCTGGCATTAGGATGGAATCAGCAGCAGGCCAAGAGGAGGCATCATGCCAATGAGAAATGAAGGCTGGGAAGGTGTGTGTTGCTTTGCTTGGGCTGTCATAACAAATGCCACAGACTGGGCCAGGCGTGGTGGCTCACGCCTATAATCCCAGCACTTTGGGAGGCCAAGGTGGGTGTATGCCTTGAGACTGGGAGTTCGAGACCAGTCTGGGCAACATGGCAAAACCCCATCTGTACTAAAAATACAAATATTAGCTGGGCATGGTGGCACATGCCTGTAATCCCAACTACTCGGGAGGCTGAGGCAGGAGACTCACTCAAACCCGGGAGGCAGAGGTTGCAGTGAGCCGTGATTGTGCCACCGCACTCCAGCCTTGGCGACAGAGCAAGACTCTGTCTTAAAACAAACAAACCAAAAATACACCAAAAAACAAAAACAAACCAAAAAAACCCTGAATACCATAGACTAGGTGACTTAAACAAGAGAAATTGATTGTCTCACAGTTCTGGAGGCTGGAATTTTAAGATCAAGGTGTTGGCAGAGTTTGCTGCTTCTGCACCCTCGCTCCCTGGCATGCAGATGGCCATCTTCTCTCTGTGTCCTCTCATGGCCTTTCCTGTGTGCATGAGCACTGGTGTCTTCTTGTTTGTCCAAATGTCCTCATCTTTTAAGGACTCCAGTCAGATTGGATTAGGGCCCACCTATATGACCTCAGCTTCCCTTAATGACCTCTTTAAAGGCCCTGTCTCTAAATACAGTCACATTCTGAGGTCCTGTGGGTTAGGACTTCAACATATGAATTTGGTGGTGGGGGAGAGAAAATTCAGCCCATAACAGAAGGAGAAGAGTAAGACATTTCTATCAGCCCCAGAAGGCTGTCCCCTCACCCTTCAGGTTGGAAGGTCTGTAATTGCCTGACAAGTTCTTCCTGCCCACTGCCCAGACAAAATCAATCCACTGAGACTACGGCATTGCAGTAAAGAAAGTTTAATTGATGTGAGACTGGCCACGCCAGGTGGGAGACAGAGTTATTACTCAAATCAATCACTCCAAAGTCTTGGAGATTAGGAGTTTTCAAGGATAGTTTGGTGGGCAGGGTACACGGGAATGGCAAATGTTGACTGGTTGGGGAAGAAGTCATAAGGTTTTGGAAAATGGTCCTTAGTTCTGAGTCCACCTCTGGGTGAGGCCGCAGGATGGGGTGAGTCAGGAGTCTGGGTGGGGTTAGTCTGAAAGATATCTCAAAAAAAAATCTTAGATTCTATAATAGATGTTATCTACAGGAGTAATTGGGGAAGTCACAAATCTTGTGACCTCTGGCCACATGACTCCTGAACAGTAAGGAGTAACTATGCCAACATCTTAGGCAAATTCAAGCCCCTCTCATAATCCTAACGGGTGACCTTTCTTTAGTTTTAAAAAGGTGCTTTTGTTTTAAGAAGGGCTATTACCATCCTTGCTTTAAGGTTAAAGTATAAACTAAATTCATCCCAAATTCAGCTTGGTCTACACCCAGGAATGACCAAGGAGAAACTGGAGGTTAGAAGTAAGATGGAGTCAACTATGTCATATTTCTCTTGCTGTCATAATTTTGCAAAGGTGGTTTCAGGTCAATGTCATACAGACATTTGGGAGGCATGACAAGTGGGTAGGAATAAGGGCACCATCCCCCCAGTGATCAGGAACATAGGTTATCACCTCCAGGAGACAGCCTCCAATAGGATAACATCACCATTTAATTCCACCTCATTGGGAAGCAGGCTGTTTTAAATGCCCCACTCTTATACACCTACAAGTTTAACTTTGAAATCCTTGCATCAGCGGGAGGCCCCCTAGTCCTTTGGCTGCCTGTTCTGGGGCCTTCAGTGCTATTCATGTCTCAGGAGTGGTGCTCAGTGTTCTAGGGCCTGCAAGCCTAGCCCTGTGTGGCAGCAAAGTCTTTCCTTTTTGGATAAGCCAGATGAAACTGAAACCTTCCAATACAACAACATTCCTGCAGCCCTCCCTCTGAAAGAAGTCTGATTTTAAATGACCTTGTCAGCTATTCAGTTAGCATCAGATCTGTATTTTCTTTTGTTTCATCTATCACGTGTGAGTGAGTTCTCAAGAACAAGATTCGAAGGCTGTTTAGGGAGCCCTTGCTACTGTGTGGATACTAGGGAGGGAGCTGGGGGATGCAAAGAAAAATGGAACTTATTCCTGAGATTCTGGAACTTTCCAGGCTGCTGGCAAGGGATAAAAGGAGGGGTGGCTAAAAGAATAAACTCTTGCTTTTGACTTAAGGGTTTGGCCGTTTTTCAAGGGTAAATTACCCCGAACTTTACTCACCCTTCCAAGCTGCTTTCCTTTCCTCTTTTCTTCTTCCCCCTTCAGCTCATGCATAGTTAACCACATAATGTCTGCATGTTCATGTGACTGCCATTACCCTATTAAGCCTGTGAATAAAAGTTCTCTGAGGTGGAATTTGACGAAGGAGACTTTATTCCAATGAACAGTTCGCAAACTGAGGAGACACGGCCTTTGGCACGTAGCCTTTGGAAGGTGCATTCCAGGGAACAAATGAGGAACTTGGCCTCCATAGAGAGAAATTTTCCCACTCAGCTTCCCAATCAAATTCATTTACGCAGCAGAAGGATTCAAACTTGCTTAGTTCTGATCGGTTGGTGCAGCTGGACCCTGACTGGTTGATAAAGCTGAGCCCTGATTGGTTGGTTCAGGTGAGATCAGAAAGTTCCAAAATTAAACAGAGATGGGGGTTTTCAGAAACTCAGAGTACATGTGTGACCTCTAGTCAGCAAGTGGCTGCTCGGCTGTATTTAAAATTTAGGCCCAGTTTGCCACTTGGGATCTGATATAGTTTGGATCTGTGTCCCTGCCCAGATCTCATGTTGTATTTTAATCCCCAGTGGTGGAGGTAGGGCCTGGTGGGAGGCGTGTGGGGGCAGCTCCGTCACAGCTTGGTGCTGTCTTGGTGATAATGAGTTCTCCTGAGCCTGAGATCTGGTCATTGAAAAGAGTGGCACCTCCTCTGTCATTCTCTCTCTCCTGCTTTCACCATGCAGCGTGCCTGCTCCCCGTCTGCCTTCTGCCATGATTGTAAGCGTCTCAAGTCCTCCCCAGAAGCCAAGCAGATGCCAGCACTGTGCTTCCTGTAGAGCCTGCAGAGCAGTGAGCCAATTAGACCTCTTTTCTTTATAAATTACGCAGTACTGTTTCTTTTTTCTTTCTTTCTTTCTTTTTTTCTTTTGAGACGGAGTCTCACTCTGTCGCCCAGGCTCGAGTGCAGTGGCGTGACCTCAGCTCACTGCAAGCTCCACCTCCCAGGTTCACGCCATTCTGCCTCAGCCTCCCGAGTAGCTGGGACTACAGGCGCCCACCACCACACCTGGCAATTTTTTTGTATTTTTAGTAGAGACGGAGTTTCACCTTGTCAGCCAGGATGGTCTCGATCTCCTGACCTCCTGATCCGCCCACCTCGGCCTCCCAAAGTGCTGGGATTACAGGCGTGAGCCACCGTGCCCGGCCCCAAAGTTCTTAATTTTAATATACCTCAACTTATTTTTTTCCTGTATTTTCAGTACAATTCTGTCCTGTTTAAGAAATCTTTGCCTACCTCAAGACCGTGATATTATCCCATGTTTCTTCTAGAAGCTTTATTGTTTTGTATTTATTTGCTATTTCTAGGTTTCACATTTAGATGGATCAAAATTGTTTTTGTTTTTTACATACAAGTAGGAGTCAAGATTAATTTTTAAATAAAACTTTTTGTTTGGAAAAATATCCAAACCTACCTACAAGTTCTGAGACTATTACAGTGAACACCTACAGGCTACATAGATTCTTCCATTGTCAAATGCTACATGTTTTCTCTCTCTGTCTCTCTCTCTCTCTGTGAATGTTTGTGTCCCTATATATGTGTGACTTAAGCAAAAATATTAGGACCCGTATCAAGTCTTTGGAAGCTGATAAATATGCAAAGAACAGCTGGAATTCGTGTTCTGTGATTTGGATTGTGGCATCATTTTAGATGCACTCTTGAAATATTTACTTGGGAATGTGGGCATGCCTCCCCTTTTCAAGTGAGCTCAGCTTGGCCATCCTTTTCCCTCAAAACTGTGATAGAAGTGAGCCCTTCAGTCCCTAGGTGTGGGATGGGGACTGGTTAGCAGAGCTCTTTTTTGAAAGGAACTCCAAGTTCATAGACACAAGGGCTTCCCAATAGCTTTCGATAATGATGTGAGGTTGTGATGATCCAGTTAAACGCTAACTCTTCTTGTTTAGTGCTGACACACATTATCGCATTAATCCTCACAGTAAACTTGCAAGGCGAAGTTCCTAACTTCAATCTACATTTGAGGAAAAGGGAGGCTCAGAGAACACAGCTTGGTGGTTGAGAGCTAGGATTTGAACCCAAGCAGTCTGACTTTACAGACAAACAGAAAATAAAGTGCATGTAACTGGAATGCCCTTTGCCTGGAGGAATCAGATTGACAATGAAGTTACAGGAATGTGCTCTCTAGGGAGTGTTTGTTTTGTTTTCAGAGACTAATTGTTGCTCTGGGATTTGGCTCAGTCGACTTGCTCTATCTTGGATGGAGGCATGCTTAATGAGGAAGCGTTGGAGGTCAGTGTCCCAGACTTCTGATGCATGGGGAGGTGGCTGCTGCGTGTGTCAAGCGCAGATGAGAAATCCGAAAAGGTGAGAATAAGCACTTGAGTGAAATTCAGAGTTCCAAATTAGAAAATGTTTCAACACTTGCAAGGAAAGAAAATACAGTGGGATGAGAGGGAGTTAGATATACAGCAGAAGGGAGGAAAATAAGAGCCTGATTGAGAAAATGCAAATGAATACCTAGAGGGAAAAGGGATTGCAAATACAGATGTAGCTCTGGGAGCACAGGTCTGAGACAGAGCTGGAGACAAAGCAGATGACACAGGTCCCAGTGCACAGTGAGTCCCAAGCGAATGCCCCTTGACTTAGAATAGTGATGGGCATGAGGCAATTGTCATGAATACCACGTGGCCTTGCCACAGCTCTACTCGCTGTGTGAGTTCACATCAAGAAGTCCCATCTGCACTGGAGCCAGCAGAAGCAGAGAGGTGAGAAAGGGACTTTGGAAATTAACCACATTTCTAGACTTCTCTAGGAAGAGAAGGCTGGGTTTATAGGAAATGGTCATGTGGAGATCCGAGAAACTGCAATGGTAGTGGGTGTCTGCCTGGAAAAAGTAACAGAAGCACGTGGTCCTGGCGGTGGCCATGCTGTCTGCTGGGGCCCAGTGTTCCTTCTCTGCATCTTGTCCTTTCACTCTCTGTTGCATTACCGTTGTGCTGTTCTGGAACCCTGGCTATCAGAACTCATGCTCAAAAATGTTTCATTTGAATATTGATAGGGAGAATGACACACCCTTACTAATGCAGTATTTCTACCAAAAATGTGTAACCAGAGTCAAATTATGAGGAACATACAAACCCATAACTGGGACATTCTGCAAAATATAGGCCTGCATTCTTCAAAGGACATTCATGTTGTGAAAGACAAAGGCTGAGGAACTGTCTCAGATTAAAGGAGTCTAAGGAGATATAACAACTAAATGCAATGTGTGATCCTGGATTGGAAAAACAAAAATTACTATAAAGAACAATAATGGGACAATTGGCAAAATTTGGATATAGACAGTATGTTGGATAATTACATTGTATCAATATTAAATATCTTGAATTTCATAATGGCACTATAGTCATATAATATCCTTGTTTTTAGGATATATAAACATTGGTGTATAGGGCTTAAGGGTCATGATGTCAGTAGTGTACTCTCAATCAAACAGAATGTGAAGAATAGTGTGTGTGTGTGCATGTGTGTGTACCTTTTGCCTTAAAAAATTACAATAGTCTGAAAACAATCTAATGCTTCCTAGATAATTCCAGAGCATGTGGTGCTTTGGTGCCTCTATCATCGTGGCCATTTTGATGATACAATTGTGATTATAAAAGCTATAAGGGAAGGGCTACGTGTATGCTGAGCCCTAGACATTCTCTAAAATGTGTTTGGTTTCTAAATTCTCTTATCAGCTGTGTTTCTTGTCACTTGCCTCTTTCTCCTAGAAATCAAAGGCACAGGATCTATTGCCATTTCCACCTAACCAGAGATGATTCAATATTATGGCACAGGCTTATGGTGGCCTCCTTGATCCTCTTGGTAGCGTCATCCACTCGTTATCAGTTTTTCACTGGGTTGAAACCAAGCTACTTCATTTACCTGCTTTCTATTTTCAAGGAGCTCACTCAGGCCACTGGCTTAGCAGAGCTCCTCCTGGATTCTCAATCTTCTGCATCACATTAGGGCAGTAAAGTGCTTAGTAAAGCACACAAAAGGCTGAGGCACAGAATAATTTAGGTGTCATGGGCACTTATATATTCAGGAGAAGGAGGGAAATGACAGCATTGAGCCTTTTGCTGTAGGGCCGGAATAGAGTGAGACAAACTGAGGAAGTCCCTTTTCTCCAACCGTATGTGACATCAGTTATGCCAAAGGAGACGAGAAAAGCAAAATGTCTCCTCTAAGCTAATCAGCACCTTTGCAACTACTGGGGCAGCAGCTGCACATACATATTCTCTCTGGGTCGTCCATATTCATGGGCACTGAGGATAGGTCTGGCAACACGTGGTTTTTTCCCCCACCAGTCAGCTAAATCTAAGTTTTAAATGCGAAGTGTGCATTTCAAGGACATTATGTGGATTTGTGGCAGTGCCTGGAGGACTTTGGGTCTATAAAATGAAGAATAAATTACAAGGACATATAAATAAAGCATTTTCATCAGTGACAGTTATAATGTTGTCACAATATCAAAGAAAACTGGTGACTTTCTGCAGATGAGCATGTCTGTGGCTACAAGAAAGTGCATCGCTAAGCAGAAATTGGAGTGAAAGAAAATGAGGTTACAATGGTGACATCTCAAAAGCCTCCTGCTTCAAAGCAAAGCAAGATGTGTGCAGTTCTGTTTCTCACTAAGCAGATCTGTTTGTAACTCGGCATAAGAAAAGACACTGATCTGGAGTCCGTAACAGAGTAGATCTTTTCCAGCCTAGGGAAGTCTCAGTGGGGCTTCTGGTGAACCCCTATGTGTCAAGGAAAGGCAGGGGCTGGAAGGGTGAATGAACTCACCTGGAGCCTGAGATGATCTGAGAGCTGGCCCAAGGTCCTGGGATGTCCTTGTTCTTGTGCTTCCAAGGTCACTGTCTTAGTCGGTTTCCTGCTGCTTCACAGAATGCCACAGCCTGGGTAATTTGTATAGAAAAGTAATTTATTTCTCATAGTTGGGAGCTAGGAAGTCCAAGAGCCTGGCTCTGGTATCTGGTGAGGGCCTTCTTGCTGTGTGATTCCATGGAGGAAGGTGAAAGCAAGCATGTGGACAGAGCAAATGGAGGCCTAACTTACCCCCAATCTTTTTTTTTTCTTTTTGAGGCAGAGTCTCACTCTGTGGCCAGGCTGGAGTGCAGTGGTGCAATCTTGGCTCACTGCAACCTCTGAGTCCCTGGTTCAAGCGATTCTCCTGCCTCAGCCTCCTGAATAGCTGGGATTACAGGCATGCGCAACCACGCCCAGCTAATTTTTGTATTTTTAGTAGAGACGGGGTTTCGCTATGTTGGCCAGGATGGTCTTGAACTCCTGACCTCGTGATCTGCCTACCTCGGCCACCCAATAACTTACTTGCTTTATCAGGAGTCCAGTCCCGCGATAACTAACCCACCCTGCAATAATAGTATTAATTCATTCATGAGTGTGGAATCTTCATGATCCAATCACCTCCCAAAGGCCTCACCTCTTAGTATTACAATGGCAATTAAGTTCTCAACACATGAACTTTGGAGGACATATTCAAAGCATAGCAGGAACTTTCCTTCATATCTTTCCAAGGAGACTCCACAGGCAAAATATACTCCATCAGACTTTCATACCTGCCCTGTCAGACCTTCCTATTTTCCCCACTACCCTTCATCTTAAAGCATTAGCCAGATAAATAATGACCCCACAGTTCTACAGGCTTCTAAAAAACCACTTCCCATTTTTACCTACTTAGTTCAACACATAACTTGTATTAGGACATGATTGGCAGGCTTCAGAATACATGACTACCCTGGGGCACAGGATGAGGAAGTTATCTGTACTTATGTGTAGGGTTCTGCCCAAAAGCCTACTGTCTGGTATCAGCAGCCTACAAATACAGAGATCTAAAATTAATTCATACTTCAAGATTGCAAGGCCTCAGGTCTATGCCACCCTGCTAGTTTTTTTAAGCACTGTGTTAAGAAAAAAATGTTAAACATATACAGAAATAGTAACAAAGAATCTCAATATTCGACAATCATAAGCATTTTGCCTACTCACTTCATCTCTGCATTCCTCTCCTCCTTTTTTGCCAGATTATTTTAGAGCCAATTCCAGCATCATGCTGTTTTACTCCTAAATATTTAAATATGCTTCTCAAAAGAATAAGAACATTTCTTTTAAATAACCACAAGTCCACTGTCATTTACAAAATCCAGAATTCCTTAATATCATTGAATACTGTCCTCATTCAAAATTACCTGACAGTCTATAAAATGCCTTTTTGAACTGCTTTATTTGGATCAGGATCTAAATGAGGTCTACTGTATTATTTGATGGTTATGTCTCTTAAGTAGATCTTATATCTCTGTATCTTTTAACAAGCACTATCTCCTCTCTCATTCTCTCTCTCTCTCTCTCTCTCTTTCACACACACACACACACACACACACAGATAGAACAAAGTCAGTTGTTCCATAGAATGTCCCACTTAAATCCACCATATCACTTTGAGATGTGAAGTTAAACCTAAAATCTTGATGAGTTTAAAGTTTAATTATTTTTTTGGCAAGAATACTTCATAGACAATGCTGTATACCTCACATTGTCTCACATACGAAAGTATGTAATGTTTGATTGTCTTATTTTGGTGATGCTTATCTAAGGTCGATTTGTTTGTTTCAAACTGAAATTAAACATTTCCATTCAACCAAAATCAAAACTGTAAAACCAAGTGCATTCAGAGAAGTCTCACATTTATCCCTGCTCTTCTATCTGGTCTCTTCCCTCTTCTTAAAGGCAATCAGTTTTTGGGTTTTTGCATGGTTTGTTTTAACAAATATAAGAAAATTCACACACACCTTTCTTACACAAAAGGCATACTCTGTACATTATACTACATACTGTATACTATATACACTACATATATTGTTCTGCATTTTGCTTTTTTCACCTTGAAATATATCCCAGATATCACTCCATATCAATATATGGAGGGTTTTTTTTATTTTTTTCAGTTTTAGAGGATTCCATTTTGTGAATGTACCATGTTTTGTTCAAGTAGTCCTATATTGATGAATAGTCTGGTTATTGTCAATTTTGCTATTACAAAAAAAGTACTACAGTTAACAATGTGCATTCATCATCTTGTTTTTGGCAAGTGTATATTTGGTAAAGATTACTAGAAGTACGATTGCCGCTCGGAAGGTAAAACATATATAATTTTGCTAGATAGTCTATAAAATTATTAAGTCTAATATTAATTTACTTTGTTTCTCCCATCAGAAAGAAGCCAACAAAACATATAACTGTGAAAATTTAGGTCTCAGTGAAATCCCTGACACTCTACCAAACACAACAGAATTTTTGGAATTCAGCTTTAATTTTTTGCCTACAATTCACAATAGAACCTTCAGCAGACTCATGAATCTTACCTTTTTGGATTTAACTAGGTATGTATCTGAGTTATTTGTGTGCTCTTTTATTTTATTTAAGTTAAAATACAGTATGTGCTTAATTTATTTGCAGGACCTTTTTGGGGGGCCCAGGGACAATCTGCTTATACTACATGTTTATGCCTCCCCATGAAATACTCCTATGTGGGTGAAATGTAATTTAAATAAACATCAACCAATGGAGAGGAAAATGGATTGCTCTCAAACCAGTTGCATCAATAGCACTGTTGAAGCAGTTCTAAGGAATACTGATAGCAAAAATGAAAATAATCTTGTACTAAATCAGATGCCAAACTATGCTAAATTTTGGCATAGTTTATTTTTGGGTAATTACATTTAAGAAAAATTTCTAGGAGAAAAGCACACCATCTACTTTTCCCCCCTACAAATTGGAAAATGAGTTCCATTATTTTGTTATAGTGGCATAATTGGGATTCCACATGCTGAGCCAGTGTTTGAGAACCAGTAGGAAGAAGTATTACAAGAAAATAAGGGAAGAAAATGAAAGGGCTATACTGCGTGTGTGTGTGTGTGTGTGTGTGTGTGTGTGTGTGTGTGTAAGAGGGGACAGGCTCTGCGTGTACCTGCAGTCTGCACCCTTTGCGGCAGTTCTACTTCTTCTATTTTGTCCTTCAACTTCAGCTTCTGTGGACAGGATGTCCACATCCATACTACCGCTTCATCTTTAAAAGCACCAGTGTGAGATTCCATGGTGCGTAGTATCATCCAACTTATGGTTAGATGAGGAGGCCATCTGTGTGTGTGTGTGTGTGTGTGTGTGTGTGATCCAGTATTTTTAGGTGCAATACCAGGATGGTTTTCTCAGATGAAAATACAGAGGTTGAGAAAAGTTGTAACTTGCCCGGGATGACACAGATTTTTGTGTGTGTATATATATATGTATTTTATACCATATATTATCTATTATGCATTCTATATGATATATTTTGTATTACTTAAAACAGTAAATAATAATTTGATTTTTGCCACAATCAAATGACCCATGGTTCCTTAGAATACAGGCACAAACCTCTGAGGGTTCAATCTAAGGGGTGAGATACCTGGAAAAAAAATCTAGATTGGCGTGTTCAGAAGTGAGGCTACTCATTAATTCCTTCAATAGGCCATCTGTTGATATTGAAGAAAGTTCTTATATTTGATTTTGAATGATACAAAAGATGACTTTGTTAATGTGTGTCACTGTAAAGTATTTTTTTACTTTTTTCAAATGAATTATTGTTAAATACGATTATCTTTTCAAGGTGCCAGATTAACTGGATACATGAAGACACTTTTCAAAGCCATCATCAATTAAGCACACTTGTGTTAACTGGAAATCCCCTGATATTCATGGCAGAAACATCGCTTAATGGGCCCAAGTCACTGAAGCATCTTTTCTTAATCCAAACGGGAATATCCAATCTCGAGTTTATTCCAGTGCACAATCTGGAAAACTTGGAAAGCTTGTATCTTGGAAGCAACCATATTTCCTCCATTAAGTTCCCCAAAGACTTCCCAGCACGGAATCTGAAAGTACTGGATTTTCAGAATAATGCTATACACTACATCTCTAGAGAAGACATGAGGTCTCTGGAGCAGGCCATCAACCTAAGCCTGAACTTCAATGGCAATAATGTTAAAGGTATTGAGCTTGGGGCTTTTGATTCAACGATCTTCCAAAGTTTGAACTTTGGAGGAACTCCAAATTTGTCTGTTATATTCAATGGTCTGCAGAACTCTACTACTCAGTCTCTCTGGCTGGGAACATTTGAGGACATTGATGACGAAGATATTAGTTCAGCCATGCTCAAGGGACTCTGTGAAATGTCTGTTGAGAGCCTCAACCTGCAGGAACACCGCTTCTCTGACATCTCATCCACCACATTTCAGTGCTTCACCCAACTCCAAGAATTGGATCTGACAGCAACTCACTTGAAAGGGTTACCCTCTGGGATGAAGGGTCTGAACTTGCTCAAGAAATTAGTTCTCAGTGTAAATCATTTCGATCAATTGTGTCAAATCAGTGCTGCCAATTTCCCCTCCCTTACACACCTCTACATCAGAGGCAACGTGAAGAAACTTCACCTTGGTGTTGGCTGCTTGGAGAAACTAGGAAACCTTCAGACACTTGATTTAAGCCATAATGACATAGAGGCTTCTGACTGCTGCAGTCTGCAACTCAAAAACCTGTCCCACTTGCAAACCTTAAACCTGAGCCACAATGAGCCTCTTGGTCTCCAGAGTCAGGCATTCAAAGAATGTCCTCAGCTAGAACTCCTCGATTTGGCATTTACCCGCTTACACATTAATGCTCCACAAAGTCCCTTCCAAAACCTCCATTTCCTTCAGGTTCTGAATCTCACTTACTGCTTCCTTGATACCAGCAATCAGCATCTTCTAGCAGGCCTACCAGTTCTCCGGCATCTCAACTTAAAAGGGAATCACTTTCAAGATGGGACTATCACGAAGACCAACCTACTTCAGACCGTGGGCAGCTTGGAGGTTCTGATTTTGTCCTCTTGTGGTCTCCTCTCTATAGACCAGCAAGCATTCCACAGCTTGGGAAAAATGAGCCATGTAGACTTAAGCCACAACAGCCTGACATGCGACAGCATTGATTCTCTTAGCCATCTTAAGGGAATCTACCTCAATCTGGCTGCCAACAGCATTAACATCATCTCACCCCGTCTCCTCCCTATCTTGTCCCAGCAGAGCACCATTAATTTAAGTCATAACCCCCTGGACTGCACTTGCTCGAATATTCATTTCTTAACATGGTACAAAGAAAACCTGCACAAACTTGAAGGCTCGGAGGAGACCACGTGTGCAAACCCGCCATCTCTAAGGGGAGTTAAGCTATCTGATGTCAAGCTTTCCTGTGGGATTACAGCCATAGGCATTTTCTTTCTCATAGTATTTCTATTATTGTTGGCTATTCTGCTATTTTTTGCAGTTAAATACCTTCTCAGGTGGAAATACCAACACATTTAGTGCTGAAGGTTTCCAGAGAAAGCAAATAAGTGTGCTTAGCAAAATTGCTCTAAGTGAAAGAACTGTCATCTGCTGGTGACCAGACCAGACTTTTCAGATTGCTTCCTGGAACTGGGCAGGGACTCACTGTGCTTTTCTGAGCTTCTTACTCCTGTGAGTCCCAGAGCTAAAGAACCTTCTAGGCAAGTACACCGAATGACTCAGTCCAGAGGGTCAGATGCTGCTGTGAGAGGCACAGAGCCCTTTCCGCATGTGGAAGAGTGGGAGGAAGCAGAGGGAGGGACTGGGCAGGGACTGCCGGCCCCGGAGTCTCCCACAGGGAGGCCATTCCCCTTCTACTCACCGACATCCCTCCCAGCACCACACACCCCGCCCCTGAAAGGAGATCATCAGCCCCCACAATTTGTCAGAGCTGAAGCCAGCCCACTACCCACCCCCACTACAGCATTGTGCTTGGGTCTGGGTTCTCAGTAATGTAGCCATTTGAGAAACTTACTTGGGGACAAAGTCTCAATCCTTATTTTAAATGAAAAAAGAAAAGAAAAGCATAATAAATTTAAAAGAAAAGGCTGAGAAATGAAACTTGGTATCAAATCGACTCCATTAATCTTCTTAATCCTTAGGTCTGTAAGGTCTCTGTAATGCCCCTAGGGTGTGAATGGCTATAAAAAATAGAACCCACCCCCAAGGTTTAGAATTTCTTCCACATTTGCCTCACTCAGTTCAGAAACCAGGCAGGCTCTCTCTGCCTATCTGGTGTTCTGGCTCTTATGTTACAGATCCTAACTTGCAGGTGGGCTGTGACCCAAAATGCTCTTCTCATTTGGGCATCCGGTTCTTAGAAGTCTCTTTTCCAGAAGAACTGTGAAATAAATCGTGGTTTGGTTCTCAGGCTTGCCCTTAAAAGCCTATTTGCTTCGGAGAGCATTTGAATTAGCACATTTACGTGAAAATGAGGAAGAAGGCATCCCTGCATGCTAGCTGTTGGGAACACAGTAAAGCTGGCTTAGTGAGAAGTGGTTTCTGTTGAGGCTGGGGATGTCACCAAAGGTCACACCAGCCATGGACAGGGGCCTGAACCACTGAATGCAGATAGACAAAGAGCAATGTCATGACTTAGGCTTAAAGGGCCATACTCACACAGGCCTGTATCTTCTGAAGTCTTGATTGCCAGACAAGCTTGGCGGGAGCTCCTGGACTCAAGTGGTGCATTGTTCTGTTCAATAACCAATTTTAGGGTAGAGATAGAGATGGTAACTTATAGTTATGAAATTCTGATAAGCTAACAAAATAAAAATGGATCCAACCAATCAGAATATATTAGTCCTTAAGTTGAAGGCATACTAGTGGGACATCATAACAGAGTGAAAACTTGGGGGTCATCCTTTTTGTCTCTTCGCCCCCAGGAAAAGCAGGGCAGGCAGGGAACAGCAGTGGGTGAACCTCTTCTCTGCTCAGGGATTTCAGGCCTTCACACTTGCTCTTTCCTTTGCCTCTAAGATGCTGCCATTGGCCTCCAAATGGCTCCTTCCTTCATCTTGAGATTTCAGTGCTAATATTTTCTCCTTTGAGGGATTTCTTCTCTGACCTAGCTAATCCAAAGCAACCTCTATGCCTCACCTGGTTTTATTATCTTTATAATGCTTATCAGTGTTTGGAATTAACTTCTTCATTTGTTTTAATTAGTTTCTCTTGTCTTGTCTCTCCCAAATACAAGTGCCATGAGAGGGTCTTTGCCTAAAGATACCCTAGAACATGCCTGGGACATAGTAAGGACTCTCTCTCTCTCTCTCCATATGTGTGTGTGTGTGTATGTGTGTGTATGTGTGTGTGTATATATATATATAATTTTTTTTTTGAGACTGATTCTTGCTCTGTCGCCCAGGCTGGAGTGCTATAGTGCAATCTTGGCTCACTGTAACCTCCGCCTCCCAGGTTCCAGCGATTCTCCTGCCTCAGCCTCCTGAGTAGCTGGGATTACAGGCGCCCACCACCACGCCTGGCTAATTTTTGTATTTTTAGTAGAGACAGGGTTTCACCATGTTGGCCAGGCTGGTCTTGAACTCCTGACCTCAAGTGATCTGCCCGCCTCGGCCTCCCAAAGTGCTGGGATTACAGATGAGAGCCATCGTGCCCGGCCAAGATTCAATATATTTTTAATATGTGCTGATCCCTGAGCCTTTATTAGCTCCTAGTTCTGCCACCATGCCTATGCTGCTGACTCTTAGCTCCTGACCTCTCCACGGTTTCCTGGGCCTCCCACATGTTTTTCACTGGCATCTCCTAGGGAAGTTTTTACAAAATGGATTCCCAGGCCTCACCCCCAGATACTGAGATTCTGTTGGACTGAGGTTGGCTCAGGGTTCCCAGCCAAATGATTCCATGTAAAATGTGGAAGGTCCAAACTCTAAGAATCCAGTCTTAGACAGCACCAACCCATTGAGTCCCTGCATATTCTGTCACAGGTAAGCTCTTTCTTGCCTTAGGGATTTAAGCTGCAGATGGAAAATACTAATTGCTGATTTACCAACCCATAGACATACTGCCCTCCATAATATTTAATATGTAACTTGGAAAAACGAAACAATTCTGTAGAAAACCTCTGATGTGAATTACATCACACTAACAATGAAAGGGGCCCAGGCCTTAGCAAAGCATAATTGCCCATCCTGCTTTCACTTCTCAGGCCCGCTCCCTTCCATGCGATGCAGCTTGCTGCTCCGTAACTGATCTAAGGCTTTGTGACAGCTCCTCTGTTTTAAGCAACAGTAAATTCACCCCACAAAGTCAGAAAGGGAGCTTGTTGATGGCTGCTGTCAATTTTATTGCTTTAACCTGTTTACTAGGATAGACTCTGTAACATGGTGTGTTTATTGGTTTTATGTATTGCATGTTGTTGCTGCTCTGACAAGCTACTCCTATAAAAATGTGTTATTATTGCACGATGTAGCTCAGTGAGCTGACCCTGCATTTCAAAGGGTACTGGAGCAAATAGCACTGAAGTCCATAAAAGCTGACTGGCCTCCATCACAGAGGACTCTCTGCATGAGCTGCAACTCCTACAACCCAGGAGAGAATTACACCTTTCCCTGTGCCAGCAGCCACTGCTTAGTACAGCACAGCCCTTGAACACAGGCAATATCTGTAAAATTCCAAGACAGAAAACTGTCGTGCCATTCTTATTTGTCCAACTCTCCAATCAGTGTAGTTTGCAATTTTGATGTTTATAAAAGTATGAAACAAATGGCTCTTGAATGTTTTCCTATATTACTATAGTGTGCAAGAGGGGTAACTGACATTGTTTGGCCCTGAATGCTGAATAGAAACTTGAATTATAGCAAGAGGGGATGTGGTTGTTTCTTAGCAAGTCATGACTGGGGGGTCCCAAGTGTTGGGCTGGAGTTGATTGCCTGACATGTTAAGAGTATGAAGGTGTAACATGGTGGGAGTTAGCCTGAAGGCTGTGGAGGAATGGATAAGCCCAGTGGGCTGTTCTAGTTTAACATCAGAATAATCGGGGGACTTCTTTACAAAACAGATTCCTGTGCTTCACCCCTAGATATTGGGATTCTGTGAGAGTGGGATTGGCCCTGAACTCTCAGCCATGTAAAATACTTCCCTTATCTTAATGTTATCAACCAATAGCAGAAGTATATATTAGGCCCCATGAGTCAAATGAGCTGGAGAATTGCTCCATATCCCATAAGAGGAAATTTCTTAACAAAATGGGGAAAAAGCGCTAAGGAACCCTCAAATCCAGGGGTGAAACGTCCTGGTCAGGCGGCTCGTTAGTCCCTTCTGCCGTCACCGCCATCCTCCAAGACCCTGCTCCTAAAGCCACCCTGCTCTCCCACCCACTCTCACCCACTGCACTTTATCCTAGCTATTGACAATTTGAAATCATTTATTGAATACTGTGGAACTTGATAAAGGCAAGAATTAATCTACATATTCTATTTAAAAGCTGTTATTGCTCATGAATGATTAAGCAGTGAAGTTCGTGAAGTTCATCGAACACCGTCCTCCAATCCTCCCCATCTTTGGTTAATGTTCTCTGAGCACTTGGCTGGATCCTGCAAAGGTAAGCAGAGGACAAGTGGCCACCAGAGCATCCATTCCATCTCCTCCTCCACCCTTTATGGTGATTAATGGGCTTTCTAAATAAATTAGGTCTCCCTTTTTCTCTTTCTCTCTTCCTTGGAGAGAACCTAAATGTGCAACAATAGATAAATGATTAAGGATATTAGATGATCTGAATAAATGAGGAGATACTCCATGCTCTTAGGTGGAACATCTTAACACTAAAAATATGTTGATTCTATTAGCAATCAGAGAAATACAAGTTAAAATGAGATAAATGTTTATATCTATTGGACTGGCAAAAAGAGAAAGCTAGATGATAGTGTAGTTGGGGCTGTGGGGTTTTAGGAACTACATGCCCTGATTATGGGGATGTAGACTGGTACAGCCATTCTAGGACCATCTGGCAACAATTAATCAAATTAAATGTATTATCCACAAACTGCTCTGGGTTTTTTTCCCAAGAAAGCATCATATGTCCACAAAGTGATTCATTGCAGCATTATTTGTGGAGGGGAAAGTTCACAGCAATTTGAGTGTTCTGCACTAGGAAGTAGGTGAGTAAAATGGGGAAGATGCTCAAGACAGGAAGCACTAGACAGTAGTTAGAAGCAGTGTATTAGATGCAGCCATAGCAACGTAGCTGAATCATAAACATATAGAACTTAATGTGAAAAAACAAAATTATATATATATATGTATGTGTGTATTTATATATGTGTATATATGTGTGTGTACATATATGTGTGTGTATATATAAAAAATATATATATATTTTTTTTGAGAGTCTCACTCTGTCGCCCAGCTGTAGTTCAGTGCCACCATCTTGGCTCACTGCAACCTCTGCCTCCCAGGTTCAAGCGATTCTCCTGCCTCAGCCTCCCAAGTAGCTGGGAGTATAGGCATACACCACCATGCCCAGCTAATTTTTGTATTTTTAGTAGAGATGGGGTTTCACCATGTTGGCCAGGATGGTCTTGATCTCTTGACCTCGTAATCTACCCACTTCATCCTCCCAAATTGTTGGGATTACAGGCGTGAGCCACTGTACCCAGCCAATAAAATAATATGTTAACATGGTCATCCATGTAACTTAAACAAGCATGCATGAAAACAATGATACATACATTTTGCAGGAACAAAAGCAAAAAGATAAACCATTAACATAATTGCTTATGGGGTGGTGGTGGAGAATGGAAGGGGCTGTTGGGATAATTAAATGAACCTTAGAATAGGCCAAGGTTGATGTGCCAGGAACAGAAGAGTAAGATGGCCTCCATGGTCTGCACCTGAGGCTCTCTAACAGATTTATTGAAAGAAAGGAAACACATTTATTGAAAGAAAGGCATACCACAGGAAATAAAGTGGTATGGCTCAAAGGTATAATGAGACACCATGCAGCCATTATACATATTGCAGAAGTTTGCTTATAAACATTGAAATATATTTGTTTTAATATTCAAGTGACACTGGCCCAAGAGTTTCATAGACAGTTGCTTTTGGATAAACATAAATATGGACCCTTCTGCTGTAAAAGCTTGAAACATATCTGTTTTATCTGAGTTCCTTTCTCAGGAAATGACCTTCAGGCCTCTCACAAAAAGTATCAAAGAACTGAAACCAGATTGCCACACCAGATGCCCCACCCCTCATTCACTATGATTGCTTCCTTGCCCCTCCCAAGTTCCTGTTTTCTTACACATTGTTACATTTTTTTGTGTGCTATATAAACCCTTGGTTTTAGTTGGTCAGGGAGATGGATTTGAGACTGAGCTTTCTTCTGCTCTGCTGCATCACTCAATTAAAGCCTTCTTCCTTGGTGACACCTGTCATCTCAGTGGTTTGCTTTTTGTGCAGTGAGCAGCAGGACCTAGACCAAACCCCTGGTGTTTTGGTGACACAAGTGGAAGAGCAGAAGAGTGGGCTAAAGAGCATGCCCACTGTTAATTCATTATTCAGCAAAACAAAAAAATACCTATAAGTTAAAGAAACAGAGTGGCTGGTAGGATTTCAGGGATTCAAATACTTTCTTCTCATCTATATTTCCAACATGGCTTCAATGACCAGGTCTGGGCAATAAGGAGAAAAAGGAATTATTTTTTAAGGAAGACTTTTGCTTTTAAAAAGATAAAAAACAGAGATCATCGGTTGTGAGAATGTACAGGTACTGAAAAGGAGGCAGTGTTTTTCTAAGTCTTTGTGTTTTCAAATGCAAATGGTAAAGCCCAAGCTTTGAGGGAACAGAGGGAGCCATAGCTGTTCTAAGGATCCCCATTTGAATGGGGCAGTAGGACATGCATTACATGGGGTGTCCACAGAACTGCCTCCAGCCCCAACAGGAGTAGATATGTCTCCAACTCAGGAAAATTACTTCAGTACAGCACTGTTTAACACAGCATACGTATTCCAAAAGGACAGAACTTTAAGGCAAATGATTTTTATTTAGACAGGTTAAGGCTGGAGGATATGGTGATGCCAGCCTGACATATGCAGACTTTGTAGCTGCAACATGCTTGCTGCAGGCCTTGCAAACATCTTTTCATTCTTCCTTTCCCAGATGTTGACAGCCATCTCCTGGCAGCGCTTAATGAAATGGCAGATGACTATTTGTTAGAGGCTTTCAGCTTTACAAGAGCAATAGACATTTCGTCAAGCTGTGTGGGGTGATAACCTGTAACCATATGCAACAGATCTTTTTCCCATGTCTGGACATACTAAACTGGCATGTCACAGAGTGTACAGAGAACTTCACTCTTGGGACCCATCCCCTTTTTCAAGTGCTTGCCTGCCTACAAGTATTGGAATTGACAGCCCCAACATCAGCCAGTGATGTTGTAAGAGATAGTGATCTTGTCTTTTGAAATGCTGGGTCACAGAAATCAGTGAGATGTTGCTGAGTGTTTTCCTATAAGGAATAGTGCTAATGACTCCAGTGCAGGGTCTGAGGTGTCTCAACTGCCAGAGAACTTCATCATGGGTCAGGCTGATTGGCTTTCAGCATACAAAACGTAATCAAACCAAGGTTTGGCAAAGCCTTGGTCATTTCCAAATTTTCTAGATATATGAGACATGTAGGGGGTAGAGAAAGAGAGGAATAACACAAAATGATTGCTTTGAGGAATAAAAACATCCTGGCAGGAGGGAAATGAAATTTAGAGAACTGCCCTACCATAGATTTTCTTAAAGCCTGGCCTAGAATGAAGGAAGCAAATTTCTGTAGTTACTATAGCTACACGTTTTCATGTTACATTTGTGTTGTGAACCGAAAATGCTAGATGAGAAATTGTCTACTGATTAATTAGAACTGATAAAGAGGCCCTATTACAGAGAACGATTAGCTTCCTTCACTTAACGGTTTCCCACCAATCATCAAATTCATAATTTAGCACCATATGATTTTTCTACATGCAAAGAGGAAATAAGATAGCTTAGATTATTCAGAGAGGGGCCTGAATCTGAATTCAATTACATGACACCTGGTAATACTGAGAAAGGTCAAGCGCTTCAGAACCAGAAAAATTCAGATTCTAATCCAAGCTCTCTTTCCAGGGTGTATGTTAAGCAAACGACATAGCCTGGCTGGGCCTGATTTCTCATCTATAAAATGGGAATGGCACCACCGGGTTTGAGAATTGTGTTGATGTTTAAGTCAGAGGGCAGATGAAAAGCTTCTTGCTCAGTACTAAGCACATACATGTGTGCGTGTATACACACATGCTTAGTACTGAGTAGGTATATATGTATACACACACACATACACACAGTAGGTGGACAATAAGTGTTTAGGTTGCTGTCTTCCTGATGGTTTCAATGGTTTTTGAGTTTTCTATGCCCAAGGGCTTAAAAAACACCAATAATCATCGTAGTAGACTTTAGCTGGAGACAAATTTGAGCACGGATGGTAAATATACTCTTATATTACTATTGCCCATGCCTCCCAGATAAGAATCACCTGCCCCTCATGTCCACTGATTATAAACCCAGTTTCTCAGGCCTTGTCCTAGAGATTTTTGCGTGAGTGGATCAGCGATGAGGTCTAGAAACTTGTATTTTTAACAAATATTCCAAGTAATTCTCATCTTCTAGGAAGCTTGGGGAGTAGTGATAACAATGCTTCTCAAATTTTGAAGGGCAAGCAAATTACTTGGCTATCATGGAAATGCAGAAAATCAGCAGGTCCAGGGATGGGGAAGGCAGGGGGTCAGGGGACTGAGATTCTGCATTCCTAACACACTCCCAGGTGATGCAGATGTTGCTGGTCTGAGGACCACACTTTGAGTGGAAAGGGTCCTTAGGGCTCAACTGGACCAGCAGTTATATGGGAAATGTCTTCAAGTTCTGTTCATGATGATTTCATGTTGAGGTAGAATGAGTCAAGTATCATCCTCTACCTGGGAAATTTGTTTTTGCTTTTCAACCTTGCATGCACATTAGAATCACCTGTGGAAGTTATTTTATTATTTTTTAATTATAGATGCCTAGGCCCAATCTTCAGAGATTCTAACTCCCTGGTGTGGCCAGGCAGGGCATTCATGTGGTCAACAGGCAGGCAGCATCTGAGTCATTTGAGAAGAGCTTGTTAGAATTTTCTGCGCTATCATAGGCCTTCTGAACCAGAATTAGCAAGATCCCACATGAATCATGTGCATGTTAGAGCTGAGATGTGCTGCCTCACCTGAAGTCTTCAAGCCAACCCCTTTTCTTCTTGTAAATGCTTGGCAGTTCAGTGCTCAACAGCCAAGGGAAGCTGCCATTGCCCCCTGTGGGAGGGTTAGTACTATTTTTAGAAGTGATTTCTCCCTACTTTAATTCCTATCTCTAGTTCATGAATTCTCTGGTCCTCTTGATAGTCTTGCCCCATGTCCCCACATCATGCCACCTCCAAAAGGCAGAACTTGTAATTTTTTTTTTATTATTAAAGTTTTAGGGTACATGTGCACAATGTGCAGGTTAGTTACATATGTATACATGTGCCATGCTGGTGCGCTGCACCCACTAACTCGTCATCTAGCATTAGGTATATCTCCCAATGCTATCCCTCCCCCCTCCCCCTACCCCACAACAGGCCCCAGAGTGTGATGTTCCCCTTCCTGTGTCCATGTGTTCTCATTGTTCAATTCCCACCTATCAGTGAGAATATGTGGTGTTTGGTTTTTTGTTCTTGCGATAGTTTACTGAGAATGATGATTTCCAATTTCATCCATGTCCCTACAAAGGACATGAACTCATCCTTTTTTATGGCTGCATAGTATTCCATGGTGTATATATGCCACATTTTCTTAATCCAGTCTATCATTGTTGGGCATTTGGGTTGGTTCCAAGTCTTTGCTATTGTGAATAATGCCACAATAAACATACGTGTGCATGTGTCTTTATAGCAGCATGATTTATAGTCCTTTGGGTATATACCCAGTAATGGGATGGCTGGGTCAAATGGTATTTCTAGTTCTAGATCCCTGAGGAATCGCCACACTGACTTCCACAATGGTTGAACTAGTTTACAGTCCCACCAACAGTGTAAAAGTGTTCCTATTTCTCCACATCCTCTCCAGCACCTGTTGTTTCCTGACTTTTTAATGATTGCCATTCTAACGGGTGTGAGATGGTATCTCATTGTGGTTTTGATTTGCATTTCTCTGATGGCCAGTGATGGTGAGCATTTTTTCATGTGTCTTTTGGCTGCATAAATGTCTTCTTTTGAGATGTGTCTGTTCATGTCCTTCGCCCACTTTTTGATGGGGTTGTTTGTTTTGGCATTACCATTCAGGACACAGGCATGGGCAAGGACTTCATGTCTAAAACACCAAAAGCAATGGCAACAAAAGCCAAAATTGACAAATGGGATCTAATTAAACTAAAGAGTTTCTGCACAGCAAAAGAAACTACCGTCAGTGAACAGGCAACCTACAAAATGGGAGAAAATTTTCGCAACCTACTCATCTGACAAAGGGCTAATATACAGAATCTACAATGAACTGAAACAAATTTACGAGAACTTGTAATTTTTGTAGGCTGCATCACATTGTGCTTACATTGTTATAAAGAAGGAAAAATAATGCCTTGAAGAGCTGGGCACCCTTGTAGTCCCAGGTACTCGAGAGGCTGAGCAGAGAGGATCCCTTGAGCCCAGGGGTTTGAGGCCAGCATGGGCAACCCATGTCTCTTTAAAAAAATGCCTTGGGCTTAAAAGAGGTAGCCCTCAGTTTATTAGGGAAATATTATACACCCAAACACATATTTAGCTACATTTCAATTTTTTAAAATCCCAAATAAGATAACACTACGTGGATGCTGAAAATACAGTACAAGAAATTGTGCCCCAGACTGGACAGACCCACAAGAGCATGTCTAATTGTTTGCCCTTTAATGACCTCATTAGTTTTACCTGGTCGAGCTCAAGGTAAATACCTTTAAAACTTCAATCTCTTGCTTTTCATTTAAAGTTTCTTTTATGTATTCGCTCTAAACTGGTTGTTCACTTAATAGCTCTTGCTATGGCCATTATTGGCTCTGTGATGTGTGTACTTAATATCCTTTGTGGGTTTTTTCTTTTATGGTGAAGACCGACTTTTCTGCATAGCATGATACCAAGTCCCATTAAAATGACCATTTCCATACTTACTTTTAAAAACTGTGAATCTTAGCAGAGTGGGTTCCTCTAAGCAGGGAAAACTACATCACGCAGGCAGTGAAAAACACTGTCATGATTCTGTCCCATTTCATCTTGCAATTTATATTGTAGTAGAATAGTGTGTGGGAGGAAGAAGGTCTCGTCTAATGGTAGAGGTTAAATGTATGGGCTGTCCAGTCAGATCGCTTGAGTTCAAGCCTCAGTCCTGCCAATCACGAGGGTTAGTCACTTAACCTCTTTCCAAGTTTTGGCTTCCTAATTTATAAAATGAAGCAACGTATAGTTCAAATGGCACGGAGATTAAATAAGAAGATGGAAATAAAGTATTTAGTGTGTTACTTGGCTTCTAGTAAATGTGCTACAAACAGTAGCGACTACTAATACTTCCTTTCTTGTTCAATTCGGTCCAGCAAATGTATTAGTCCGTTCTCACACTGCTATAAAGAACTGCTCAAGACTGGGTAATGTATAAAGGAAAGAGGTTTAATTGACTCGTAGTTCAGCATGGCTGGGGAGGCCTCAGGAAATTGACAATCATGGCAGAAGGCAAAGGGGAAGCAAGCCACCTTCTTCACACAGCGGCAGAAAGAAGTGCTGAGCGAAGGGTGGGGAAGAGCCCCTTATAAAACCATCAGTTCTCATGAGAACAGCATGAGGGAAACTGCCCCCATGATTCAGTTACTCCACCTCGTCTCTCCCTTGACACGTGGGAATTATGGGGGTTACAATTTAAGAGGAAATTTGGGTGGAGACACAAAGCCTAACCATATCAGCAAATACTTATTGATGTCTCCGATGTGCTTTGTCCTAGAAGTAAAAAACAAGACAGAGAACCAGGGAGCTTGAAGTCTAGCAAAGAAGATACACATGTAGAAAGGTAACTCCAAAATAACGCAGTGAGTGCCATGAGGCAGATACACAGTGAAGCAAAGACAGTCCACAGGTCGGTCCAGGCCTTTCCAAAAGGCTTCCTCCAGATGTCTGAGTCCAGCACACATGCTGAGCTGGAGTTATCTAGGGTAAGGATACATTTAAGGAACTGGCCTTTACCCGAAGAATATGGGTGCTACTTAAAGGTTTAAAGCAGGGTAGTAACATGGTGTGCTTACACTTGAGCAACATCACTCTAGGGACATTGTGAAGAACAGACTAGAAGGGGTAAGAGCGAAGGCAAGAAAACCAGTTAGGAGGCTGTTGAGGTCATCTGGAGAGAGACTATGATAGAGACCAAACTAAGGCTGCCAGTAGCACAATAGTGACGGGACATGGATTGCACAGAAGAGTATATTGTGAAATCAGTGAAGCTTTTTTTTTTTTTTTTTTTTTTTTAAGATGTAAGGCAAGAAAGAAGAGTTTAGGCAGAAATCTAGGATCTGACTCGGAGAAAAGATGGGGAATACAGTGAGCTTTGAAAGAAGGGGCACCAAAATAAGCATATTTTTGGACATTTTGAGTGTGAGGTGCCTGAGCCAAGTTGAAATGCTCAGGGACCAAGGACGAACCCAGGAAACACCAGTATTTAAAGGGACAAGAGGACAAGGAAGAAATTCTCTAAAGAGAGAAAAAGAACAGGTTGAAGACAACTAGGAGAGAGGGCTGTCAGGGACAGACCGGTTCTCAAGATGGTCTACTGAAGTGATGTCTTGACAAGAGGGCTTTAGAGTCAGCTGTGTCACTGGTGACCTCTACCAGAGCGATGTTGATGGCATGGGTGACAGAGCCAGGTTTCAAAGGGGTGAAGACCCAAAAATACTAAGTGCAGACTCCTCTTGTAGGATGTCACCTGAGAAGGGACAGAGGGAAAAGGCCAGGTAAAGAAAGGGTTTTCTGAAAGGAAAGAGACAGTTGGGGAGGAAAAAGAGAATGCTGAGGCAGACTATGGTAATTGATGGAGCAAGTTCGTGAGAGAATGAGAGGAGGTGGTGGTGGTGTCACAGAGAAAGGAGAATCAAGACCCCCTGAGTGTGGGAAGATGGTGAGTGTGAGTGTAGAAGTTGGTAAGTTCTGCAGGCAAGGAAAAAGGTTGGTAGAAAAAAATAGGAAGAAGTTAAAAGAGGACTTAATCTTTTTTTTTTTTCTTTTTTTTGGAGATAGGGTCTCACTCTGTTGCCCAGGCTGGAATGCAATGGCACAATTATAGCTTGTTCACTGCAGCCTTGAACTTATGGGTTTAAGTAATTCTCCTACCTCAGCCTCCTGAGTAGTTGGGACAATAGGCGTACACCACCACACCCAGCTAACTTTTCAAGTTTTTGTAGAGATAGGGTCTATGTTGCCCAGGTTGGTCTCCAATTCCTAGCTGAAGCCATCTTCCTGCCTTAAGACTCCCAAATAGCTAGGACTACAGGTGAGCACCACTATGCCCAGCTAAAGGACTTAATGTTGAAGAATATTTGTGTACATTTTTAAGAAAAAAAGGCAAACTGTTCCACTCAGCAAAAAGTAATCTGTAAAAACCTATCCTTTCCATAATACCAGAGTAATAATCAGTAATATTTTTTGGAGGTGGAATGCATATGAGTATATTAGAAAAAAACTTACGAGTCATTATCTTTTCATGCTAAATTTTTATTTCAATGTTATGCAACTGCATAAGTATAAATATTTTGTTCAATATACAACAATTATGACGTCCATAAGGAATTTCTTAGAGAAAATAAGACTGCAAACACTTTATTGCACAGATCCTAACAAACTTTTAAGCTGGTAAATCTACAGCTGGGAGTACTACCAAGGAGCACATCCTACAATCACACAGAGACTGACCAAATAGAACACAATGAGGAGAATTTCTACCAGCTGATTGGAGAGGTTTACAACAACAAACATGTAATACATGAATGCAACCTTAAGTACTCTTTACTCATTTATAATGAAAAACATATTTGGCAAAAATGATGATACACTATACAAAATATACATAAAAATATCATTTGTAAACAAATAGCTAGTTGTGCTTTAAAGGAAATTGGACAGTTAAAAAGCAAAGGCTTGTAAACCATGAACTACCTCCCCGACAGACTTGTCCCGATGGCTGAATGTAGGATTGGGTTATGACAACTGCCAAACACAGATATGTATTATAAACGTTGAGACCAGTTTTGAAATCCATTAGTAAACTCTTGTAAAGTATATATATATATTTTTACAGCTTCACAATATAGTGATGGGGAATGGCTAAAACCATATGGGAAAAAAAAATTAGGGGCAAGGAGGAGGCTTTTTTCTTTTTCTTTTTTTGTTTGTTTTTTTCCTTTTTCCCAAAGCCAATTCATTTTACAACGAAGGACAACTGAGCAGTCGGTTAAGTTATGCCTTTGTTTTCAGAGTGGAGTTTATAGCCTCACTAGAAGATTTACAATCCATAAGGCCATAAGATGATGCTGTGCTTAGATGAACAATTTTATAGCGTGAAGATACTAAGACATCCCCCAAGAGAGTTTGGGTGCTAGATCAGTTATTTATTGGTAATTTTTTTTCTCTTACAAAACCAAACAAAAAATTCTGCTATGGTTCCCAAGCAACTTATAAATACTTATCTGTATTTTCTCTTAGTGCCTTAGTATTTATATCAGCAAGTGCCATCTTACAATACAAAACAAGCCACCAAAGAAACTGCAACAACAGAAACAAAAACAAGAAATCAAAAACCTTCAGCACTAAAATGATTTGACAAATTCTACATATTCCACGGTATACAAAATTTAAATAAGGCTTAGCAAAAGTAAAAAGGATGGTCACATTCAAGCACCAAATAGCTCCAGCGAGTCTCTTTGTTACAAAAATGCTGCTCTGTATTAAGACAGTATTTTTTGCATACAAATAAAGAGATCAGGTTATGAAATGTGTGGAGCTACTAGATGCAGCAGAAATGAATGTGAAACCCAGGAACTTGCTAAAAACAGCAAGCTTCATCTACAACATAAGGCCCCAGCTATGTATTAAAATGTATCTGATGTCCTGATTATTCTTTAATCGATATGCTACGATGCCAAAATCCACCCCCAGTTCTTTTCCTCAAAAAAGCAAATTTAAAACCTCTTCCAATGCCTGATGCTTATTACTCAAGTACTAGAAGATTTGGGTGCAGCCAGTAATTTTCCTTTTTATTCAAGAGCAGGGCTGGTGCAGGACTACTACAAAATGTGTGCTTCTTGGACTAGTCACTCACAGCATAAAGGCCTGAGTTTAAGAGTTTGAAAAGAAGGAAAAGAAAGCAAACAGAAAGAAAGTTGATGTGTGTTTATAGTCCCCGCTCTACCTCAGGTGAAGGCCAGACATCCACATCCACAGAAAGGAACAACTGGCCTTTTAGACAGTTGGACCAGGGATCCAGTGTCCATTGGGATGGCCGTGTAATGAAAATGGCTAGCTCCACTTGTCCTGGCCATTCCTAATGGAGGAGGATTCCAAATGCAGTACTTAGAGTAGTTCTTGCTTTAGATCTGGAAATATAGGTAGCCAGATACAGTACTATCAGAAACTCTGGTTAAAATACACATAAAAACTCAGAATCTACTGTGTTTAGGGCTTTCTTCCATCTTAACTTAGAATGTTTTAGCTTATAAAAATGGAACCTTGAAATAGTCTCTTAAACCACAGACCAAAACATGTAGGTGGATGTGTATATACACGAATATGGGTGTATCTCTGTTCACACACACCCAGTTTTGACCATTTTGCTTCATTACTACATTATGATAAATGGTAAAGCAAAAATCTTATTTAAAAAAAGCTGTAGTAAACGACGCAATCAGCAGCCAGGTATAGACTCTACATCCCAAACCAAACACGATGCTATATATTTACAAAGAAAATCATTTTCCTCAACAACCCTCAACTGTAAAGGTAATTTTTTTTTTTTTTTTTTTTTTTTTTTTTGTACAAACACTATCTGGTAACAGTTTTACCGGTTACAACTGGGAAGGCATCTGGAAGAAGGTCCCCTCTTTGTCTTTCTCTCTCCCCTGTCTCAATGAGGCTCCGAGCTCTGCCTGGCGGACATTCCCACACAGTGCTGGTTTTGAAAGGTAGTCAAGACACAGTCGCCCGTTCAGGACGGGTCTCCACAGTCCTGCCCCTGGGCCCTCCCCGTTACAAGGCCTTTTTGTGAGGGCTGCTACGCAAACTCTCTTTCCCCCGCCTCTGCCGTACCACAAAGTCCTTCTCATTAGAAAGAGAGATGGGGCGGTCAGTGTTTGGGGCTGGGGATGGCTTGGTCACGTCTCTGCCCACGTTCTGTTTCCTAGCTGGGGGAGGCTGGGCTGGGGCAGGGTCCTTCCCTTTGGTTTCCCCTACGGTGGCAGTCACCGAGAGAGCCCTGTCCCGGTGGCTGGCCCCGCCCATGGTGTTTGGGTCGGGGTGGTGTGACTCCAGAGGCAGGGTGGAGACCCGGAAGGAGGGCAGGGAGTCACTCTTTGTCATGTGGGTTCGGCCCTCCCCGGCAGGCTGAGCCTTCCTATGGTCCCTGTTGCTGGGGGCTGGAAGCTCCAGCATGCCCCCGGCGGCCTTGGCAGAAGAGGTGTCGCTGCTGGCTGCAGAGGCCTCTCTAACTCCGGCCCTGGTTTCAGGGAAGCTGGAGGAGCAGCTCAGAGACTTTTCCGGGAGGGCCGTGGATCGGAAAGAACTCTGCCCAGTGGCTGAGGGGGACCGTTTCATGCCATTGGGCTTGTCTGCCTCCGTCGGTGGCTTCTGGGGACCGGGCCCTTTCCCTCTGGCCTCAGGGAAGCCCTTCCCCACCCCCGCGGCTGGCCGCTCCGCGCCTTTCAACCGGTTCTCGCTATGCACAAAGGAAAGGCCGGCCTCGAGCTTGTCGCCCTCTGCTGGAGCATAAAGTGCTTCAGTGCATTTCTTCCCTTCCGCCCTTCTGTCGGTGTTGGCGGCCGGCTGACTCGGGCTTTTGTCTGTCTGTCTGTTGTCTGTCTGTTTGCACAGGGTGGGGCAATCTTTCACAGTGGATGGTTTGGGGTGCTTTGGAGACAGGGTTTGCTTTTCACCAACAGCGGACAGTTTCTGGTCCGCTGGCTCACTAGGCCCTGGGTGTCCCGGCCTTGGCAAATGCACAGGCTTCTCCAGCACCTCCAGGGGCCGCCCACCACTGGTGGGTTGTGGCTTGGCGTCTAGAGGAGCCCTGTCAGTGTGCAGTGGGACAGAGGGCCCACCTTCTCCCTGGCCAATCCCATCGCTGGCTTTGTTCTGGGAGCCTGGGGTAGCAGGAAACACATCCGGCCCACTCTTACTGTGGCCCTTCCCCTCTCTGCTAGAGCCACCGAGGGACTGAGTGGCAGGCTCTTTGCCCTTTGTGGCCCCGACACTTGGTTTCTGAGAGGAGAGGGACCGGTCGGGGTGCTTAGTCTTTGGAGGGCCCGGGTCAGGGCCAGGCCGGGGCTTGTGGCTGCTGCTTTCACTGTGCGCAGCAACAGGCTTGGGAGGGTCCTGGGGGCTCGAGCTGGGCTCTGCAGTGCTGGGCTTGGCCCCCGGCTCTCTGCCAGAAGCGTGGCTTGGGGAACTGCAATGCTGCCTGGCAGCCGGGCTGGACAGGTCTTTGGCCGTCAGAGGGGGCGGAGGGATGCTGCTGGGATGCCTTTGTAGAGGCTGCTCCTTCCTTTCAGGTTCCTTGGCACCATCTTTCTGCAAAGATGGGAAACTGGAGAGCTTTTCACTCTTCTCACTCTCAATTCCAGGTGGCTGCAGAGACCGCCTGGCAAGAAGCGCTTCGGGCTTGGGTTCCACGCCACGCCTCACCTTGCCCAGCTCCTTCTCACAGGGAATTCCAGCTGAGTGCAGAGAGGAGTTGTCTCTGGGCGGGGGCCTCGCCTCACCTGGGCCATCTTTGTGGTTCGTTTTCCCACCCGGCGCCCATGCTTTCTCCATGGCCTGGGTCTGTGTATAGAAATCTGGGTGGGTCCTTCCCACAGAGAGGAGATTTTTGGAGTTGTCACTGGTTTTCGCAGTTTCTGGAAAGCACAGTTCCATGGAGGGCTCTCTGCATGTGTCAGCCCTCGCAGCAGAGCGCTCGCTTCTGGCTGTGGGAGGGCCTCTTTCAGACGATTCCCTCAGGCCTGGCTTCTCCCTTGAGGGGGAAGCTTCAGGTGGGAGCGGGCAGCGTGGCCTGGCCAGGTCAGGGCTGTGGAGGTTCTGCCCCAGGCAGGTCAGAAGCTTGGGGTCAGTGGTGTGGTCTTGGTGTTTAGGGGAGCTGCCCTCTCTCTGTTGGGGATTGCTTTCCATGACTGTTCCAGGGCTCCTGGCAGTAGGATGGGGACCTTTCCTGTCCCTCTTGAACTCTGGGTCAGGCAGGGAAACTGCTGGTGAATTCTGGAGACCTCGGCTGGGGGGCAGGAACCAAGGCTCCAGCAGGTAGGATTTATTCATCTTTAAGCTGGAAGGAGAAAGCTCTCTTGCACTGGTGGTATCGTTCTTTTTCCCACTGCTGCTGGGGAGAACTGGTGGCACAGAGGCCCTCACGTCACCACTTGGGCTGGGGCTCTGTGCAGACTCTGGGGAAGGCAGTTCTGTCTTGGAGGCCTGAGGTCCGGACAGGAGAGCAATGTCCAGAGTGCCCTCGATCGGCTTCAGGCATGAGACAGACCTACCTTCCAGCTTATACTCGGAGGGGCTCTTCCTAACAGGGGACTCAGGAGCAACCAAGCCAGGCTTCTCCGTTCCACTGTCCACCCGGCCTGTTAAGGCCTTGAGGGGAACAAAAGAGACGGCACTCATCTGAGCTGCATGGGTGCTGCTGACAAAAGCTCGGCTCTCAGAAGCCGGCGGGGGCTCCTGCTGCCCACCCGTGGGTCGGACTGGGTTCCCTGGCAGGCATTCGTGGGAGCCAGCTGTCATCTTGGGCTTCAGCACAGGGCAGAGGTTGTCCTCTTTGTCCTCAAGTGACATTTTCTTTCGGAGGTAATCGATGTTGGCCAGCTTGCTGTCTAACTTTTCACATCGGAGAAGCTCCTTGGCCTGGGAGGACTTCTCCGTGCCTTCCCCCTTCCCAGAGATGCCCCTGTCGAGGGAGTGGCAGAGACCATCCTGGAGGGTGCCAGGAGCGGGGGCCCGTCTGAAGTCCCCGCCACCCTGGCGGTGCTCCGCAGGCACCCGGCCATCCGACATCGCACCCTCGCTGGCGCGCACGCTGGCCTGCTTGTGAAGAGCATCCTTCAGCAGGCTGCCCAGCGGTGGCGCCTCCTGCATAGACGCTTTGTTTTCAAAAGTACTTGACCTTTCCACAGCCTTCGGATAGACTTTCTTCTCTCTCTCTTCCAGCTTAAACAGAGCAAAGTTTTCCAAATCACTCCCGGGTCCATGGGATTTCTGGTGGGATTCCTGTTTCTCTGGGAAGCCGTCTGCTTTCTTCACCACCACCTTGGCCTTCAGCTTGTCGCGGTCCAGGTCGTCCACAGACTCCTGGCGGCCCACCTTCCGGGAGACTGGGCGTTTCAGGCAGCCTTGCTCCACTGGCCGGGCGCGGCTGAGCGGCGGCACGTCGCACACGTTCTCATCCAGGCTCTGCAGCGGCGCCTCCCGCTGGGACTGCTCCCGCTGCACCTCCTCTTGGGTCACCTCCAGGCTGTGCTTGCGGGAGCACAGGTGCTTCTTGTCACTGCCGTAAGAGGGCGACAGCTTCTCCTCGGACTGCACGCGCTTGAGCAGCGGGGACCTGGGGGGCTCCGCACTCTTGGGCCTCACGATGTGTCTGACGATGGTGGGCGGGGAGTGCATCTTGCTGGGAAAGGCTTGCGCGATCTTGGAATTGCCCAGTGAGTGTCCCAGAAGAGGGGATGGTGACCGCTGCGGGGAGGTGGGTTGCGGGGTTGGAGAGGGCGTCCGGGCCAGCGGGGACAGTGGGATGTTGCCGGCGGACTTTCGCCTTCCGGACCGGTACCGCTGCCCGCCGAGTTTGGGTGCAAGACCGTGGAGAGTGCTGGGCCGGATGTGCCCGGACCCTGCTGGGGAATTGGGGGCACTAGAACTAGGGGAGCTGCTCTGGGAGGAATTAGTACCTGTGGATGGAAAACAGAAGGCTGTGAGCATCCATGGTCATTTTCCCCTTTTTTTCACAGTTGTAGCCCAGACTGTATTAGGTAAGGCCAGGTAAGATCAGCAAATTGTCTCAGCATTTAGCTAGTGGAATAAACACTTTTCAGATAAACCTCTCCAGGCCAAGGTTTAGCCCCATACTTCTTGACTTATTTGTTTGGTCAGAATAGCCACATCTTATGACCTCTCTATAAATCTGTCTTTATAATTTACACCTTCAACCTGCTTTCTTTCAGCTGGAACAAGCTTCATGTTTTTTGGGGACCTCACATGACTTTACCTCCCCTCCCCTCTGCTGTTTAGACCAGGAGACTCACTCACCAGATGGGAAGTCAGGGGTGGAGCGGTAGCTTGGTGTTGGAGACCGGGGAGACAAGCTATGAGTGGGGGAACCTGGGAGGCTCTCACCCGATGACAGGGATCTGTTCAAGCAGGAGAAACTTCGGCTGGTGTGGAGTAAAGGAGAAGGCTGCTTGGCTAGCTTTTTGAAAAGAGATCTCCTCCTACAGAAAAACAGGAAAAAATTGTTCAGTCTTCTTTCAGAACTATTGCTGCCTCCCCAAAATACCATTGTGCTCAGCTCAATAACTCCGTGTGAGGGACAGGGATACAACAGCAGATCCTATTAAAGAGCAGAACACCACTTTCCTATTAGAAACCTTCTTATGACATGTAAAGGAAGAGTATTTAATAGTAGACAATGGAGCCTCTCTCAATTCCAAACACTTAAGAAGAGTTGGAAAAATAGGAAAAATATAAAATGCATTAAAAATACATTCATTTACTTGTTAGGTATATGAGGAGGATGCTCTTTGCTTGAAAGCTTCTGAGTACCTACCCCTAAATATGCAGACACAACTTAACTAAGAGATAATACAAAGTAAACCTCTGGAAGCAAAACCATTGTATTGGAAATCAAATTCTTTAATGGTGATAGGCTGGGCAGAGGCCAATGAAGGGCTATTTGCTGTGCTTATTCCATTGTGGGCTCTTGAATATTCCTAACAACAATGCAGGCTGTACAACGACATAGAAAAAACCGAGAAAGGTGAAGCTGAAGCGTATCGTATCAGCAGGGCAGCAGACACTGTACTGCAGCAGAAGCAAATGTGGATTTGGTACTCAATGAGCACATCTTAAGGCAAAAGCACAGCTTCTGACACCTTAGCAGGGCATCGGGCTGTGCAAAGTTCTTTTACCATATAAGCCTATATATGGTAAGATCTAACCCACTCCACATAAGCTTAAAACAAAGTTTCTGGTTGCTAGCCCTTGAAACAATTTGTTCTAAATGATTTAAAGCACAGCCAAAATATAAAGCATAATAATAAAGAAGATCTTATGTGTGTGTAATTTTAATCAGAGTAATAAATGTACTTGGGTGAAAAAGTCAAATACTTCTATAAACATACAATGAAAAACAGCAACTCCTCTACTCGAATTTTTCTCTACTCCCCAAAGAAGTCGCTTTGTATTCTTTTACCTGTTTCTTCTCCCATTTGTCTACATATTGCTAAATGTTTGTACACTGCTATTTTTTAGTTTTTCAGTTTTAGAAATTACCTGTTGATTTTCTACTATGAAAGATGATAATTAAGCTCTTATACAACCACCTTCTACCTTGCAACCAAATATATTTCCCCTTTTCTATTCTTCCCAATATAGCGAAAGCAAAATTTTTGGTTAGAAAAACGGCCGGTATTTTATCTTATATTATAAATATTGTTCACAGCTGGGCCATATGAAACATAATTCTGTTCCTTTCTTGTATAACTTTTTTTCCCCCCAGAGTTAATACATGGCTTTTCGTTTGCTTGTTTTTCTACATTTCTATCATCAAAAATCCTTTTAATATGATGTGACTCATCAGGCCCAATTGAGTAAAGAAATGCTGTGGCATTGCAAAGGAGGCACACCCAGAGAGCTGCCTGGCAAGAAACAGCCCTGCCAGAAACACATACCTCTTGCTAGTGTCTGCAAGCAGCACAAAAAGATACTGATCAGTGCTTCCCAGGCTACAAAAGTATATAAGCTAGTTCGTTTTTCAGTGAGTAAAACAAAGCCCTTTTATTTCTAGGCTTATTCGGAACCTTTAAAGGTAACAGTAATTTTAGAATATCTGGCATTTTAAAAATAGCAACTGTTTGTTTTTTGATAACGTAAAGGACATTTTAAATGTAGATTTAATGTTAAAAACCACCTGAAGATCCAGTTCCTCAATCCAACTCAACTGAAATCAAGTGAAGAGGCTTAAAAAACAGCAAAGGGCTTTTCCTGACATTCACACATGATAAAAAACAATCTGAATCCTTCCACAATGTAAATATGTAAATCCTTTTACTATGGAAGTTGATGCTATTATGAATATGGATTTTAATGTATACATATATGTGAACCATAACATAAAATTTCTCACAGAAAAATAGATCTTCTTCATATATAAGCATTTAATTAAGGGGTAACTTTTCCCCAACATAGGTATACACCAAACTTAAAAAGAATACTGATTTTACTAACCTTTCGAGACTTTCTTTCTTCTTGGATTTCTTGCTCCGCCTCACCATCCGGCTCTTATAGCTGTTTCTCCTGGCTGGTCCAGTTTTGATTGATGTGTTTTCAAATGGGGTAGTAGTGATTGACACCTTATTCCCACTCTAAAGAAAAGATGAGGTGGCATTAAAGGGAAATGCTGTGATGAAGCAAGATCAGAACAGAGATGAGAGATTCATAGACAAATACAAATAGAAAGGAACATACATATAAAAGGCCTTCTGTTTCTAAATAACCCTTCAATCAAAGAAGTCCTGCCAGAATACAAACTGGGTGGAAGGCAAAATATGAAGTTTCTTTACGAGGGTGAGTTCTGGAGTCCACAGATCTGAGTTCAAATCCAAGCACTGTGCCCTTACCAGGCTGCTACCCTCCCTACCCTCAACTTCCTGTACCAATTAACAATATAATCCTACCTATCTCCTGGGGCTCATTTGAGGATCACATGAGAGCAAGTCTGTAAAGCCTTTTGCACCCAGTGCAACACAAGGAAAGAACACTATAAATAAGATAACTACTTCTTCCACAGGTATTAAGTATTAATGTTCCCAGTGGCTGGCTGCTCTTGGTTGATTTTTCTTTTTTCTCCTTTTTGTGTTTTTCCTTTGGCCTAAAAATTGTAGAGTAACAAAACCGAATGAGACTTTTATTTTTAATTATTTTAAAAGGCTCCTTTTCTATCACCATAAAACCTATCAGTTTGCAGAGCTGGAACATTTATGCCAGCCAGTAGGAAACCTCTTTTTAACCAGGTCATACAGGGTAAGGTAATTTCTGTGAGTTTCGGTGTCCTTTCTCTCAATCCTGGGAAGGGGCTTGCTGGGCAGCCTCTAGGGATGGAACTGAGCGTGGAGTCAGCAGTCAGGCCGAGGGGGGCCCAGGGCAGGTGGGTAGTCCCTGGCATCAATTACCCTTCCTGAATTTCATAATAACCAGGGGAGAAACCTGTCCTTTCAAGGTCACAGATGGCCCCGATTACCATGAAAGTACAAGAGGTACAAGGAAAAGGATCTTTTTAAAGGCCCATGCCTGGAAGATACCTAGAGCTCAGCTCAACATGGTACCAAGTGAAGGGGAGTTGGGGGGAGTTAGGTATGGTGGCAGCAGAGGACTGAAAAGACAGGGAATGACTGTCTTAAAGATAGCATCTACCTTCCCCCTTGATTTGGGAAGTAATCCATGCTACAGTAAGAAGATAATAGGAAAGTATTAAAAAAAAATTAAGAAGCTTACCACCCAACCACTAGTCATATTTCAGTATATTTCCTGCTGGTTTTTTCTCACGCATGTGTAAATAGGCACATATGTACACATGCTTTATAACTAATTTAAATCTCAGTTTATTTACAGCTTTATGTTGCTTTTTCATTGCACATTATATAATTTGGAAAAATTTTCCCTTTATCATTAAATAATCTTTAAAAACATGATTTTTACTGGCTGAGCAATATATCCGATCAGATGGGTGAATCAAAATTATGTAATATTTCCTTACTGCTATTGTTCTCTTTTTTTGTTGTTTTTTGAGACACAGTTTCACTCTTGTTGCCCAGGCTGGAGTGCAATGGCACGATCTCGGCTCACTGCAACCTCTACCTCCCAGGTTCAAGTGATTCTCCTGCCTCAGCCTCCCAGGTAGCTGGGATTACAGGCATGTGCAACCAGGCCTGGCTAATTTTGTATTTTTAGTAAAGATAGGGTTTCTCCATGTTGGTCAGGCTGGTCTTGAACTCCTGACCTCAGGCGATCTGCCTGCGTTGGCCTCCCAAAGTACTGGGATTACAGGCATGAGCTACCGTGCCCAGCTGATTATTTTCTGTGTTTAAATTCTTACACAGTTTGATGTTGTCCCTTATTTAGTTTGGTTATTTGTATTTCTTTAAGAAATGATTTATTCAGTCTTACATCCAGTTTAATATTGGAAGGTCTTAGTATTTTATTATTAGTTTTAGAGTTCTTTAATTTTTTTTAATTAAAAAAAATTTTTTTGAGATGGGGTCTTCCTCTATTGCCCAGGTTGGAGTGCAGTGGTGTGATCACAGCTCACCACAGCCTCGAACTCCTGGGCTCAAGCAATCCTCCTGCCTCACCCTCTGAGTAGCTGGGATTACGGGAGCACACAACCACGGCTGACTTAGAATTCTGTGTGTGTTTAAGACAATATACTTTCATACCTAATGTCATATTTGCAGGAAATATTTTAGGGAAAGGGGGCTTTAACTTCAACAAGAGAAAAAAGTTTATTTTGTTTTCTATCGCAAAATAATAAACATTCTTCATGCAAGCCCCAAAACATTAAAAATAAACCTTTATCTGATAGTAGAGATGGCATTCTAGTTGTTCTTTAATGAGAAAAATCATTTTGTAAGTATGTAAGGTCTACCACTGAAGGTTTTTTGGAGTGGGGTCTTCTCTTCACAAATTGAGGCCATGCTGAAATTTTAGTATTTCCTGTGGTGAAGGAAAGGGGCAACAAGCATGGCGAGTTCCTGTGTCACTGATGTTCCTTCAGTCCTCTTCCATATGCAGAGAGTGGACGTGCAGAACCATAATGACCGCTGGGGCTATACTACCATGTGTGCCACTAGAGCTGGAATCCAGTTCCACTCTTTTCTAATACAATTCAGGATTGACTTTTTAAAAGCATAGATTTATTTTTAAACCATTTTCATATATATTCTCTAAATTTATTTTCACAAACAAGTCGTAAGCGTTGTTTGTTTCACCCTCATGGCCTAGAAGAGTTTGTTATCCTTCCTTTACAGGTAAAGAAAACGGATTCTGAGACAACAGACAACAAGGTTCTTGTTTCCGAGGTCACTGAGAGTCCAGTGGAAAAGCCCATGCTGGCTCTCTTGCTGCTCACCCCCAAAGCTCCTCCTACCAAACCCCGCTCCCTGTGGGCAGGGAATGCCCCCCAGTCCTCTCCATCTCTCCTGAGCCTGGCACAGTGCATAGCTGGTACTTAATGAGTGGCGGTAAGGGAAACAGGCACTTGATTGACACGTGGCATGGTAAAAGTATAAGACTGTCAAGATAAAATGAAGGAGCCATAAACATATAAAATTGTATGAGACACATATAAATCCTCAACATACTTATCATCAGAAAACAGTGAAGACCAGGGCTTAAATGACAGCACATCACTAGACTCAGTACAAATGCTCCTACCCCTATAAAGACCAAGCCCAGTTCTGTTTCTTGTCTCCACAAGTGGCTGTTCCAGAGGAAAATTCATTTAACTTACAGGCATACGCCAAAGACAACTTCTCTAAGGGGAAATACAGACACAAAGGATGCAGAGTACAATAATTAGGTTGGAAGCATTAATGGTTACAAAAATGGTAAATGATTGGAAAAATGATAGGTGAGATTTGTGAAGCCTGCCACCTGGTGGATCCATCCAGCTACAGCGAGTGCTACCTGAACTGCTCAAGGTGGCTTACTAGGTCGATTTACCCACAATTAACTTCTCTTGATTAATGACTGACCTTGTATAGAAGAATTTCTGTAGCACTTGTTTAAAAAAATAACAAAAATGCAGCTGGCAGACTGTTAAATGTTCAATTAATTCACTTTTACTTTAAACTATTTTCATGACTGGTGCACAGTGTGAAGAAAATTATTTCAAGTTGCCGGAATTGAATACAATAGCAGAAGTCAGGCTGTCCAATTTCTTCTCTGGGTCTGGCTCTAAGTTAACTTATCAGTTTGGCCCTGGGTAACTCACCGAACGACTGCTTTTGCATTTCCTTCTCTGGAAAGCACAGATGGGAGATGGGCCCATTGCATCCCTGCGGCCTCAACCCCTTCACTACCCAATCTTGGCCATCTTGCACACTGTATCCTCACATTAACCCAGGCTTCAGCCTGCTGGTTCACTTGTATACCTCATAAACCTTGAGATCTCCTGTCCTCATGTTTACACACCTCATCATTTGGCCTAGACTATCCCGCACCCCTGACTATATACTGAATTGCCACTCATCCATCAAAGCCTTGCACAGATAACCCTCAATTCTTTGACGCCATTCCTGTCCACCCTGGAGAAAAGTCATCCCTCTTTTGGAACTTCTGCCGTGTTTATAGTCTGTTACTTAAGTTGAACACTTTGATTTTAGCCTGGTATGGCCACTGTTTCCCCCTGTGAACAGCAGACTTTAAGTTACTGGCAGCTGGAGAGTATGTACAGCACACATGTAGAGCAGTGTGCTGTGGTAGTGGAAAAAGTGCAGGCTCCGGAGCTACATCGCCTGGGTGCAAATCATCTTATACTCCTTTCCAGCAGATAAGCTTAGATTGCTTTGTTATCTTCTTCTGCTTTTGTTTTTTTCATCTGTGAAATGGGAACATTTATATTTATAGCACCCACCTCAGAAGGTAACTGTTTGGATTACATGCGTTTATTCCCGTAAAACCATTGACAAGAGTGTGGCAGGCATCAAGAGCGCTTGCCCCATTAACTATTATCCTTACGTGTCTTTTTTTTTTTTTTTTTCTTGAGACGGAATCTCACTCTGTCGCCCAGGCTGGAGTGCAGTGGCGCTATCTTGGCCCACTGCAACCTCCGCCTCCCGGGTTCAAGAAATTCTCTGTCTCAGCCTCCTGAGTAGCTGGGATTACAGGCGCCCACCACCACGCCCAGCTAATTTTTGTACTTTTAGTAGAGATGGGGTTTCGCCATCTTGGCCAGGCTGGTCTTGAACTCCTGACCTCGTGATCGCCCCACCTCGGCCTCCCAAAGTGCTGGGATTACGGGTATGAGCCACTGTGCCTGGCCCTTATGTGTCATTTTTGTTTGGCCCTTGCAGTATTTTGCACATCAGCTCTGTGCACATCAGCGGCTTGACAGATATGGGAGGATGGTAATCAAGCTATTTGATGGCCCCCATTTTAGTACACTGAAGCTCCCCAGTGTCCATGGAAAGGAAATTTCTGAAGCAGAGGCTGGTAAAGTTTTACGGCTTCTCCTATGCATTGGGGATTTAAACTAATGCTATACTTAAAAAGCAACTTGGTTGAAAAGAAAGTTTCTTAGATCACAGAAGTTAAGCCTGGCTAATTGGAACAGGTAATGGGACTGGGCCAAGTATCGTCTCCACCTGTAATGCTAGTGGGTGAAGAATGACCTCGGTCTACTTAAAAAGTTGTTTTTAGAAAGACTGATGCTGTCTAAAAGCTTTCCTCATGGCAGGAAAGCTTTGAGGTGAAGCTGAAGGAGGACACTGTCAGGGATTCATATAGCCAGTGGGGAGCTGAACTGGATAACCATCACATTTTATAATTCCATGGATCGAGGATGCTGAGTGACTTTGGACAAGTTTGCCTATGCATGGAAGATAGTGCTCCCATAGCAGGTTCACTTTGAAGTTGTGAAGGTAAACAAGACCAAATATGTGAATCTATGAAACATGGAAAATGCTTACTATATTCATAATCCAAAAGACAAACACTATACAGGTAGTCATGCAGTTCTAAACATACACCTACACCCCTGTCAGGACTTCTCCACCTTTCTCTAAGACTGCCATGACATTCCGTAAAGTCCTTTGCAAGTATAAAACACTGTGTAAACAGCATTCGAGAGTACCATAATACAGCCAACTTCCCTGCTGTTAAACCAATGAAGGCACACAGGAGCCCAGCACTGACACTAGTCACTTAATACTCTGATTTCAAGAGTCACTGGTTAAATTTGGAAGGAAGCTGCATGATTACACAGTTCACTGGGAAGATAATTAAATCCCTTGTATCCTCTTGGTTTCATGACATTGCTTACTCCTCTTGAGTGCTTCCTTTATGAACACAGGCAGGATGTTCTTTGGATTTGTGACAGAGTACACCGTGGCTTCAAAGGGTGCCAATGGCTCTCCACTCCACTGTTTAAGCAGTTTCAGTGACACACATCGACTGCATCCAGAAATGAAGGCTTTGGGTTGTGCAAGGTGCTCCGTAGCCAGATGAGGGCAAGACAATAGAAATGGGATCATCTGAGTCTGCTAAGAGACCTTGCCAGAGTCCTCTAGGGGAAATACACATTCAAATTTCATAGAAGCAGGAAGAGAAGTTTTAAAATACAGAATTCTATTAAAATACTTTACAAAATAAATCACGAAAGTGATCAATTATGTCTCAGCAAAATAAGCAAATGTATACTTCTCAATATATACATTTCAGTGTATTATTTCTTATTCTAATGTTGTGAACAGACATATGATACTATCTAGAGATATGCTGTCGCAGGAGCTGTTCTGCATAAAATACAACGCTGCTATAAAGAATGAAAAAGACAAATCAAATAACTGAACAGAACTATCTGAGAGCTATCTGAGAGGATCAGTGTGTGTCCTTTCTCTCTCTCCATTTACAGTCATGCTTCCTGTGACCTTCTTACTCCATAGGCTATATTCTGCTTACATTTTAAGTAGAAATTGATCCCTGTTTAAGTTAATTTGTATGGTGGGGAGGGAGGCCTAATAATTGCTAGAACTTCTTCTTTCAGTACCACTTATTTTTTATAATTTATAGTACATGTGTATATATTTACAATTTTATCTTTCAAAGGAACTCTAATTCTCAGACTAAACCTTCAGATCAAACCTCACAGTTTAATACAATTTTGTCTTCTAGTATACTAGAATGAAACCTGTTAGAAGTTCCTGAAGGAAGTCACCTTCAGGATAGGTGACTCTCCAAATAGATGTCACTGTGTAAGGTATATAAACAAAGAGAATTCTTACTACTTACAATTTAGAATGAGAAGCAAAATTAAATTAGGGAATGAGTATGCAGATATAAGGACATTATTTCATGACATAAAACCAGAGAATTCATAATATCTTTGTCTTTAAACTTGAGACTAATGAATACTTTCTCAGTAATCAGACATGGGTGTGACACAGGGAAATCAATCTCCTGGTACTAGCCCCTTTGGGCTGCCTGTCTCATCAGCATGGCCCTGACATAAAACATACAATACCTTCAGTAGGAGTTCTATAACTTCTGTGTGGACAAGTCCATGCACTGGTTCTCCATTGATGTGAGTGATAAGATCTCCAGCCTTCAGTCCTGCCTGGCATGCCGGACTTCCTTCTTCTACATTCTAAAGTCCAAGAGGAGAGGATATTTGTAGGCAAACAAATGACTACTCTAACACCTACTGTGTCTTCTGGGAGAATAATGAGTTAATTAGCAAATGTCCTAAGCCTCTAATAGAAAATCTAACAGGTACGTTTACTATTCCTATTCTATCATTATTCTAAAATAGGAAACTTTCTATGGTACTTAGAAATTTTCAGGTGATTCAGACTGAAAGTACCAGAGCCACAAAGAAAAAAAAATGAATGACCAAAACATTTCAGGTGATTTGAGAAGGTCATTTTTAAAAAGAAGGCTAGGAAAAAATGATAAAATAAAAGAAGGATGGAAATAGGATTGCCTTTGACTATGTCTACCAGCTTGGTATGTAAGAAAGAACAATCGAATATGAAAACTGGACAGAATTATGAGATATTCGTTTTTGCTAAATTCAATTCCACCATACACATACAGGGATGGAGCTCTAAAAGGAAAATGAAACAGGTCGCAAATGCAAGCTTAAAAGTAAATATATTTGCTATTTATCAGCCAACCTATCCACTCTCCAGCTTGGCTGGAAATGAAAAATCCCAAGTGCGAGACATGCAGGTCTTACCCAGACGATATGGTGCACTGTATAGATGTCACTGTCTCCCACATACACCCGGATGGCTCGGATGGTAAAGCCGTAGTTCTTCCCCGAACTGTGGATCACAATCGGCTGATGTGGACTGGCAGAAGCTGCTGAGGAATCTCGGCTGGGAGAGGAATCTCGTGAAGAAGAAGGGTCCGAGGACAGGGAATGGGGAGACATTGGACTTCCCAGAGGGGAAACAGCAAACATATCTGTAACAAAGAAGCCAGTCATCAAAGCCCATGTGGCTCACACAAGCATCCATGCAGGCAACCCTCACCCCATGAGCCTTGCCAGGACTGGGGGCATAGTCACAACACAAATCCATTTGTTTCCAATAGCAAAATGAAGATGAAATAATACAAAAATGTTTCTATCAGTAACTAGCATGAATTCCAAAACTGTCAAACTTCAAGAGTGTTGCTATTTTAACTAATTTTTCAGTTAGGAAAGAGAAAGAAATTTCAATACTCTCATGTTATAATTTTTTAGTTTCTATGCTTATTAAAAGACACCACAAGGATTAGCCTCTGGCTGTGACATTTTTACTTAATGTTTTATTTTAAGTAAAGAAATAAATCATAGATGCATATATTTCAAGTATGTCTTCATGTGGAGAAGACTGTATGTATTATATTAACAGATACTGGATTCCAAATTCTTCACTAAACAATTTTAACATGGTCCTTTTCAACACACATGGCCAGGAAAGCAATTTATCAATTTACCAGCTGATTTCTACAATGCTATTAAATGAATACTGATTAAAGAATTTTAACTGGCCGGGTGTAGTGGCTCACACCTGTAATCCCAGCACTTTTGAGAGGCCAAGGTAGGCTGGTCGCTTGAGCCCAGGAGTTCAAGACAAGCCAGGTAATATGGCTAAACCCTGTCTCTACAAATAATACAAAAAATTAGCCAGGAAAGGTGGCATGTGCCTGTAGTCCCAGCTACGTGGGAGACTGAGGTGAGAGGATCACCTAAGCCTGGGAGGTCGAGGCTGCAGTGAGCCGTGACTGTGCCATGGCACTCCAGCCTAGGCGACAGAGCAAGACCCTATCTCAAAAAAAAAAAAAAAAAAGAAAAAAAGAAGAAAAAAAAAAAGGAAAGAATTTTTAATCAGGAAAACAATGAAGTGGTGACTTCTCTATAAATGAATAACATTACTGTGGTGACAACTGATTCTCTACATATATTACTTGCAATTCTAATAAGGTTTCTGAGAGGCTAATGCAGGTGAGATAGAGAAACCTGAAGAGAATCTCATTGCATATTCCAAAACACCAAATCTACTGCTTTCTTTGTTTTAGAAGCAAACTGCTATGCTCTGAATGTCTGTGTCCCCCTAAAATTCCTATGTTGAAAACTAACCCCCAAGGTAATGGTTTTAAGAGGTGGGGCCTCTGGGAGGTGATTAGGTCATGAGGGCTCTGCCCCTCATAAATGAATTAGTGCCCTTATACAAGAGGCTGCAGAGAGCTTGTTCTTCCCTTCTGCCATGTGAGGAAATAGAGAAGGTGCTGTCCATGAGGAACAAGCCCTTGTCAGATGCTGAAACTGTCGCCACCTTGATCTTGGACTTCCCAGGCTCTAGAACTGTGATCAACAAATTCTGTTATTTATACCTTACCCAGTCTAAAGTATTTTGTTATAGCAGCAGAAATGAATGCTTTTTAGTTCATATCCTTGTTTCATCTACGTGAATCTAAACAGATCTTAACTGGTCATGTGAAACTGTCTGTGTGTGTGTGCACTTGAGAAAAGGCAGAATAATCTACAAAACATGCTGCGGTTTAAACATGAGCTCGGTTGGAGCCAGGCTACAAAGTTCCCAGTGCTACTGAAGGCTCACCAGGGTGTGGTGAGTTCCATTGTGGCTACCGTAAGCTGAAAGTATCCATACTACCCACTATTTCAATTCTTATGCTTGTTCAAAGAAGAGCAAAGCCAACTGTATCATGACCCATGCTCCTTCCCTCTCTGACTTCATGTAGCATCTTGGCTGTCTTCTGCTGGCTCTCTTCTGTCTAATCAAAGGACAGGGGAAGAGATGCATGCTGGCAGGCAGGGAACTTCAAGACATGCAGGTGGGAGGAGGTCACTGTGGACACACATAGATCCCAAACTGCTGAAAGGCCAGGCCCCCACTTCTTTACCTTCTGATGGTCTCCCTTATCTCCCCAAATCAAATAATTTCCTTGTTCTACCAAAGTACGGGCTTCCTAACCAGCTTTCAAAACTGCACTGGCCCATATCCAACTTACCTTCCCATCTGTGCAGCTGCACCAGGACCATCATCTTCAGCTTATGAAGAGTCACACAGACTAGGGATACAGGTGTTTGTTTTATGGTGCTAAACAGGACACCTCCCAGAAACTGAATCTGCTAGATTGAGCACTACTCCCAAATGAGCATTTGTTTATGTCAAATTGCTTTCTGCACAAATATGAAGCTTCAAAAACATAAACAATGCCTTTTATACATGATCTGTTTTCTTCCAAAAACAAGCCATCTGCAATATAATTCGAGTCCCATTCTACTCTCTTGCTGTCATTTGAGTGATATCACAACCATCAGGGTGTATATTTCATTTCTGCCAGTGGGATTACTACAGAGTTAGTGATCAGTAGTGGCAAAACCAGTTTGTGGGAAAATACTACAATTCAACAAAACCTTAATTAAGCCCAGTTTTCCAAAACAGGGCAGAAGATGATTTGCTACCAGTAGGAGGAAGCATAGCTCAACTGACAGGGTTGGGAAAACCTAGAATTTCAATGCTGTCTGTGACTCTATCTCCAGAAATGAAAAGCTTAACTATTTTCCTCATTAATTAGATGAGAAAAACTATATACTTAGCTTTCCAACACAAATGTTGTAAACAGCTCTATAAAGTGTATAAATTATACATACTCTAGAGAAAAAAAATTATTCAAGGAAGGAAAATTTATCATTTAACTTGGAGGGAGAAAAGAAAACGAAAGGAAACAAAACAGAAACAAGCTTTCATGGGAAGGAAGCCTCTCTTGTACCCCTGATGCAGAAAGTGAGATGAAATAGGCCAAAATGCTCCTTGGCGGCCCTACAAATCCTGCAGGAAGAATTCAGAGTCTGCAGGCAGAAGCTCTCAAGAGCTGTCCTGGGACATGACCCGTTATTACTTCAAGCAATCTTGCATCTCATTCAGCATTCCAAATTGGGAGAGGAGGGATGGGACCACATGCACAAATCACACAATTTCATGCAAGTAGTATCTCTCTACCTCCTGGGATCATGAGGGAAAGAGCACTGGCAGAGAGGGACTTTGTGACTTTCCCCGAGATTTTCTTTTTTTCTGTGCTTTCTAATCGCTGCCGAGCCATGTGAGAAGCGGGTTCACTGGATGGCTTTGAGGAATTATCTGTACTGTCCACACACTCGCTTCGTCCATTTATCTGATCCAAGTGCTCTGAAAAACTGCCAACTGTACAAAGAAGAAGGGATAAACACATTCAGGAAAATCCAGGATAGGAGAGGTGGGAAGACGGGAAGAGAGAGACAGCAGGAAGAGTAAACGCCAGAGAACATACTCCTATGTGGCCAGTAAGTCCAGACGGTGTCAGGCGAACATTAACAACATGTGATTGCTTTGAGAAAGGTGACGTGGAGGAGGAAGAGATGGAAGAGGCATCTATTCAGGCTTCATTCTACCTGTACACAAGTCTGCTAATTCTCAATCCATGACTCCATGTAACCAGAGGAATTAGTTTCTTTCAACAATCTATATTTTTGAAACCTTGCAGAGATAATTCTGGTGCCCCTACCCCCCCCATACCATGAAAGGCTGTGCCATGAATCAAATATTACCTCCCAAACACCATGGCCGCCCACTTCATACTGTGATTACCTTATGATACTGATGATTATCATTATCAATGCTGTTAATTATAATTTTGACCTGTGGACATTTTTTCATCACTCCCTGTAGACTTACGTCTGTGCTGTTAGAACACACCTCATACTAGGCTGAGGCAAGTAACTGATAGAAAAGTGCCTAAAGTGTCTCTTCTCACTTCTCAGGCCATATGCCTCCTTTCATTCTAAGCTCCCTGTACATTTCAAAGGACAAGCAAGACAAAGGATATTACTCCCTCCATTACTCAAGTTCACTTCATCCTGCTGGCTTTTAATCCAGTGTATCATATGCTGATCCTCCCTCATGCTATTTCCTCTCCCCTCTAAACCACACCTTCTTTACTTTTAATTTTGTTAATCTTTAATATAAACTGGAGTTATTTTTAACTTAAAAAAAATTAGGGCTTCCCTCAACAACGGAGCGTAAGAGAGGATAAATATGGAGGGGGGTGCAGAAATGGAACATCACTGACCCTGGTCTGGTGAATGCAGAGGCCGAGAGTAAAGAAAGCTCTGCAGCAGGGTGACATTTTGAGTCCCCCAGAAGGAAGCTGAACAGCTATTCCTTTTGATTTGTCCTACTTTTTCTTTCCCAGGTTATCGGTTTTCTATCGTGTTTTTCTTTAAAAACATCATTGATAGCACATTTTTGTCCATCCAGGAGAGAAAATGCTCATCTCATTTTACTTCTACATGCTACATTATAAGCCCCATGTGCTTAAAAATCATCAACTGTCTCATCACCTTTAGAGATACAATCCATGCAGAGTATTAACACCACTATAAATGATCCTTTGAAAGAGCGGCCAGCACATTTCGAAGTGCTGACCATATGACACTGTTTGCCTGGGAAAGAGTTAGACTTAGACTCAACTAGCATTTCTCTTACACTGCTGTCTATATACCACTCAGTGGTATGGTTGTAGTTTGGCCCACGCTCATGGACAAAGTTCAGATCTTACAGCTGTGGTCTAGGCTAAGGGTAGCTGGGAACTTGGACAGCAGCTTTAGTCATAGCACACTTTGTGGTCATCTACTGTGCATATGTACAGGAAAAGATTCATGGACTTCCACATAACACCCATCTGACCAACAAAGGGAGATAACCTTAAGGCAAATATCAATGTTTTTACTCCTATATGCTAAACTCATTCTCATTTAACAGAATATTCCATTCTCTTACAGAAATCAGCTACTGAAGGTCTTGATAAAAACTGCTTCACAAGTAATAAATCTCATCTCACAAAACTTAAGCTTCCCATTGAGTAAGGTACACACTTCCTTCTTTGTAATTTGGTTTGGATGGGATCACTGACAAGTATAAAATGAAAAGCTGAATCTCTTTACAATGAGTAATTGTTGGATACGTTTGACCCCTACATCTAAGACTTCAAGACGTTTATTTTTCATGGCTTCAAACACAATGTAGTCATGATAAAAGAGAAACATGTATAAAGTTGTACTTCCCTAAATGCCAGAGTGTGGATATACAACCTTGTGTCACCTCTCCCTCTTGCCTCTGCCATCTTATTTTGCAGCACTGCATATAAGCGTGAGCTTCTTTTCTGCCAATGGTAGATAATGTCACTTTAATGTTCTCTAAATGTCAAGGGTTCCTTCTTTTTGGTGGTGGAGCAATATAAAAATCAACAAATTTAATTTTACTACAGTCACGGTTTTCAGACTTCCTAATTACCCTTGGCTATAAGCAAATCAGCTCATCTCTCTATTCTGCACAGCCCCCAAGGCCTTTGATTATTTTTAGTGTGCGTATGGGGGAGAGAGAGAGAGAGAGAAAGATGGTGTGAATCTATTAATCAAAATGCATGGCAGGACCTAGGTGAATTTTTTTTTTAATTATGAAAGTAATCAATCAAATGCTTAGACACGATTCCCCTCCCTTCCCCTCCTACCTTTCCGGTAGTGAGCAGGCTGAGGAGACTAAGAGATAGTAAACAGTTCACTATATTAAGAAAAAAATTTTAAATGGAGGTGAATATACTCTATTCAGAGTAAGGTAACTAAGAACCAGATAAAGGCCTTTGTAACCAGGAATAGAAAATACCAAGATATCTACATATGATCTGAGCATCAGCATGAACTAGAGATGGTCAGGCATCTTAGTCTAATAGGTTGCCTTTACACTACTTCCTCATTGCTGTTCTCTTGGCTTTATGATTAGGATAAGTGGAATTACGCAACATGAAAACAGAACTGAAGTGAAGACAGAGAAGAAAATCCAACATTATTTTCCCCCACAATAAACTATAAGCACATGTGAAGCTTCACAGATCCAAACTTCTTAGTGAGGTTGAAATAAATCCAGCCCATAAAATTTTTCCTGAAATGATTAAAAAAAAGCTTACACTATGAATATTCAGTTAGTTTAAAAAATGTTGACGAAAAATCTTGGAATCATTCATGGTTATCAATACAGCATATTGAACGTAGCTTAATGAAAACATTCATTACAGCAATTCTAAGCCATATACATCTCTCATTTTTTGAAAAAGCATAAATGCACATACTCTATAGAAGAATATGCTGTGCATAAAATTTTTATAAATCAAATGATATTTTAAATGAACTTAAGAGGCTTGTTTTGGTGCAATTAATTGCAAGTTTGAATATCTAGTGAGGATACCTCCATTACTAATGACCAGCAAGTATCCATGATATATTAAGCTCCTTAAAAATCTGTGAAGACACTGTTCCTCTTGTCAGGAAGGTTACATCACACAAAGGTAACTTTTAAAAAGTGCTTTCAAAGGCCCAAGCCCCCTTGGCTGCCTCCCAAAAATGCAAAGATGTCTCAGGAGTTTCCTACTCCAATTACCCAGAGTTTCTTACTCCAATTACCCAGAGATGGGGAAGGTAACTTTTGTCTTCAGTGGAGTTATTTCATATGCACGTAAACTATCAATTTAAATCATGCTGGTATTTCTGACTCCCCTTTCCCCTCCTTAGTCCCAGATGGACCAGAACAGCATTAAGCGTCTTGTTGCACTCAGTCTGCACTGAGTCTAGTGTGGAGAGAGAAATTACTTGGTACAACATAACCCTTTAACAAAAGCCAACTCCATCAAAGAAACAACCATCCATTTCAATGCTAGAGAGAAACCTGGCTTTATACTGTGCCTTAGGGTGATTCAAGACATCTTCAAGGGTAATTCTGACAAGCTGACTACTTGATACTGGCTCTTACACTGAACTTTTGAGTTAGATGCAACTGTATAAGACATACCTTTGCATCAACAACTGAGAACACGCTCCCTTAGCACGTTCTGACTTCCCTCAAAAGATCCCCTGCAACCTGGCTGAGAAAGTGAAGTTTGGCCCCAAGGTCAAACGGAAGCAATAACAGTTTGCTGCATGGCCGAGCACTGAGGAGGGGTCTGAGACATCTGATCTTAGCTCTCAGAAGATCGTGTCCCAAGCCTAAGGACTGAGGCCATGGAGAAAGTCTAGCAGCATAAAACACCCATCTTTACTGCCTGGCGAGGCCCGCCCTGGGACTGAGCACTAGGAGACACTTAGTGTGGTGAGGAGGACAGCAGGCACTATGGCCCGGGGCTTACCTGACAGGGTGGAGCTGCTGATGGTGCTGGCTGGGGTGGTGACCTCAGGCTCCTCCTGGGCACACTCTTCAGGAGGAAGGGCTGGCTTTCCTGGCTCCTCATGGGGGTCTCCAGGGCAGGAGGCAGCTTCATCTTGCTCTCCCTCTGTTGAAATAGCCAGTTTGGGAAGTAGGCCAGAACTGAGTTTATGTCTGTTGCTTTCAGTATCTGAAGAGTTGGATGTTGATAGCTGTTGCCTTAATTAAAAGCAAAAACAAAGTCATATATACATACTAGAAAACTGTGTTAAAGGTGAATTTTGGAAGAAACCAGGTGAAAATCGGACTTGGATAAGCCTAACCAAGAGATGTCTAGTGCAATGGTTCTTAATGTGTGGTACCCACAGCAGCAACATCTGCATAATCTAGATACTTGTCAGAAATGCACATTTTCAGGCCCTACCCTAGATCTACTGGATGAGAAACTCTGGAAGTGGGAGATCTGTGTTTTAACAAGCCCCCCAGGTATTCTGATGCTCACTAAAGTTTAAGAAACTCTGCTCTAGTAGCTACTGCTTATATTACTTAAGAGGCATTTCACATACATTTCAGAATATTCTGAACTCCAGCTCAGTGTTTCTGTGGATGGCAAGGTGGTGCTTTTGGTTTTGTCCACAGAGTCTTCCTTCTCTTCTGCTGAATTCTGAGTGATTCGATCTATACTGCTGAAAACCTGGAAGGCAAATAATTGGTGCTTATTAATATCTACTAAAAAGAGTTTGTCAGAAAAACACTCCAAGTCTTGGGAGAAAAACCTGAGAGGATAACTAAATTCTGAACTAATATTGTGTATTCAGAAAGTACTTTCCAGTGTTGTTAACCAGAATCCAGAGAGGAAGGGTCAGGGTGAGTGAGTGTGTGTGTGTGTGTGTGTGTGTGTGTGTACATATATACGAATAGGGAGCTATGAATTCATCATCCTCTCATCATATCTTGTTGCGGACTTTGTATCTGCAAACAAAATCCACAGATGCAGTGGAGTTTCTAGGCCTTGGGATCAATGCACATCTTGATTACTTTTTAACCATGAAGTCAACTGGAAAAAGAAAATAACAGAGAAACAGATTTAATGGCCACCAGTCAGGGGTGGGAAGAAGAAAAATGAATTGGAATTGAGTGCAAACAGAAGAATAAATTATCTGTTTCAAGACTGGGTGGTGGTGTGGCAAGGATGCAGTACATATTCCGTTATAAGAGCCAGAGGTATTTGTTTCGCTTACAAATCACATCTATAGACAGGCAGTTTCCTATGTTGGTGCCGGGGTTCCTGAAGGGGATCGGAGCTCAGGTAAGCCCAAGGTCTCAGCTATCTGTGAATCTCTGTTGTCTCATAAGAGAGAAGGTAAAATGGGGGTCTAAGAGCCTAGGGCAGGAAGCGCTCCCTACTGCCCTGCTCAGACACTTGCTGCTCTCATGGGAATGGTCCTCAGGCCTCCTATAATCTACTAGGAATAGCAGGAAAGTGGCTACAGAAAAGGAGATGGTGGGAAAATGAAATACCCACCAAGGCAAAGAAGGAAGCAGTGTTTAGGGGTTGGCATTGTTGTCTTTGATGGCCCAGAGAACAGTCCTGGTCTGAGTCCACACTTAGCAAAGCTTCTGTCCTGGCTCTAGGACAGACTGGCTACCACCTTCTCCAGGGAAATCCTTACCTCGATGCCATTCCCATACACAGGAGGGTAGTGCTGGCCAATTTGCAGGTGCATCTAGGTAATCATTTAGAAAAAGCTACGGAGCACTTTAAAATCACTAAATGTTATAGAAAAGCTAAACAATAATCATGCAAAATGCCATGGCAACAGAAAATATATAGCTACTGAAAATAGCAAAAGGGAGGTAGGGTGCCCTCAGGTTGATTTCCGTTTTTCCTAGGGCCTTGTTCTGTCTCAGTACTATCAGTTTTCTTTGTTTTGATTAATTGTTTTTTTTAACTTTTACTGTACTGGTAAAAAGGCATCTTTCTCAAGCATCAATTATCTAAATGATTCTAGCTTGGCTTCCTACTGCCTTTTCAATATGGCTTATAATTTCTGTTTATTGGTTACAAGACTTTTTTTTTTTTTTGGCTTTTTTTTTCCTTTTTGTGGAGAACGGGGTCTCACTATATTGCCCGGGCTGGTCTTGAACTGCTGGGCTTACGCTATCTTCTTGCCTCTGCCTCTCTAAGTGCTGAGATTAGAGGCGTGAGCCACTATGCCTGGCAGTTATGAGACTTTACAATCCTACAGTCAACTGTCCGCAGGTATCTTTGCTTATGTCAAGGACTGAGCCTTCTCCTTTTGTTGTACTCTGTGTAATCCCTCGGAGATGACTCTGTACACAGTGAAGCTCGCGCTCTTCATCCTGAGTTGAAAGCAATGAGTGATACCTCTGCAGCCTGGCATTGAGCCAGGTGAGAGACGTTCAAGGCAAGGTCATCATATAAGTAGCAGTCACACACTCCAAAAACAAGACTGTGGGTGCAAGGCTATGCCTCTAAGAAAACAATATCTTAATTTGTGGAGAGAGAAATATATTGGTGCCGGGGTTCCTGAAGGGGATCAGAGCTCAGGTAAGCCCAAGGTCTCAGCTATCTGAATCTCTGTTGTCTCACAGGAAAGAGAGAAGGTAAAATGGCAGTCTAAAGGCCTAGGGGATAGGGACAGACTATAAGTTGAGGAGGTCACTTTTCTTCAACAAAAGGAAGTTTAAGCATAGGAGACCTCAAACCCTGGAAAACGGTAAGTGTCCAGCTGTTCGGGGATACTATCTGGCCAGCGGGAGATCCTCCCAGAGAGACTCTGTATGTTTATGCCACATTTCACTTACTTTTGAAAACCTGTGTGAACATGAAGAAAACTGCCTTATTTCCACATTAAAGTCTTCATCATTTGTGTCATCTTCTTCCTCCGTTTCCATATGATGATACTTCTCAGACCGAGCTGCAGTGAAATGTTTGGGAACAGGTCCAATTACTCAGATTTTCAACATTTAGATATTTTAATTATGATTTTCTGGATCAACATTATGTTTAAGAACTCAGAGATATGAAAAGGTTCAAAAGCAAAGATAATTATTTATCGAGTAAAGGCCAAACAATGTTTTATGTCAGATAAAGCACATACTATCAAAATAACTTGTGTCATCCTCAGATTCCAGTTGGGGAATAAATTCTGCCTTCTGTCTCAGCAAACTGTTCCAGTCTAAAGAACGGAAGAATCGATGCTGTTTGACTTCATATGCACCACCTGGAAGGGGGCAGGTAGAGACAGAGAGGAAAGTGTTAAACTATCCCCACTAAGCAAAGGCAAACATCAGTTTTTAACAACAATTTTGAGAACATATCAGCAAAGAAATACAGACATGAAAATCATACTTTTTCATTCTACAACCAAAGCCCCACAAGTTTTTCTGATAATTTATCAGTAGGAGATTTGATGTTGCTAACAGCAGTTGCTATGGCACTGTTTTTCTTTGTTAGTTTTTTTCCATGACTTCCTCCATTTTTCAAAGGTTAATGATGTGGCCACTTAAAATCACAGTATGCTGAACCTGGAGATGTAGATAAATATTGGCCCACAGCAGACTCACTCATTAAAAACCCAGAGAAATTCTAACAAGGTGCAAAATGTGTTCACAGCAACATTTCCTCTGGAGGTAAAGTGAATATTGATAAATTTTTCCTAAATATTATTTATAGGGGTTACCATTCAATTTTAGTGGATTGCTCATTAACATAGATAAGAATTAGATTCTGTGGATTACAGATTTGTAAGTAGGAAACTGACAAATCTGTTTTATAGACTTTTAATGTCTCCAAAATATCCATCACCATTTCCAAGTTTCAGGCTTCTTTTTCCAAGTCAGCATGAAAGCATAATTCAGTGAAATGTTTTCAATTCAGTTTATAATTTTAAAGAGCGATTTTAAAGGACAGGTCATCAAAAATATGAACACCATACCCCATATAAAGAGAAAAAGGTACATGTTATAATATCATAGCGTAAGAATCAGATCCCCGCCCTGCCACCAGCACACATATTGTTGAAGAGAGAGATAACAAAGAATCAATCCTGAAAAAACTCTAAGAAGAGAGATTTCTGAGAAGCTACTACAGGGACTAATCAGCCTCCCTGCCAAAAGATCTCTGCTAGGTGCAAGTAAATGCCTCTTTCTTGTAGTTGTCACCCAGGCCTCTCATCCTGTCCTCTGTGGAGTCCAAAAAGAATAGGATGAGAAATGCCAAGCTGAATGCAAAATGGGCTGTGAATCTTGGTTGGGGGTTGCTGTCTGTGGATCAAAGATTGGACTCTGTCCTCATTGGACCCCTCTAGCACAAGACATAGTGTCAGCCCTAGCTCTAAACCCAGCCAGGGCAAATTGGTGTTCTGAAAATGATGGAATGGAGTGAAAACAGCAAAGTGAGGAAACTACCCAAAAAGGGGGGAAATGGATTCTTCTTTATAAAACACTTAATTAGAATCTTTACCCCATATTCTATCCAAGTGGTTTCCACATTTCTAGCAAAATACTGAAGTCTGACTGTAAGCATGAGCAGCTATGACTGAGGGCCAACTTGTGACAAGTATTGCACTAGATACTACAGGACAGATGTCTTGTTTCCTTTAATTAAATCATCAAATATAACCACATGAAGTGGGCATTACAACACCTTTTGTGGATGTGGAAATGAAGCATAAGCAATAAAGCACCGTGGACCACGATCCCCCAGAGGGTAAAGATTCAAGGCTGAACCTAGGCCTGCCTAAAAACACCCAAGCCCAACCTCAGTGCCACATATAAGGCAGAGGCATGCTTTAATTTGTTCCTACTCCACCACCTCTCTTGCATCGCTTTGCAAACAGATTCAGAACTGCCAATACTGGGGACCTGAGCCTAAGAGCCAACTCACGTGGCTGTTCTATAGCACCTCTGGAGAGCCTCACTCCAGCCCACCATGCATCCTTGCTCTCACCTATCCCTAATCAATGTCCGTATGCACAACTGCCCATCTTATTTTCTTCTAGTGCTCTTTTACTTGGAGAAACAGAATACGAAAGCTAAGAGGGCTTAACTGTTTCCCTATCCAACATGGAGGTCGTCAGCACGGTGCGGGTGTTGGGTAGGGAAAGCCCTAGTTAGTGGCCCACAACACACATCTCTGGACTCCTAGTGCAGTGATGGTTCCACTAGACTACAATGACTATCACTTCAGCTGCTGCTCATGGGGCCACATCAATGGCCCAGCCCTCACATTTTGGGTTGCTCGATTTTATCAGAAAAGCAGTTTCTCTAGGGCCAAGAGCTCAACCAGACTGCAGCCAGTGTCAGGGGTTTTACCCCCTGCCTGCTATCCTCTGGGACCCAAGCTGCTGAGAGCCTTCATTTCATCTCTGCAGACAATGACAAATGGGTCCTCCTCAAGGATTTACAGCCCATAGCTGATTTAGCTCACATTTCTCACCCTTTGGCCTTTGTGCCTCACTTACGAGAAGCTGGTATCAGTGGGTCCAGTTTCTCAGGCACTTATGGAGAGATAAGGAAGAAAAGAAAGGGACAAATTGGGGGAAAATGACCTCTGGACTAAACTTTTGGTAAAATACGGGTGATAGCATCGTGAGCTAAAAATAAATCACTCATGCAAATGATAGTTCTCATTGTAAGAATTCATTATGAAGGTAAAAGAAACATTATACCTTGAGCTCCTGTTAGATACTTAGTAAATGAACTAGATACCTTAATGAACATTTTTGCATTTACTCCTCACAATAATCCTGTGAAGTATATAAAATGCCCATTTCCATAGACTAGGAAACTGAGACTCAGGACAATGAAGAAACTATTCAAGATATGGGTAGCAGTGACATCTGAGCAGCTCTGAAGTCCAGGGAGTCAGGCTGCCACTCAATATTCTACAAGTTCAAAAGTGTAGTTCCAGTAGCACAAGCTCCCAAATTGCAAGTTATGCTTTGACACTAACACTTTCCCTTTTCTCTCCTTTCATGGAAGTTTCTTAAACATCCATTATGTTCTTCACACCCTTTTTCTCAGCCTCTCTAATCTCTTGGGCAAATGTGCATTCGCACATTTTCACGGTGCATTATTTTGCCCACTAAATATGCATTAAATACAAAACGCTGTCATTGGAAGCAGCACGGCAGGCCTGCGGGATTCTCAGCCTCAGTCTCTGGGCCCTACTGGGACCTGTCATGTTGGACTGGCCTGTTTGGCAAGCACTTGACAATTCTAAGAGCTTGGGTAGGGTCTTTTAAATGTCTCTTCTGGATTTCTGTTAGGGGATTTGTTCTTCAAACTGTCAAACCCTAAAAAGACTGAAAGTAGCAATCAACAAGAAAATGTGCAGAGAAGTAACTTGCAGCCTATGATTTATAAACACAGAGATGCTGATCATTATCACATCCTTGTCTAGTTAAATCAAGCCCAACCAAGGATCCAAGTTTTCCTGGAGGAGTAAATACAGGACAGAATACAGGCTGAACATCCTTAGTCTGAACATTTAAAATCCGAAATGCTCCAAAATCTGAAATTTTTTGAGCACTGATATGACACCACAAGTGGAAAATTCCACACCTGACCTCAGGTAACAGGGATTAAAACATATATGATGGGGCCAGGCACAATGGCTCATGTCTGTAATCCCAGCACTTTGGGAGGCCGAGGTGGGTGGATCACTTGAGGCCAGGAGTTCAAGACCAGCCTGGCCAACATGGCAAAATCCCATCTCTACTAAAAATACAAAAAGTAGCCAGGCGTGGTGGCATGCTCTTGTGGCCCCAGCTACTCGGGAGGCTGAGGCATGAGAATCGCTTGAACCTGGGAGGCGGAGGTTGCAATGGACCAAGATCGCACCACTGCACTCCAGCCTGGGTGACAGAGTGAGATGCCATCTCTAAACAAACAAACAAACCACCCCACCCACCCACCAACCAAAAACCAAACAAAAAACACATATTATGGGCTTATTGAAGGACTAGGGCAGTACGCATTCATAACAGAATAAAAAATCATGTCAGTTTATGAACTTAGAAAATAATTCTAAGATAAAACTTGTTAATGAGGCAGATGACTCTGGAGGAAATGTTTTAAAAAGCCATCCAGCAGAATGCCTCCTCTTCCCTAGAATGATTTGTTTTTATCCTTATAATAATCCTATGAGGTAGCACTTCGGAAAGCTCCTTTTCACAAATGAGGAGATGAGCAATGCAAAAAGAAGTAACCTGTCCAGGGTCATACAGCCGAGATTTAAACTCAGCCTAGCTGACTGTGGAGTTTATGCTCTCAACCTCAATTTATATTGGCTTTTCAGGTTAAAAGTCCACTCAACCACTGAAAAAGGTAAAAAAGACACAAGGTGCTCTAGTGAGAGGCTCAACTAAAAGAAGTTGTCTAGTCAAGCCCTAATATTAAGCCTTCTTGGATTCTCTAATGCAGGGTCTGGAAAGCTTTTGTGTAAAGGGCAAAACAGTAAACATTTCAGTCTTTGCAGGGCATGCGGTCTGTCATGACTACCTAACTCTGCCCTTGTAGCATGAAAGCAGCCATACAATACCTAAATGAGTGGACATGGAGGTGTTTCAGTAACGCTTTATTTACCATACCAGGCTGTGGGACAAATCTGGCCATAGCTTGCTGACCCTTGCTGTAATGCATTATCATAAACTCTAGTAGCACAGCATTCGTCTATACTTAGGTAAGAACAGGTCCTCCAACAGGAGAATCGGTGGGTGAATGTGGAGAATACTATACAATAAATATTTGGAACTGTTTCAAATTTTTGTCTTGGAAAAAAATGGGGGAGAAAATGATTTCTTCAGTATTTTCTGTTATTTCTATTAAAATGGGGGTAGAATGAAACAGCCCAGAGTAAACAACCCATCAAGCCAGCACTTTTCACTGATGAAAATTATGGCTGCTGGCTAGACTATATGCATTTATATTTAATATTTAGTCTCATCTACATAAATTCACATACTTGGGCAGACTGGGACTCTATACTGGGATTGCTAAGTCTGTCTATTCAGAATACAGAGAAGAAAAGGGAATAAAATACTGGCAGAACAGTCAGAAAAAATAATCAGCAAGAAACAAATCTACTATCTCGTTAATCCTGAAAGACAGTGGTTTTTAATTCTCTTTCTTGGGTCACGGTGCTGATCACTGTGACAGGACAGCATGGTTCAACCCCAGACACTCATTTCTAGTAATTAGTCCAAGTACTGATAACCCATTTCAAAGCTTGTGTATAGTAACGTGCTGGGTCAAATCCGTATGGGGATGTATATTTAAAGACAAAAACAAAAAGAGTTCCAAATATCGAATCCTCTGTTTCAAGTTATTTAAGATGCATGCTTTTCGGGATAGAAGAGTTACATGTGCCTTTGAGGTTTTCTTCCAGAGAAGCTTTATTTATTGAAACAAATTAAGCATAATTTCTGCTTTGCCAAACACAAAAACAACAAAAAACAAAGACAAACAACCAACCCTCTTAGCGTACACACTGTTTTGAATCAGAAAACAAAATCCAAAATATTATTGCTATAATGTGTTGCAGTCATGTTCTACATCAACTAACAGATGTTGCCTATGCAAAAAGCAAAACAACAACAAAAGCTTCAGAGTGCTCCATGTAGACATTATTTCTTGCATATTAGCAAAATTAAAACACATGGGCTCTAACCTGTTCCCAGCCTCTCCAGGGGATTCTGCCTGAGGAGTAAGGTAATCAGATCCTGGGCATCAGGTGGGGGTGCCTCATCCTTCTCAGGCCAGTTGATCTCATCTAGAAGGAAGAAAAGTTGTTTATAACCATATTGTTCACAAGAGGGTCCAGGTCCCAGCAACATGGACATCACCTGGGAATTTGTCAGAAAGGCAGAATTTCAGGCCCACTCCGGACCTACTAAATCAGAGTCTGCCTTTCAACAAGATCTTCAGTCGATTCCTAAACACAGTCATGTTTGAGAAGCATTATTTTACAAGACATAAGTAGCATAGATTTTTTACAAGGTAGGAAGAGAATATTTCAATAAGCAGATCTTTAATTTGCTTTTTAAATGTATTTTTCTTTCAAAGAATTGGCTTCCAAAAAGTTGCCTCTCTAGTTATTAAAAGACTTAAAATAATAGAAACTCTAAACACTTCCATTTCAGGTGGCTAATATATCCATCCAGGGATTATCTCAGGTTCAGATTTTTCTCTCTTAATTTCCTCAACTGAGAATTTGGCCACAGCCATAGAGTTCTTCAGCTCTAAGAAGCAAGAAGTAATTTTGTAAAAATAACTATTTCCAGAAACAAACAAACAAACAAACAAACAAACAGGTCAAAGTGCTAAGACTGAAGAAGAAAAAAAAACCCAAAGTAATCATAGTAATGGAAGTATTTAAAATCTGTCATAAATATTAAGAATACTTTCTCATTCTGAAGGAGTTTGCCTGAAGATAGGTGTGCGTGCTTGTGTGTACGGAAATGCAATAAAAACATGAGTTATTTCTGTGTGTGCCTGCCTCTAGCTTCCTCTGCTGCAGTTTAAATCTGATTTGGAAAATAAAACATGAATATGCATCTGAGCCGTAAGGCATCAAGAACAAAGCCAGCATTTGCTGCTTGTGTTAATTAAACAGTTGATTCCCTTTGCCATTCAGGCCTTAGTATATCAGAAAACAGCCTAGTTATAAATCCATAAACAGCTCAGATATTGTATAAAGGGGTCATACACTGCAGGCAACTCACAAATCTGCTTTGTTAAAGTTTACAAATATGCAAGGCTTGCAAAATCAAAGATAGAAAAGAATGCCGTGATAAAGGGGCCCCTCATATGCAAAATGAATTTTTCCCCTACTTCCACTGCTGGACCTTGTAAACACAGTCCAAATAGACCGTACGTGGCTGATAAAGATGTCAGTGATGCCTGACAAACTTTCAAGATGAGAGGCCTTTCTGATGTATGTTCCAGGGAAATTTATAAAATCGGCAGGTAGGGTAGTGATACACCCTATTTAATTATCATTTAGTTTTGCCACAGGCCACATACAATAGTTAGGGTCAGCTTGCAGGTTAAGATCTAAAAGTTATTGAATTTTAAATGAAAGATGAACAGCTGTTACAGAAATAACATTACGCCATAACAACTACCAATGAAATCATTAACAATCTGTGGATTCAACTTGCTTCTTTCCCATTCTCATTATTTATTATTTGGTAGACATTTGTTTTAGGGTTTATTACATTTTTGTTAACTTCTTCATTATGCCATTAGCCATTTTCCCTATTTATGTAAATGTTACCCACATTAACCTTTTCTTCCCTGGTGTAACTTTCCTATCATGGAAAGGAAGACTGGACGGCAATTAAATTGCCTGTAAATCCCACACCAATTTCCTTTGCAGAAAAAGCACACTATAAAAAATGGTTTTGTTGCTAGTACATTTCCAAATTCTATGTTAACAACATTTCTTCAGATCAATTTTCAACAAAAATTGCTCTCTTGAGATTAAGAATGTCAGTTATATGCTTTGATGAGTGAGTTCTTTTGTTGGCTCAACTGTTTGATAAAGGTTAACATTTTAGTAGTAAAAACTGTGACACTCAACAGATTTACATTAAATAGCTGCTTCCCAACAGTGACCTAAAGATAACTCCTGATGATATTTACCACTGATGACTTGTCCAAATAGCTCCTCTGGAGTATCCCCAAAGAATGGCACGCATCCAACCAGAAATTCATAGAGGATAATCCCCATGGCCCACCAGTCCACCGGCTTTCCATAACCCTGCCTCAGAATCACTTCTGGTGCAATGTATTCAGGTGTGCCACAGACCTAAAAGATAATTGCAATATTAGAATAATTGGAATATTAGACATGAATTAAAATGAGCAAGATGGCTAGTCACCAATTATTTTGCCCAGAATGCACCTGCTCAACCACATGGAACCACATGGACAAAGAACTTAAGAGCACCAATTATAAAAAGATATTTAAAATACCAACGAAAAGAATTATTACCAAAGACGGGAAGTTTACAGTTCTGCTCTAATGTTAAATTATATGTAATGTTTACTTTCAAATTGAGAATCTGACCCTGTTTGGTAGTTTTACCTATTATACAATATTAAAACCACTTATAATCCTTAAATTTAAAATAATAATGCATTTTTAAGTTTGTCATTGTCAGAGAGAGTTTTAGTATCTATATGACCAAAATATATTCACACACAGGTCATTTCATAAAAGCAATGACAGTTGAGATGTGTTTACCTTAAGTAACTTTACAATGAACAGATTGTGGGGACATGGTAATGAGGCATGCTTAAAGGGAAATGGGCCGTGGCTTGGATTTAGCACCCGTGATGGTACAATGCATCATGAGTTTCACAAGTACTCTACTGAGACTCCTGAATTCCTTACAAAAACAGTATTCCATTTGTCTCTCTCACACTCTCACTTGTGTGCAATTAGATCATTCGTCTTGCTAATAGACCATAATGTTGGGGGAGGAATGTAGAGGGAGCAGACAATTCAAAGAGGCCCAGGGAGAAAAATGGGAGCAATTTGCACTTTATTAAATGTAAGGTTTATACAGACATCTAAACCACCAGCACTAATGTGAAGATGGCCCACACAAGTTGATTCTGAACTTCACTGGCAATACCATACTTTGTATTTCTCAATAAACTAAATGGCACCCAAGCTTACCTGTTTATCCAGGAACTCTCTAGCATCCTTCTCAATATGACCCTCGTAAAGGTTGGTAGTCATGCTCATTAGTCCCACCTTAGATAATCCAAAATCTGTCAGCTTTATGTGCCCCATGGAGGTAACCAACAAGCTATGAGGCAGACGGACATGTAACACAATAATCACTTTATAAGCTGGTTATCTATTTTCATTTCCTCCCTTCCCCCCTCAGTTTCTAAGACTATTTAATATATGGGCATCAAGCTTATTACAAAACCCAGCCTGGAAAGAGATGGAGTCACATAAAGATGTCAAATACTTCCATCTAGCAGCTGAGTGTAATTCACAAGGGAGGGCTAGAGACAAGGTGTAGCTAATCTTTGTTGGAGCAGCCACATACAATATCATTTATAACACTTTGAAACTCTTAGAAAAATTCAAGTATGAAACTCTGATCCCTTTCCATTTTCACAATAAGAAAATAAAAAAAAAAGGGCATACACCAGGAACTAAGCAACCCATTTGTGATTCAAATGAGGCATAAAATAAAGAAAAACAGAAAAATATTGTATTGTTTCAGATTTCAACTCCCATCTCTAATTTAAATTTCTACTCATTAAGCACAAAACCTATATTTCTTACCCATGCAAAGAATCTGCAATTAAATATATTTAAAACTTTTCATTTTAAGTGGGAAAATAAAAAGTTTAAATAGTATATACGGTATTACAGTAATTTAAAAATTAAAAGAATAGAGGTATTTTTTAAAAAGCTACTGGATGGAAATATCCCAAAATTTTAATAGTTGTCTTTGGTAATACTGCAGATGAATTTTTTTCTCTCTTTTTTCCCCTGCATTTTTCAAATTTTGTAGAATGAGCATGAGTCAATTTTATCATAAACTTTTCAGCATACTTAAAGTCTTTATATATTAATATGTAATGCTTTTAGAGGCTTCTCAAATTAGTGGAGAAAGCATGAAATATTTAATAAATGATGTCAAGATGAATAGCTAGTCATCTGGGGAAAAAAGTCTATCTGTATCTCAAATCAGACACCAAAATCAATTCCACATAAATTAAAAATTACTAAAAAATTAAACTGTGAGTAACATAGAATGTAACATCAAGCACTTCATCTTGGAGTAGGAAAAGGTAATCTAAGTATGACACCAAATAAAGAAACTACCCAGAAAACAACTAGCAGCATTCTATGAAGCTATTGTCACATTTGCACCATTTGAAAAAAAAACTTAAAAAAATTAACTCTGGCTTTATCATTATCTTTTTCTCTTGTTGCTGATAAGTTATTAATATAAGCATCATTGGGGGTGGGGAACTAGGGAAGGGATAACATTAGGATAAATACCTAATGTAGATGACGGATTGATGGGTGCAGCATACACCACCATGGCATGTGTATACCTATGTAACAAACCTGCACGTTCTGCACATGTATCCCAGAACTTAAAGTATAATAAAATATATATATACATATGCATTGTATCCTTTTTTCCATGAGTTTCCTGAACTTCCAATAAGCATATCTTTTAAAGTTTTACATACAAATTACCATATATACTGTTAAAACAACTCATTTTGGACATTATGGAATAATTTAAAAATGTACATTGACTAAAAGAAAACATCTTTATAAACATACGAGAACTTTGTATTGGGCAAAAGAAGACATATATTTCATTTGTGTACATACTTGTCTGGTTTCAAATCCCTGTGTACAATTCCATAATTATGTAAATATTCCAAGGCCAAGACCGTCTCAGCAAAGTACATTCTGGCCATATCAACAGGGAGAGGACCCATGTTTTTCATTAAAGTAGCACAGTCTCCCCCTGTAACACAGGAAAAAGAGTTAGTAGCTATAGGATGAAGGCTTAATGTAGAAAATCAGTTTAGACTGCAGAATTTCAAGGTGAAATCATCTCTACCCATAGACACAGCATATCATAGTCACAACTGGAGTCTATGTGTTAACCTATCATGTTTCTAACTAAGAAACAGTATGGAGAAAATACAGATTTTTATTTAAGAAGTAGTATTCATAAGAGAGGAGGTTTGGCTCTGAAGTGAAACTGTACTTTAAAGAACGGCTAGCATAATTTTAGGATCATGGTAACAATTTAAAATACACCAGCATAAAACATGGATTCTAGAATCAGGCTACCTGAGTCCAAATCCTAGCTCTGCCTCTTACCAGCTGAGACATCCTAGGCAAACGACTCTTGGTTCCTTCACCTGTAATACGAGGATGGTAATAATACCATCTTTGTTAGAATTCTTACGAGAATTAAATGAGATAATCTATATAAAGAACTTAGGATACTGCCCAACACATATCACATATTAAATGTGTGATAAATGTTAGTAATTGTTTTTGTTAAGATAACCACAACAAAGGTTAAAAAAGCAAAATATTGGTGTGGTAGAAAGGACACTGGGTGAAAATAAGGCAAGCTACGTTTTTGTCTTTTATCTACCACTCTATCTAGTAAGTCTTCCTTTCTTGGACTTTATTTCGCTCATCTATGAAATGCAAAGGTTAAACTAAAAGGATATCTAATGTTTCTTTGAGTTTTATAGTTTTGGGATTCTGTTCAATGACAACAGCTTAAATTAGATGCTTTGAAATTGTTACTGATCTATTCATCTTATTAACTTTATGTCAACAAGTCATGGTCACTCGAACTCAGAAACTTAATATAAAATTGATGGAAATAAGATTACTTGGAGCATTGAAAAGGTAGTCCATAAACCTCTTAAAGAAAGAAAAAAAAGCTAAAAATCGGGAAGACTGGCTGCATTTTCTTGAATGTATCTCCTTTTCCATTTTATTTCATACTATAGACTGAAAAGAATATATATTTCTTTCTGTAAGAAGACTAATTGTGATGAGTACTTTTATGATATGTAATAAAAATAAGCAGAAAAAAATCCCATCACCTATATTCCAACTTTAATGACCAATTGAGAGGAGGTAGTTAGGATTAAAAACTATTAAAAAAGATAACCTTTTTCCAGATAGCGCTAATTTTCTCTTTGTTATAGTAGAGCAGGCACTTTACAAGCAATTATCAGAAGATAATGACTGGGAATACAGCCATTTCATTGCCTGGCTTCAGTTCCTAGGTGGATACAGCCATTATGTGGCACAAATACAGACAGCTTCAACAACACAAATGAGCAAGGGATTCCTGGGTACAGGTGTCATGTTTTCCGTGTCAGATACCTTCCACATATTCCATGACCATGCACAAGTGGCGCCTTGTTTCAAAGGAGCAATACATGCTGACAACAAAGGGGTTTTCTGCAAAAGTCAGGATATCCCGCTCCACAAAGGCCTGCTGGATCTGGTTTCGAAGGATGAGGTTCTGTTTATTAATCTTCTTCATGGCAAACCTCTGCCGGGATTCTTTATGCCGAACAAAGTAGACTGCCCTGAAAAGGAGCAGAAGTATTGGGGTTGACAGGAGGAGAGAAAGTAAGGATGTTTTGGGGATACAGTAAACCATATAAATCATCAACTTTTTAAAAGTTCTCACAGCAGGTGGAATGTAGCTCACACAAGCTGGCAGCTACAAACATCCCATCCCAGGCTAAACTCCTTTGGCTAGATTGATTTTTTTTCAAATTATTTCAGTTAAAGGTCAAGGGTCATATCCAGGCATCAGATTCATCTTCACTGCTGAAGGAAGGAAATGAGCAGTCCCCAAAGTGACCTATTTCCTAATAGCTAGCTGACATTTTCAGTTTTTCCACAAACACATCAAAATTCGATATATGTCAGAACAGGAAAGAATTAACAAAGTTACACACATATAACAAGCTAGATCCTTTCTAGCGTTAGATAGTAGATATTAGACACTTTTTCTCAACCAACTAAAGCAATAATTTTCTTTTTTTTCCTTTTTCTTTTTTTTTTTTGAGATGGAGTCTTGCTCTGTCGCCCAGGCTAGAGTGCAGTGGCATGATCTCAGCTCACTGCAACCTCTGACTCCTGGTTTCATATGATTCTTGTGCCTCAGCCTCCTGGGTAGATGGGATTACAGGTGCACGCCACCATGCCCAGCTAATTTTTTGCTTGTTTTTTGGTAGAGACAGAGTTTCACCATGTTGGCCAGGCTGGTCTCGAACTCCTGACCTCAAGTGATCTGCCCTCCTTGGCCTCCCAAAGTGCTAGGATTACAGGCGTGAGCCACCATGCCTGGACCCTAAAGCAATAATTTTCTAAATGATACCATTGGGATCCACAAAAAACCCCATAGCTTCTTAGAGTATCTGGCTTCCAATTCAGAGACATTTACTTCCAAAGAAATTTCCAGATAAATGAGAAGTATGTGTTTAACACATTATACGGGGCTGTCCTGCAACAAAGGGTAGCATATTTCCTCACTGCAGTCCTCAGCATGTGCTACCCCATGGCCGTTTCAACAGGAAATGCATGTCCCAGCATAAGAGCGGGCCAACGATGGAGCTGTATTTCTGTTCTCTCAGACCCACGGTCAAGGTGTCAGGGAACTTTACAACCAGACCAGGCTACACTCAATCTCTGCCTAAAGCCTCACCCAAATACTTTATAGAGCCAATTATGTCTAGGTAAAGACAAGGGACCCAATGAGGCTTGGGATAAAGTAAAGAAGAGAATCAGAAGGAGTCTTAACAGCTCATCTGGAAATGATGAGCAACAAGGAACATGTCTTGGATGGGCTCCTTTCTCACAAGTCTTCCTCACCTGTCAATATCATGGGGGAACAGGTTTGAAATCTCCAATGATCAAACAAGAAATCATTTACCTGAACAGCCATCAATCACAGTAAAGTATGTCCAGTGCCCACCTTATAAAACAGGGGGTATGTGATCTGAAATGGATTTTCCACTAGTTACTTAGCCATCCCTGAACAATGACTGCAAGGGGGCCCAGAACACCCTATGCTCCTGCTCAATCAACATATCAGGGTGATTCACTGAAATAAATTTCAACTATATTCAATCCCAGTTTAATCAATGTTAACATTTTTACCTTAAGTGTTCAGCTTGGAATCACTTTTTCTTTCATGAATGTGTGTTTTTATCTCTGTCTTTTCATCATGCCCATCTTTTTCCTTTATTCGGCAAATCACACATCTATATTTTTGTCTCGGTCTAAACATTATTATTATTTTTGCTTTGCTCATATTTTTCTTCTCATTTCTTTGGTTTTCTAGTTCTTCCTTCACTGTACAGTAAAAAACTCTCTTAACCATACCTCCTATAATCAATGCACCGAATGATCTAGTGCTGTTATTCCCACTGTAAGCCAGCCAGCTGGGTGCCCAGCACTTTCCACGCCGACTGGTGGTACTCTTCAGGATGACCAAAGCCTTGGGCTCCCACCATTTTGAGTGATTCCCACACCTGTTTTGCTGGCCAGATTTGATATTAAGATTAACTAATTTAAACAAATATTTAAACAGGAACATGAGTATAAAAAGGGAAAGCATTATTGCTTATCAGAAAACTAAACGAATGTTTTAGAAAGTCTTAATAAATGTCAGTTACTAAATTAAATTCCTGTTGATTTAATGTGGGTGACAAGATTTGCAAAAGTTGAAAAAAATAACAAAAATCTAGATTCCTACATTCATATTGCTTCAAGTTCTTGTTTCACCATTAAAGACGCTAAAATTGGAAAACAGAAACAATATATTGTAAGTCTGGTTTACACTGGCTTTCTTGAAAAGGACTTCCAACAAAAGACTAGGAAATTTATGTATATTTAGGTTAAATTGAAATGTTTAAAATACATATCTTTTTAAATTATTTCCTACTTTGACCAACTTTTAAATTAAACAACCAACTACTAGTTCTTTTTGTATCAGATTAAAGGCTTTTAGTATGTTTTTCTTTTTTTCAGCTACTGATGAGATACTATCAAGAATCCACAGACAACTTGAGTTGCTCCTAATCAGATGATGGTAGCAGGACAGATATATAAAGGAGCACAGAAAATAACTTGGCCATCCCTCAAATAGAAGATAAGCACTGATATACAAATGTTGTCATTTTATCCACCGCGATCAAGTCAGCTTCATCCCCGGGATGCAAGGCTAGTTCAACATATGCAAATCAATAAACGTAATCCATCACCAAAACAGAACCAACCACAAAAACCACATGATTATCTCAATAGATGCAGAAAAGGCCTTCAACAAAATTCAGCAGCCCTTCATGCTAAAAACTCTCAATAAACTAGGTATTGATGGACCGTATCTCAAAATAATAAGAGCTATTTATGACAAACCCACAGCCAATAACATACTGAATGGGCAAAAACTGGCAGCACTCCCTTCGAAAACCAGCACCACACAAGGATGTCCACTCTCACCACTCCTATTCAGCATAGCATTGGAAGTTCTGGCCAGGGCAATCAGGTAAGAGAAAGAAATAAATTGTATTCAATTAGGAAAAGAGGAAGTCAAATTGCCTCTGTTTGCAGATGACATGACTGTATATTTAGAAAATCCCATCGTCTCAGCCCAAAATCTCCTTAAGCTGATAAGCAACTTCAGCAAAGTCTCAGGACATAAAACCAATGTGCAAAAATCCTATACACCAGTAATAGACAAACAGAGAGCCAAATCATGAGTGAACTCCCATTCACAACTGCTACAAAGAGAATAAAATACCTAGGAATACAACTTACAAGGGATGTAAAGGAACTCTTCAAGGAGAACTACAAACCACTGCTCAAGGAAGTAAGAGAGGACACAAACAAATGGAAAAACATTCCATGCTCATGGATAGAAAAATCAATATCGTGAAAATGGCCATACTGCCCAAAGCAATTTATAGATTCAATGTTATCCCCATCAAGCTGCCACTGACTTTTTTCATAGAATTGGAAAAAGCTTCTTTAAATTTCATAGGGAACCAAAAAAGAGCCTGCATAGCCAAGACAATCCTAAGCCAAAAGAACAAAGCTGGAGGCATCACGCTACCTGACTTCAAACTATACTACAAGGCTACCATAAGAAAAACAGCATGGTACTGGTACCAAAACAGATATACAGACCAATAGAACAGAACGGAGGGCTCAGAAATAATGCCATATATCTACAACCATCTGATCTTTGACAAACTTGACAAAAACAAGCAATGGGGGAAAGGATTCCCTATTTAAAATGGTATTGGGAAAACTGGCTAGCCATATGCAGAAAGTTGAAACTGGATCCCTTTCTTAAACCTTATACAAAAATTAACTCAAGATGGATTAAAGACTTAAATGTAAGACCTAAAACCATAAAAACCCTAGAGGAAAACCTAGGTAATACCATTCAGGACATAGGCATGGGCAAAGACTTCATGACTAAAACACCAAAAGCAATGGCAACAAAAGCCAAAATAGACAAATGGGATCTAATTAAACTAAAGAGCTTCTGCACAGCAAAAGAAACTATCATGAGAGTGAACACGCAACCTACAGAATGGGAGAAAATTTTTGCAACCTATCCATCTGATAAAGGGCTAATATCCAGACTCTACAGAGAACTTAAACAAATTTACAAGAAAAAAACAAACAACTCCGTCAAAAAGTGGGAGAAGGATATGAACAGACACTTCTCAAAAGAAGACATTTATGCAGCCAACAAACATATGAAAAAAAGCTCATCATCACTGGACATGCAAATCAAAAGCACAATGAGATACCATCTCTCGCCAGTTAGAATGGTGATCCTTAAAAAGTCAGGAAACAACAGATGCTGGAGAGGATGTGGAAAAACAGGAATGTTTTTACACTGTTGGTGGGAGTGTAAATTAGTTCAACCATTGTGAAAGACAGTGTGGCGATTCCTCAAGGATCTAGAACTAGAAACACCATTTGACCCAGCAATCCCCTTACTGGGTATATACTCAAAGGAATATAAATCATTCTACTATTAAGACACATGCACACGTATATTTATTGTGGCACTGTTCACAATAGCAAAGACTTGGAACCAACCCAAATGCCCATCAATGATAGACTGGATAAGGAAAATGTGGCATGTATACACCATGGAATACTATGTAGCCATATAAAGGAATGAGTTCACGTCCTTTACAGGGACATGGATGAAGCTGGAAACCATCATTCTCAGCAAACTAACACAGGAACAGAAAACCAAATACCACATGTTCTCACTCGTAAGTAGAAGTTGAACAATGAGAACACATGGACACAGGGAGGGGAACATCACACACTGGGGCCTGTCGGGGAGTTGGGGGCTAGGGGAGGGATAGCATTAGGAGAAATACCTAATGTAGATGACAGGTTGATGGGTGCAGCAAACCACCGTGGCATGTGTATACCTATGTAACAAACCTGCATGTTCTGCACATGTACCCCAGAACTTAAAAGTATAATAACAAAAAAAAAAAAGAACCAAAAAAGGGTGTTTTCAAACAGGAAATATATATTTTAAAATGAAAGTTAGAATTTAAAATACTGACAGGGAGAAACCAGTATCTTTCTTTTATAGCTTGCCTATTATAGAGAGTAAATTGGCATACTGCTTACCATCTCTTCCTTCAATAGTTGTTTTTTAGTAAGTTTAGTGCTGAGGAGCCTTGGACGTATATTATGAATTTCACAGATGATCACAAGGTGGCCATTCTGATTTTCAATCAAGAATCACCATTTCTTACATAAATAACTGCTCTGCAATATGTTTGAGAATAGGAAGTGAAGGAAGAAGAATGGACTTACCCATGATTTTATGAAAGAATAAAAGACAAAGATGCCTCCGGCCCAATATGACCAGCATCCTCACTGGGTCTCTCTGTGGCACTATATAAAAAACGGCTTTAGTCTTTATTCTCAGATTTTCAGTTCATAAAACTTTGTTTGACTTTCTGCTTTCCCTTGCTATGATGTACTTACAATAATCAGTTAATCCTTGGGAAAACCGACCTAAACCAATTTAAAAGAATCCTATAAGTAGCTTGAGATATCGCTGCCTCAGGACATGCATATCTTGATCAAGTCACAAAGGTCAAACAGGCTTCCTAATTAGAAGTAGTTGTGGGTGGATTTTTTTTGTTGTTGTTTTCTGTTCTTGGGTTTTTACATTTCTGTATTGCTTTGGGCATATTACTCGTCATGTTGAAATTTGTTTATTTAGTAATAATTGTTGTCTCTCACATACACCTTTTCTCTTTTAAGTTGATGTTCCAAATGTGCTTAAAGTTAGCACAGAGAGAGAGAGAGACAGAGAGAAACAAGAAGAGCTCTGACAGCCACCGACAGCCAGACATGTAACACTGTTAAGTGGACTGTAAACCTCCCAGTGTTAGAAGTTGTACTGAACTGATATGGCTCCACATTTCTTCTCTGCTTTTTGGTCCCAGAGGTTGTGCTTTCTTTGAAGAGGCTGCTTCTGCCTCTCTTCCTACACTGACCTCCCTGTGAAACAGGAAAACCCAAGGGTAGAAGGTGGAGGGGCAGGGAAGACGTAACCAAAGACCCTAATTCTCTCTGAGCCAAGCTTCTCCCCAACCATGCAGAACTGAGGTGTGGGAGGGTGGGGAGAAGTGGAACTAGAAGCTGACAGGATCTAGAGCAGAATGAATCAGCCCTATAGCGAGCATGAATGTCTAGCGTGTATAAAATTATGCAAGATTCTGAGAGCCCAATACGTGACTCCGTGCTAGCAAATCTCCATGTGGGAAGGAGGGTGTGTGTGTGCCAGAGGAAAGTTGAGAGAAAGACTACAGGGATAGCATGTGGGAGACAGGGCGTATGCCACTTGCACACATGCGCCTCTTTGGCACATGTCCTGGGCCCCTTCACAGGTAAAAGAGAATCATGTGCATCAAGATTAGAAGGAAAGGCAAAGTGGGGGAGAAATGGTGCGCCTTTCAAAATTAGTTTTTTACTTTTAAAAATTTTAAGTCAATTTTATTCTTTTACTTTGAAAACATTTGAAGTTATGACTTAAAGATCCTGGTGGAAGTGTTCACTGGAAGAGGTAGGACCTCTACAACTCCAATTAGGATGGCTAAACATTTTAACAAATGGATACCTTATAGAGAGAAGAGAGCTCCACTTAGAATCAGGGTATCCGTGACTCTGTCTCTGGGCCTCTCCTTCCCTACATGTGAGTGGAAATAATATCAACTACCATACAAGGGCTCTTGTGAGAAGAGAATATATATAAAGAAACCAGCACAGTGCCAGGCACATAGCACCAGCTTTCTATAAAGCACTAAGTTGGCAAAAAGACACGTTTAACTTCCAGTCAGGGATCAGAAGTGTGTTAAACAGAGAAGGAATCAGATGTTTACCAAATTGGCTTTATAACATGAATTTTCACCAAGTATGATGCTGAGAAAGCCATGTGTGTTTTAGCACTACAGATAGAAGCCCTTCCTAATGACAGGGTTAGTTCCCAGCTCCACCAGTTTTTGAGGAGTCATGGAATTGGTGTCTCTCTGAGCCACTGATGTGAGTGGTAGACCCTGTACATGGATACCTAAGAAAGCTTCTAGAAGGGCCAGTTCAGCCACCCGTGGCGGGATACATTTGTTCAGCCAGTTCCCATAAGCCGGCAGTCAGCCTCACTGACTGGGTGAACCAATGGGGGTGGTTCTATTCAAATTTCAAATTAAAGATTATTAAAACGTTGAGAAAATCTATCAGAAATATAATGAGAGATTAAATCTGAGAAGAGAAAAAGAAAAAAAGAGTTTTGGCTGATCAGCAGAGACTCCCACAGGCAGCTTGTGAGTCCATTAATGACTTGGCCTGCATCCTGGGTGTTTACTGATTCACAGCTTGTTTAACTTCTTGTATATTCCCAACTATTCCCCAAAGTGTGATATACCTCATCTACTATACAGTGGTTTAATTGCACTACAAATGAGTTTACTCAACCAGTTAGAACTCCAAATACTGCTAAGATATATGCCCAAATTTTTAAAAGTCGTGCTTCACAGATAATCTTATTCCAGAATTCCACTGCTAATAAAAACTAGCAGTGCTCAAACCCATACACCCATTAAATCAAAGTTTAATCTTCTCCCTAATGAAGAAAGAAATCTTCAGGTCATTTCCAAAAGTGTAAAGAACTAAAAAACAAACGATAAGCAAGTAGAAACCACAAACAATTGCATGCTAGAACCATCTTCCTAGGTAGAAAAGTTTCAATGAGGTCCTTGAAAAATAAAATATTGCAAAAATACAACATCAGAAAGCATTTATAAGCCACAATAGGAAATATGGCATTTGACATATCCTGAAAACAAATCAGTGAAGCATAGAAGGGACTCACAAATATTTAAGTTCTTAAGTTAATGGTGTGGAAAATATTCAAGGTGAAAAAATGGTAACAGAAACATCCCTTGTGGCACAACAAAAACTTCTTTTGTTTCATCTGCTCATGTGTGATAAATGGCAATAAATGTGAATGAGATTGTTTATTGCTCTTTATATACAAATAGAATTGGGATTAATATTTAATTAAACTAGAATTCTTGGGCTGTCGAAAATGGATCAGGTCATAGTTTGTGCATTAATTACCCTTCTAAACTATTAGTAACTCAGAAGAATCTTGTCACTGTTTACTGCCACAAGGAGAAAATTATGTGTCTACAAAAAGGGATCAAGGAAGGAACACCATTAATATCATTAGATTATTTAGGATACAGTTCAATTTTGAAAATCCTGGTGTAGGAGTTAAAGGCTGCAGTGAGTGAGCTATGATTGCACCACTGCACTCCAGCCTGAGGGACAGGGCAAGACCTAGTCTCAAAAAAAAAAAATTAAATTTTTAAAAAAACAAAAACAAAATCCTGGTGTAATAAAGACCAAAACACATATATTGCTCTAAATCACACTTATCCAACCCGCAGCCTGTGAGCTGCATGCAACCCAGGATGGCTTTGAATGCAGACCAACACAAATTTGTAAACTTGCTGAAAATATTATGAGTTTTTTGTGATTTTTTTTTTTTTCAGGTCATCAGCTGTTGTTCGTGTTAATGTATTTTATGTGTGGCCCGAGACAGTTCTTCTCCCAGTGTGGCCCAGGGAAGACAAACGACTGGACACTCCTGCTCTAAATCTTCAACCAGACTTATTTAAAGACATTTATCTTAAGGTTGTCTGCTGGTCACACATGAAATACAGGCTAATTTTCATGTAGTAATACTATATAGAAAATTATAAATATATGATTATATATGATAGTATTTAATATATACATATATATTTCAATCAAGAGTCAGGTATTTCTTTTAACCCAAAAGGGCAAAAATGAAGGAGGCAGAAACAAGGGTAAATAAAATTTTTCCTTGAAAATCTTTCTCTCCAACCCTCTAAAGTAACTCCTTGGTCACTTGGCATGTTTTCTGATGAGGTGTCCAGTAAGAAGTGATTTTGGCTGCACAGTACAAGCCTCAGGAAAGGAGCAGTGATCTGAAAAGTCAAGTCCCTATACAGCTTCTATTTGGCCTTAGATAAATGTTAAGAATAAATATATCACTTGAGTGTGTAGAAATACAATAGAGAGCTTTTCTTGAATTACTCACCCATAGGCTCCATTGCTAATCAATTTAATCGTTTCAAAATCACTTTCCCGAGGTTTCCTTCGAAGTTTCAGGGAGGCATTAGAGCTCTTGGAAACAAAATATGGAAGTTAAAAAGTAGTTTAGATTTAAGAAAATTATTTTATCAGCAAAATAGATAATATTTGAAGGACATGCTGTTATGTAATATGTTGAAGTACAGTATTCCAGCCACAGGAACCTGAGGGATAGCTTTACAGAGCCATCATCCACAGCAATGCTGACAAACTCCTTGTGACACTGTCACTTAAGCGAATCCACACTTCCAGGCAATCAAGGACAATTCCTGATATTAATTTCCTTTTGTAAACTACTCAGGTTGGCCTTGTCCTAGTCTTTTAACATTTTGGAATTTAACTCCAAAATGCCAAGCTTTCCTTTTGGTTTCTGTCAGCCAAAAAAGAATGGGCCGGAGTGGCTCTACATGGGGCTCTATCCCTGACAGAGCATGTCTCTTTCATTCCTGTGGCAATCTTCATTGCTCAGAAAAGCAGTAGGCAACACATGCAACACCCAAGTACAGAATGCCTGCCTTTCTTTACTTCCATGCCAGAAATCTAACATGGCTTACAAAACAAGTTTCAAAAAGACAGCTCTTTAAAAAGTTTAGCTCAAAGGATGGGAATAGAAAAAAATGCTTTAAAAAAATTCTCTCATGCCCCATTTATCTTAGCATGGAGAGGGAGTTACCAGCTCTTTGCTCCCCTCTGCAAGAGTCCAGAATTCCCTTCCTATTGTTTTGGAAGAAACCCTGTGTGGGCACCATCATCCTCAACTCAGGGCTGTCATCACTGACCCTGTCATCCCACTCATCTTTGAAAAACTTGGCTACCCACCTTCCTCTTTGCCCAAGAGCTCTCTCATCATCCAGGGTGACTTCAGTGTCTACACAGATAACCCACCCAACACTGGCCTCCAGGCTACTTGACCTCTTCAACTTGAACCATCTGTTTCCTCTGCTCCCCTTTGGCCTCTGGCCCTAAGATCTGGATCTATTTAGTCATCACCTGCCAATGCTCCATCACAGAAAACAGACTTCGAGACTGGGACCACTTACTTGTTTAGTCACTCACTATTACTCTTTTAATTATTTTATTCTTTTTTTATTTTTTGTTTTCTTATCTACTTTGCACTGCCTCAGAAGGTAATTCACTCACTATTACTGCTCTTTCATGGGTTTGGGCTGCAAGGCTCTGTCCAAGGCTCTCTAATCTCATTAACTCTTCCCTACACGAGTGATCTCATTTATGTTCATGGATGACTCCTAAGTCACTTCCACCTCCACCAGAAACTCTCCCTCTGAGTGCCAGAAGATATCAGACCTTATATACAGTTGCCAGTTTGATGGATCTTCTTTAATGTTTCAAAGGAACTTTAGTCTCAATACATTCAAAATTATGAGTCAGATAATAAAAGAAAACAGCTATCATTTATTTAGCACTTACTATGTGATACTGTCCCAACCGTTTTACATAAAAATCTCATTTAATCTTTTACAAACAGGGAAACCGAGGCACAGAGAAATTTCCCCCACCCCCCAGCTGGTAGAAAGCAGAGTGTTTTCAAATCTAGGCAACCTGACTCCAGAGCCTGGGTTCTTATCCCCCAGGCTACACAGACTGCTCCTGCTTTCCTAACCCCTACTCTGATGCATCCTGGTTCCTCTTTTGGTGTTCACAATTGAGGAGAATGGCACCAGCATCCAGGGCCTCTCACCTGTGCCACGGCAGGAGCCTCTGAACTGGCTTCCACATGGTCACCCTTCCCTCCTCCTCCCAGCCCATTGCTTTCTGCACTGCAGTCAGTGTGATTTTTTTTCAAGCCATAACTCTGACTGGGTTATCTCCCTGTCCACTCCTCCCACCCTCATATACCCATACACCTCCTCCAAAGTTCAGTCATTTCCCATTGCTCTTAAAAAACAAAAACAAAAAACCTGATAAACATGAACAACAGGGACCTAAGCATCCAGCTTTTACTCAAGTGCTCTAGTTTCTGCTGTCTCCCTTGCTTAGTCCTCTGATGTAGCCTGTGTCTGGAATGTTCCTTTTGCCCCTTCTTACCCTAGTAATCTGTTACATTTAGCTCAAGTGCCATTTCCTTGGGAAATCTTCTGGGACTGGACAGACTATGGCAAATATCTTTACGTAATGGTAGCACATGGTCTTTTTTCTTCATAGATCTTATCCATATTCTTATTCATATATTCACATAGAAGCACAATAAACATTTGTTGAACAAATAAACTAACATAGCCAAAGTCTCCAGATGCTAAACAGAAAAACCAACATCATATTTCATCAAGAAATATACTTACACTCACTGATTCATCTGTTTCTGGTGTTTCTGCTGTCCCACTATCGTAGTTTCCCAAATGAGCCATTTCTAAGTTGGAAAAAAAAAAAGTTAAGCTTAATAAAAATATTGCAATTGGATAAGAATACTAAGCTGAAACAAAAGAAAAATAGTTTCTCCCATATTAAAAAAATTGCTCTATACTCCAATGTGCCCATGGGAAAATCTTAAATCTAAAAAAAGGCAGCAATTGGTATTTTGAAATTGTTCACTACACACTCCTCCCCAGAACTCCATTTCTTGCAAACACCTAGACATAGGAACTTTAGAGGCTGGGCATAGGAACTCATTGGCTGATGCAATCACCACAGCTTGGAAAGGCTTCGGTGGGTCAACAACTCTGCTTAGAATCAGGTATCTGAGAGAGGCACATCTTTCCAGGCTCTGGCGGGCATCAAAGCAGCACCGACAACAACTAGGGAATGATTCTTAAGTTGTGGTGCATATCTCGTGTTCCATTCCTTCATATCTACTGAGAAATACCCTGCCAGAGACATTAAGAATTTGTAATTTGTCAGAGAGGAAGTAATAATGGTGGTTAAGAGGGATTTGGAGATTAAAAGACTTAGGTTACCACTACTATCTGCACTTACTGACTGACTGACCTTTTAACTTCAAGCTCTTCCCTGTAAAAGGTAAACAACCTTACTTATTTCTTAGAGTTTTTTGTACTGTATGTGATAATGCATGTAAAGCTCTTAGCATACTAACAAAAATTAAGTGCTCATTAAATGTTGATTATTTATTATTAATCATATTGTATAATCAGTCTTGGATTGGATATCACATGCTCACATGCTTGACACCAGCTTTAAGTACTACCCTGACTATTTAGTTAAAAGAGACAAAGGTGTCTAAATTGATCAATTCACATTGGAAGGCATCCTTGAATTTATAGAAGTAGATGAGACAATCAAATTCTTTTATTGTTCATTTTCTTTTTTATACTTTAAAAAAATCATGTTTTATTTAAAAAACATGAAATAATTTTCTCTAAATCTATGATAGGTCTTATCTGAGTGATAGGATCACAGATAATTAATATTTTCTTCTTTTACTTGTACTTTCCAATTTTTCAAAATTGAACATGCATAATAAAAGTCATAGTTTTTAGTTACATATTTTTGTGTGCATCTAAATATATTTAAAATTTTCAATTTTAAAAAACTTAATTTTATTTAAAATTAAATAATTAAAAAATTATTTCTTAGTTTCTTATTTTATGTATTCATGTTCTTATAAATGTGATAATCCCTTCTGGGCAGACATTATGCCTAAGAGATATGAAGCAAAACAACACTGGATTACTACCTTTAGATAAAAATGTATAAATTCTAGATTCTGGAATAACGACATTGCCAATAACTTTCTCAGTTTACCTATAGGGGAAATTCCAGAATAAAAAGGAGCTTAGCACAAACTATGTCCTTTCTTCGTCTCATTCAAATGATGTCAATATCCAATATGACTAGCATCTTAGATTTATGGACTTGGAGGTGAACTAAAATGCATCTAGTTGGAAGGGATCTCAAGGAAAGGGGCAAAAATTAGTAGTATTTAAATAAAACAGCAACAGCAGCTAACATCTGTTAAACACTATGTTAAGCAATTACAAAGATAAACATAGAATCCTCAAAACAATTCTATAAATAGATACTATTATTATCTCATTTTTATGGAAGTAACTGAGGCACAAAGAGGTGCGTCAATTTGGATGGTCAAGGTTCACACAGCATGCAGTGCTGGCTTAGGGTGACAACCTGGCAGCCCAGCTCCAGAACTCCCAATTCCTAACCTTCAAAGGACAAGTCTAAGGTATGTTAGTTTAGACGCTGACAAGAAAGGGAAACAAATGTAGAACAATCAGAGTCTGTAATCATTTATTTTTTATTTCTTGAGATGGAGTCTTGTTCTGTCGCTCAGACTGTAGTGCAATGGCGCCATCTCGGCTCACTGCAACCTCTGCCTCCTGGGTTCGAGCGATTCTCCTGCCTCAGCCTCCCAAGTAGCTGGGACTACAGGTGTGTGCCACCATGCCCAGCTAATTTTTGTATTTTTAGTAGAGATAAGGTTTCACCATGTTGGCCAGGCTGCTCTCGAACTCCTGACCTCAGGTGATCCACTCAGCGCGGTGCAATTTGTTTATTAAATTACCTGGAGAAGTCATATTTCAAATGTTAACAAATAGATTAAAAACTAGCCTCAAGGCCAGGTGCGGTGGCTCACGCCTGTAATCCCAGCACTTTGGGAGGCCGAGGCAGACAGATCACCTGAGGTTAGGAGTTCAAGACCAGCCTGGCCAACATGGTGAAACCTTATCTCTACTAAAAATACAAAAATTAGCTGAGCATGGTGACACACGTCTGTAATCCCAGATACTCGGGAGGCTGAGGCAGGAGAATCACTTGAACTGAGGAGACGGAGGTTGCAGTGAGCCGAGATCATGCCACTACACTCCAGCCTGGGCAACGAAGCAAGTCTTCATCTCCAAAACAAAACAAAACAAACAAACAAACAAACAAACAAACAAAACTAGCCTTAGATCTTAAATTGTCAAGAGTTAAAAACACAACTCCCAGTGATTAAACTCCAAACTTGTCAAAGATCACTGTTCATGTTTTCTTCAGAGCCTCTAGAAAGCTAGTTTATACATGGGCCTCAGATTATTCCCCTACCAAAGTTCAGCCTACAGTGATTGCCAGGTAAGAAAACTAAAGAACTCACTGGGTCCACAATTCAAGAGCTGACGCAATCTTAACTATACCAGCGTGAAGAGTCGCTATAATCTACTTTGACAGCCTCCCCCATTCCAACTATTTTCATAAAAAAAAAAACAAATTAAAAGATGGTTCTGTTTTAAATAGAATTTCTGCTAAACAACTATTATCTGAAAAATACATATTATTTGTAAGCAGTGGGTAGTAATGGAATGGAACCAAGAGTCAGCTTTTGAAGCAGGAAGCTAAGGCATCATTTTGTAATGCCTGAAGTGATTTTTAAAACTCATCTAAATACCATTAAACATCTGCCCTTTTTATTTCACTGATTTAAACCATTTCTGAAGACTCATGATTCAAAAAGGTAAAGATGGTAATTTAAAAGCCATGGGGAAAAATCTCTCCCCAGGGAACTTTTCAGAAAAGCAGCCACCAGTCTCTGATAAGTGATGAATCTGTTGTGGAACTGCTTTCAGTACAGTATAAATTTATCTGGCATTATCTCACAGTAATGCATGCATCATTTCACTGGAAGCAAAGATACGATGGCCATAGGAGCAAACAAAGCCGGGAAACAGGAGAGCAGGGCAGAGAGCAGCAGGTTCCCTGGCTTCAGATGGGAAAATCTCTGTGCCAACATTTACCACCATTACAAACAATTTAACAAGATAAACACTGTTTGCAAATACAATTTAATGAACCGAGAAGACAATTTTGAATGAAGGAGTCAAGGATAGTTTTTGAGTCTTTTTGGGGAGTATATAACCTAAATGTTATAAATAATAATCCTAAACAATCATGAACAGGAACAGGTTGTAGGGGGAGTGGTTTACCAATATCAGATTTTTAAAAGTTCACTGACAAGATGCTTCCTATTCTCTGTATTTAATTTGATAATATTATTTTAAAATGTGAATAAACCATAAATCTTTTTTTTTTTTTTTTTTTTGAGTCGGAGTTTCACTCTGTCGCCCAGGCTGGAGTGCAGTGGTGCGATCTCGGTTCACTGCAACCTCCACCTCCTGGGTTCAAGCGATTCTTCTGCCTCAACCTCCCGAGTAGCTTGGACTACAGGTGCACATCACCATGCCCAGCTAATTTCTGCATTTTTAGTAGAGACAGGGTTTCACCATATTGGCCAGGCTGGTCTGGAACTCCTGACCTCGTGATCCACTCACCTCGGCCTCCCAAAGTGCTGGGATTACAGGCGTGAGCCACTGCGCCCAGCCCATAAATCCTTTTATAAGCTTAAAAAAAATTTCTTTTTTCTCTCCTGTATATTACTATGTTTTATATTTTAAGTAAACAAGAATATACCTATGAATACTGTACTCAATTTAAAGTAATCTACCATCAATTGCATTACTTCCAAATTAAATTTAAATGTCAGTTTAATTAATGATAATTTCTTTAGCAACATTTTAAAAATTAGAAGTACTCTCAAGAGCCCAACTGAGCTCTGCAAGAGAAAAACTACTCAGTGAAGACTGAAATTGCAACCCTTCTGGGACACTCTGGCATTCTCAGGCTGACATGCTTCTAGGATGTCAAGGCCTGACCCACGCTCTAGGTAGACACAAAATGGGTCATGCTCATTCGTGTCTCAGGACCCATTTTATGGCTATTTCCTTCAAATAGCAACCAGTCCCCAAATATGGACTTATCAATAGATAGAGCCAAAACATGAGGAAAAATAAAGACTTGCCACTTAGATTTCTTCTATGAGGCGACAGTGCATAAGCAAAGTCAAAGGTAGGAACAACCCAGGGACTCACCTTCCAAGGGATCCTTATTGAGTCCCAGTTGGCTAATGATGTACCTGGGAATGTCGGTTTTAATACCCTGTCCTTCTTTGGCATGGCCTTCTGCTGCTTCCAATAGGTAGTAAAATTCTTCCGGATCAAATTCCTAGCCGAAGACAATCACAGATGGATACTTCTTTGAGCCAAAATTGTCTGAGGTTTTATTACATAAATCCCATTCACAATATAACTGCTGGGTATACATGGCTGTAAGTTACTTATGCAGAAAGGAGGCAAATGGCTTTAAAAAGTATGTAATTCTCACTTCATATTTGAAGCCTATTCATATTCTAAGCCAACACATTTATGCACATGGTAACCCAAAGATAATGATCATTTCCAATTTGCTTGTAATGTAACTACGAAGGTACTATGCTCCACTTAAGATCTCGCTCGTCGGCAATGAACAGATCTGATTTTTAATTGTGCCTTTCTAGCAAAGTTGTAAAATCTGGGAATTTCCATCCAGAAGATTTGAGATTCAATTTCTCTCTCCACTCAACCAGCAACAAAAGGAATGTTAGAATATATTTACTCAAAAATGTTGCAGGAGACTCTCTTAATATAGACGTATCCAAAAACATTAGAAAGAAAAACTTCAACGTTACCATTTTTTATTAGTTAACTATAATATTAAGTTACTACTATTCACATAAAGTAAAGAACAAGAAAGAAAAATAGGAAATTAAAGCCTCTGTCTCCTATAAAACTTTGGGAATATATTTTTCCTATCTATTTAATTTTTTGTGTGTATGTGGCTGCCTCTTGCGTCTAGTGTGTAATAAAAATCTTCAGGATCACCACACTCTAGATGGATGTTATGATACTGTCAAATGTATTTTTGGTCTTCATCCTTTTTTTTTTTTTTTTTTTTTTTTTGAGACGGAGTCTCGCTCTGTCGCCCAGGCTGGAGTGCAGTGGTGCGATCTCGGCTCACTGCAAGCTCCGCCTCCCAGGTTCACGACATTCTCCTGCCTCAGCCCCCCTAGTAGCTGGGACTACAGGCGCCCACCACCACGCCCGGCTAATTTTTTGTATTTTTTAGTAGAGACAGGGTTTCACCGAGTTAGCCAGGATGGTCTCGATCTCCTGACCTCGTGATCCACCCACCTTGGCCTCCCAAAGTGCTGGGATTACAGGCGTGAGCCACCACACCTGGCCTTCATCCCTGTTTTTTGAAATACCACTCCTGAAACCCTTGGAATCTCCAAAGTAATAAGTGGCTTTTTGTATTCTAGTGAGTTGACTGGTGGCTGGGCACTCCTGGGTAGCCTCTGGAAGAGAGCTTGTTGTCAGGGGAACCTACCATATGATGACAGGGTTGGGAGTTGCAGCCCCATCCTCATCTCCACTTCAGACAGGGGCTGAAGGTTAAGTGGATCACCAATGGCCAATGATGTCATCAAACATGCCTATGTAATGAAGCTTCCATAAAAACCCAAAAAGACTGCACTTGGGGAGCTTCTGGATAGCTGAACGTGTGGAGTTTCCTGGAAGGCAGTGCAGCCAGGGAGCTTTGCACTCCTTTCCTCATGCTTCACCCTATGCATCTCATCATCTGTATAGTTTTTAGTGTATTTCATAATAAACTGGTAAACTTCAGTGTTTCCCTGAGTTCTGTGAACCACTCTAGCAAACTAATCAAACCCAGAGAAGGGGTCATAAGAACCTTGGTTTACAGCCAGACGGTGAGAGGCACAGGTAAAACCATATGGAGCTTGCGACTGGCATTGGAAGTAGGGGCACTCTTGTGGAATTGACCCCTCAACCTGTGGAATCTAATGCTATCTCTGCGTAGACAGTGTTGGAATGGAATTGGAGGACACCCAGCTGGTGTCTGCTGCAGAAAGGCTTGCTTGCTTGTTGTGTGGGGTTCCCACATAACTGGTGTCAGAATCATGTTGTGAGAGCACAGCAGGAGAAACCGAGTTTGGTTTTTCCTCTATGCCCAAAGGGATGCCATGGATTTATGTGTTGTAAACAATTATGCTTATTGACTTAAAGCCCAGTTATTAATTTCAGATATATTTCCTGGATATTTCCCATTTTGGTTAATGCCCAAAATAGGCAACTTTGGAATCTCAGCATTTCACCTGAGAATTACTCAGGAGTTTTTAAAGGCCATATAGAAAGAAAAAAAAAAAAACTTGCTGCAAGTGGAGTAAAGTCAAACCAATGTAAATACTCAGAGCCTTTACAAACATACCTACTACAATGACTGACAGAGCAAGCCTGGGTACTGTAAGGATAAGGTGATAGGTTGGGGGAAGCATCCCCTAATACTATGAAACTCCAGTTTCATCTAAGCTTTAAAGAGTACTTTGAAAGCAGCAATATTTCCAAGCTACTTGTAAGTTCACTTGTTTCTATCTTTGAGAAGCTATACTTTTTCTCCTCCGATTATGAGTGATTACTGTAAAAAGTTAATTTCCTCCTTTAAAGCAAGATCTGCTCTTAGTATATCTGCTGTTGTCCAGAAAAACAGGTTTTAATGCTAAATGACACTTTCCCCTAAATTAAACAATTGTGGGAAGTACAAACATGTGGTCCATAATTCAAAAGCTACAACAGGAGAGGCAGTAAAAAGTTAACTAACCATTCTACCTGGATTTATCAGTCACCCAGTTCTCTCTGAGGCATCCAAGATTTTTTTTTCCTTTTAGCCTTCCAGAGACACTCAATGCCAAATGGTGTGTTTGATTCTATGATTCTAAGGGTCCTCACCATTGATAGAAAGCCCTTCCCTACACCTCCCAACTCCCTACCTTTCTCCTCAAGATTTTCCCTCTATGTCTTACAAGGCACTAGTACGTATTTATGGTGCTGCGAATATTTCACTATTATAAATTATTATGGATGGTAGTTAAAATAAGGGCAAGACCAAAGCACTGCAACCATGTATGTATTATGTATGTATGTATGTGTGTATTTCTGAAAAGCTGTATTGTATGTGATGTTATAATTACTTTAATAACCAGTGGAACTTTAAAGTGAGTTTTGATGCTATATTACTAGATCCTTAAAATAATTATAATGTTCACAGACAAATATTTGTTCACAGTTTTAACTGAAACCTCAAATCAAAATTTCATAAAACAAAAACTTTTAAATAGGAGAATGATCACTGGCCAAAAACATATAATTTTAATTTTAATTTTTTTTATTTTTTGAGACGAAATCTCATTCTGTCACTCAGGCTGGAGTGCAGTGGTGCAATCTCAGCTCATTGCAACCTCCGCCTCCTGGGTTCAAGCACTTCTCCTGCCTCAGCCTCCCAAGTAGCTGGGATTACAGGCGTGCACCACCACACCTGGCTACTTTTTGTATTTTTAGTAGAGACCAAGTGTCACCATGTTGGCCAGGCTGGTCTGGAACTCCTGACCTCAGGTGATCTGCCTGTCTCGGCCTCCCAAAGTGCTGGGGTTACAGGCGTGAGCCACCACATCCAGCCAAAAACAGATAATTGTTAACATGAACTAATCATCTATAAAAGTCTCATTCCTTCAGGTCTGCATGAGGCTCTACTGTATTTTCCCAAATGGGATGGTTAGCATCTTATTTTCTAACTTGCCACATTTTAAAACAAACAATAATTATAAATCACAGGTCACTATTTATCTCTGCATTTATCTCTATTTCTTCTCTGCATCTTGGCAATTCCAAAAAAGTGTGGTACAGCCAGGGTTTTAAACTAGCTGTGACATAAAGTAATTATGCTGAGATAAGGTCAAGTACATTATTTTATGATTATATTTCAAGTTTGACTAGAATATGGTATGACCATCACTTAATAGAGCAAAAGTCCTAGAAGTCTCTTTAAAATCAGAAAGGACAAGTCACATATCGACATCATCATAAACGTTCACAAGTTGTAATTCCCTTTGACTCTTTCCATTTAGCTCTGGTGCTGGAAACCAAATGAAGGAGCTTTCTGATGGTAACTGCTTTCCCAGTTAACAATAAATAATGTAGTCACATCAAGGGGCAACTTACCAGGCACTCTAATAACCGAGCAGGGCGGGCAATAACAATTAGGATCTTTCGAACTAGTTGTTTAATAAATGCCAATTCTCCACTTTCTGAACGATCATGAGCCTATGAAAAAGCAATAAAGAGAGTGATGATGCAGAGTTGTTCCATTAAATGGAAAAGAAAATCAGCAAAGCATGCTAATTAGATCATTGCAAATGTTCAAAAATCGAGTAATTTAGAAAATGCTATTAAAAGATTGATAAACAGACATTATCTGTATATAAATGGACACTATTAAACGCCTATATCTACAAAATCTTTCTATTAGCTAAACCTTAATTGCAAAATTCTGATATATTATCTGTGCTAAAAATCAAAGGGCGCTTGATGTGAACCATGAATGAAGGAGACATTAAAAGTTTATGACACATTAAGCACACGGTACAAGTAGAGTGGGAAGCTGATCAAGAACCTTGATTTTCCAGTTAAGACCATCTTAGACATAAGAAATGGCTAAGAAAGTGAAGGGCTGCTTTTATCCTGGACACTTAACACATTATTGAAGTATATTTCATATATCCAATATGATTCGCCTATAAATTAGTTATATTATCACACGTAAGAAGTGTGCAATGCTTTTTTCAAGTGTTAGCTGGATAAAGTATATACCAGTTGGGTATCCTTTATCCAAAATGCTTGGGACCACAAGTCTTTTGGATTTTTTTTCAAATTTTAGAATATTTGCATATACATAATGAGATATCTTGAGGAGGGGATCGAAGTCTCATCATAAAAATTCATTTATGTTTCATGTACACCTAATACACAGAGCCTGAAGGTAAATTTATAGAATATTTTTGAAGAACTTTGTGCACTCATCACATGAGGTCAGGTATGAGAATTTCCACTTGTGTTATCATGTTGGTGCTTTAAAAGTTTCATATTCTGGAGCATTTTGGAATTTGAATGCTCAACCTATACCTGGGTATATAAATGTGAATCCAGTTTCACACATTGAATAAATAATACCTAGGCACCTAACTTAGTAAAATTTAACTTAAAATCTTTTAAAATTTTATTTTATATATTGCCCAAGCACAACAAATATTCTGAGAGCAAAACTGTTTGTTAATAGTCATTTAAATTTTCAATAATATTTTCTTGAAAAAAATCAGATGAATCTGTATCAAGATAGGCATAAAACAAGTTTTAGAGGTTTTAACATAAACTTCTCTGTATGTTCACTTTTAGGCTCTCTTAATCTTTGTTTTTATGATTTACTTTCCTCTAAGGATTAAAAAATAACATTTCATTGTGATGCTGGTACAATATAATTTCACAAACACAGTAATAAACATTTACAATCGTTCTTGAAGGTGCTTTACCATGACAAGGAACAATCCCGTACCCCATGAAAAGAACTGGCAGAGATCAAATTTATAAAAAATGATTGTACTCAGAAGTAATATGTCTGCTGAATTTAAGCCATCAAATTAAAAGCCATTTTCCAAAACACAGGTACAAAAACCATATACAGGCAAAAGTAAAACAGTTAACTTTTGACATTAAAATAAAAGGAAAAATGACCATTGGTGAATAATCGTAGAACAGAAAGTGTTCAAAGAACACCAACTAGTAACTATAACGACAGGTCCTAGTAACCAGGAAGGATGTTAGGACATATATAACAATGCACATATATATACATCTCAAATATTGAAACTGTCTTTAAATTTTCTTCCCAATTTTTGCTTTGCAACAAAAATAGATTTTTGGAAGATCCAGTGAATGCCAAAAAATACGGTTACATCTTCTTTATGATTTATCCTCAACCAAACTAAACAGAAAACTTTAAAGATGAAGCAAAAAAACACCTAACTTCTTAGTTGACACTTTGGGAAGGATACTGAACTTTCTTCTTACTATAATCATTTTTGGTTTATAAATTCAGGAATATAAAGAAAATCTGAAAAGCCTAAACACATTTTGGATTGTCTCTTCAAAGAGAAATGAGAATTTTGTGTCTTAATAAACTTAAAAAGTCAGTTTAGATTAAATAGATTTCATTTCAAAAATCATAATCAGTTTATTCTACCTTCTTAGTTCTAAGAATAATCAGCCATAATCAAGGATAAAACATATAATTTACATTAACTCAAACAGTATTTTATCTAATAACTTAAGTGGGGAGAAGAAGCCCTGTTAAAACAACACAAAATAAAGACACGATTAGCCCATGAAGAGAAATTTGTTCCTGGCTGTTACCAGCAAGCTCCAAAGGGGAAACACTAACGGATACCCTGTGTCTGTATTTTAAGGGTTGGCCACTACAAAACATAACCATGACCTAGATTTGAGAGTAGGTTAGAGCTTCCTATGTATTTTATTGTCTTTGGCTAAACTTCTCTAAGTGCAAAAAAGAATGGAGACATAAAAGCATTCATCTGGAATTGTCTTAGGCCTCAGGACTTCAAAAAGGCATTAAGCTGCTCAAACCTTAGGGGGATTTTACCTGGGTTATGCAAAAGACAGACAATGGGAAAAATGGTTAGGAGATAGGCCTACAGAGCACAGAATGTCACAGTTGGGAACTGACAACTGCATCCTGGGGAAACCAAGGCAAGTTTCACAATTTGGCTCTATCTAAAAAGGGCAGGCCCCTCTGCAATGGATTAGCTCCAAGTTCTGGAAAAATACTGTAAATGTGATTATGCAAATAGTTTAAATTTTTACAAAAGGGCTGAAGGAAGCTCTTTATCTGCAAAGCTAAACAAGAAACCATTCTTATTTATGCCCAACAAGACCTTTATGCCACAAGTATACATGCTTCTCTGGCCAAAAAAGAAATTTCTTTAAAAATCAATATTTTAAAAATAGTAACAGGACCCATTCACATGATCTGTGAAACCGTAAGATTTTATTTTAATTGTCATGAAAATCTGCAGTGTCTGTCACAGAAACAAAATTAAGTAGGGGATTTCAGTGTAAATAGCTTTGGATAGCAATCCTACCCTTTTCAGGGCATGCCTATAAAGGAATGAAAAACACAGGACTAAGCTGGTAACTATGGTAATATCCTGGGACAGAATTGCAGAATTAGGAGTATCTCACAGAGGCTGACTACAGAATTCCTGTGTCTGCCTCTTCTGTTCAAAAGTGCACCATTTAGCAAACATAACTTTCAAAATATTCTCATAAATAGTAATATGCATAGTGTTTCCAGCATTTTCTGGACTCTGATTTGATTAAAGCAACAGCAGAATTAGATTACTTGATACATCCTAATAGGTTGAATATTTTGGCATGCAGTTGTATCTATTTTCTTCCTTCCTCCCTTCCATGGTTTCTGAGGAACCGATAAACACCAGGCACTGAACTCAGTACCAGGGAGTTAGAGGTGACTCCTGTTGCTCAAAGAGCCCCCTGTCTGCTGGTAAAGTGAGACCACAGAAGTCAGTACAATTCATTATGGCTAAATGCATTGAGAGGAAGGGCACAGCAACAGGCCATGTTATAGTTTTACTTATGGGCAAGATAGAGCCAATAAAGAGTTTTAGATAGATATTCTTGCAGCTGCATAAAAGTATGAATTTGAAGAGTTAAGACTGGAGGGAGGCAGATAGGTGAGGATGAGGGTCTGAGCTGGATGAGGGTCTGAGCCAGGTAGTGATTATAGAACAGGAAAGAAGGGTTGTAGAAATATTTAGGAAGTAAACTATGAAGGTCTAATGGGTTGCTTGATGAAGGGAGAGAGGGAGTCTAGTATTCTCAGAGTTCTAGCAGGTGACTGGATAGATGGCAGTGCCAATGATGGATGAAAAGAATGTGGGAGAAGCATGTGTGGTTGAGGAAATGCTGTCTAGTTTTATATAGGTTGGGACTGCTGCTTCAGTGGGCTGCCCAGGTAGAAAGATATTCAGTAGGCAGGTGGATCCATGATTCTGAAATGTGAGAGATGACTACTGGTCTGAGGTAAGGATTTGAAGCCATTAGAGTCTATAGGTCTCTAATCCAAGACAGCTGACAAGATCCCTAGGAGAGAGGGAGGAGGAGTAGACTAAAGATGAGATCGTGAGAAAACTTGTAGAAAACGGGAGTTGGAAGAGAAATCCCTGGAAGAGGCAGAGAAGAAATGGTCAGAGATGTCCCAAGAACAATAAATTAAAAGGAAGGCAGAGAAAAGGAGGGTTTTAACACTGCTGAATACAGTAATATTCCAGTAAAATGTCCAGTGGATATGACAATAAGGAGGATGTCAGTGAGTTGAGGGGTATCAGAAGCCATTCACTCAAAAAATATTAAAGTCCTTCTATGTGTCACACACCATCCTAGGTGAACAAAGCAGATAATATCCCTGTCCACAGAGACTTTATACTCTAGTGTAGAGAAGTCAAAGGGCAGCCTGTGGACTGGGAACAGTCCACGATGTCATCTGTGCGTGATGAGATAAATACAATTTTAAGCGTAAGCACGTGGCAACTCTTACAGCAATTTTACATTGTAATGTAACTCATTTAGCAATTTTACTTTGCCAGGAAACCCAAGTGCATGATCATTTTCCTGTAAAATTCATTTTCCTTTTAGTTTATGGGAGAGAACAGGTCCATGCCAACTTAGAAATTAACAGAAAAACCCCAAAACAATGTGTTCACCCTAAGGATAGTCTGAAAGGGACTGCATCAGTGGACTGCAGTTGGTTGCAATGTGAGAAATCGGGAAAGAGTATAGAAGGCCTAGAGGGCAAAGGGGAGAAAAGCAGCGGCTGCCAGCCAGAGAAGGATCTTATCTCGCCAGCTAAATTCTGCAGGGGCAAGGATAGATAGAGTTCTCAAAAATTAGGATGCTAATATTTTCCTTCAGTTTTCTGCAATTATTTACATATTCATGTCTAGAGAAAACTATCTATAATTATGTTTGCAAAGGCATAATTTGTGCCCTGTGAGATACAAAAATACAATATATACAAATACATAGACTAAATAGGTTTCATTTTAGGCTGTGGCTGGTCAATTTCAGCCAGAAGAGCAATATTATACATGCATTCCATTCCCCCATACAGACTCTCTTCCTGTCCTGGGTGTTATCAAGTGCTAGGCATGCAAGTGTTAGGCCTAGACAGGTCCTGTGTTTATCTGTCATTTTGGAAATTGGATATTTTGTTAGAAGAAGAACTGACACTAATGAAAATATAGGTTGCCATTCACTACTCAACACCACATGCAGGTTAATTAATAGAACACACAGCCTGGAAGAAGCCAGCAATTTTCCATTTAGCTTTTTCAGATATAGAACTAGATAGCATCATCAAATAACACACATACGCTCAGGCAATTTATAACTTTATGGTTAAAGGGGGAAAAAATCACTGCTTCAAAATCCTTCACAATCCACTTATCCTAGAGTCATAGATTGTTGGGTCCTAAGATTCCTGTAAAGGTTATTACATTAATTTTCTATTACTATAAATAAAGACCAGAATCAATTTATAGCAAGTAGCAATCAGGTGAGTTTTTTTTTTTTTTTCCTTCTTTTTTGCTTCTCTGGAATGTGAACTCCATTTCATGGTTATAACTTGTAAGCAAAAAAAAATTTTTTTCAGGGAAAAGCAAAATAAATCAGAAAACTATATGGTACATGGTTCTTACCTCCTGTAGCAACTTATCTAATTTGTGCTGTAATTCAAGGAAGTATCGTGAGGTGATGAGGCCCTGGTGGGATTTATCCAAGCAATCTCGAGCCAGTTCAATAATCTGGTGGTGAGTGAAACTAAGCACTCCATCTGCTAAGGGTAGAACGTTGTCAGGAGAGTAGCTGGTGATAATTTCCTTTAGACGTTCTTCCATCTGAGCTGTAGCCTATATAGAGAAGACACACATACACAGATGTAATACGAGGAAACACACATGTAAACAATTCAATCATCACATTTTTACAGCATTTTCAGAGACCTCCACAAGTTGTTAAATGGGATTCTAGAAATCAAATTTAAAAGAAGCCTCACTTCTGATAAAATAATGGTACATACATGTCATCAGACATTTGTCTGAACCCATTGATTATACAACACAAAGGCTGAATGAACCCTAATGCATGTTGGGGGCATTCATGCATAGCCTTCCCAGGTACATGGGAAATCTCTGTACCATCTGCTCAATTTTTTTGTGAAGCTAAAACTGTTCTTAAAAAGTTGCTATAAAAAAGCAGCAGCCTCAGCATGTGAAATACAGATCTGAGGGTACATAAGTGAAATCAACATTTCAGAATGATAATCTCCCTTTTCTGTGTTCTATCAAATGTAAAATGGTCTCTGTAAGCTTCTTCAAGTAACTCAGATTGTATCTGTGAATTGTTACGCTTTCATTTAAGATCTTGGGCTCTTTCAGATGGACTGTCCAAAATATCAAACATTTCTTTATGTTTTTGTACTTAAACATCAGGTTGTTGCTAGAGTTCCACAACCTAAGCTAAAAATGTATCTTTCGGGCTAGGTTTTAATGTGCCAGGAGCACACATCTTATATCATCTTCTTTTGCCACAAAGCTACATCCTATGTAAAAGTCCCAGGGGACTCCCTTGGTAAAATAAATCTAAAATTTCCTTTCCAACTTTCATTTCATTCTCTCTGGTCACCCACTGCCTAATCCATATTCCTTGCTTACATTAATTATATATGCAGGGAGACTCCCTCTCCTTCCTCCCTCCTCCTCCCCTCTAATATCCTAACCTGCATTAACTAGGTTAACAGTCAGTATCTGTTTCCCTGGTGAGCAAGTGACATGTGATAAATAGCTAAAACAGCTTTAATCAATGACATCAATGTTGGGTTAGTTGCAAATAATAAGTACTCTACTCTTGATTTATGAAACCAAAGATTTTCATTTGTTCTCCTGTTTAGGGCAACACAGGCTGTGGGGGTGGATCGGAAAAACGTGGAGAGGGGCCTTCTCCCAAATGTGCAGAAATGCTTTGGTGGGAAAGACGTGGAAACAAGGTGAGCTAATGGGACCATCTGAGAGCAGGTCCTTGCAGCCAGGGGCTTGGCAGCAGCCCTTCACAATTGCTCTCTCAATTCATGTTCCTTTACCAGTCTAACTGGAGAACACGACAACTGTGCCTTCTCTTCTAAATTAATAGGTTTAGAAATACAATGTCTAAAGAGATAGGAAATCACAGAAAAGTAATGTGGAAAAACAACAACAACAGCAACTCTCATGACACACCAATCTACAGGCTTCTAACGGAGAAAAACAGTCTCTACTTAACAATGTGGCAGCAGGCCCAGAATATGGGTACAGAGTGCACAGTCTAGAGGCCTTTCAAAGTAGACCCTCCCTACGGCACCTCACCAGGCCCACCCCGTGTGTGGTGCACAAGTGGCAGGTTCACTTTAGAGCCAGCTCAGCACACGTAGAGCACAGCTAGTTCTCAGCAGTTGTTAGCTTAACATTTTTTTTTAGTTATTTTCTCTTTCTAAGAAGACTATGGAGCTGTTTTATGCAAATCATTACTAGATTGGACCCTTACTTCCTATAACAAAACAACCTTACAGACTCTAAACCTATGGTGCCTGTTCGTTTAGATGCTAGGCATCTTCAATTCAATTCATTACCTTTGGGAACCTTTCTTTGTAGACATGGTTCATCATAATTATTTCATGGTCACAGCAGGCGGGAGAACGTCCAGGGCTGCAAGCAAAGCAAATTACCCTTTTAAACTTGCCACAGCATGAAATGAAAATAAGCTTTTTATTTATAAACAGTCAGTTGCATCAAAAGTACTATGCAACCTTTGTAAGAAAAGTATATCAGATAATAAACTACAAAATCAGTCATTAGTACACATGCACACATACATTCCCATAAACACAAAGATACTCTGAATAGGACTGAAAAAGAAAGCTCAAGAAGTGGAATGCCACAAAATCATCATAGTTACAATACAATACTAGTTCAGAAAATGTTTGTAAATTGAAATTATATTCTGCATGTAGTATGAGCTTGCATAAGATCTGGAAAACAATTAACAAACTGCAAAATAAAATAAAATAGGATAGCTACAAAGAGCAACATCTAGGACACATTTAACAGTATAATTTCACACTTTTATCATACACCTGCGGTCTGCCACACATCACTGAAGAAGTCTGAAAGTCTTCCATGGCACAGGTGTCATAATTGAGATCCATTTTCTAGCCTAGCAAATATTTATCTAGGATGCTGAGGTAGGCATTATGTATTATATGAAACAGAGGCATACAACTATTGTGCATTCTTCTTTACTCTTTCAATAGTAGGTTTATCTTCCTTCCTAGTGATATATAGTTGTGCAACTTCGGTGTGTTTATATTCCTAAGTGGATACAGCTTATACTACGCACCTTAGGAATTCCTTTAATAAAACAAAAAATGGCACCAATGTAGTAAAACATGGTGCCTGTAGATGAAATAGTAAAACCAGCTGTTAATTCCATATCTCAGAATAATCTAACATGTCTCACAATTATCCAGTGTGGCTATATTTAGTATTAGTTTATGAGACTAAGTAAAGACAAAAAGTACAAAGGGAAATTGCTTCTCATTAAACTTTGATATTCAACTGACCGCCTAATAAATAAGCTATTTTTTAATATAATAAAACCTTAATATATCAAAGTGCACTAATTCTATAGCATAAAGATCTCATACTGCAGCGGATAAGTGATGCCCTATCCTGATCCCTCCTTCAAAGAAGGACCTGTTGCCCGGCTTCTGGGAGTGCTATCCACAGAAACCTTCAGCTGCCAGTCCCTGCAGGGATGGCATCAGCTGCAAGGAGTCATCTCGCCTGAGGCTGAGTCTTTCCCAGGGTGCCACATCCAGTGAGGGACCCAGTGACTGAGGTAGGGATATAAAAGAAGTCGCATTTGGCCCAGGGGAGCAACTCTGCTGAGTCCTGTCGTTCCCGAGCTCTCCATGGAGTCGGCTAAGGCTGCTGGACTTCTCCCTCTGTCCAATCCTGCCTCTCCCTTCCCTCCCACAGGTGCTAATTTCGAAAGCACTCCCTAAGAAACATGCTGAACAAGAAGCTCTGTTTTAGATTCTGCTTCCTGAGGAAACAAACTCACAGTAAAACTGGCCCTACCCAGTGTTAGGTGGACTACATTTGGCATCCACAAACTTCAGGTGACACAAACTCCTAAAAATGTGTTCACAGTCTTAGAGAAAAGTAAGACTTACGATGGGAAGAAAGAACAAAGATATTTTGTAATATGGAATCTGGAATTTTAAAAAATCCTCCTATTCTTGTTGTCCTTCTATTTCCACGAAGCTGTTGCCTCTTAACATAACAACATTAACTGCTTTTGCACTGCCTTGAAATTTCCAGTGGCTAGATGTTTTCATAGGTAGTCCCAAGACCATCGTGATTACTACTGCTGCAATCAGCAAATTGTGAGAACTGAAAAGGAAACTTATAAGATGCCTTTCAATGGTAATTAACAATATTATGTGTACATGGAAACATCACACTATATTTGTAATAGTTTGCAAGTCAGTTAACACACATATGACCTAAAGGACCGAAGTGTTCACTCAAAATGTTTGAAAATAGAGAATCCAACTAAGTAATGGTTTTCAGCCAGGCCCACACACCTCAGACTTCGGGAACGGGGGCGCATCGGCGTGTTCCTGCATCTGTTCTCAGTGGCGATGCTTTCGGTGGTACAGAAATGTTTTGATAAGAAGTGTAACTCGTCTGGTGTTGGTTGGTATGGTAACTGATGCAACTTCTCCTGGGAGGAACAGGATGACTGAAAAAAACCAAAGTGAGGTCACATAACTACCTCAGAAAGAAACTCTTCAAATGAACAGGAGAGATCGATGAGTTAAACTTGGACAATACCACCATTTTTATTGTTTCTTTTTCATGTTAAAGTTATAAGAACGACTGCCTAAATGTATAACTTGATGTTCTCTCTCAGAGTTCAAAATGCTTTCCATATTTTGCCTCATTTGTTTATAATTTCCCAAAAGATAGTTTTCTCTCTGGAGAAAACCCAGGCTCTGAAAATGGATCGGAACCAGTCAAAGCCAAAGCAAGAAAGCGACCACTGGAGTGACATTAGGGAGCACTGTATCACAGATTAGTTCTCAACTGAACATGGCACCCCCGAGTTTACTGCTGCTCAAAATCAAATGCGGACTTTTAGGTAAATAACATGAAATAAATGGTATGATATGAGATCGTCAATAAGGCAATGAAACCTCTCTTTACAATGCATCAGTGTGTGGCATGAGTAAAACGGGAGGGATTAAAGAAGATCCTTTTCCCAATAAAGCCACTGTCTTAAAATCTGGAATTGAATTTTCTTTCTTCCTTTTCTTTGGAGGGAGTAGGGGGCTGAGATTATAACTTAAAATAAAAAAAAAAAACCTTCAAGTGGTGGTGAATTTTTTGTTCCATGCCTGTAGATTTGCTTTTTGAAAATCGTCATTCAACATTTGGAACAAGGAAAGACAGGAAAGATGAACAGCTAAATAACCCTGCTTTTAATCAATCTGAAACATTTAACTAAAAAGCAAAGAAACTAATTGTTTTCATTTTCAGTCAGAGGTAAACTCCTTAAGTAATTCTAATAAAAGAGACTCAGAAATTTTTTAGTAAATGGAAACATGGTTAGAATAAGCGTATTTTGAAAGATACTACTTATTTTAAAATGTCAGTTCTAGTAAGCATTTTTTTTAAAAATCATTATATTAAGAGTATCCTTCATAAATACTGAAACATTGCAATGCAGCAAAACTAGAAATTAATGCCTAAAGCTTAAAAATTATTCCTATAACTTGAAATTATAAAACATCTTACTAAGTACATATTGAGACAAAGAGGAATTTTTATAATGTAATGAGATTATTTTACAAGCAATAAAAAAATGAGAGCACTACTAGACTTATGAGATAAATCAAAGCTGTATTCAGTAAGTATAGTCATGGCCTTAAACACTTCTCACTAAGAAAAAAGAAATAAAACACATGAACTAAATCAAGTCAAGAAATCAAGAAAAAAATAAAATAAAATCAATGCAAGCAGGAGATAAGCAGTGGTGATAAGAGGAAAGATAAGGAAATTAGCAAATAGACAAACAGAATTAAGAATCTATAGATATGTTTCAAAGGTAAATCAATGTCCACAATCCTGTATCCAAGATTTCAAAACCCACAAACTCAGAAGTTTGTTCCTAAGTTTACAGTAATCTCTTTTGGTGGCAAAGCACCAACTGAACTGATGGGAAGCTGTTTAAAATATTTATTTAATCTACTTAGTATGAATGTTGATTCAAACTGCTGCAGAAATATTAATATATTTGATTATGAGCAGCTGGCCCCACTGTTGCTGGTCTGTTATGTACAGAACAGGGATGTTGCCTTTCTAAAAGTGAAAATTCCAAAACACACCAGGCTCAAGATACCATGCAACTGTACTTGCACAGGAACAGTATCTATTGACTTCAGAGAAGGGTCCAAAGAATGAAGATTTACACAAAAAATTATGCTGCTAGTTCTTCAGGCAATTAGAGTTCCAAAACCATGTTCTGAGTCATGATATCATTCAGTAAGCATTTAGTCTCTCCAGGTAACCATTTTGCAAAGGATAGTATTCATATGCACATACAAGTTTCTACTTTTTATTAAATCATATCATTTGATAGACATACTTCATATTTTTATGAGTATTTATATTCTTATTTCTGTACTTTCAGCAGAAAATAATTTATCTGGTAAGAAACATACGGGAGAATGTCTTCCTACTGATACAATTCTGTAGTACTTATTTCAAAATTAAGAATTATCTGAATATCACATTGGAAAAGGTCCAAAAATTAATTTTAACTGCAAACTGTGATGTTTCAAGAAACCACAATACTGAATATTCTCTGGGATGACTGATTTACTTCATCTGGCTAAATCTTTCAAATTTCCGAATATAGCATTTTTAACATTTAGCAATTTTGCAGTTTCCATAATAGCCAAAGGATACAGATATTATAATGTTTACATTTCAGTCTGGCACTCAGACAACAGCTGAAATTATCTGTAAAGTTTAAACTATATTTTCAAAATGCTTGCAATTTTATTCGTATATATTCTACATTTTGATTTTTTAAACAGTTAAAGTAAATTTCTGATTGGCTAAATGACTAACAGTTAACCCAGGGAAATAAGAATCTAAGAGTGATTCAGCTTAGCTTTAGAAAAGAAAAACCTGCAACTACTAAGAAGTTTTACACAGTTTTTGCCCTAATATTTAAAGAATAGAAACACAAAGAAACTGAGAAAAATAGAGAAGTAGCTTTCCTAGTTTTCGCTCATCACTTTTATCAACAATCAATAAGGAGAAAAAAATAATTGAACTTTCACACTACAGCACCTGCAGTCCGTCATCTAAATAGTTCCTTCTCTCTATTGGCAAAAGGAGTAATTCTGGAAGCTAAAATTTCATTTTGGAGGAAAAAATAGGAATATTGAGCCTAATAATTATATGATACTAACGTCTTCAATAAAATAAACACTTCAGAGAAGAGCTGTTAGAAACACAAAGTATGTGTGTATGACTAAAAATGGTCTTGGGGGTGTCTTCCGTAGGCACATACAGAATTTAGAGACAGCAACGATTTCATTTTGACTGACGACCAGGTCAGCTTTATTAATTACAAGGTTTATCTGAAAAAATGCCATGTAAATTCCTTTAAAAGAGCCAAGATGCTGGGTTCTAAAACTGCTTACCGTATTCTGACTGAGAAAACAAGGGAACAGTAAACAGTCACTCAGTTAAACAGTCTCTCTGTGCCTCAGATTTCTGGCCCATACAATGAAAAAAACAACAGCAATTACATGATAGGGGATGTTGCTAAGATTAAATGAGCCAATGCATTTTAAGAATTTAGACAAGCACCTGGCATATAACAAGTATTTATAAAACAAAATTATTTTAAACATTATTTGTACCAAACAGGGTCTGATTTTATGTAGCTCACCTTTTTTTATGGATTCACTTTTAAAAATGATGAATGACTTACTAAAGATGGAAAGAATACAAATCCTGAACTCACCCCTATTTTTCTTGCAAAAGAGAGACTTCTATGTCCAAGTTATAATAAAACTTGACTGAAGGCAATGCAAGGTGACAGAGTTGAAATAAAAAAAACAATTTGGAGTTAAAAGACACGTCTAAAATATTGGCCAATAACCACTGATAGTGACTGCCATAAGAATCAAGGATGACTTCACTATTATTTACTGACAATTTTATTCATTCATGCTATTCAGGATTTTTAAGCATCTTTTACTGATGCTGATATGCCTCTGAAACTACTTAAGGTTGTTAGGATGTTTCTAAAAATATGATCTAAATGGACAATAGACTCATATATCACAACAAAATGGAATAATGGATAGAAAAATAAATTACCTCTGCTCAATGAAATACCATAAAGAGATGGTAAAAATAACCCAACAGCTTTTAACAATTTGGTTTTAAAGGTACTCCAGAAAATCTACGTTATATTATTATACTTGGAATTCTGGAAATACATCAGTATAAGGCAGAGGTGATACCAGTTAGAATTTATCTATTTAACTGTAGTTTCTTGTCATTCAAGTGTTATTAAGTGGCTAAACCTATGTGCTTAATGGAGTGCTGGGGGCTATCAAAAATACAATAGATGGATATCCCTAAACAATAAACCAGAGATTTTGACAAAATGAGGCTCTAGGTCCACATTCCTTGCTGGTGCAAAGAGAGCCAGATCACTCCATATATTGAACACCTGCAATCTACTAGGCCCTTCTAAATGACCACCTTGTTTCTATAGCCCTGCAGATACAGTTATCCCACATGATCACTAACATAAACTAAAAAAACATACATCTAACCTACTGAGTTGTTTCCAGTAATTGCTAGGTCTCTTGTTGAAATGTTATAGTTTGGGGCAAGAGTATCCATTTTCCTCTATCCTATTTTCATAATTCCACTATGTCTTTATTTATCTTAACCTTCTTCTAAGTTGTTTTAATTCTTTCTTAAAAGAAAGTTCTTACCTAGAAGGCACAGACAAATTAAGACTTGCCTTTTTTTTTTCTTTGAAGGAGAAAGAAAACAAAACAAAACAAACCTCTATCTAAGCCACATAGGAAGAAAGACCCAGTCTATCGAAGTTCAATGGCATTTTTAGCATAATGTCACTGGCATGGAACCAAAGCAATAAAACTAGATTGTGTTTTTCCCCCCGAACTACACCAAATGTTATTAAAATGAAAGCTTCCAGTTTCCTCCAAACTTGTGATCCTGGAACTTACTCAATTTATGCACTACAGTTTAAAAGCTTGCAGCGAAAGTATGTCCTTTTTATTTTTGTCAGGCCATCATTTGATGTGTCACTTATTCAGAGTGGCAGACATGCAGAATTTATCTTCTCCTCCCTACCAGGAAACACCCAGAGAAAACACTGCCTGTGTAATAGCTCTGTTGTTGTGAGGAAGAGAAAAAAAAAAAAAAAGTCAGGCACTTACAGAGACCGTAGAGCTGGGTGTGTTTGTCCCATAGCCAGAGGAAGGGAGAGAAGCCAACGACCAGCGGCGTCCATCAGTCCTATTGAGAAAGTGAGTTTAGCTTAGGCCAACACTGGCGTACTGTCACATGGGAACCCCAGGGAAACTAAGTATTTTTAGTCAAACAAATGACACAAACATAGTCTGTGAGGATGTGGAAATGTTCAGCAAGGGTCAGGGTAAACAAACATTATACAGTAGGTTGACTTTTATTTAAACTGAATCAATACAACCAAACAAGTAGAAAGGGAATGGGTTGATCCATATTATTGATGTCTCACTAATATACTTTGACAAAATGAATACCAGGGATAATTACAATGGTCAGACTCAGCAGATTCAAATGAATAAGAACAGAAAGGCAGGAGGAAAACACTCTCATCTGGAAGCTGATAACCAGAGCAAATGATCTTTGGAAGGGGCTAACTTCCAGCATGGCACAAGGGCCTGTGGGGACTTTCTTTGCATCCGAAACACTTTCTGCTTATTATTTTCAAGGAACAGTTATACTCATCATGCTTAGGGAAGAAGGGATCATTAGGCTCATGGCTGGCTCAGGCCTGAAGTGTCAAATAACTTTAGCATTAAGTAAGTAACTGACCTTATGCTTAGAATCTCTTAAGAGTTACTGCCTTCGGACATGACCTGGCTTGTTACAGCAAAGCCTCCTGCAGAGTCTTTGAGCATGCAGCCCAGCTCTGGCCAGTCAACAGTGGGGGCAGAGTGAAACCTTCTCCACCAGTGATAGAACTTAATGCAAAGAGTAAAGTTGTTTGCCTCAGCCTTAGAGGCAAAGCTGGCAGGAGCCATGAAAAGGGTGGTTTTATCTTCAAGTGATGATAGAATGGGTGGTTTCTCAGTTGGAGTTTGGCTGTGGATAAGGGTCATTACAAGGGTCTCAGATGAGTGAATGCAGCAGTAGAAACAATACTGCTGCAAAGGGAAGGGGACAACAGAAAGCAAATTTTCTGAAATCTCTGGCATTCCAGAGCTATTACTTTAAACGCAAGACTGTGCCTTAAAAGCCACAGAACATTTTGAATGTTCTATGCAAATTTGTCAAGGGGCAAAAAAAAGGAAAAACACACTTTAAAAAAAGCAACATTGCATTTTTAGGTCAATAAGATTGCAGTGTCATATATGGACATTTTGTAATTCGTGTTATTACGTTTGTTATTATGTTAACTTGCCAAGTGACAAGAGTGGACAAAATTTACCAGGGATACATTCACAATAAATTGAAGTTAGGGAATTCAACAACATTAGGCTTGAATTTGAGAAACGTCACAGTTAGATGTTAACGTAAAAAACTGACATTTTAGCCTAAATTTATATTCGTAGGAAAATAAAATTATAGGCTGCCATGGGTGTAACCTCCAATAAATGCAAATGGTCCACAAAGACAAGACGGAAAAATTCAAGTGGACAAATCACAGAACTACTACAATGTTAAGATTTTAGTAAAATTTACCTGTCATTTCTGTACCATGATTGGAGTACAAATGAATCAAGTATGTTAAAAAAAAGAAGCAAAGTAAGATGTATGTAAATATACCAGATAAAAGAAATTGAGATAAATTATATGTTCTTTTGAAATACTTTTAAACAACTGAAAATGTTAATGATTTAAGAAGAAAGTAATTGTAATAACATGCTTACAAAGATACTTGATTATTAAATGGACACTGGTTGATATTATTTTATTTGGCTACTTATTAAACAGTTAAGAATCCATACCTGCACTATATATTTTAAACACCTCCAATTTGATAAAGTAAGAAAAGGATATGATTTTAAAAGAATTATTCAGTCCCTTTAATAGCAATTATCAGAAACTAGTCTCTGGAAAGAGTGAGGGACACAATTTCTCCCCACCATGATTTTGTTTTGTGATGCATTAACTCTCCTTCCCCTCAGTTATCAATGAACATATTTTAGATGAATGAGCAATTCCAAGAGAAGACATGTTCTTATTAGTTCTGAAGCATAAATTACATTTGCTTGCTCCAGAAAACACACAACTAGAAAGATGTTTAAACGAGAATGTGCTCAGTACTCTGTACAGCCAGGGACCAGAAATAATTTACAACTCATAAAGTTCCCTAAGTTGTCTGTGTCTATTTACTCAAATGGAGCACAAAGGACCACTGCATTTTCATCACCATGACAACTGCACATCAGAAGTTACTATACATGCTATCTACAGTACTTAAGAGAGAACATGCCCTTTTTTCAAGAAAGGTATCACACAAGTACAATCCTGCTAACAATGTTGTCTTTTCTTTGCAGTAGTTACCAACAAAATGTTATAGGAAGACAAGACTACATTCTTGCCAATGCAACAAGCCTTTTTTGAAAAGAGTCTTTTTCCTTGTGGGTGGGAATCTTGGTGTTACATTAAATGAAAAAGTAAGAAGGGAAAAACATCTGATGGGAACACGGGACACAAAAAAGATCAGCAAAAAAATAACAACCCTCATTTCAATACCACTCACAAAAATTTAGATTAATATGGTATACAACAAAGAAAGAATGAAAAGTTCCAGTATCAACCTGGCTATTCTAACTGTATGAAGAGGAAGTAGATTTATTGTTATAGTTACCTGGAGTGATACACCAAATATTCTAGTTGATGTTGGAACAAGTTGAACTATGCCAATATAGCTAAAATAACTAAAATCTACTCCAGAATTCTGAAGGTGTAACTGGGAGGTTACAATGATCAGACTCAGCAGATTCAAATGAATAAAAACAGAAAGGGAGCAGGAAAAACAGGATCATCTGGAAATGACAACCAGAGCCAATGATCTTTAGTAGGCCTGACTTCCAGCCCAGTACTCAACAATTGTCTGATGACCTGAACTCAGCAGGCAAGTTTGTTGTAGTAATTTGCTTGTGGAAATACACTTGGAGATTCAACCTAGTGCATAATAACTAGGGAACTAGGAGAGACTCACAGCATTTCTTGGAGGGCTCTATGTTTCCATCAAAAGTGAAAGCAGTCTGCAATACATAAACTTCCACAACTTCTGGGAAAGGCACGAGAGTATTTTTAACCTCCATTTTACCGCCAGGGAAAAAAGGATTAAGTAGGTCCACAATCAGGTGGATTGTAAATTAATACCACAATTAGCAATGTGAAAATGTGGCCTTCCTCCAGACAAAATCTATACTATGGTTCTCACTTTCATCTTTTATTTTACTTAATAGTAAAAAATTAATTCGATAATTTCACTCTCAAATCTGCATTTTAAAATATAGAAAGCAAGTCTGTGTCATTATACTTTCTAGTCTATACTTGGACTATTTTGTTACAAGGGATGGCTACTAGGGAAGTATTATCACATAAGGTAAGAAAGGTCAGAAAAGATTAATAAGCCAGACTTTTATCCCTTTACCCAAGACTACTTTTAAAAACAGAGCAATATTTCCTCAATTGGACTAAATTTTACAAAACAATAAAATGTGGGAGTCTCAAAATGACATTACTTCTTAAAGGCTCAGCAATGTGCACCAAATGGAAGGTAACAGAGGCCTAGGAGTGGAATCTCCATGTTGCCTGAGGAAAAATCAACTCTAAAATGGAGAGACATATCCCAGATGTTACATAAAAATACACCAATTTGAGTTTTCATAACACAGGGTTCTGTTTACTTGAATAACAATTTAAAATGATGATCACTCATGTCCTAAACTAAATTAATACTTTTTGAAGAGTGTGGAGGGAGTTCCATTCGGAAATTCATGCAAAATGAACTAGAGGTCTCCTGTGATAATCTCCTGTCACGGTTTATGGTTTATTTGTCAAAAATTAACATGCCTGGGGGGGTTATGTATTTTTTTAATAGCATGGAAACCAGATTCACGTGTCCTTGAGTCACCTATTTAATTATTAGATTCTCTCCATTTTTATAAATCTGCCAGGATTAAGATACCGTGATTTCTGTCATGTTTAAATGCACTCCATGAGATTTCCATTTTGCTTATTACTTATAATAATTAAATGCATTCTCCCCTTTATAGAGATATGTTTTAAAGACTATAGTAAACACTTGTTTATCAATTTTTATAGGATATTCTTTCCACTTGGAATAGTAGCACTATTATGAATTAATATTCACTGGGTAAACAGGCTTTCTGGGACCAGTACATTTTCTTACAGTACTAAATAAGCTGAAAAAAGAAAAGCTGGAGCTGGGGGTAAAAACAGTGTATGGGTCTCAATAAGTTCCCTGGAGATGATGTTTTTATCACTCTTGTATTGTCCCCATGGTGAGATACATAAAGGCATTTAACACATGATGGGAAACAACTAAACTATGAAAGAACAAACTTTTTTACATCAGATTTATAATGAAATCTTAATTACACAGAACTCTGAAAATGCCGCAACTTTTTTTTCTAGACTTAGTAACGTAAAATGCATGACATGCTGACAAACGGTCGTGAGGGCACTGCAAGTTTTGCTAGTTAGTCACATGTGTAAGAACAAGTATTTTTTTTTAACCTACCTATATGTCTTTATTAAGTCCTACTTTAATCCACTTTAGGATATAGTTAGGTCTCTGAGGAAAACTGAACAAATATCTAGGACATTCAGACCATAAACCGAGTTTATCCTGAATATTCAGAAACTTGGCTGAAGGTGCCATTTTGTTTTCTCGGTGTTTTTCCTGGGCAGAGGAGGACAAGCTATGCATGTGAGAGGGATGAAGGAGCCCAGGAAGGTGAAGGATTGCATCTGACAGGGCGAAGCAGACAAATTTCACATGCAGAACACAGAAGAGATGACTGTGCACACTCCTCTGACTTGGCTACGTCATAGCAGAAAATCCACAATGAACATGGTGTGACATGACATTGTGTGCCTGCTATCCTCTGAACAATGAAAACACTTCCTCTTGACTCAGTGGTCCCGTTATGAGACATCTATCTTTGACGGCTGGTGCCCAATTGCAAACATGATAGGAAGAGAAAGCAGAAAACATCCTATAGCCCATGCATGGCTTTTTCTCAATGGGATCACTAAATTGCTGCCTTGAAACTGTTAAAGCAGGTGTGTTAAAACAAAGCTTTGTGGCAGCCTAAGCTCTTTGGCCAGTGGGGCTTTGGAGAAGGCCTTACAGAATAATGAGCAGGACCTCACAAGGCATGGAGCAGGGGAGGGGGAGAAGCGGGGAGGGGGAGAAGCGGGGAGGGGGAGGGGGGAAGTGAGATGGGGGAAAAGTGGGGAGGGGGAGAAGGGGAAGTGGGGAGGGGCAGAAGGGGAAGTGGGGGGAAGGGGAAGTGGGGAGGGGGAGAAGTGGGGACGGGAAGAAGTGGGGAGGGGGAGAAGTGGGGAGAGGGAGAGGAAAATGGGATTCTCTCTATAAGACCTTATGCCTCCACTCACAAAAAGTCCTTACCTCCGTGCAAATGAAAAATGGGCTGAGGCACTGGGGGAGAAATTTCTTGGACTATCTTGAGGGCTATTTCCTAGAGAAAGAGAAAAGAGAGAAATTTACTACATGATTTTGTGTATCATTTCCACATCAATAATTCTCTCCTTAGAAATAAGTTTATTTACATTTCTGTAGAATGTCCTTTCCTCCAATAATGCTTTAGTTTTACCTGGACCAGGGATGGTGGGGTGGGCGGTGGGGAGGAGATGGGGATGGGGGAGCATGAGTTCCAGCACAGCTTTCTAAGTGTGCAAGACACATGAATAAACACTTTCAGCTATATCACCAACCAGGAGTCCTGCATGGAGATAACAATACAAATATTTCAATCTGATAGAGTAATGAATATATACAAGTCTTGGTTGTGACCCTCCAGATGCGAACATTTCAATGAGCAGGATGCATGGGTAAGCATATGCTTCAGTTGGAGGTGTTTTCCATTTTAGCAGGCAGCCTTAGTACTTTTTGTTTACAGTAGAATGAATAAGAGTCTGAGTTCCTGAAGATAAATCCTCATATTCTGAAGCACATATTTTAAAGGTGGATGTGTCAGAACTAGTTGTAAAACACTGGGAAGACCACAGCAGTTTGGACCTATTTCTCAATGACCCAGATCTATCTCAGCATTGCCAAGTGGCTCAGCAGGATTACCCGTTGTCAATATTTTCCTCAACAATCCCTCTGCTCCTAAGCAGCTGGACTGTGACTGGCCAGGCAGCCTCAAAAAGCCACAGCCACACAAAGGCTGGCAGAGCTCATCTTCCCCAGGCCTTCAGGGGTGGTGTGGGGCAGTGATTGCTCGTTGGAAGGAGGGCAGCTCCTCTGGGGCTTGTTACTTTCTCCATTAGCCCACTCAACCTGCTGCTGATCATTGAGAAAGCTTGGCCAGCAGCTGGCGAGGGCAAGTTCAGGACACTCCAGACCACCCTGCTTCCCTCTGCATGTTTAATTAGATTGGCGGAATTGTCTGAGGACCACATGGAACTGTAGCTGGTTTAAATAAGTGGGCAAGGAAAGGCTGCAAAGCAATCCTGTACCTTCTAGAAAAAGGAAAAAGGAAAAATAAATCAGGAAGCTATGTTTAATCCCTAAGGGCAAGCCAATTGCCACATTACTGGTTTCTTAATGAAAGTGACTATTGTAATTGGGTGTAAGGAAGACAAGATTTTATGTCAAAGTCAGTACATGGCTGTAAAGGTAGAAACAATTTATTACCAGTGTGCAGAAAGAATAGACTAACACATTAAGGAGGATAAGTTTAGTGTTACCTTGAGGACTTTTGGACTGGCTATATCTCTACCGAAATTTCTCAATTAACTGAAGGTTGCAAATTTTATAGTGATGTCTTCAACAAATGACATTAACTTTAAGACAGACAGCACAATCACAGCCATTTAACTGGGAAGCGCTGAGAAGCCCATTTCTTTATGGATAGAGAATCATGAAGCATTTTTCCCCCTGCTGCAATGAAATTTATCATGGCTTTGCATCTGTTATTCCTTGGGCCCCTGGAGAAATGAATTCTGCTTTTGCCATCCAGTAATCCAGGATTCATTTTGTCCATTTATCTACACACAGCTAAATTAAGTTCTTTCAACTTCTCTCAATAGCCTTCATCCCCTCTCCCAACACCCCTAATTTAGCTTGTATACTTCTCCTCATATTCCTTTAAAAATCTCAAATTTCAAGATGGCTAAAAATTTTGTTTCCTAAAGGAAATAATCTAATGCCAGAAATATTCATATAAATTTTGTTTTTCATTTGGGAAAAGTGTTCAATTTGCTCACACACCATAAAGAGCAAACTACCAGTAAATAATTAGGCGTAACACAATAACTGATTATCTGAAGCCAAGACATTCTAAGAACAATCCCTGCTACACTTATTCACTCAAAATGAAATCATAAGGCCAATGAAACCTGGCACCGAATTCTTAGCCCTGTGTTCTTTGTAAAGAAAACACTATACCTGGAGATTACAACGTGATCAACTAGAACAATACAGAGAGCTTATTAATATATATTTTTTAATCTGAAGAAAGAAGAAACAAAGAATTGACTTAAAACCCTTTTCACTTTTAGGGATATTAGTGAATGGTCCCCATGCTGACCCTTCATCTTCAGGATGAATGGGCAGAGATATAGATAAAGAGGTGAATTTAACTCTGCTCTAAAAAATAAAAAAATAATAAAAATAAAACAAGGCTGCCACTAACCATTTCCCATATTCAGATTTTGCCTTCGCATCTTAGGCTGCCTTTCTAGGTCCATTGCTTGAACATTTTCCTCATTTTCTTCTCATCTACTACACTGCTGTAAAACCTAACTTAAATTCCCACATCTTCAACTTCAAGACTATAGAGGTGTTAGTTCTATCTTACTAATCGCAGATGTTTCTGCTTCATGTCAGACCAAAAAGCTAAATTAAAATGCAAATATATATATACGTATACACACATATACATACACATATGAATTATCATTAAGGCTCTTAACTGTCAGAGGATATTAGAGAAAATGAGTGAGAGTGATGTGGGCTAGAGCAACTGATAATTCCTTAAGGACAAGGGACTCTAGCTCAATTTCAGGGCAGTTTAGCAGGTTTTAGGTAAGAGGAGAAACAGAAGGTGACTTCAGGAAGGAGTCAGAAACAACCCAAACACAGTAGGGCAAGGCAATCGAGACAGTTTCTCTGACTGAAGGGAATTCAGACTGGGAAAGCCAATGAGCTGTGTTTATTGGTACTGATTAGTTAGAGGCTTTAAGAAATACTTGGAGGCAAGAGAGAGATGCTGGAGGTTCTAAGCTGGCCTGAGTGTAATTGGTATGGGTGGCCAGGGGAGTAGCAGAGGAGGAGGGACCTAGACCAGGACATGGAAGGTCAAGAGAAAGGATATTCTGGTGGGCAAACCAAGCATAGTCGTTAGCAGATTAGAAACGAGTGAAAAAGGATACAGGCTAAAAAAGTGACTGATGTTTCCAATGTGGGTAGATTGGGAAAATGACTGACCCTCTAATAGGAAATTTTGGGAGAGAAATGGAGTCGTGGTGGTAACAGAAGAAAAGGGTCAATGAGCATTCTATAGACTTCTGTGTTACTTATTACAGAAATTCCTCCATTTTCCTTAGGGAGGAATTATAAGACTAGCAGATTAGGCAGGTAGAAGTCAATCTCTGAAGTCTTTGTTCTTATTTGAAATAAAAATTGACTCCTACTCAGTCTCTGAAGACTTAGCAATACTATTTTGTTATACAGTGATCAAAATACTGCTAATTTAGAACAGGCCAAATTATAAAGCACATGTTATATGTTCTAAACTCAGCGATGAGGACTTGACTGCTGTGCACATGCACAGTGCTTCCCCAGGATGAGAGTAAGAAGGAGTGAAACCCGAGTCTTATACATGACCTTCACTCCTCATAGCACTGCTCTCTGAATTCATCCACCCATCTGCAAAGCAATACCTGAGAGACTCCCAAATGAAAACTGGTGCCAGTTAATTCTCTGCCCATATGTGCAGCACTTGCTTATAACTAAAATCCTGCTGCTCCCAGGGATTTGCTGGCTCTTGGATGTTTGAGTGCTAGGACACTTTATAGACTGCTGGTATCGCTGCTGATGTTTCTGACCTGGTAAAGTAAACCTTAGTAGTGGTCAGGCATTAGGTAGGTAATTAACTCCATGATCCCCCTGGGGAACTAGCATGGCTAATACATAAACAGTGTAGGAAAAACATACTTTACCTAACGGCACTACACAGGGTGCCTCATTTTAGCAGCAGCTATTGTTAAGAAAGTGATTTCCAGATTAATTAAATTGTTTGATTGCTTTGTAATTAGATTGGAGAAGTCCTGTGTCTTTGCCACATAGAAGCAAGCTGCAAATCTTTTTAAAAGGCATATGCTATGCCCTCTATAGATTATTAATGTGCTTTTAATAGCTGTCTGTTTGTGAAATGATAGTTTCTGATAGCTTGAATTTCTATCAGGACTGGAGGAATCCAAGAATTAATGATAATTGCTATTTAAACTCCTGGTGGATCAAAGAGTAAGCCCCCATTTGAATCTTTGTTGTCATTACTTGATGATCCCCTTAAATGAGTTGTGACATTTGCACCATAACAATCAGTGCTGTGTTTCTTACTGCTTTGTTGGAGATTCCTGGCAAATGGACACTGCTTAAAAACCCTGAAACCAAACTTCACAGAATCAAACCTAGGATCTCCTTGTATGATGAATACCAACAGATAAAGTGGGCACTGGAACACGATGCAGGAACCTCAACCTGAGTGAACTCTAAAATAACAGTTCCGTTCCCCCTGAGAACTTTGAGTCTATCTCACCAGACCCAGACAGGTGACTCATGAAGAGAGCTAGGAATCTCCCTTTCATTTAGACACCTGTCTCAAACTGGCTCCTCTCCAGATATAATTGTAGACTATTAATTAAACCTGGGCAGCTGTTTCGACTCTAAGTGGCCAAGAAAAAAACCTTGATTGGCCGTCAGTGGAATTCTCTGGGTAAGTTGTCAAGTGTTCACAGGCAGGCCAATCAATAGAAGTAGACTCATATGCTTAAGTTTCAAGTAAAGACAGAATTATACACAATGAATCAAGGCTTTCTTATAATCTGGGCTCCCTGAATCTTTGGTTTTTCCTGTCCCTGTCTTATTGACCCTTCCATAGCTATAGCACCATTACTCACTGCTTGACTGATTGAGCCAACAAATATTTACTAATCATCTACTCTATAGAGAGGGATAACATGATTTTATTTACGTTTTAGAAAGAGCCTTCTAGCTGTTCTGTGGCCAGTGGGCTTTAAGCAGGCAAGAGTGGAAGCAGGGGGATGAGTTAGGAGGCTACCAGCACAGACAAGGTAAGAGAGATGGTGATTTAGATAGGGTGATTGAAGAGCTGTTATGTTTTGGCAGCGGAGCCAACGGGATTTGCTGAAAAATGGAACTGAGTGGAATAAAGGGGAAAAGAACACAAAGAAGACTTCAAGATTTTAGAAGCAAATGGGTATATGGTGGCATTAATTGAGATGGAGAAGACTGAGGGAGAATATGGTTCATCAGTGTGAGAGAGAATTAAGGGCAAAACTTGAACACCTGGGCAAGCTTTAGTCGTTTTTACTTATGGAAGCTCCACATAAAATAATTTCAAATATATTAAATGTGCTCATAGTCCACGATTATGCAATTATATGTAACGATGTTACATTTAATTGCAGTTCTCATATGTAACATTTAGACTACCTAAACATTTAAGAATCCCGTTACAATTTTCTTATTGTACATTAGAGCAAATAACATTTTTAAATCTCATATTATTTAGTGCATAATGAATTTCATGGCCCTAATCTATTTCAGACATTCAAACCAGTCAACAATGCTAAGTAAAATATTTGTAGAGAAGGAAAATTCTACAGGCTAGATATTAAAGTTTGGATAATGATCATTTTAATCATTCTGTCTCCTGTCCCGATAAGTAAAACTAAATGGAGTATAACAATAGGCAGACAATATTCCATTTCTCTCTTTCTCTAAATAATTTATAACTGTAAGTGATGGTAAGGGATAAACTCCAGTTATATATCTAGATACACAAAAAGTGTACTTTGAGTTCTCAGTGTCTAATCTCATCCCTGTTATACAGCAAACTGAAAATAGTTTTTTTCTACTTTAATAATTATTAAGTTCTTGTTATGCACAGGGCTTTGAGCTATCTGCTAGAACAGATTATAGGTGAACACAATGTAAAGAGCTAAACATCTACTGATAGATACAGATGTGTATATCCAACTCCAAACTCACTTCATGAAATCAATTCTGGATCCTTATCCATGTGACAAAGAAACTTTCTTAAATCAAAGCTCTTAAACATACTTACTTTTTAAGAAAACCCTGCCAGTGACAACAGTATACAGAAAATGTACTGTTTCACAATAGACTGTTGATAAACGGACATGTAATGTTTTCTAAGGAATGACTGATGAGGTTATAGAAAGAAAAACATGTAGGGCGTGGAAGAGAGACCCAATAAGAGGTCAATTTCTTGTCATAAGACTTGCACAGATACCTATTGTCTCCATTTCATGAAGCTGTTTCTCTGGAACTTGTGTACTGTATTTGAAATGCTGTGGCATTGACAGGAATCCCTTGGAGATGTGTTAAAATGGGTTCTTGAGAATGTTTTAGCTTTTCACTGACCCTTCCTTATTACTCTGAATTGATGTCACATCTCAAGGTGATCCCAAGTAAAGACTGGTGAATGTCAAGAGTGATGAAGAAAGTTGATTTTAAGTTGCATGTTTTCCTCCCATCTACAGTAATTCACCTTCCTAGCAACAGAGAAGAGATTACTTTTACCCCTTGTTTAAAGTTACTGAGTAGCATTTGTAAGGTCAAGGAAGGGAGGTAAGAACATAGCCACTGTAACAGATATTCCTAAGCATCATGCAATTTCATGAAACTTGATTCATTCTATTAATCTTACATAATTAATTATAGACTGAATCTGGATAAAACTCTGAGTTAAAGAATGTAACCTAATGCATTCGTATTTTTTTTTCTATCTTACATGAAGGGATTTAATTCCTTAACATAATTAGATACAAAGAATTCCCCCTTTTTCCTAGAAGAAGGGTGGATATTATCAGGAAATGGGTTTTTCTCAGACTGTTTGTTTCAATTGCTGAGTAATTTCTAGTCAAAGAGAAAGTATTTAAATGAAACACATATCCATATAACTTTCTAAATGCCATCTAAAGGTATTCTCTATTATAAATCTCTTTCTTTTGGCTCTTAGTTAAAAAATAAATGCTAAATTTAATGTGGCCCCATTTAACAAATGCTAAACATTTTGTTTGCCTCTGGTAGACATGAATTCCATCTGGAAGAAGCAAAATATGTGCAAAGGTGTTTTCCTTTTCCTTTTAAGTTAATCATTTTTCAATTTCTAGCTTCAGAAGTGTGTTCAGATTTAAAGGATCAAAGGCATTTAACCCTGTTGCTTCATAATAAAATAATACGTGATGTGCCAAGAATCTATCAAATCAGAATTCTGACTTTTCAGTTCCCACAAACCACACAGGAAATCTTGGAAACTCTTGGCCTGTAGATATTTATTCCTCTAATATTTTTCTCACACTCATTTCCTCCATTTCCTTAGATCAATAAACAGGTGTCAATGGGAACTGCATATCAGAATCACCTTTGAAGCTTTAAAAATGCTAACACCCAGGCCCTATCCCAACCTCCCTTTTTGGTGACTTTTTATTTTAATATTTCAAATTTAGAGGAAAGTTGTAAGAATAGTACAGAGAGCTTCTGCTCTCTTTACTCAGATTCACCTGTTTAACATTTACAATTACTTTATTACTATTTCTCTCCATATTTTTAAATTTGGATTTTAATACTATTTAAATAAGTCAGAAACATGGTCTTATAACTCTAAATTTTTGTATATATGCCATATGACCAAGGACATTCTCTTACATGCCCACAGTCTGATTTTCAAAATTAGGAAATACAATATTGATACAATGTTATTATCTAATCTGCACTCCATATTTACATTTAATCTCACCAATTGTCCAAATAATGTCCTTTAGAGCTATTCTCTTCTCTTGATTTAGTATCTGATCCAGCATCTCACATTGCATTTAGTTGCTGTGTCTCTCTGGTTTCATTCAGTCTGAAACAGTTCCTCAGTTGTACCTCTGCCTTAATGCCCTTGACACTTTTAAAGACTGCAGGTAGGCTGGCCACGGTGGCTCACGCCTGCAATCCCAGCACTTTGGGAGGCCAAAGTGGGTGGATCACGAGGTCAAGAGATGGAGACCATCCTGGCCAACATGGTGAAACCCCAACAAAAATTAGCTGGGCGTGGTGGCGTGTGCCTGTAGTCCCAGCTACTCAGGAGGCTGAGGCAGAAGAATCGCTTGCACCCCGGGGGCAGAAGTTGCAGTGAGCTGAGATCGCGCCACTGCACTCCAGCCTGACGACAGAGTGAGACTCCGTCTCAAAAAAAAAAAAAAAAAAAAGATTACAGGTAGTTGTTTTGCAGAATGTCCCTCAATTTGGGTTGCATAGTATTTCCTTATAACTAGATTCAGGTTATGAAATTTGTGGGGGAGCAATATCATGTAAGTGATGAAGTATCTTTCTCAGTGTAACATATCCAGAGGTACATGAGATTGATTTTATCCTGTTATTGATAACTTTGGTCACGTGGCTAAGGTGGTGTCCACCAGTTCCTCACTGTCAAGTTATTATTTTTCCCTTTGTGATTAATCCCAGGCACTTTCTGAAACACATTTAAAATGTCATTACAAGTAATAGAAAAATTGCCATCTTATTTACACAACATTAGCTTTCCATATAATGTCTGGGGCATAGAAATTTTATTTTCACAAAAGTATGCTTTATCACACTAGAATATTTAAAAATAAAATACTATATATGTCAACATTTGAAAAAAATTATTTTTATAGTTTTGGAGGTGCAAGTGCAGTTGTCTTACAGAGATATATTACATAGTGGTGAAGTTGGCCCACCCCATTTAAATGAGATAATTCTAATGTGCAGCCAGGGTTGAGAACCATAGCCTTAGAATTTCTTGTATACTGTAAATCATGTTCTAAGCTTCCACTTGTCCCTGAGAGCTCTGAACCAGGAAGTCTTAATATTTTTTTTTCACTTCCCTATTTTCTCCCATAATTCAGCATCTCTTCTTCCTTGTCTCAATCATACTAGTTCGATGCCTGTTTTACATTCACCTCACTTTGACCTCTAAGTATTCTCAAAACAGCATTAAGACCTGAAATTCCTTCCCTTTCAAACCAAACAAATAGTATATCATACCATGTCAATTATCCAGAAGTCCCAAATGCCCACAGGTATCCTCCTGGGTTAAGCACGTACATAACCTCCCCCACCCCAAATCCTATTGCTACTCTTACCCAATTATATGCACAGTTTTCCCTTCCCTCTAAAATAGGAACCTCTCCCCACATGCTAAGCTTCTATTGCTCCTGTGTTCCTGGGTTAAGATTTAAAACCTCTGTTAAAAAAAAATATATAATATATACAATTATATATTATATAATATATACAATTATATATTATATTATATAATATATACAATTATATATTATATTATATAATATATACAATTATATATTATATTATATAATATATACAATTATATATATTATATAATATATACAATTATATATTATATTATATAATATATATAATTAAAGAAAACATTAATTAACCATAATGTTTACATTTTCACTATCAACTTTACTCATGTTTGTTCAAACCAGTTTTCATTTTAATCATATCTAACAAACATGAATATTTGACTTAAAATCTGTGCATCTCATGCTTGCTTTCATTTTTTTTGAGGCAGAATGCCTATTATACGGTCCATGTAATATTATAATATTTAAAATTATTAGGACAGTTAAAATCAAGGCACGGGATCTAGATTCAACAACTGATTATCAGAAGCAAAACTAAGAGTATTCACTCTAATTCTTATCATTCCTTCTTGCATAAAACATAATTTGCCTTTATACATAATAGGAACATGGCCTTTCCGGTCCTTTCATTTATGTTCTGTACATGCATCCATGATATCTTTAGTAGACAATCTGAAAATAATTGATAAGTGTGATTAGTGGAGCTTGTTTTAAGCCACACACAACTCTTGAGATTCTGTATGCACAAATGTCAACCTTCAGAGAATCACTACCTTACACAGCCACAGTTACTATTGCAAGGTGTTGAATCCTTCAGGTATTCTGGGACGAACTGAGATGGGAGAAAAAAAGTTGTGATTATTCTCTTAAAGAACATGACAGGGTCTTTAAATCCCTCTTTGAATGAAAAAGTAGGTACATAAAAGGCACATATTTAAAATTTTTAAATCATTTGGAAAGCACTTATGCAGAGTTAATATATGCTGGACACTTTGCTAGGGCCAGAAAGTCAAAGACAAATGATACCCGGGGCTTCCTTCAAGTGATCTTGGCAGTGACAATGGATGCAATGGAATGCTAACCTTTCTGAAGGCTGTGTTTAATGAAGCCAAAGCTTCGTATTCTGAGAATACTCAAGGGGTTAGAAATGGTGAATTATTTTGTACGTCAGGTCAGGTGTGACGACTCTAAGGCAGACTAGCGCTAAGAAGCTGGACAGTAAAGTACTGCCACTTTTCCCTCCCCTTTTGCAGACCCCTGGTAGCCTTTGCAGAAAGAAGGCTGAATCAGACCATCCCTGACCACAAGCCTCTAACCCATGAGGCAAGGAAGAGAGACCCAGCATGTGGAACTTTGTGTTCATGGTGGTAAGGATAAATTAAGGAAGATGTGAATTCAGAGAAAATAATGGATAGCTTTGCAGGGGCAACCTTCGATCTGCATCTAGAAGGAAAAGTGAAAGGAAAGGAGGCTTTGAGGCAGAGGAAAATGAAGGGACAGAGTCCCAAAAATGAACTGCACATTTTTACATGTTTTAATTTTTATTACAAGAGCAATGATATATACATGGAAAAAAATTCAAATGATTCAAGTAGACATACGATAAAGCCAAAAAACCTCTCTCAACCTCTGACTGTTATTCACTGGTTCATTCAAACACTTGTGTCAGGCTCTGTACCAGACTTTGCGTCCCCACCTCCACCTCCCCATGCCCAGTCCTACAATTCAGAAGTGACCTCTTTTGATAGGGTATGTACCTATCTAGAAATATGTGTATATTCACAAGCATATGTGTATAAAAAAATTCCTCCCAAAATACTACATCAAATATAATGCTCTATTATTTATATAAAGTTCTATATTTGCTATTTTTTAATTATCTATAACTTTCTGTGTTAGCCCATCTAAATCTCTATTATCACCTTTCAGCACCAAATATCCCAATATTTCAGTTAGCATCATTTACTTAGTATTTTATGAATGAATATTTATACTAATTTTAGTGTTTTGAAGATTCAATGAATATCTTCTAAATATTTACGTACTTCCAAGAGCTAAATTCCTATGAGCAAAACTTTGGGTACAGTTGAGTACAGTGCACTTTTCACTTTGGTCCTTCTCGCTAAATTGCTCTCCAAAGACACTGCACTGATATTTTCACTAGTGACATATAGGATGCTGTCTACCTTCCACCTTGCCAATACTAAATTTTTTCAGATTTTGGTAATTTGACAGATAACATCAGATTGCCATATATATATATATATATATATATATATATATATATATATTTATATAAAAATATATAAATATATAAATATATTTATATAAATATATATTTATATAAATATATAAATATATTTAAATATATAAATATAAATATAAAAATATAAATATAAATAAATATATTTAGATAAATATAAATAAATATATATATTTAGATAAATATAAATAAATATATATTTAGATAAATATAAATATAATATAAATAAATATTATATATAAATATATAAATATAAATAAATATAATATAAATATAAAATAAATATATATAAAGATATAAATATAAATATAAATATATAAATATATATTTCCAGCTTTATTGACTTGACAAAAATTGTACATATTTAAGGTGTACAATATAATGTTTTGCTATACAATTATAAAATGATTACCACAATCAAGCTAATTAACATAGCCATCACCTCATATAACGTTTCATGTTTCTTCAGATGATTATGAGTGAAGCTGAGCATCTTTTAATGTTAACTGACGATTTGTGTTTCTTTTTGTACAAACTACCCAGAGTTTGTACTTCATTCCACTGAGTTCTTCTGTTAGTCTTTTATTGTTACTTTTTTTTTTTTTTCACATCAAGGCAACCCTGTCAATATATTGAAGACTGGTTTTCTCATCTGTGTTTATCTTTTAATGTTACTTATGGTAACTTTTCTGTGGAAAAGTTTTTATCTAATCAAATTTGTCAACCACTTTCCTTTATGGCTTTTAGGTGTTTTATCTGTTTGGAAAGGCCTTCTTCAATCCCAAATTATTTTCCAAATGTATCCACATTTTTTTCTAGTTATTTATTTATTTATTTTTGAGAGAAGAGTTTTGCCCTCGTTGCCCAGGCTGGAGTGCAATGGCGCGATCTTGGCTCACTGTAACCTCTGCCTCCCAGGTTCAAGCGATTCTCCTGCCTCAGCCTCCCTAGTAGCTGGGAATACAGGCGCCTACCTCCACGCCCAGCTATTTTGTTGTATTTAGTAGAGAGGGGGTTTCACCATGTTGGTCAGGCTGGTCTCAAACTCCTGACCTCAGGTGATCCACCCATCTCGGCCTCCCAAAGTGCTGGGATTATAGGCATGAGCCACTGCACCTGTCCTTTTCCTAGTACTTTTATGGTTTAATTCATTTTTTAAAATCTATATGGGGCTTATTTCTTATAAGGAGCAAGATAGCAGTCTGGCTTACCGCTTTTCCAAATGGCTAATCAATTGATTCAGGACAATTTATTGGCTTGAATAACCTACACTTCCTTCCAGTGATTTAAGCAAGACACACTTAAGTAAAGTGAAGTAATCTGATGTTATGGACGGGGAGTTGTAGGAAATTAAGGCAGAGCAGTGAATGGTGAGGAGCAAAGTGGATGGATGAAAGCGTAACTACAACAGTCAGGGGCCAGCTGGCAATACTCTTTAGGGCAGTACTCCAGGTGATTCGTCACCTGAGTGGGGCCCTTACTTTTATCAAGTACTCCAGGCGCTTCTTAGGCACAATAGTGTTTCTGAATCCTAGCTTTAGAACAGTGATCTTAACCTTGGCTTCACATTAAAATAGCCTAGGGAACTTAAAAAACCCCAAAGCCCAAGCCACACTGCAAACCAATTAAATCAGAATGGGGAGGGAGGTGGAGGGCAATCATCAGTCATTTTTAAAGCTTCCCAGGTGACTCCAGTGTGCATTCAAGTTTCAGAAACACTACTTTAGATTCTGCTGGAAAAAAAAAAGTGAATTTTACAGTTTAAGTTGTTCTCTACCATTACTCTGTATCAAAATCTCTGGGGAGCTTTTAAAAAGATATAGGCCAGACCAGGCCAGACACCTTAAGTTTCTGACTTAATTGGCCTTGGGTCTGGGTATGTCTTTAAGTTCCACATGTGACTCAAATGCACAGCCAGGCTTTAGAACCTACAGGGCAGTTAATTCTCCAACTGTAGAGTGTATCAGAATCACCTTGAAAATGTGTTAGACCACAGAGTGCTGGGCACCACCCCTCACAGTTACTTACTTAGTAGATCTGGGTTGGAGCCTCAGAGTTTGTATTGCTAACTAGTCTGTGGCGGTGGCGATGGATGCTGCTGCTCATCTGGGAATCACTTTAATAACCACTATACTCCCGTATGTCATGATGAACCATGAAATGTTTTACATTAGGTAAAAGACATAATTAAGTTCATGTCTTTCAAAAAAATGAGCTTCGATGTCTGAGAGAGATTTGATGGAGGTGGAGCCCAGGAAGTGCCAAAGCAGGCTCCCAGTTCTCTGTCACTGAAACATCCTGGAACCAGTGGCTGTGGCACTGGGGAGGGGGGTCAGGTATAAAACACTTTTCAGAGGGAAAGTGGGAGAGAGGGTGTAACAAAAAATGATACTGAGATTTCTAGTTTGAGTGACAAGGTGGATGATGTTGCTAATAACAGAGAGAATAAACAGAAATTGGAGAAAATAAATTTGTTATTGGGTAACAGCTGGATTTGAGGTGCTGGTAGGACACAATCAGATGGAGAGACTATTAGTAAACAGACACATGCATCTGTGTTCAGGAGAAAGGTTCAGACCCAAGAGAAAGCTGTGGGAAAAACTGGCACACGCATGAAAGAGAGGACCTTGGTAAAAGAGTTTATGCCACAATTAAGTGTGACAGAGAATGTGATCCAAGGGATTCCAATAGTTAAAATGGCACAAGAAGCAAAAGGAGCCAACAAGAACAGAAATACAGAAGCAAGCACCACAGGAAGCAAGAGAAGACAACTACTCAAGAAATTGGAAATGGTTCCTGGTATCAAATCCTGCAGGGTGCTCATGCTCAATTTTTTTTTTCTTTCCCAGAAAGAGGTCATTGGATTAGATTAGGCCACTGGGCAATCAAGGTGCATCTCCCACAGTGGAGCAGTAGAGTGGGATGGTGTCAGGCCTGAGTACATCACCAATTAATCATGGGCAATGTTACACCTGGACTAGTTTCCCAGGACTACTACAATAGGAATTCCTGGCTCTGTTTTACCAAGACATGTAATAAAGATAATAAATAACAAGATCTACATTTGGTTATTAATTAAATTATAATTTCAAAAATAAAAAAACTTCAAATGTTATAATAGCTAATCATTTCATAGTATGATTTTAAAAACTTAAAAATGTGCTAGCAAGTGGAACAATGTGTGAGATAATGCCTAAGGGAGTGCTTAGCTTTTATATTTTATGACATATAGTTACAGCAAAACAAAATTTTGACCTTTCCCCTATAGGCTAGCAGATTTATCATTTTGGAATCCTAATGGAGAACAATGTTTCTTAGGCCATTTTTAATTTACTTTTTTTTTCTAAAAGATAAAGATGACAAACTTCTGCTAAATAGTTTTGTAATATTTTACATTAATTAACTCAACTCCTCACCAATCACATTTTTATTCAGCAATGCATGTCATAAAAAAAACACTCCAAAGCCAGGTGTGGTGGCTCATGCCTGTAATCTCAGCACTTTGGGAGGCTGAGGTCAGTGGATCACTTGAGCCCAGGAGGTTCAAGACCAGCCTGGGTAACATGGAGAAACCCTGTCTCTACAAAAAAATACAAAAAGTTAGCCAGGCATGGTGGTACACGCCTGTAGTTCTCAGTTACTAAGGAGGCTGAGGTGGGAGGATCACCTGAGCCTGAGGAGTTCAAAGCTGCAGGGAGCCACGATCATGCCATTGCACTCCAGCTTAGATGACAGAGCAAAACTCTCTCTAAAAAGGAACGAAAAAAAAAAAAAAAAACTCATTCCAATCTTCATTCAGATCATACACTAACCTCCAGCAGACATATACATTTCTAGGTGGATGTTAGGTAAAAGATAGTAGCATATGCCCAGCACTACCATGGGGCTGACTAAGGACAAATTAGACTGAGGGGATAACTTTAGTACTGCTACTAATGTTGGAAAACGCTACACATAAAACTGTTTAACTGTTTTAGACTGAGGCAGATGGTGAGGGTGAAAGCAATATGCACATGAATTTTTCTGGTGAAACGTTTAAAATCCATAGGAAAAGAACTGCTCACCTTTAAAATAACTTTTTAAAATCTGACTCTAACAGATGATCATGGCAGAGGATCTGCAAAATACATTAAAGTATAAAAATGAAATCGATAATCCTAATGTAATATTGTAGTGTCTTTATTTTTTGACAGTGTATACACGTATATACAAATATACTTTCAAATTAGATCATAAACCATACTGTTTTGTGTCCTGCTCTTTATAATTAGGTTATAATTACAATCTTCCTATGCTATTAGATATTTTTCAAAAATGTGATTTTTAAATGGCTACAAATTATTCCATTATACAGATGGACTACAATTTAACCATCAATCTTCTTAGTATTTAATGTTTAGGGTGTTTCCAATTCTGTACTACTACAAATTAATGCTGCAATTAACATCCTAAAATATACATTTGAGTACTTTTCTGATTATTTCCTTAAATTATATTTCATAAAATGCAAATAATAGTTCAAGTCATGTGAACTATTTTTAGGGCTCTTGACATAAAGTATCAAGCTGCTCGCTAAAACCATTGTAAATTTACATTAATGTAGTGAAAATATCCATTTCAATATACCATCATCAGAAATGAATATTACCATGTTTGCTGTTTAATATTTGCAAATCAAGTGGAAACTGATGTCTCATCATTTTGATGTACATTTATTTGATTAATAAGAGGTTGAACTTTTCATCTGTTTATCTGTCATTTCTATTTCTTTTCTGAGATGTCCGTTCATGTCCTTTGCCTATTTATTTAGGGGGTAGTATTTTCATACGTTCATTAAAAAAAGCTCTTTATGACTTAACAATATTGATCTTCTGCCCATTATACTTCTTGTAGATATGTCCTAAGTTATTTGTTAGTGTATTAGTTTTGTTTACAGTATTTTTTAACTTACAGAATTTTAAATTTCTATTATCAATCTTTTCCTTTTAGTGATTTCTTCTACTTTTTCATACTCAGAAATTATTTCTCCATCCTAAATATATTAAATGTTCAACTATATATTAATTTTACTTTTTAGCATTTAATTTTTACAGGTAATTTAAAAGCCATATGAATCATTTTAGTATATATAGTATGAAAGAAGCTCACCTTAAGTATTTTTCATATACTTTTCCCAGTATCATCTGTTGATTAAACTATTTCCTTTGCAGTGGTTTGTGATGTTTTCTTCAACATATCTTCATCCATTCCTTCCTGTTCTTATTCATATATGAATGCTTGGATTGTCACTTTCTGATATGTGTTAATCTCAGGTAGGTCAGGTCCAACTCACTGATTTATTTGGCTAATTGTATCTACTGAGTTTTCTAGATGTACCTTGGGGTCATTACATCAAGTTACCACTGTAAGCATTTGTCATCTTTATGGCCTCCAGTTATCTTCTAAGCAACCTCCCTACGTAAGAGGAATTTCCCATATCGTGAGCCGAGTCCTGCCTCTGCAGGGCTGATGCCACCACCCACTTTTCCAACTTTCCTTGCAGTTAGAATATAGACTAGGTTTTTTTTGAGTTTTTAAGCTAAACTCAACTTTGGCTTGAAACAATGCAATAATAAGAAGACCTGCCAAAGAAATCAATTTTGATGACAGAAGTGGCAGTAGAGGCATTCCTTTTGGGGAGCATCAGTGTCAAGAGTTTCTGCAACCCAGAGAACAGGAGCAGCAGGAGCTGGACCTGCTCTGGCACAGTGCCATGGTGTGGGCTGGGTGTTCTTCTAGGGTATTTGGCCTCCAATGCTCACTCTCTGGTACTAATACTAATTCTGTGAGCTACCTAATATACTTTAATAATTCCTCCCCTGCTTAAACCAGACAGAGTGCATTCAGTGTTTGCAATAAAGAAAACAGTTAAACACACATATACATACTCATGAAAAGTCTAATTGAAAGTACCATCACAACTATAATTTGGGGAAAATAACAATATTTAGCCTTTTCTCCAATGAACAGGACACATCTTTCCATTATTCATAACAGTTTACTTTTCAAATAAAGTTTTGTTGTGTTTTCATAGCAATCCCTTTCAAGTCTTCTGGTTATTTCAAAGCATGATATTTTCTGCCCTTTTGGAGGGTGGGCAGTGGGGGTGGGGTTATGGGAAAAGGGCATGGAATGCTGTCACAGAATATCACTCCTTTCTCCCACTATCATTTCTTACTTGTCATAGTTGGTAATATACAACAGCATTAACTTCTATATATCCATCTTGTATACAACCTACTTCATTATTAATTTTAGAACTTATTCACTGAATTCTCTTGGATTTTCTAGATTCTTTATGTCATATGAATATAACAAATTTTACCATCTTTGAATTATATATTTTGTTTCCATTTTATGTGTTATCTGACTGCAAAGAATGTGTAGCATAAAGTGTTATATTAATGGGGAAAGATTTTAACAAAATGCTTCTGGTATTTCACTAAAGTAAGACATTGGCCATTAGTCTAAATTAGATGTCTTTCTACATTATGGATTTCTCAATTCATTCTCATTTTCTAAATAATTTTTAGCAGAAATGGATGTTTAATTTTATCAAGGGCTTTTTCAATGTCTATTCAGATGAACATTTGACACGCTGCTATGATGTATTAACAGTGTTTATAATATTAAACTAATCAGCACTCTTAGAATCCCAAAAATTCACAGTAAATAATTCTTACACTGTTCTACCAACTTTTCACATTTATATTTCAAAGTAAAGTTGGTAATTTTTTAATTCCTTGCTGGATGGTTACTTTTCTTTCTTCAGTAACATAAAAGGAAATAATTGCTTTTCATGCTAGTAAGTTTTATTCTAAAATGTTTAAAAAACACACATGCATGCATATTTTAATTAATGAGTTGAGAAGAAATACAGTATTTATTCTTATTTCCTCCCCCATGCCTCAAAGTAAGTTAAGGAACTTTGCACATGTGTGCTTCTGTCACCCTTGTCTCTGATCTTAATGAGTTCTAGATCTATATTGCTATTAGTGAATTATCATTTATACTACATTTTAAAGTATCTTTTTAAACTTTCATTTTCCTATCAATACTATAGTACTTTTATAACTCATCTTTCCAATTTAAGTTCATTTTAATTTTTCAGTCATCTTCTGTAAATCCTTTTTGTTTTTTTGAGATGAAGTCTCGCTCTGTCGCCCAGGCTGGAGCGCAGCAGCACGATCTCGGCTCACTGTAACCTTCGCCTCCCGTGTTCAAGCAATTCTCCTGCCTCAGTCTCCTGGGTAGCTGGGACTACAGGTGTATGCCACTATGCCCGGCTAATTTTTGTATCTTTAGTAGAGACGGGGTTTTGCCATATTGGTCAGTCTGGTCTTGAACTCCTGACCTCAGGTGATACACCCCGCCCCCCCCTTGGCCTTCCAAAGTGCTGGGATTACAGGCGTGAGCCACCACGCCCAGCCATCTTCTGTATATCTTTAAGTGACTTTTCCAGGAAAGATCCATGGACTGTTATTTTGTGTGTTCTTGAATATATGATTTTATCTATCTACCTCCCTCCCTCCCTACCAAATAGAGTTCTCTGGCCATTACATCATTATCTAGCAGTGAAAGGTATGACTGAGGTCAGCATGCGTTTTATTCCTTTGTTAGCAATTATTTTATTTTATTTTATTTCCTGTTCAGATAGTTTCGGTTGTTTGTAGGTCTTTCGCCTTCATTGCTTAAAAATTTAAAAGCCACAAGACTATTTCTAGAGCAGAGTTTTGTTTGTTTCCACTATTTGTACCGATTTTACTGTTAACCAACTTATCAAAGTCTTCAATGATAGTATTTTTGATCATTGACTTTGTTCCATTAATTTGGCTCCCCCACCAAAAAGGCATATTATTACAGATTAATAAATGAATCCCCAACTTATCTGATGTGGGATGTTTAATACTGGAAAGTATAGTTTCTTAAATTTCCTACAGAAAGATAATACTGTTGGGAGGGCAATGGATGGCTCTGATCAGCACAAAATGCGGCTTCTTTGTGGTGCGGGGTTGGGTGGTGACTGCCAGATATTCTGATTGTAGGGACAGGTATAAAGTCTCTGATGTCAGGGTATGCAGTCCAGGAAGGTGAAATCCACCTTCTGTCTCCTGCCTATCTTGCTATCATACTGTTTCTGTGGTCTAGCCATGAGCTGATTACTGACACAAGATTTTCTGTTGACACAGGTAACAGCATTCATTCCTACTCAAGATGTGAATGATCATTGGTATGTTCTTAGTTTCCAGTATTATAGCAGTTTTACAAATAAGGTGTGGTGGCAGATGTTATGGGTATTTTAATAAAAAGCAGAATGCATGATTAGCTATCAAACATAAACTCACAAGTCAACTGCTTATTCTGAAGTAAATAAAGGTCAGCAACTTAAATTTAGATATTGTAACTTCTACCCTGCTAGTAAAGACAACTTCAGGAAATGAATGGTAAGCAGAATTCAGGTTAGATAGGCACACTGCACTCGTGACAGAAATAGTTAAAGCCCACATCACTAGAAGAAATGAACATCCCTCATTTTTGTCAACAATAGGAACAGTAGGATGAAATAAACAGCTTCACAGAACCACTGACAGGGCAGACTGATACTGCTTATGTGAAATGTGTTGTCAGGGGAGGTATGTACATCTCTTGATGTTAAAAGTCCGCCTATGTCTCCAGAGAAGGGAGAAAAATTTGCATTTGGTCCTTCTCTTTTGGAAATCAAAACTGTCAAATGAAATGATAACCCACATTTCCTACTGAAATAATGGCATAAGAGCACCAAATGTGAATCAATTCACCTATTTTTTTTTCTTTCAATTTCAAGGATGCTGGAATGTGTGCATTCCCAAGCCAAATTACTGATCCCACAAGGAAGTGGGCTTTTTACCAATTAAGGAACTTGTTTCATTTCCTGCATTTGGCCTATTTAAGATGATTTGCATCTCTAAACACTGAAGTAGGGCATGTTCTTTTGCTGAGGAACACACACACACACACACACACACACACACACACACACTTTCTCTCAAAGCCTTCGAAACTACGTTCATTCCTTCAGACACTGGCCGGTCACTCTGGTAACTATTGCAGGACTTCCAGTACATTCCCACATGTGCAAAAATAGGCTTTAGGCCTAATTGTTCCAGCGGATAGATATAACTACCACAAACTGGGATGTGTTGCTTCTCCAGATAAACAAGGGGATACCTGGCCTTCAAAGTTCCTGGGAGGCACGGTCCACAGGACAACCTGTTTTCCTCTCAAAATTCCTTCCAAAGGGCACATCCATCCTCAGATGCTGATGAAATGCGGAGTGCATATCCAGAACATGCTGGGGGTCACTCGGGCATGCCCTCACATCTTATGTCTGTTGGGCCCAACCAGCTAACCCATTCTTTTATCTTTAATATTTTAGATGCTGAGAGTGTCATTTGTCATCAGACCTGGAATACTAAAAGCATGCCTCCAATGGAGAACACAAGGCAGGTATATATTAATCCTGAGAACACAGGGTGAAAGAAAATCTTCTTTAAAGCCAAAGAACTAGAAATATGAAGGTACAGCCTTAGAAGGAATATTTTAAAATTTTATATATATATATATATATATATATCCAATCTCCTCCTTTAACAGAAAAGGAAATTAAAGCCAAGTTAAGAGAATTGTTCAAAGTCATATTTGATTGTTAGCAGACCATGATAAAACTTTAAGAAAATTAACCTGAAATATAACTTCTTTATATCTAAGGATAAAAGATGAGCAGAGTCCATGTAATTAAATGCCAGTCTCTCTGTTCATCAACATCTGATACCTTAATACATGGACCACTTTAGAATGCTCATGCTTTGGGGACGTCCTTAGGTATACGTGTATCAGCGACTCTCCACCAACGAGAAGGGTGTCAGCAGGAGGGTCAGCGGAATACTTAGGAAATGCATGGTTTTTATTACAAAGGTTAGGAAGTTTTCCTCTCTCAGCCCACGTGTTTCTCAGGTGGGTGCCGTCTCCTGCTGACTATTCTTGACATGATTTAGTTGCATGAGACCTGTTAGCTTACTATTACCTTGCTTATCTCTTGACTACTATTTTAATGTACCACAGCAATATAGTTCATTCCTAAAATAATACTAGAATTTTTTCTATACTTAAAACATCCCATAAATGATAAATATCACAACAAAATGACTGTAAACAAAAAAAATGCCTGTATTTCTTTTTGGAAAAGTGAGGTTTCTTCCCACCCCACCACCACTATCTATTTAAGTGGGGGACCCAAGTTCTTTGACAGATAATATGGCTTGGCTGTGTCCCCACCCAAAATCTCATTTTGAATTGTACTTCCTATAATCCCCACATGTTGTGGGAGGGACCCAGGGGAAAGTGACTGGATCATGGAGATGGTTTCTCCCATGCTATTCTCGTGATAGGGAGTGAGTCTCACAAGATCTGACGGCCTTATAATCATCTGGCATTTCCCCTGCTTGCTCTCACTCTTTCCTGCCGCCCTGTGAATAAGGTACCTTTCTTCCCCCTTCACCTTCCGCCATGATTGTAAGTTTTCTGAGGCCTTCCCAGCCATGCAGAACTGTGAGTCAATTAAACCTCTCCTTTATAAATTACCCAGTCTCGAGTATTTCTTCATAGCAGCATGAGAACAGACTAATACAACAGAATAGGACAGATGAAACATAAATGAAGAAAATCATTCATCTAAACACTGTGTTCAGGACCCAGAGAGAAGAGTGAATCAAGGCTCACTCTGGAGATGTCCCAGGTCTTTCCTGATTCTTCTAGAAGGCATCTTCAGGGATAGATTCCAGGGCCTCACTGGGAGGGGTGCAAGATGCAGAGATCTGGGGAGCAGAGCTCCAGAGCTGGGTCAGATACCAGCAAGTCACAGGATCCTGGACACTAGGTGCACTGGGTCTCCGTTTCCTAGAATGGTTTCAAGCCTGTGTGTGTGTATGTGTGTGTACACCGATTCTTCAGCTCAAGCAAAAGATTACTCCTTAGTCCAAAATGGGACAGGTTGAGCTTCTCTGGTTGAATGAAGCAAAGGTGGGGTAGGGGCTGTGAATCCCATTACCAGATCACCCTTGCCTCTCCCTATCACTGAGGCAGCCTCTCTGGAACTGCCGTGGTTCTGATCTACTGGAGTTGATTTTTTTTTAAATGCCATTAATTTCCCAAATCAGCTCGAAACCAGAGTAACTGTACCAGCAAAGGGACCTCCAAAGGTTGGTATATCAAAATGAAAATATCACAGACTACTGCAAGTGTGTCCCAGCAGAGACTTGGTTACATGGATGACACATGCCTTGTCAATAATCCCCTTGGAGATGGCAATAAGCCTGTGTCCTAATTTGCTTTGTATTTACACACTATGATGTCGTATCATTTCTAGCTACAAATTTCTAGCTATAAATTCAGATTGGTTGTAATAATCCTCTGGTAGTTTCTTAAAACTTGACACTGTTGTTGTACTTTATAATACTGAAAATACTTTCCCATTTAAACAATCATATGAGGTTCCAAGAGCAAGTTTGACTACTTCCATTTGATAGATGAGGAGGTTGAGACCCAGAGAGTGAACTGCCCAAAGTAGAATTGCTGCTAACTGGGAGGGCTAGGTAAAGACCAGATCTTTTACCCTGCGGTCCAGTGTTTATTATGTACACCATTTAGCATATCATTAATTGTCAGCCATCTCAAAATCAAAAGGGTTTGGGTAGCAGAATTTCTGAGTTACATAGTAGAAGGAGGTTTCTACACTAAAGTATAGTCCTCAATGTCTGGCAGGAACAAAAGTGTGACAGGCTCTGTAGCCTCCTGCAATAGTTCCTTCTTCATTCATCTCACTGACGTCATCAGGTCATCATGATGTCACTGGGTACAAAGTTCCTGGAAGTTTAACACAACTGGCTATTGTTTCAGCTAGGGAGAACATACTGGAGAGGTACTTAGATATGTGTAAAGTTATCTTGGTGCCTATACAACACATTCTTGATGCTTATTAAATGTCATTTGCAGCAAGCATTAAAGAGCATTTCCTGTGGATACAATCTCTGGCTTCTAGGGCCTCAAAAATCTAAGTAAGGAAATAATGGAAAGCCCAACAACACAAATACAAGACAATAAAAGGCCAACACTTGAAAGAACATTTTTCTTGGATTAAGCTGAGAAACTAATCAGAGTTGATCACAAAGATTCATGAATAATGCTATTCACCACAGCATTACTTATAAGAACAAAAATACTGGGAACAGCCAAAATGTCCATTAGGGGGAGGCAGTTATGGCACTTCCATAAAATAGAATATTTTGTATCTTTTGAAACCAACCATTAGGGGAAAAAAGATATTTAAGGACATATAAAAACAGTCAAAACATAATGCTAAAAGAAAATGATATAGACATAAAATTATATTTATGATCATACATTTATATATGTATATACAAATGTATATATATAAATCATATTTATATAAATTTATGTAAGGATGTTATAAATATTATAATAGATATATAAAATGCACAGACATACATTCAAATGTTAAGTAGTTAATTCTGAGTAATGGATAAGAATATAGATGATTTATATTTATTTATTTCTATTTTCTTTTATCTATATGTTTCTTTTAAGGGGGACAATATAGATGATTTTTCAATTCTTCTTTGTTCTTATATTTTCCAAGTTTTCTACACTGAATATATACAGCTTTTGTAAATAGAAGTTTTTAAACATATTTTTAAAAACATCTAAAATAGTTCAGATTTTTTTCAAGCAAAATTCATCTCTCCCCCCTAAAACTATATGACTGTTTTTGTATTTATACACTTCTAAATTTTATCTACCTCTCTCCTCCCTTGACTAGGGAAACCAAAATATGCTACCAACTCCAGTGCAGAGTGTTGATGGGCTCCTCCTCCCCAGGCTTGAACCCTCTAAACTTCTGGGTTGCCACAGTGTGTGCACACCTGAACACTTCATGACAAGCTCTGCAATTACTCACTGTTACTCCAAACATGAAAGCTTAGAACTTCAAAGCCTGCAGTTTACACGGCTTTTGTAGAGAAGTACTCATACATTGCTGTAGTCAGTTTTTAAAATCTGCATTAAAGCATCATAAAGCTGAAACTACAATTATGCCAGAATGAATAAGTTCAAAGATACAGATATCATTCCTGTACATGATATTTAAATGTGCCAAAAAAAGAAAATGCTTTTTAGCATATATACTTGATTTTAAGATACAGACTTTTAAACTTCCCTTACTGGTTGCCTGATGGGTACAGGCCACTGTGGCTGTGTTGAGCATTCAGCCTTCTGTCTATGGCACTGGGCACTTAATGAAGACAGCTGGCTGATCCTCACACTAACGGAGCCCCTGCCTCAAGTCCTTTTGTCTCTGTGGAACAGTTAGTTTGCCTGTGACACAAATCCACACTCTCTCACCAGCTAATGACTGGAGGAAGACAGTCTCTATTTACATACAGCTGAGGATTTCTAACTCAAATTCAGAGATAAACCTGAGAGTAAACTGCTGACGAGTGAGCTAGGAGCAGAAAAGCCAAAGCCACAGAAATCACTGTGACGGTCACCGAAACTGTCCTGTCACAGACTACCATGTTCTCAAAACCACAAGAGTGAGAGGTGACTAGGAAGAATTTTAAATGTACCTTTTACTTTCTAGGTGGTCACTGATCATATCTTAGAACAAAAGCAACCCTAGACACAAGGCAATTTCTCATTTTCAACTAGCAGATGAGAAAATTATTTTTCCCAGTTTGAATACATAAACTTTTAGGGATTTAGCATATATATACTAATACATTGTCATTTATACTATTTATTAATTTAGACATTTTAAGCAATAAATATGTAATTATATGCTGCACCAGATTTAAATCTGAAAATGTCGAATACAAAAATGGACAAAGTAGATAAACCAATTATTTTAATTTCCAATTGTATTTTTTTGACAAAATTTGATACTAAAAAGATTATCCTATCTCAGTAACTTCAAGAAGTTGACTATTTTGAGACTCTAGTTTTTCAAGAGTTCTTCTCCTCTCTAAAATTTATAAGAATCTAACCTCAAGAATTCCCAATGTCGATTTTCTGTCAAAAATAGAAAGTTTTAGATTTCCTTGCTTTAGGTGAAGCACTGCCCTGTTTGGCTGCTTTTTGGACTTGGCAGGTTGTATATCAGTCTCACCTTGGCAACTAAATTATGGAAGAGTTTGAAAGGCAACAGCCTCCATTCAGCTTAGCAATGGTTGAAATGGATTATATTATGGACAAGGCAAATGAAAGATTTGCTAAAACTACTTTCAAAATAAAGTAATTAAGATAATGTATGATGTACAGGGCTTTGTGGTACTTCAGTATTAAGGAAGACTCCCTCTTTTGGGGGAAAGTAATCCTTGACTTGCATTAGGGCACATGCTGCATTTTTGGTCCTAAGAGTCAAATGAGTCTTTGGCCATTTATCTATAAACAATTATTTATTCTTTCAGTGGACATCTGTGACGCACCTGATAGGGCTGGCTGACTTGATGTTAAGATGGACGCCTCCCTCATTGTGGGCACCCGTCTGCTCTTGGATTCTATGGCACTGCATTCTCCACCTTCCCTCCTGCATCTCAGGTTTCTGCTTCTCAGTCTCCTGCTGGCCATGTGTCCTCTCAGGACCTTAAAATGTTAGCATTGTAGAGCCAGGCTTTGGCTTCTTCTCACTCCAACTCTCCTTTCAATGATTTCCTCCCCTCTCACTATTTTAAATACCATCAGTGAATTAATGGCTTCCAACTGACATCGCCAACACAGAGGCAACCTCTGAGTTTCAGACCTATGTAACAACAACTGCCTATTTACATCACTTGAATGACTCATGAGCAAGTTGGCCCAATATGCAGCAAAGTGAACTCTTAAGTATGACCTCTGATTCATTTTTCTCGTTTCTTCCATCTTGAGAAATGTCCCGTCCAGTCTTCCATATTCTCAGCAAGCTGGAAGTCACCTTTGATCAACTCTGTCTCACCCTACATCCAATCTTTCTTTAAGGACTGTCAATTCTAACATGGAAAATATGTAATTAAGATCCAGCTGGGACTTCAGCAACCAACCCTAGCTAAACAAAGTCCCCAGTGGATACACAAACACAACAAAAATGCTGCAAAATTGTGATTGAAAAGCAAAATTAAACAGAATGAAAAACCTGCCCTATGGGTGTCTGCCCAGGATGACCCATGTTCTTACAAAAAAAAAAAAAGTTGCTACCACTTTTGTTAACATGGGTGAGCTTCAAAATTAAAATTAGGCATCAGTTTCCAACAGCTTTAATTTATAATAAAGGAGAGAATAAAAATCTAAATCAAAGGCCATTCAGATTAAATTCTCTTACACCCAGAGATTAGGGAAATATGAACAATGTCATTGAATTATTACTAGGAATAGATTATACATCAACATTACAGACTTCCTAAAGGGCCAAAATGATAAATGAAGGGCACAGGGCAGATGGATCTGCATAAAGGAATTAACAAAGACTAATGATGTTGGTATATACACCCGATTATTGACTTGACACAAAGCAATACCCCAGACTAGGAAAACACATTGACTGACGTCAGTCCATCTGATTTTATCATTCTTTTCCTTAAGCAGGAAGGGCAAGATGTGTCATTACTTAAGTAACAATTGGCAATTACACAAAGGCTAAAGACAAAAAAAAAAAAGTGAGTACAGCATGGAACATAAAGATGGTATTCTCCGTAATGCAGAGAAACTTATTAATGAAATGAAGTCACAGAACAGATGCACTGTGAAATGATATAGCTTGGACATACACACTATAAGAAATCTGATCTTGGGGCTCAGTGAAAAAGGTTTTAATAAAATTAGATGATTCCAAGATGATGCTCTACCCATGGCTGACTAAAGGAATCACCTGGATAAAGTTTAGCCACATGATTTGCCTATTTTACCAACATAAAATGACACTCTACAAGGAGGACAGCAAGGTGCCCTAAACTGAAGATAAGGTTTTACAAGTTGATTTTGTTGAGACTGACATATTTTTTTTTAAAAAGGAAATGTATGATGTCAGAAATCCCTTTGAAAAAACAAAAAAGAAAGTTAATATTATTTTAAAGAAACAGTGGTTATGTGGGGCACCAGGAAACTTAATTCCTATTAAGGCTAACAATTAATTTGTTATGACTCCATGAGCACCTAATTTTCCTTTGTCCTATTCCCTAAATTTAAAGAGGCAAGGGAACTATTTGTCTTGTACTATCATGTCTATGCAGCTAAAGGAGGTCATTGCCTTGCTGAATGAACATTTTTATTAAAGATCTATAAAGCAGGTTCAAACATTTGGGAAATAATATTTCAAGCATGGAAAATCTGCTGAAGGCTTTTGAATGAAAGTCACAAAATAAACACAACAAAGGCAATATTTCACTCAGGGCCATGTCTCCAGCCTCACATTTTTTTTTTTGGGGACCATCTTGCTCTGTCGCCCAGGCTGGAGTGCAGTGGCGTGATCTCGGCTCACTGCAGCCTCCGCCTCCTGGGTTCAAGCGATTCTCCTACCTCAGCTTCCTGAGTAGCTGGGACTACAGGTATGTGCCACCACGCCCGGCTAATTTTTGTATTTTTAGTAAAGATGGTTTCACCATGTTGGCCAGGATGGTCTGGATCTCCCAACCTCGTAATCCGCCCACCTCAGCCTCCCAAAGTGCTTGGATTACAGGCGTGAGCCACCGCGCCCAGCCCAGCCTCATCTTATAAAGAGAATTCTTTCACTGGCACCTAAAGATCATTCATCTCTAATGACTAAATTGTTCTCACCAGCAAACTAAAATTCATAAGTAATAGCCTCTCCTTTGAGCACTGCATGAAAATCTGATGGTACCACAAATACCTGAGCAGAAAGGTGTGTGTATCAGTCAACTCCAGGAGTCTGGGGAGGTGGAAAAAACTGTTGTAATGCCCATTTGGCTTACAGACTTCCTTCCTTTGTAGGCTCACCAATACAGTTTAGAAAGAATTCAGATTTTTTTTTTTTTTTTTTGCCCAAGAACTTCTTCACTGCTTAGGAAAACCATCATCCTATACTGACAGACTAAGAGTATGAAAAGGTAAAGAAATGCGTCACTGGTGCTGAACTTGTTAAGCAGAAAGAGGGAGGGGAAGCAATGAGATCAGAGCAGGAGATGCTGAGAGCAAGACCAGTCTTGTCAAAAAAGCAAAACTCTGTACAACTATACATAACAACAAACTTGGAAGAAATCAGAAGAATAAAAAAAAGACTGACAGTTTGGACCACACATACATGCACAAAATGAAAAATAATAACTTCTATTAGTAAAAAAAAAACCCTCACTGTTATAAAAAGGGAAATGGCAAATTGAAAAAGGATACTGGTGAGATTATAAAAGATTAATATCAGTTCTCACTTCTTATAAGCCAATAAAATAAAAATTAAACAAAAGAGAGGGACCAAGGATAAAAATAAAGGTAAATAACAAAAGGAGATACAAATGGTTAATGAGTATGGAAAATGTCTAAATCCCATAGAAATAAAACATGTACATTACGAATAGTAAGATATTATGTTTGGCTTGTACTGATGGACTCTTCAACACTGTACTATTTGGTGGTGATAAGGGGGGAACAAAAGTTTCAACATAGGCATTTCAGTCACATGTTCAGATGGACACACACACACACACAGAGTACATACAGGAAAAAAGACTGAAGAATACAATAAACTGGTAATAGGGGTTATCTCCAAGTAATGGGTTAATAGAGGATTTATATTTCCCAGGTGATTTCTTGTATATCTTACAAACTATTAGCTTTACTGTTATAATCAGAAACTCACACTTTTAAAGCAAACAAGCCTTGAAGATTAGAGTCATGGCAACATAGCCTATAAACTCTCTTAAAATTTTAAAACGAAACAGTCACACGCCTATTAGTAAACAAGTAAGTGCTTGGTTGGCATTATGTGCCAAAATTTCAGGTTTTACTAAATCCCTTACGGCCCAACTACACATCTTCCAAGGTTAAAGTCCTGGGGCAGTAGAATATTACAAAGTTTCATGCTGATATCAAGGATGGCACTGGGTTATAATAGTGATACTCCCTACTTTGGGAGGCCGAGGCAGGTGGATCACGAGGTCAGGAGATCGAGACCATCCTGGGTAACATGATAAAACCCCGTCTCTACTAAAAATACAAAAAATTAGCCAGGCGTGGTGGCAGGCGCCTGTAGTCCCAGTTACTCAGGAGGCTGAGGCAGGAGAATGGTGTGAACCTGTGAGGCGGAGCTTAGAGTGAGCGGAGATCGCTCCACTGCACTCCAGCCTGGGCGACAGAGCAAGACTGTCTCAAAAAAAAAAAAAAAAAAAAAATTGTGATACTCCCAGGAGTATCTCTGGCACACTGGAATATCTGCTTACCCTGTTCTACCCCAGACTGTCTTCTCTGAATTCATTAGTCTGCCTTGTTTATTTTTCCCTATCTCCACCTTATTGCCAGACTATTAACTTTCAATTATTTGCATTAACATGCCTGTTTATAAAACCATTGCCTTTACCACCGTCCAATTTAGTATCTCATCTAATGAACGAGTTGCAAGATTGAGGGGAGTGGAACTGATATAGCTGAAGCGCAAGGTGAGCAAGTTGCAAACAATTCTCATGTATGGCTCAAAAAGAGACTCTAAAAGAAATCAAAAGGAGAAAGGTCCTTAAGAGTTGTCTGAAATAATGAAGATATTCTGTTTAAAAAATGTACATGATGTCATATAGTTTCTCCTTGGAAACCCTCTAAGTTACAAGCTGAGTTTTATTTGTTAAGTCAAAGCCCCATGGGTGGTTGTGGGGTGGGAGGCAGAGGAGATAATGAAGGGATATGCATGAAAATGTTCACGTGATTCATTTTGAAGAGTGGGATTCGGGATGTTTTGTTTTGTTGCCCAAACCCCATGTGCCTACCCGAAACAAGCAGAACACAGCTGCATAAATACAGTGGTGACTAACCCTTAAGAAATGAAGTCTCTTTGTAACCTAAATCTATATATACACATAGACAGAGATTTAGGGATATTTCCTATCTTTAATAACTCCTAAAATTGCCCAACAGAAAAGTGAAACTCCTTTCCATCCTTCCTTACAGAAACCCTTTTAAAAATACATCAAAGTAGCCACCTGCAAATTCATAGTAAAACAACTTTTGAAGACACAGAAAATAGGTATTTTGGCCAACAGGGCTACATTTGCTACCTAAGCACTTTAAAAGCCTGGAGTCACTGTGTCTCAGTTTTTATCTCCTTTTCCTCTGTGGCTCATCCTCTTAAGTATCACTCTTAGAGCTCCTACTTTTACTCATTTAAATCAAAATACAATATGAAGTGTTACTGTGGTAGGCAGAATTCTAACCATGGTCTCCTCAAAATTCCAGTCCCCTAGTTATTCAATCAAAAATGAATACTACTATGAAGAGATTTTTTTAGCTGTAATTGTCCCAAGTCAGTTGACCTTCAAGTATAGAGATTATCTGAGTGGGGCCTCACTCAACCAAGTGAGCCTTTTAAAAGCAAGAGTTTTCTCTGGTTGATGGAAGGAGCAGCAGTCAGATTTGAAGTGCGAGAATGACCGGATATGCCCCTGCTGGCTACAAGATCGCAGAGGGCAGCCAGCCTCTAGGAGCTGAAAAGCAGCTCCTTGCTGATAGCCAGGGTGAAGCGGGGAACTCAGTCCTACAAAGGCAATGACCTAAATCTGTCCACAACTGCATGGGCTTGGAAGTGAGTTCTTTCCCAGCCTCCAGGTAAGAGCCCAGCTCAACCAACACCTTGATTTTGGCCTCATAATACCCTGAGCAGAGAACCCAGGCGAGCCTGCCCAGACTTCTGCCCTGAAGAACTGTAAGATTAATAAATGCATGTTGTTTAAACCAGTAAATTATGAGTAATTTGTTACTACAGCAATAGAAAACTACTGCAGATATTATGTTGTTTTCTTATGGGTTTTATTTTTACAGCCTTCTTTTTATTAGAAAGGCACTATGTGCTAATTTCCCTACTTTCTTATTCGCTAAACAATTAACAGTTTCTCCTTTCCTTTTCCACAAATTTCTATGACTATGCATGAATATACAAGTGTGCTTTCATCTGTGTATACACACTCTAAAACACAGATGCACATGAAATGACAACATGCAATGTTTTCACCTAACAATGTATCTTGTGTATCCTTCCAATACCAGCACATGAAAGCCCACCTTGTTCTTTGTAACAACTATGTAGTGCTGGGTTACACCCCTGAATCATTATTTACTTAACTAGTCCATTACTGAAGAAAAATTTAAATAAAAAACTGGTACCTTTCCATTTGCTAGGTACAAAAGCCATGCTATACTTATAATTTTCTGTTATTTTATGAGAATATCAGTAAGATAAATTCCTTTAGGTTAATTTGCCGGGCAAAAGGGTAAACACATTTGAAATATTCACCAATACTGAAAACCACTAACCAAAATGGTTACACTAATTCACATCAACCCTTAGATCATGGGAAAGGGACCGCTTTCCCATATCTTTGCTATCACTGAATTTTATCAATTAAAAAAGGTTTTTGACCCCATGCTAGGTGAATGATACTATCTCCTCCACCCATGGTGGAGTTCAGTGGCACCATTATAGCTCACTGCAGACTAGATCTCCCCAGCTCAGGCGATCCTCTCACCTCAGCCTCCTGAGTAGCTGGGACCACAGGCATGTGCCACCATGCCTGGGTAATTTTTAGAAATTTTGTAGAGATGAGGTCTCACTATGTCATCTAGGCTCAAACTCCTGGGCTCAAGCAATCCTCCTGCCTCAGTCTCCCACAGTGCTGCAATCACAAGTGTGACCACTGTGCCTGGCCACTTTTTTTTTTTTTTTATAATTGCAATGACATATCATTTCATGTTTTGTTGGCTATTTTTTCCTTATGTCATGCTATTTGCACCTTTTGCCCATTTTTCTATTGGTGCATTCACCATTTCATATCAATTTACACAATTTCTTCATGTAAACTGGCAATCAGTCATGGGCACAAACATTTTTCATACTTTGATTTCTTTTGAGTTTGTTTTTGATACAGAAATTTTCATTGTAAGAGAGGTACACTAGTCTTTTCCCTTTGAGACTTCTGGATTATTTTTCATGCTTAGAATCTTCCTGGACATAAGAGCCTGTGATTTTCTATGCCTTCTTTTCTTTTCTTTTCTTTCCTTCTTTTTTTTTTTTTTAATGAGACTGTGCTATTCACTGTTCTTTTAGGAATCTCTGGCTCCCCACAAACACTATTTTGTGAAGACATGCTCCAGACCACTGTGTATGCCAATATCTCTTTCTCCCCAGAGCACTGCTGACACCCCTACACAAATTAATGTCCCCATCTCTACTGATACATCTGATAGGTACAAACGATGTGTCCGTGATGACTGGTGGGGCTCATGTAATCCCCACCTAAGAAAAGTAGAAAGTGCAACTTTATCTTTTAGGTTAATAAGTGCTGAGAGATGGAGGTTTTTCCTTCTCATTTTGATGGAGATGCCTAGAAAACCTCGCCTGACACTCTTTGTCCAACGCAGGATAGAGAACATAGCAACAGAAAGGGTGAGGCAAAAGGCATGGCTGGTGAAGAGGCACTGCATGTTATCAGGATGTGGGGCCTGGTCCTGTATCGTATTCACATGTTTTTCTTCTTTTTATACAGAAATAGGAATCTACCAGACAGTAATAAATGCCACTTCTCACAGAAAGTCTGACAGGCTTCCACTGCCTCTGAGAGAACAACAACATGTTGGCTCCATAACATAAAGAAAAACAATGCTGGGTGCGGTGCGGTGGCTCGTGCCTATGATCCCAGCACTTTGGGTGGCTGAGGCAGGAGGACTGCTTGAGCACAGGAGTTTGAGACCAGCCTGGCCAACAGGGCGAAACCTTCTCTCTACTAAAAATACAAAAAAAAAAAATTAGCTGGGCATGGTGGCATGGCCTATAATGCCAGCTACCCAGGAGGCTGAGGCATGAGAATCTCTTGAACCCAGGAGGCAGAAGTTACAGTTAGCTGAGATCGTGCCTCTGCACTCCAGCCTGGGCAACAGAGGTAGGTTTTGTCTCAAAAACAAAAACAAAACACTCTTAGAACCTGAATGACAGGCTTCCCTCTGCCCATTCCTCTGATTAAATTCTATATTAATGTTGAAGGAGAAAGAACTTAAGCTAAGTCTATGAAAGCAAATAAAAATAATTAAAAGGATCATTAAAGTCTTCACCACGTTCTGTCGTCTCAATATTAGAAGTGAAGAAAATCACAGCTATAAAAGATGAATCAACAGGCACATAAATGATGGTGAAATTGCTATAAATACTATAAAGAGGAGCGAGATTAAAATCTTTAAATCGCAGAATTATATACTAAAAAACAGAATCATCATTCACTTAGCATCTAGCATACACTGCTGCGCACTGTGCTGAGTGCTAGAGTAATGTCCCAAGTAAGGTATCTGGCACTGTTTGACCCTCTGTAGGATTTTAATGACAGGGTGTAATATCAATCTCACAAACAGAAATGGTAGTAATAGAAGTAATGTATCCTCATTACGTAGCCTTGGAAATACAATGTTACCACTGCTTACACCCGCTCCCTAATTATATCCCTCTCATGCCCTCTCAGAGGTAACTACTATCATGAAATCAATCTTTAACATTACCATGTTTTGCTTTAGGCTCTTATATTATAAAAATACATAAAATATAATACAGTGAATATATAGAATATAATCATATTATAGGATATATAATATATATCATGTACATATATATATATATATATCCCTAAACAAAATATTGTATGTAGCATGTTAACTTTATATGAAAGGCTTACATAATATTCTTTTGTGACTCGCTTTTGTTGTCCAACAATATATTTGAGTTTCATCCACGCAAATCTGAGTAGTGTTCACTTCTTTTCTATGTGCACAGTGTGTTTTGGATATAACTATGCCACAATTCATTTATCCATTTTCCAAGTGATAGATCGTTAGGTTACTTCAAATGTTTAGCTATTACAGATGCTGCTGCTATGAGTGGTCTAGAACTTGTCTTCATCTGTGTAAGAGCTTCTCCAACTCTAAGGTTTTACCTGGGAAAGGCCTTTCTAGATGTTAGTGGTCATTTTACAGTGTCATAATTTTATCTATCTTTTACCTTTTTACTTTACCACCTTTAATTCCTTTAATTATTTCTACAGAGAAAATAAAATTTCACTCCAAAGGAGCAACTACTTTTCTCTCCCTTCTTCTCCCCAGTAATATAACAGACAACTCCCAATCTCAACTTGAAAGGCTCCCTGAGCTTAAGAACTGCTTTCTGGGTGAGAGTGGTAGCCCTGCATTTAAGGTCAAGATCATCTGAGAACACATGAGTATCAAATTAGAGTTTTCACAAGAGTACAGTGAAGTAGGGCTAAGAGCTCATTCTTCTAACCTTCATCCTTCACAATCCTGAAGATACCTTCCTATAACACAGATCCTCCTCAAAACCCTTGAAAGGGCTTCAAAGTCAAACTTCCTCCCACTTCCTGACCTTCCTCTGCCTTTCCATCCTTATGTTCTCTTAATGAAGTACACACATCCCCACACTCTAGCCATACACTGAGAATTCCCTTTCTCTCACTCCATCTCTACCAGCCAACAAATTCTTGCTCATCTTTCAACATCTTGGGCAAATGGCTCCTTTAAACTCTTCCAGACTTTCTTTATTGGAATTAACCCTTCTCTTCTTTGCATCACCATGGATAGAACTTTGAAGAAAAAAAAAAAAACCAGCATATAAAGCAGTTTTCATTGTCTAGTTTTTACAGTACTGTTCTAACCTTCCTTATAATTCTATAAAGTACTTGAGGCCAAAGGCTCTCTCTTAAATCTTCACTGTCCCTAAAATGACCATCACAATGTATTAGACAAGTTCAATTTTAGGGAGAAATATGCTGAACAGTTCTTAACATTAGTACTTTTCATATGAGTTATCATGTTTACATTTCCCAAGGATATTCCTAACATGGAAACCATGTCTTGTATCATCCAGGCATTTAGAAATGGAGAAAGAAATAATTAAAAAGAGACCCCATATAAAAAGGAATTCTGTATTTTAGAGTCCAAACACTGAAACAGAGAGGATAAGATCTGGGCTAACATATCGCAAAGAACAACTTAGGGATAAAACAGCAGGAAAACAAAGATAACATGTGAAGACATACCAAATATCAAAATGCATTAATTATTTTAAAAAACCAACAAATAAAGAAATAAAACAAAACTCAAGAAATGGTAACCAATTACCTGCATGAGCAGAGAGAGGTGAGTGTGGTCGAGGCAATGCTGGTGACTGCCCATTGCCTATTAAGCTTTTCCGGTTGCTTGTTCGGCAACTATCAAAAAGAAAGAAAAAACAAAGTTTAAAAAGAATATAGCATCAATAATGTTCAACCATGTTCCCGGTAGACATGGACCAGGTTGAGCAACCTATCTGCTCATGTTATTGTTAAAATTATTACAATTATGCATTCACTAATATTTGAGGGGTGGCTACCTCTTGAATATTAGAAAATATAATGTATTCATATAGCACAACACCATCAATATTCCTCACCACCAGTGGAGCAATAATCAAATGCCTTCTTCCAGCGCTTGAGTGCAAATATGTAACATGCCATACACACAAGTGATAAATTAAGGATTCAAATCAGCAAACCACAGGTAGCATCTTTGTTGACACAAAATTTCTAATACAAAATTACATGCAATGAAGTGCAGTGACATTAATCTTATAATGACGCACTAATTAAAAATCTAATTATTTAGACAAATTTCTTATTTGTGCCTTTTGTCAATAGAATAGCTGATGCCTAAGATAAATGTGTCTCACCACTCATTCATTTTTCATCTTGTATATGGCATTCAATTCTTTATTAAGGTAAATGTTCTGGAATCATAAAATCAGATCCCAGTGTATTAAAATAATAGTGATGGTCCTCTTTCACAAGCATGCTAGCTACTGGTTTTATCCTGAGTACCCAGAGCATAGAAATAAATTACTACACATGGGCACAGGGCAACAATTTGTTCCTGTTTCTGCTAGAAGGAAGTTATAAAATGGCTAATTTGATTTCAAAGTAACTTTCAAAAGCCTTAAAGAATAAGACAAATACAAAACTGGCGGATGGGTGAAGTGGATATTATCTTATTTTCATTTGCTTTTCTTCAAAATAGACTGGCACTTCATTCTCTATTAGCAATACAGTAGTCAGAGGAGGGTGGTAAAACCCAGCAAGTTACCTCATTTAATTCACCTATAACAAGGCTCAGGGCTCTGTGCTTCTATCCTCCTACACTGTGCTGCCCTCAACCACCATTAGGAGTTTATTGCAATGCCTTCTTAGTGCAGGACAGAACTCTGTTATACCAGATTCCTGAAACAGGAATTTTCACTGGACTTCTAATTTAGGTACAGTGAGATAACATTTCTAAATATTCAAATAATACATTTCAAAACCAAACCCAATTTCTTTCAGCAATACAGACTTGGGAGTTATCTTCTCTTAGATGTTTGCTGCTTATTATCATTTGTCAACAGTCCCATATTTATAATTTCTTAAGGTCAGGCTGCATCACTTTATTTTCCTTAGTGCAGCAATCAGCATCCCCTAGTATTATCTGTGAGTTTAATTAAGCTCATGTTTACTCAGCCTTAAAGCAGTTGTTAATAAGAATAGACTTTTGATATTTAATTATGAAGGTGGGTTGGATATTATCAACTCATCTATCAAGAAATGTATGTATTCAACCTATTAAATTCACAATCATTAAATCAGACAGTCTGATTGGTTTTAAAAGATACTGTATAATGTATTCAGTGTTAATTCAAATTAATGTCTTCTTTCATTCCAATACAGAAATATTAAATATATTAACTTGCTGATGTTAATAGAAGAAATTATAAATGACAGATTTATGTCCTGGAAATGTCAGCAAACTTCTTTCAGCAAATTAACTGAAGTTCAGGTTATTATAAAAATGGCTACATTTTTTCGTGTTTAGCATTTGATCTACATCATGCATAAAGATCTTTTCAACATATTTATTGTTTATATGCATAAATAAAATTCATAAGAAATGTCTGTCAATGCAAATAATCTAATGAATATCTTAACTAGATATATCAGTGAAATATGCTGATATACTTAAAACTAAATTTAGAAAATGTTATTTAAGAAAAACTTAAAAAATTTCTAAGAAACGTACACTACCATACATACTAAGGTACATACACTACCACAATAGGCAAAACAATGAACAATTTAGATTTTTTAAAAAATGAAAACATGAACAACAAACCCTCACAATTCCATTAGTTATTTAAAATCTATCAAAAAGGGGTAGAAAAGTGATTTCAAAAATGTGATTCAAAAAAAATATCAAAAAGAAATGTCTAAATAAAACCCCCAAATAAAATATACTTGTTTGGTCAATATACAAACAGATTTACATTACAGTCATCCTGGGTGCATCTACTCCTCTATACAGATTTCTAATCTTTATAAATAGATGATTCATTATGAATGCAATGTAGAGTGAAAGAAAACAGGCTATTTCATCTATGAATACATGAGAAAGTTAAAAGAAGAGAAGTTAAAAACAAATTACCTCAGAATTTGAACAGTTTACCATATTTAAGGTATGGGTAGTATGTTACACAAAACAAATTATCGAAGGTATATCTTATTGACAAATGCCATGAATAATCAAAGCATAATTCATCACTGAAAGTGTCTCCTCTAATCTTTTTTCCTTTCAACATGAAGCTAGAGATGATATTAAAATTACAACAGACTTGGAACTTTCTGGGATCTCTCTCAACAATGAAATAGAAAACTTTTAAACATCAAATGATCCCAAAGTAGCAAAGCCAGTGTTTATATAATATAGGCTGATATATTTCCATATGTACATGAAATAAATCTGTATACTTATGAAATGGGGTCTTCGCCTTATGAATGAATTTGTTGCTAAAATTTTCAAGGGTAGAGGGACACTTTACACAGCATTTCATTCCCAAATACCTATATCTTGATATATATATCTAAATACTTTTAAAATCCTAGGACCCTACTGAGATATTCTGTAGAAAACCTTTCCAGGGTACAGGAAGGAAGAGTCATCCAATCTCAGTATTACCTGCTTCTGGGATATCTGACAGTCACCTAATCTTATTACTCTAAGTACCTGATTCCCAATAAATGAATTAAAATCTGCACTTAACTCCAACAGTAAGAAAACTTCAAGTGGGTTAGAACTGCATCTGTCACCCAGGTTGCCACAGCACCTGGCAATGCCCACATTAATAATAACATTGGTGCAAAATGCTGAGCTGACCTCTGTCCTCCAGGTATCACACACTTTCCTGCCCATGAAAGCAGAAGTTTATGGCACCTGCACGTCAGGCAGTCTCTCCAGGTGTTCATGGCCACACCTACTCATTTAACCCATTAAATGATAAAACAGTGGAAACATCTCCACTCAGGCAAATTAAAGGCTCCTTCCTTTTCACCAGCACAACTAAGTCAATTCTGCCTTGTTTTTTTTTTTTCAAGCAAAGTCACCCAAGGGAAAAACAGGTGATGTCCGACCAGATTAAACATGAATACTACTTCTCCTGTAGCAGAAATATCTTTTTTATAACTCACCCTTATCTAAGCATTTGAGCTTGTAAAGAGTTATCTCCAGTTTTCATCCTCAGGGATACAGGGACATGACCGCAAAAATGAAACTAAAGAAAAGTTATGAACTCAAATTGCAGCTATTCCATCCCCAAATACATTCTTTTGACTTCATTCTTCAACAGCTAGAAGCCATTCACCATGCCCATGCTCCGACGTGAAAGCCCAACATGAGACTAACCACTTCCCACAAAGTACCCTCTATCAGTTCTCCAGTTGAAGCAGCACATGGAAAAACTTACTTTCCTGTGGGTGAGTTGCACAGTTTGTTCTCTGAATTTGGAAAGTGACAACTATTGTTCTATTAACACAATGGCACAGAGTCACTACTTGCAAATTCAGAATTTAGGCTGAGAAGACAGTCATATAACAACTTGAGACAATGGCATAAACAATGGATTAGGACAGGAGCTGATGATCACAAGCATTTATTTTTACTTCATTTATCTGGTACCTCCTTGGGAAGCTCCTCCTAGGGGCAACTATGAGACACAGAAAGATAACTTAGACACAGAGCACAAGAAATGCACCTTGCTGACTACAGAATCCGAGAAGAATGGGAAGGGGAAAAGATGTTCTGATGATAGGACCTTGAGGGAGGACTGGCTGCCCCTGAGGGGCAGGAGGTGAGCAGGCATGGACAGAACACTGCGTGTAAGAATGTCACAGCTGAACAGGTGCTTGGGTGGAGATGCTTTGGAGTGACATGAGGTCACCACCAGGAAGTGTTTTGTCTGCATGGTTTTTGCTCAGGCAGGTGAAATGAGGACTGAAAGAGGCACCACACCTGCTCCCTGAGTTCACTATTACCATCGCGAAAACAGTTTCACAAGGAGCTTCTCAATTTCTTAATTACTGCCAACAGCACCTCCCATTTGCTAAGAAGGTGAAGAGACAGGCCATGCATTTCATCATCTAAGTCAGGCCTGGCTCAGTGTGAGGGACAAAGAGGACTATGGGCTACTAAGCTGGAGGCAGGTGGGAAAGGAGGTGTATGTATTTTTGGTTCCAAGTACCCCATTCCATTTCTGCAGAAGTTGTCCTTATGCTCTGTGCTCCATAAGAAAGGCTTGGTGGGACCTGTAAAAGTTTCACACCTGGGTCTGCCACTTGTCTCCTGGCAGAAGAACCTGTTAGCCATCCCCTACCAGGTCTCTGAAAGCTGTGAAGCCCACCAGGCTGTGGCCTTTTCCAATTACTCTGAGTAGCTGAAATCCAACTTAATTTTAAATTACATTCACTTTGAGACATAAATTCTGATCATTTCTGACCATGGCAAGAAAAATGAAGAGAGGAAACCCCGACAGGCAGTGATTTTTACATTGACAGCTGACTTGAAAGGTCAACATTCAGTAAAAAATAAGACTAACCACCATTGAGGGGCAGTAATAATATAGTGAATTGAGTAAGAGGGGCCCCGGTAATTCTGGAAAGCTAGAATTATTACATCGTCCTAATGAAAATTTGATAAATTTGCACAGGAGACCCATCATAGACCAAAGCTTTACTGTCCATGAACATCTGCTAACTATTTCCTCACACCTTTAGAGAAGATGAACATTTGAATATTTCTTAAAGAAGAAGGCTGAAGTGGAAGAAATAGGGCATGACCAGGAGGCAGAAATTGTCTAGCTAATGTGGTAATGCTGCATAAATGTTATGAACTAAGCAGCTTTCTGTCTCCATTTCTTCACAATGAAGGGATTGAAACAGATGAGATAAATATTCATAAACTTACTTTTTTTGGTCTCAAAAATTTTAATAGAAAAATAATCCAACAAATCCTACCACACTGGAACAAGCAACTGTATCATTTGTGCTATTTGTTTCCAATCTTTAAAAAAGATATAGAAACTAGAAAGAGAACAAAATGTACTCTCTGAAGTCCAAGCCAATAACATATTCCAGTCCCCAAAAGGCAACTACTGAAAGAACTGGGGCTTGCAGCTTGCCCATTCATTCTTGGTATGGTAGTGTATATATATATATATATACGTATATATATATATACACGTATATATATATATATATACGTATATATATATATGTGTGTGTATATATATATATACATATATATATATATATGCTATATGTATAACCACACTATATGTGTGTGCTTCCACTTTTCACTAGTAGTATCACATAACAGGAAAAACAGAGACTTGAAATTGTACAAAAGAAATTAACAGTTACCTTTTAGTGGCTTGTTGGGCTTTGTATAGCAGACGATCCCTGGGAATTATTTGATTCTGTAAAGGTATACACATTGTTTTTCTATTGACTAGGTGATTTAAAAACTCTGTAGAAGCTGAAGTTAAGTAGAAAACTGGGAGTAATGCAAATGATTCCCATCCATAATAATGTAAATGAATTTTATCTGGTGAAGATACAATTAATGTCCACCCCAAGGAAAGATGACCTCAAATATTTACTATCACTGTCCTATAAGATACTAATTTTGCATCTATGAGCAAATTTGTTTCATAATTCCTGACTATTTATGTATATCTATTCATATATGTCTGATTTTAAAAAAATCTCTTTGAACCTGTTTTAATATGTTACTGCTGCCCTCACTGATATGTTAAACAAAATATTTGATACATGTTCACTTCATATTTGTATGACAGTCATGTTTTTGACTTTTGGATGAATTATACTTTTGGATGAATGTCTACAGAATTAGATATTCTGTAACTTACTTTTTTTCACTCAACATTATGTTTTTGAGGTTTAACCATGGCAACGTAAATATGGGTCTAATTCATTCCCTTTTTAGATTATTCCTTTGAAGCAAATTTTAGGATTCCTAAATGCACTAAAATTATATATCATGGACATTTCTTTTTCCTCTTTGCAACATTAAAGATCTAGAACTCTGTGCATTTGATTGAAAAAGCTTTGAAAAATGTCTTTGATAAGAGGCTATATTTGAAAGAAAAATTATATCATGCAACATAAAGCAAATATTTCTTAAAATCTTTGGACACCTCTTGCCCAAATCCTGCTTATTGCTGCTTCACCTGGATATCTCTATTTTTGCCTACATTCTGTTGTCTTCTCCCAGAAATAATTGTCTTTCTCATGTAAATCAGTCGACCCTTTCTTTCTAGGCATCTTCAAGTCTACATCTCCACCACTTTTTCTGAATAGCACAAGGTCACACCTAGTAGCTGGCTGGATAAGCACTATTCCTCCTTAGAAGGCAGCAGAGACAAACAACAAAGCTGTTCTCTGCCTTTGTCACACACCCTTTGCTACTAATGTGAAGTTAAGAAACTCGCTGGGATCCTCTTCCCTATGGCCCATGAAATCAGAGCTCCACCCAGGCTTTCATTAATTACTTCAATAAATTACTTTCTGAGTGCCTAAGATATGCTAGGCACTATTCTAAACAAACAAAAATCTCTGCTCTCAAGGGAGCTTACATTTTGGAGGGAAAAGCAGAAAATGAACATAACAAATTTGTAAAATTTGTGGTACATGAGATAGCGATGGAGGAAAAATAATGCACAAAGTAGGACAGAGATTGCAGGGGTGGGAGTTCACAATTTCAAACAGGTGGTCAGGAAAGGCCTCACTGGGGAGGTGAGAGAGGATAAGACCAGAAAGCAAGGAAGTGAGCATTCAGCAAGAGCAGAGGCCCTGAGGCCAGAGTGTTCTAGGAGCAGCAGGCAGGCCAGCATGGCAGGCGTGCAGAGAGCCAGGGAAGAGTGCCAGCAGAGGATGGTAGAGCCATGGCAGGAGGCAGGTCTGCAGCAGCCTGCAGGCCACAGTGCAGAGTCTGGTCCCTGAGTGACAAGGGAAGCTGTTGGAAGGTTCTGAACATAACCTGACTTTTGTTTTTAGAGAATCATTCTGGCTGCTAGATTAAAAGGAGGAAGCAGGATGAATGGACTCTTATAGCCTGTGGTTCTGCTTTCAAATATAGTATTTTACTGTAAAAATTAGTTTATACAAAAACAGCTCCAAAATTCAATGCAAGTGTTACATCAGTCTGTGCTCTTTTGTACAGCCTCAAAAAACTTGGAGAAATAGCAAGTGCTGATACTATCAGCCTGAGTGCCTCAGGCTTTTCCATATTTGTATCAATGTAATGATCCAGGTCATAGTGATCAGGGGGATGTAATTATTGACCTTATTGGCTTGATACTTGACCTTAACTTTTCTATTAGCAGAAAAACTCTTCTAAAGGCATTAATTGTAATGGGAATGAATGGTTGCCTACACTGCTTTCACCTATGAACAAAAAAAAATTTAGGCTAATTTCAATAGCTAGAGAAAGGGATAAGCTTTCAAAAATTATGAAGAAAGTCAATAGGAAAATATATATTACCTTATATAGTACTTCTGGAAATATATCTAATCCATTAAGATAAATCCACAGTGAGATCTGGCCCAATTCTCTGTCTTCATAGAAGAAAAGAAAAACAGCTGAACATGTAGATATTAGAAAAGGCACTATCCAATATAACAAGTATTTCTGGAATGTCTATTCCCATGTACAAAGTACTGTGTGAGATAAGAAAATGAAGTTGTTTCAAAGTGTTTAAAGTATAAAAGGAGAGATAAGACTGATTCACAGATAACTAGACTCTAAGGCAGAATCTGGAAAAGAGATACAACAAAAATTTGCTGCTGAAGTGTGAGATAAATTCCCATTCAGCTTTTAAACACATTTTCATAAACAATAAACAGTAGAATTTTACAGAATACACTATGCATTGCAGATTATCCATCCATTTCATAGGACTTCCCTAAATAATCTCGTAATTTCAGTGATCTGCTTGATGAAAATACAGTCACTTGTTGCTTAGCAGGGATACATTTGGAGAAATGCCTCGTTAGGCTATTTTGTCCTCATGCAAACATCACAGAGCGCGCTTACACAAACCTAGATGGTAGAGCCTACTGCACACTGAGGCTATATGGGATAGTCTATGGACCCCAGGCTACAAACCTGTATAGCATGTTACTGTACTGAACACTGGAGGCAACTGCAACACAATGGTATTTGTGTATTGAGAAAAGAAAAATAGCTCAGAGCAGTCTGAGTTACGTGAAATATGCAAAATGTATCAGGCCCAGAGAGACAGGAGTAGGGACTTCAGTCACATCCCCACCTTGCCTGGGGGACAATCGTTTAAAGGCATTTTGTTTCTGACTAGTTGCTTCACTCATTATCTTCAAGTTCCTGGAATTTATGACAGAAATAACAATGTATACACAATTAATAGCTTGTGTTATTTTAACATAAATTCTTGGTAAACAATTTAGGAACTACCTCTTCTTTTCCTTTAAAAATCTACCTGTAACTGCTGCTAATTGGAGCGTATATACAGAGCAACTTGAATCTATGCTCAGGGTTGCAATCCTCAAACTTAGCCCCAATGAAACTCTCTACTTAATTTTGCCTTGGACTTTTCCTTTCAGGTTGACAGGATCTAAACATAGAGGTACAGTAAAAATATGGCATTACAATCATGTGGGACCACCTGTGTATATGCAGTCCTTCATATATGTGGTCTGTTGTTGACTGAAATGTTACACTGTGTATAAGTGTACATTTTTAACAACTAATTTCTCCTGAGTTATTCTCCATTTCGTGGCTCTATTTCAAAGTTAGACATATCAGCATAGCTATTTCTACATGGCTAACATGGTGGGCTCTGATGTCATAGTATTAGCACGTGTCATTGGTGGCTGACATTCACCTTGTCATATTGCAGTAAACCTGGCAAGCACAGTATCACTTGGTGGTCACAACATAACTTCGAATTGTACACGAAGCTTACAACCTAGGAGTGGGCTATAAATTTTTTGATAACAAGGATTATATTTTATGTAACACTGAATCCCTTTGGATACCCAGAAGAACATAGAAAAAAGATTAGTTGAACAGAAACACATTAAATACTTTTGAATGACTGGCTAAATGTGGTCCCTGCCTTCAAGAAGTTTATAATTTACCTTGGAGGACAAACATATAGTCCAACTTATGAGACTAAACTGATTTAAAATGACATAATATAGTCCAATACTACTGGATTGATCAAGGCAATGTACATAGCTAAGAAAACACAAAGAGCTGACGAAGTCTGTGGTGCTGGATGCATGGTATGAAACATCCTACTGGAACAATCAACATACATATCATTCTGAATAAAACTGCAACGGGATCATCCGTCTAATTAAAAGAGGGAGCAAGACACAATGATCGAAGTCAAGTAGAAGCTGGATATAATGGGATTTGTATGGCTCACACCTGTAATCCCAACACTTTGGGTGGCCAAGGCAGGAAGGCTCGTTAAGGCCAGGAGTCTGAAACCAGCTTGGTTAACATAGGGAAACCCCACTCTATAAAATATTTTTAAAAATAGCTAGGCATGCTGGTGTGTGCCTTAGTCCCAATTACTCAGGCAGCGAGGCTGGAGGATAACTTGATCCTAAGAGTTTGAGATTACAGTGAGCCATGATCACTCCACTGCATTCCAGCCTGGACTATAGAGCAAGACCCTCTCTAATTTAAAAAAAGAAAAAGGTGGGGAGGAAGGAAGGATTTATAGTAGCAGAATAAATCCAAGTTTTTTAAATGTTAGAAGTAAAAAAGTAATTAATGTGAGAAGGGCCTATATCTCATTGCCTATTAATTGTTTAGTGCAATTTATCTGCAACATGAGTCATAGGAGAGACCTAGTCTGCATGCCTACCCCAGGGATTCTAGGTCATTGGCGCAGGTCATGTATTTACAGGAAGGACCTCAAGGGCTGGGAGAGTCAATGACGGAGATGGCTTTTGGATTTCAGATTAGTACAACAGCCCAAAGATCAAAGACACACATTAAAGAGTGTTACCATTTGAGATGAAGATGGGAAGAGAGTACTGGAAAGGCCAGTAATTATCTCTAAGAGATAAAGGGCATGTGCTGTAACTTGGGAAACTTCTCCAAGGGCTGATGCTACCTAAAACATAGTATAAAGTCATTCAAAACTCACATGGCCTAATCTAGCCTGCCAGGATAAACAGCGGCTATGACCTGGCTGGCCCTACCTAGAGCTGGGTTATCAAAGTAGCAAAGTTGGGGGAAAGGTGGAGGTGGTGGAGCCAGTTTTATAACATGGGGAAAGGTCAGATCAAATACCTATGAGACAGACATCCAAGTGGTTGGCTGTCCATAGGTCAGTTATTATTAGGGACCAAAGAGAAGTCAACAGACATACTGGGGAATTAAGAAAAGATACACAAAACACAAATTAATGGTTTTCTAAACCTCTACTTTACAAGTGTGTGCTGGGGGTAGGGAAGATGTGTGTGACATAAACAAGTTGTTTTTTGTTTTTAACTTCCGTTTTTTGTACTCAATGTAAGTATATTAAATTCACAATTTGATATATCTTTTTCCAAGTAGCAGAAAAACCAAGTTCAAAGTCCTACTGTTAAAATTACTTTAATCAATTTAATTTAATGGCATTAGATTATTTTCAAATGGCCAGGGATAAGGAAGTAACTCTTGAAAAGACCTTAGACAGTGGTGGCAGTCCCAAGCCAGAGTTAATGCAATAACTTAAATCTAATGTTCCAATCTTCCTTTTTGGAAATAACACAGTAAAATTTTACTATTAACTTTTTTCTCCTGTACCTCATGTCCCAATTGCATTGCTTTTATGAAATGGTCATTGGCTTTAGAAAGCTTGATTGGGAGATGTCCTTATATCCAAAACTTATTTGAATATACACATAGCAACTAAATTATTATAATATAGTTTTACCCATTTCAGCCTTCTCTATACAGAAATTAAATCTCAGTTTAACTTGCTACCACTAGAACTATTTAATTTGGTGAATATATTTTAGTCTATAATTTAGCTACATAGCTAATCACTAACCAAAAAAATAAAAGGGTCTCTTCCTTCCTTCTGCTTCCGAGGACCCAAGGACCACTTCTTTTTGACCCACAAAAGGGAAGGGGGTTTACTTCCGTGACCACCAAATCTCCTTTTATGACATTCAACAGAAATTTATTTCAAGCCCAGAATGAACAGCATGACTATTTAACACCTCCCAGCTCTACAGCATTTGGCTTTTATATAGCAGTTTGGCATAACGTTCTGCCCACAAGTGAACTGTCCCTGATTTCATGTGCCTCCACAATCGGAACACAAACATACAAATATAAGAAACCGACACCAGAGCTCCACTTTGTTCTTTTTTGTGAGAAGTCATGTGGCAAAAAGCCAGTGTCTTTCTGTTCAGCATGTTTTGTTGCTAGCTGCTCCTAATTCAGTATCTTGCAAAATGACATTCTGTTAATGACATGAATGTCAAAGCTGTGATAATGGGCAGAAGTAGAAGAAAATGTTTCCTGAATGGAGAAGCAACAGGAAAACTGCCAAACGGATATTAAAATTAGTTGCGTGTTTATCCTATACTTTAGTGCTTGGTCCCTACTATTTGTTTCTAACACGAAAAGGGAAGTAGTCTCTAAGGAGCGAAGAATAGCCCACCTTGGTGAAAAGCGCGGAAAAAAAAAAAAAGAGGTCAAAGGAATGTTTTCCCTTAATTAACTTGACAGATGTCTTTTCTTTTCCTCATTTACATCCACTAATGTTTTCTTAGTCATTCTCTCATTTTGCAAAGATGAAATTGGCCACAAGGAACCAATTCTGTTGCTAAAGACAGGAGGACTGGGGAATTACCAGAAGACGCTGGTCTTTAAGATGCTCAGTATTCAGTCTGGGTAATGAGTGTTCCTTGCTGTTGTTATTTGTGGGGTAACAGAATTTTAGGTCTGGAAGACAACGAAGTGACTTGCCAACGTAGCACCACCAATTAGTGGCAAACAGAGCCTAAGAAGGGAGGTTAAGTGGCTCCCACAACCAGGGTACATTAGAAGGTAGAAATCTGCATGAGACATATGGATATACTTGACTACTTCTTATGTGAACATACAGTAACTGTTCTACAAAGGAAGAGACAGTTCTGTTTTAAATTAAATGGACTCAGTTTCTTAAGAGAATGCAGCCATGAAATACAAGGACTTGCCATTAGTAGATCTACTGTTGAATTCCAAACCCACTAAGCCTCAATTTACTGATCTGTAGAGCAGGGATAATAATATCAATAATCATGGCTAGGCACAGTGGCTCATGCCTGTAATCCCAGCACTTTGGGAGCCAAGGCAGGCAGATCACTTGAGGTCAGGAGTTTGAGACCAGCCTGGCCAACATGGCGAAACCTTGTCTATATTAAAAATACAAAAATTAGCTGGGTGTGGTGGCACAGGCCTGTAATTCCAGCTACTCAGGAGGCTGAGGCAGAAGGATCGCTTGAACCTGGGAGGCGGAGGTTGCAGTGAGCTGAGATCGCACCACTGCACTCCAGTTTGGGCAACAGAGCAAGACTTTGTCACAAAAAGCAAAAGAATATCAATGACCACAGAGGGCTATGTGGAGATTAACTGAGATAATTTATGTAAAGAAATTATGATAGTGCTGGCACACAGCAAGTGCTTTATAAATCTTGGCCATCAAAATAATTCTAGAGTACTTGATGTTGTGGAAGAAAAAAGAATAAAATAAAATATTTGGTCTTTATCCCTGGTATACATTCTCTCAGGCATATTCGTTTTCATACAAGAGGTTAGTTCTAGGGCAGCAAGGCTTGATGGTAAATGTAAACATTATCCTAGTTATAGAAAGAAGGTACCAGTAAGAAGTATAATTGGTGGGTTTCAGAAACACAGAAAAACAAAAGCTTCAGAACCACAAGTTCAAAGTATCCACTCAAACACTGGCCAATGGCTTCTAATTGTCAACATCAAGGTGGAGCAACATGCAAGGGACTGCACTCAACAGACTTCAGTGCTTTGGAACAACTGTCAAAACCGTGCACATCAGCCCAATCTTGCTCTGCTACCATGGTCCCCAGACAACCTTCTTATTAGCTTCATGGAGAGGTCTGCCCAAAAGTGATTAAAAATAATAATAATAACTGCTAACACTGACAAAGCGTTTAACACACTCCAAGCAATGGTTTAATTTTCATGACAATCCTATAAGGTAGGACTTATTTTTATCCACATCTTTATAGATGTGAAAATTGAAGAACTGAGAAGTTCAGTAACTTGTCCAAGATCACAGAACTAGTAAGTGGGAGAACCGGGATCTAAACCCAGGCAGTCTGCCTTCAGAACCTGTGTTTTTAACAATCTTGCTAGACTGTCTACAAAGCAGAGAATAAGACCTTTGAAGGGCCTAGGCCCAATAATGATTATATGTACACTTATAAATTAATATCTCACCATTCTGGTCATACATAGAAATCACATGAGCTTGGTAACTAGGAATCCACAGCTAAGAGATGGAGCTGGTACTTAGGATACCAACCAAACCAGACTTTTGAGTCTGTAGCATGAGGGTCAGGTACAAGAGATAGTTCAAGCTATGGAGCTTTACATCAGATTGTGAGGTTTTTCCGGAGGCAGTAAGTCTGACCCTGGTGGACAGACAGTCCAGTATCACCAAGTGGGGCATGAGTTTTATCCCAGGATACACTTGTGTACAGATTTTTCAGGCTCATGGTAGACAGGTGGGATGTGGACACGATATAGACGCTCCTTCCTCCACAGTGTATTCTCAAAGATCCATAGGTAGATGATCCAACATATGAATTACCCAGGTCAACCAGGCACTTCCTTCCTTATGCCTGCCCAAACCAACAGATCTAGCCAGACACAGCTCTCTGGAGAGAACTGTGTTTATGCATGCAGCAGATTTTTTTTTGTTCTATTGTTTTTTAGTGGATTTCAAAATCAAATCCATATTTCTGGATCATGCCTCTTTTTATATGACTTTTCTGGTTTCTTATTTCTAGATAACTCACTCTCAGTGTTCAAGAGAACCCAGAAATCAGATTTGTGATATGAAGCATCCTTGTATAGCACTGGCTTTGGGGAAAAGAAGAATTAATGCCCACATTGTAACATGCGTCAGAAAGCAAATTTGGCCAGCAAATCAGAATAAGATACACTGACTGCATTAGTGAGATAAGTTTATATTATATATATATACACACACATATATATATATATATATAAAATCTCAAAATAAAGCAAACTCAACAGTAAAAAATCTTATATTTACAAATCTTATAGCCTTGTAACCCCAAATTGTAGATTCTTCTGTTGCACTTATTCTTTCAAGATGTTATTCCTTTAGTCTGGTATCTTCCACCATTACTATCCTCCAAGAACTCCCTAGACTCTAAGAAAGCAGACAGGAGAGGGATCTGTGTGTAGAAAGAGGCCTCACTAAATTGTGTGGATTAGATTAAAACTATGGCAGGAGATGGGATGAGACACAGTGCTTCAGTTAATGAGGAAAAGTTTAACTGTGGTTTCAGTCACTTTCAGATCTCCTGCCTGCCTCTTATAGGTACGAACACTTGTTTCTCACAGGTCCAGCCTTCTGTTTAATGAGAGGAACTCATTCGTCCCTAGCCTGAGATTTGGTCCTTATCAGTAAGTACTCCAAGCTCCAGGATAACACATCAATTCCTCCTCACCATATTCACCAGACACCCAACCTAAACTCATTCTGCATTCCCTGCAGTGACTCAGAGAGTTCCTGTTCACTGTGTCCCTGGATTCCTGCTTATGAAAGCTATGGAATCCCTGACCTTCACATGGAAGTACTGCTAAGCAGAAATTCAATGGTATAGACAGATGGCACCCTACTGTGTCAACTTTCCATATTGAAAGGGATTGTGAATAATTCACCCACATGAAATTAAACTGCATATCAAGACCAGAATTAGGATGCCTCAACTTACTGAAAAGAAATCAACGGTACTATGAAAGAAATAAACATGAACTCTTCTATTGCTTACTTCCACTTATTATTTTTCTAAATAGACCCTAAATCCTATTGAAAGGGTAAAATACATCTGAAAACAACAATGCAGTTAAATCCATCTTGAAAATAAAACCTGTCGATAGCTACCAAGTGAGTCATTCCTTTGGCTTTGTGGTCATAACATATTTCCATTCAAGTATAATCATAAAATTGTGGAGCTCGTTTACATAAAAGAAACAGTGTTTTCTATGTCCTTAAATTAAAGATCTCTCTCCAGAGCCCTGGGTCTTAAGATACTAGCTTCAGTGACTATTTATTACAAAAGGCTGCAATGTTTTCTGAACTCACAAAAGTATATGGTAAGGAGCAAAACCACATTGTACTATTAGCTTGCCTCCTGGACAGTACACCAAAAATTTGATGCTATGTATTTCAAATAATAAGAAATCATTTTCATTTTATTTTTTAAAAAAAATCACATGAGCACCTATTTTTGTATCTAAATGTGTCAATATTTTAAAATAATGTATAAGAAGGGAGATGAGTGGTAAGCATGAGGTTATGCTGTCTTTCTACAAATTGAAGACTAGCACTTGGTGATAAACAGTTTCACAGGACAAAGTTAACTTCCACTCCACTCCATCAACACCATCATCAATTTGGTTTTCTTGTTTTAAGGTAACTTGTTTTTCTGATGTGTAAGTAGCCACGTTACTCCACCAAAAATCCCCTAACAGTTTTTAGAGTATCTTGCCCCATGCAGAGGACTGGTACCAGGGCCCAAGACAAGTGCTTACAAGGAGTTTGTAATCAGGAAGTCTAGGGAGGGTGACTTTTCCTTGCATTATTAAATAGATCCATTGTTCAGTTAAGTGACTTTGTATAACTGGGAGGACAAAAATAAATAATAAAAATCAGTCTACCTAAGATTTGACAAAATCTGTGTTAAAAAAAAAAAAAAAGAGAAACTAAAGGCAAAAATAAAGATAAAGCAGCATATAAAATCATCTAAACTAGAATTGCAACTGTTAGAGAAAGATTTCAATAGCCAGGTAGACAAAGTGTTCCCATCATAGGTTAAGGTGTTTTCTGAAATAAATGCTGTGGAAAGAGAAGATATTTAACAAAGAAGCAAATTTCTTTTTATCATTAAGAAATATGAAAAAGGTGGATGCAAGAGGTCTCTAGGAAGATTATTTAATGTGTCCATAATATATTGTTAAACAAAACATAATTCCACTTATGAAATTTTTTTTTGGATTATTGTATCAGGCAAACACCAGAAGAACGAACAATTAATGTTTGTGTTCTAGTTTTAAAAAAGAAAAAAAAATCCCTGGGCAATGAGTCTAGCATCATAGTTAGAAAGAATTAATGATATATTAATTATAAATGATAACTCTATCTCCCAAATTCTCCTGGCTCTTGTTGTCAAAGCCTTGAATCAGAGATGGGTCATTTTTCAACTGTTAAAACTTCCTCTTAGAGAAAGAACATTGATTAGTTTTCTACTCTCTCTTCTAAGAGATGATTTTACCTCAAAAAGATTAATCTCTAGCTCATCCAGGAGAAAGAGTTAATCAATTTGTATAGAAATGAAGAAAACTGCTTCCCTGATATTTTTTAAATGTTTTATTAAAAATTGATAAGATCCAGGAATAGAAATAGGGTTGACAATGTTTCTTAGGATAGCTCATTTTTTGCTTCTTCTGTCCTCCAAATGCTTTTTATGTACTAAATGAGCTATGTATTTTTAATACTCTACTCCATAATACAGATCCAGTTCTGTCTGAGTCACACCAGCCTAAAATCAAATGATGACAAAGTCTAGAGGGAAAAGAGGGCATTTCAAAAGAGAACAAGGACTAAGCCTGACACAGAACAGGCTTGCCCTCCAAGAACTGGGAAGCTGGAACCCTCAACAATCACCTCTCTGCTTAGCCACTAACTTTCTCGTTTCTTCTTTTTATTTTATGGAGATGGGGTCTTGCTATGTTGCCTGGATGGTCTTGAACACCTGGGCTCAAGTGATTCTCCTACCTCAGCCTCCCAAAGTGCTGGGATTACAAGCTTAAGCCACTGCACCCGACCTTTCCTTTTTACTGGAGACCACTCAACAACCACCCTGGAATTAACGACCTCTTTTATGTGGCAGGTTTTTGTTTCTAATCAAGCCAATTAACAACAAATCTCCCCTATACATACATTTCTTTTTGGCCTTTTTCTGGGATGACAATGAACAAAAGACAGTGAGGGACAAATGATTAGTCTCTTTCTCCTAAAAACCCTGAATAAAATGTAGTCAAGCTATACTATCACCACAAGATGGGATTACTCCAAAAATGCTTACAAAGACATAAGAGAAAATATATAGCATCCAAAGACTGATATTAAACATCAGTCTCTGTATCCGTGAGTTATGCATTCATGGATTCAAACAAATTCAGACAGAAAATACTTGGTGAAAAAAATTGCATCTGTACTGAACACATACAATTTTTTTCTTGTCATTATTCCCTATACAATACGGTATAAGATCTATTTACACAGTATTTACATCACATTAGGTGTTATAGGAACCCTACAGATGATTTAAAGTATATAGGAGGATATGGGTAGGTTATATACAAATACTATGTCATCTTATATCAGATTTTGAACATCCTCAGATTTTGGTTTCCAAGGGAGGTCCTGGAACCAACTCCTCGGGACACTGAGGGACTACTGCATAGAGAATGCAAAGAAGATGAATAGGAAGAAAATGTACATAAATCATAATAGTGATTACTTCTCAGTGGCAGGAATATGGGAGTATGAATGTAGGTATGCTTGTACTCTAGCTTTCAAAAATTTTTAATCATGAATATTTTAACCTCTTAACCTGGAAAATGTGAGTTTTACAAAGAAAAGCTGATGTCCTTTTAAATATTGCTAGCCACAATTTCTAAGCAGAAAGGCAGAAGCTAGAGAGGGTGGGCAATGGGTCCTGTAACAGGATACTTTATTGAGATACTAATTTGTGGTATTCTTTCTGCAGGAAGAGAATGAAAAGTATTTTTTCCTTCCTCTATACCAAGTCTTTGTATTCAGAGTCTGGCCTCCTGGGCCTTGAAGGGTATTTAATGCGTTTTGGTCCCAGGAAAGGGAATGGATGTTGGGAAGCATGCTAAAAGCAAGTCCCAACCCAGGCTCTTTCCTGAGACACTCCCACAGGGAGTGCAATGGGTAAGCTTCTCAAGCCTAGAGGGGTCTGCTTTCCTGAGACTGGGGTAGGGAATGAGGGAGGCAGTGGTGTCTGGCCTCCCCATAGCATTTACATTGTATTAGGTGTTATAAGTACCCTAGACACGATTTAAATGCAGTAGTGTCTGATCATGTAGCTAACCATGTGAGTAACAAAAACCTGTTACTCCTTTCCACTGACGGACTCCAAGGGGTGGAAGATGACAGGCTCCATGGTGGGCATTGTGTGGCTTGGGGATAGAGGTGAGCAACACACAGTGAAGAAAGGAAGCCAGGCTTACTGTGTAAGTGCCAGTTACGGATGTTCCTGCCCACCACCGGCATCAAGGAGGACCACATCCCAGTTTAAAACAGGCAACATCACTCCATGTGGGCTTGGACAATAAGTAACTCTGATGAGTAGGAAGTGATTCCTGGTTTCTGTGTCACTTGACCACATCATAAAGGTTACATCAAGCAGCTACAGTAGAAAACTTGACATAGTAGATCCCGCTTGCTTGAGAAGTACCAGCCAGCCCTAACTTACTCAATGACAACCCACAATACCAGCAAACTGTCTTTCTCAGGAAATTATCAATATACTGTATGCCATTTTTTTTTTAGCCAAAGTCTATCCCTCCTCAGAACCTGACTTAAAATGTGAAAACAAAGCACAGAATGCTGACTGTACAGTTTGCTAATGAAAGGAATTGTTTGCACCCCTTAAATTACAATCCAATGGCTGTTCCTTGAGTAGTCACAGCAACGCTAATCAAAGCCAAGCCAGGCCAGGCCCATTCTAATAGTTATTGATGATGTGGGAGAGACACAGCCAGACTTTGGCAGGTTTGGTGAACTTCAGAAATAGCAAAGCCAAAAGAAAAAGGACTCCTTTACTTAAAATGCAAAAAACAGAAACAGAACTTGAGTTGAAGAGGTTTGAAAAAAAACACAACTTGAGTTGCAGAGATTTGAAAGTGAATGCAGGTTATCTCTATGTCTCTATGGTTCACTCTAAACCAGCAGTCCTATAGGGGAACTTTCTTTTTGGTTTATAAATTAACCCTCTGAGTTACAGGGGTGCACTCATCAATGAAGATACTATCATTTTAGAAAATCCACATAGAGCACACAATTTTTATAGTGCTAGACATAACCAGCTACTCTAAAATAATAAAGAATTCCACAGACGTCATCTTTTCCCAGCTTTTATTGTTAAATATATTCACTCCTTTTGGAGCTTTAATTACTGAATTTATATTTGGGCAGTGATTATCATATTGCATTGGAATATAAAGTGTCTCACATCCAATTTGCAGAAAACTTACAAAGTCAAAGCTGCAATGCCAAATCTAACTAGAGTCACACTGTCACTGGTTAAAGCTTAAAGCTCGCAGTCCTGGGGTTAGTGAGATGGACTGAATTATCTGTTACTGCAGTGTCTGACATTTCAGGAAGGCCGCCTGACTCTCGCTATTGAATTTCTGGCTAGAGAACTGATGGAGCAAACACATAAGTTAGGAATCTAGCACCAGAGAGAATGAAGGGATGTTGTGGGTTTGAAATCATTGTTACGTAACCCCTACCCCTATCTCTACCCAGCCTAAAGAGGCCCACAAGTATCACCTGACATGGATCCCGTCCATTTCCTTCTTGAGCCTTTTCCATATAGGTTGCAGAAAAGGCAGGCTTTTGTGGTGACAAAGAGCATTTCAATTATGTCAGGAGTTCAGGGTTCAGGTGGCTTTCAGCACCTTACATAAAGCCAACTTAGCAGAAAACATCTGAAGAAGCTCTAAGGAACAATTACGAACTCTCTAGGTGTGGCTTGTGATGACAACACAACAAAAGATATAGGCCTTTTAGGCAAGTTGTTTAAATGGATAGACTGTACAAAGCTAGATAAGACATTTTGTACTTAAGTCACCGGCCGACTGGTTTATGCTCTAATCTCTTATTTGAAATGTGGTCTGCTGTAAAGAGTAAGCTGCTGTGAAGGGCTTCTTTCATTCAAGACCAAATAGATAAACAGGGTTACAAATCTAAAATGAAATAAGAGTTAAAAAATCTATTCTCATACTTCATTGTTTACATCCATCTGCAGATGGATGGCATACGTAGATGCGGATTCACAATGCCATATTATTTGACAATAAACTGATACTTTTCTTTGAAACCTAAACTTATTTTGCTTATCACTGAATGTGGTTACAAAAGCCAGGGTAAAGGTGGCAATGGTAAAGAGAAACAAACAAACAAACAAACAAAACCCACAGGCAGACTGTCTTCCCACGGGAGAGTCAAAGTTAATCAGCTTATCATATAACGAAATCTAGATCACTGTAATGTAACAAAATTCATAGGGCACCACACATCACTGCTTTAGCATTGTAACTGTTTCACTAATGTAAACTAACACTCAGCTACTTCTGAATCTGCTGCTTCATTTATGACTTTGACCAGGAGTTTCTGTTCCTTGGCCAAAAAACACAGAATATTTTTTAGAATATAAATCCTGCCTATGCCTATGTTGCAATATACTATGCCAAACTAGCTCAGCTTGACTGCTTTTTTTTTTGCCTGTATAGTTTCTTCAAAAAGGAGAAGTATCTGTAACAATCTGAAAAAAAAAAAGCCACACACACACACACACACACACACACACAGAGAAATGAAAACCCAAAAAAGTAATCCTTACAACTCTCAGCTGAGAGAAAAATTTCACTGTTATTTTAATGTTAATAGCTGCCACTTTTTAAAAAGTGTTATCAAGTCAGCAAGAGTGTTTTTCTTTCTTTTTTTTTTTTAAGGGTTAGATGTTCACAGTAAGAACTAATTAACTGCCAAGAATGAGATGGGTTTCCAAAGGAATGCCATTCTCCTCATCAAATACTAGTTTCTATTTATTTTAAGTATGACCATTCATTCTTAATCTGAAAGTCTTCGTAAGCATGGTTAGAACAGGGCAAAAAGTATTTATATATGATTCTACAACATAAAGTAATTATCTTAGTGTTGGATTGAAATTCACCTGTATACATATAAATATGGTACATCACTTTTCATAGTTTGTTGTCTGTACAATATTGAACATGAAATAAATGGCAATAGGTCTGAGCTACTAGATGTTATTTGTAGTTACTATAAGTGTGTTTGTGTATTTCTGCTTAAAATATAGATACACATCATTTTCTTTTTCAAGGGTTTTGAATTCTGTTGTTCTCAATAATCCTCTCATCATTTACCTAAAAGTCTATGGTAAATAATCATTGTACATACTGACACATGTGACCATATGAAATAGGTAAACCACTGATCCAGACAGACCAGACTATGCTGCTGAAAAATCATCAAGTCAGGTAAGAAGTAACCCTTATTTTGTTCTTGATGTAAAATAATTCTGCCCTCCCCCAAAATAAAAATGGCGTTTAAAACCGGTCTTATTTATTCTAACATGATACCTTATAGCTCTCCTACTAGGCACTGCAGACAAGCATGTATCTTGTTCTTTCTGTGACCCTAATGCAATACCTGGCACAGAGGCATGCTTAATTAAACCTTGCTGAATAAATGAATATTTTGAAAGAATAAGCCAATAAAAATGAGAAAAGATAAATTTTGCAAAAAACGTGGGTGGGGAAGTTTAGTCATAATAAAACCCAACCTTTCTTAAATCTCCCCCTTCTCAAATTAGTGGAAGTTTCCATTTTACAGTTTCTCCTAAAGATCCTGGAATCTTCATTAGAAAGCAGAGATTGTGGGTCAGGCTGTGCTGAGAGGTAACAAAGTCAGATTTTTTCATTGGCCTCCAGAGGCTTAATCTAAAATGGATTACAGGTACAGCAGGATAATTCACAGAAAGATTTAGGCAACTGCAAACATTCTGAAAGAATCTATAGATTAAATGAGTTAAAGCAGCCATGGAGCAAGAGTTTTTGGAAGGGGGGCAGATTGCTTTTGACAAATAAGCACCCCTTCAACGCAAGTGACAGAAGTAGGTCACGATGAGTAACTGAATTTTCCACTGATTCATTTCCACATATATCAGAGGCAGTAAAGGACACCAGTGATCTAGTTCTCCACCTGTAAGAGCTGTACAAATTAGTTCTCTCACGAAAGAAGGTGGAATAAAAACTGACCCAGCAGGGAGAACTGCCATCCTGACCTATGAATAGGTCACTAGGCAGTAAGGTCAACAGGCCTGACAGGAATATTCACTTCAGAGAAGTCCCCCATCTTTAGAAACTCTAACAATTTAGATTGTAGGGATATGGGAACAAGATGATTCCTGCTCTTTCTCCAGCTAACAGATCAGCACAATCAGGTTTAATGGTGTTATGCCAATTAACATGTATTTTACAAATCTTCACTAAGTCTGTACGCAGTTTTTCAGTGTTTAACTTTGAATGCAAATAACCTCTACTTTAAGTGTGATAGGGAAAAATTTTGCAAATCATGTCTAAATACAAATTCATTTATTTTAGTGCAAATGGAGCATACCACTGTAAATGTCAAATAGTCACCATCCATTATGATAACAGGGCCCAGCCAATCTTTCCAACTTATTCAAAGTTCACTGCATGAATGATCCAAGCCCTCAGTCCCTAGACAGAACTTAAAATATGTCCTTATTAAAAAATTCAAGGGCAATAAATCAGGCTAAAAAGGCGACAAGAGACGACCCTCCTCTGCCATCAACTCTGGGAAATGCCCAGGGCTTTCTGCTGGACTAGCCAGGGAGCTGACAGATTCTCTGTATCTATGCAGAGGAAAGCAGCAAAGAGTAGCAATTTAAAGACTGATAATCTCCACCCACCAGGAACTGATATTAATCTATTTAATAAACGCATACATTTTAGTCTAGTCAGAGATCATCCACAGATGAAAGTAAATGCTTTTTTCACATAGGAAAAAAATATCCTATGTGGAAGTGTTATCCCCAATAGACATCAATTTTACTTTTTACAGGACAGTTAATGAGTTAGGCAGCATTATCCACACTTTAAACAAAAGTAGTCAAATTCTAGCAACTTCTGAAATACCAGCCAAAGCTACAGGAAAAAAATTTCACCATAACAGTTAATTGGCATAGAATCAACACCCATGACCTTGGCCTCTTTAGCACAATGTTCTATTGCACTAAAATACTAAATAAAAACATAGCGTTTGAGATACCCAAGGCTTTATAAAAGTAGACGTTGTAAGAGAGTGACACAAACACCCAAGATAAAAAAAGTGCTGAGGTACAGAACACTTAGAAGAGGTTAGGTGTTCCAAATATACAATGTTTGTATGGTTTTAATGTTTTAAACTAAACTCCCTTGAAACTACACAACAGAATGGAAGGGCTTAAAACCACAACCTCATTACTAATACAAAACAGATCTTATTTTAAATATCACCCCTTAGGACTCTGACCAATTTGCCCCAGGCCTGCTCTGGAATGGTGATGTACAGAAATGAAAAGGTATTTATTTTCTGAGTTAAAATGTCACTCAGATGATCTATTTTTGCCACCAGTGCTATGGTTACCTCTTCAAAACCAAAATGATGATTATGTCATTTTACCACAGCTATCTAATAAACATCAGATGGTCATCTCAGAGCTCTCATTCAGTGCTAACCTGGTTCAAGCCAAAGTTTAAAAAGAAAACAACCCTAAACCATCAAATATTGCTTGTAACACTATAAAACAAAAGAGATACGGAATACAGGTATCACACCATGCTATTACTAAATTAACTATAGAGCCTTTATGTTGTATTGCCCTGAGAAATGATTTGTTAAATAAAAACCTATAAGGATGTGAATGACCCATATGTATACAAAATATTTAGATAATAAAAATACACATTTAATTTGAAATTTGGTTTTACAATTTCCTAGATGCTCCTAAATATATATAACACTTAACAAGGAATCATGTGAAATACTAGTAAATTTCAACCTTAAACATACATTTTTATTTAATTGAAAAAATTTCATTAAACAAAATTTAAGTATATAATTTAGAGAAATTCAAATGTATAAAAATAATATATAAGTCTTAGTTTCAGAATAATTAGGATTAACTTTGTGCAAACTCGTAAACAGGACAAACTTCAAGTCCACAGCAATTTCAATAATGTTGTTAATATCAAATTATAAAGTCAACAGCAATGAATTTATATTTTCCTTTCTCCTACCTTTTTCACATGAGGAAATGTACTTTCCTTCTAAAACTCCTACTATTCCATCCACCTCACTTTCATTCTTCATGGACACAGAAATCATGCTGCCAATAAAGGTTTTCTAAGTAGCAAACACTTTTTGTTCTTATCAAAAAATAAACAAACAAAACCCAACAATCAAAACACACCATCACCTTGCCATAGAATTTTGCAACCCCAATTTCCTGCTCAATTTCTTTCAAACCTCTCCAGCCTAATTTCCTTTTTCTTAGAGATGAAATACACAGAATGGTAAGGTCCCTCAATATACTTAACTAAAAGAAACATGCTAGCAGTTTGATGACATTTCAGTAGGTATCTGATCCTCCTACAAGCAAAGATGTTTACATCCCGAATATTACTCCAAAGTAAAACAAAACATATATGCCTATGGGAAACATAAGTATAAGGATGGCTCTATGGCTTGTCTTTCCTAGAAAACACTTTTAAAATCATGTACAAATTGTCTCCCCATCCCCACCTCCATTTCTCTTGGGAATGCAGAGGGCCAGAAACCTTAGACTCTGACCTGGGTCTAAGCAGACCATAAATACTTGAAGCTGCTGGAAAATAAATATTCAACACTAATTACCTTTGGCACTCTTCATTAATCTTTATGTATATGACTTTTTTTTTTTTGAGAGAGTGTCTCGTGCTGTCGCCCAGGCTGGGTGTAGTTACGTGATCATGGCTGCCTGTAGTCTCAACCTCCCAGGCTCAAGTGATCTTCTCACTTCAGCATCTCAGGTAGCTGGCACTACAGGCACATGACACCATGCCTAGCGAATTTATTTATCTTTTATTTTTGTAGAGATGGGGTTTTGCCATGTTGCCCAGGCTGGTCTTGAACTCCTTGGCTTAAGCGATTCACCCACTTGGGCCTCCTAATGTGCTGGGATTACAGGCATAAGTCACCATGCCCGGCGGTGGATGACTCTTAATCCCCAATCTGGAACTCTCTTGCCTTCCATCCAGATCCACATATCCAGCATCTCCACTTGGGTGTGTCTATAGAAGCTCCAGTCCAATGAATCCCAAACTGAAGATATCATCTTCATCCAACGTGTCTTGCTTCTGTGTTCCCAATTTCAGTAATTGGTACCATTGTCTAACAGGCTAAAGCAGAACTATGAGCACAACCTCCACTTTAGTTCTTCTTCACTCTAATCACTCAGTTAGTCATCCAGTCTTTCAGAATCCACTTCCTGAGCGTCTCCCTTCATTCTCACGGTCACCAGCCTGCTTGTGGCATCATCACCATCTGCCCCAGAAGCCCGTGATGCTTGCTCTAACTCAGATCCTGGAATCCTTTTTGCACAACTCCAGTTCAATCCCTCATTGCTAGGAATCTTTCCTACAGGCAAATGTGATCTTATTGTCCTGTACAAAACCCTTCAGTGGCACCTCCTACCCTCAGAGTACATTTCCTGTTTGCCACTCTAATGGAATTGCTCCTCAACTCTCACTCGAGTCTCTGTACGATAGCTATTTGTTTTGTATTGTTGTTGTTGTTGTTTTGCCTAGATTACAGTCTTCCACATTTCAATGATCTCTCACCCATCAAGGTTGTTTACTTCTTTCACAGCCCACTTTTTTGTTGTGTGTCTCCTGGATGCCCTCAAAGTTCACTATAATCCCCACCATGCATGGCTAAGAAGGAGTAAGACAGACATATACTCACACATGATACTGTAAATTCTGTTACTTCTTTGTGTTTTCCTGTCTCTACACCCAACTCCACAGCATTTCCCATAAAGCTGCAAGCGTTCAAGAAGGTAGAGACTCATCTGTCTCCTTCACCACTGCCTCTCCAGCACAATCCCTAACACATGGAAGGTGCTCAACTGATATTACTGAATTAATGAACAAATAAATGCAGAGGATGGAGAGTCAACTACACTCAGCTCCAAATTCCAAGCTTCATCTCCAAGTGAAATCTCCTCTGCATATCTTAAACTTAGAGGTGGTTATAACAACAGATCCTATCCTAAAGAGTAGCTTCCAGGAAGTAAGGATATTTCATATCTGAATTGCTTAATACAGACTAGAAGTCAAAAAATTCCTTCTTCATCCAACTCTATTCATTAACAATCCACAAACATGTTTTTAGACTGAAAACCCTTATGGTGAAAAGGCTTATTCTTATAAAATGCACAGCTTCTACTTTTTACTCTGACAGGTAAAGTTTATATTTGGAATTATCAGAAGAAAACTAGAAGGAAGCTCTGCCATCTTTGATGCAGTTCTATGGTTAGAATCAACTGTGCATTCAGGAACCATGTCTAAGACTCCATCACTAAACTATGTTTCTTTTTGCAGTTGTACCAGGAGGTATCATTAGCCCTCCAGATCCTTATGTGCACAACGTGTATTTACGTTCATCTGTGAGTGCATACAGAGATATGGTACTTGGCTAGATTCAACTTTGCTTCCACAGCATAGTTGGGAATCTGATGAGAATAAAAAACATCTGTATGAACTCTTGGTCAAGACAGATACAGTTTATTTTCTTTTTGTAATAATTATATATTTCAGTGAATTCAGTACTGCCAATAAATACAAACAGCACTCAAATCACCTTTCTTAGTACAACATTAAAGTATAAAACTGCTGTCTTCTACACTAATTCTCTGAATTGTATCATTAAAAATGTAGATAAATATCCTTACATATTTTGTAGCAATAACTCTGATATTTTACAATAATTATATAAACATGTGTTCTTGAAGATAATAATCTTATGTAAAATCATTAAAAATAGGATATATTATATCCTACCTTCCATATTTAACATGATATATTTGGATTTTTACAAATAAAGGTAACTGGCTAATTTAAACCTGATTTCTTTTCAAAGAGTTTCTCTTTCATCTGCATTAAGAATTAAAATATTAATATAAGGTGAGGCCCAAAGATAAGGAGGGAGGGAGTCTTTGCCCTCCACATCTGTGTCAGGCTCCATGAGTCATTAAAAAATGAATTGTTTTTTCCATCTTTTTAAAACAGAATTCTGTGGTCTCAAATATTCCAGAAGTGTGCCTAAGGGGCTATGATTTACAATTATTCTGTCTCATGCTGATTAGCATAAATGACCATGATAGAAAACTGTATGAAACCCTAGAAGAGTCAATAAAATGTATTGATCCATAACAACAACTAAAGGAGGAAAAATTACTTACAGTCTATGCTTCAAGCTTCCTATCTAATTTAGTAGAGGATCTTATAACCTGAAAATAATTCCATGTTTACAAAGCATTCTGCTGATGGTTGCATGAATTACATTTCACCAGCAGATAGACAAATCAATCTCTGCACTTTGCTCTACTCCCCAGTCTATCAGGCTGTGAGTCTGTACCCAAATTAACACAGGGGCATTTATGCAGCAGCTGTAAAGCCAAAAAGAATGCTCCTCTCCATTAGAAACTGTTGTGAGATGCTGTTGTGGTAGGCAAGTGGCACGGCATGTAAAAGCATTTGAGGCTTTGCCTCTTAAAATATTTTTTCCCCTCTAAAATGTAGCATCGAAGGTGGTAGGTATATAGGTAATGGGAAGAAATGTCTTCACTCCTCTGAAAAGGTTAGGATAAATTTTGCTCGCCACTTCTCTTATTCATTGTATATTTAGACCTTGATCATTAAAACACTTACAAACTCTAGGAAAGAAAACTGCTTTAAGACTAACAGATGAGAAGTGTTTTATCAATATTATTCTTTAGCTTTTTTGTATTTCAAAGATTTTACTTTCCAGCTGAGCAGCACCAATTCAAGCCTGACAAGTAGGTAGGTGCAGTACACAATCTTTATACATTCATGGCCACATTTAATTAGGGAAAAGCATGCAGTTATGACAAAGGAATGGTGAGATGCTGACAGATACAGACTCCTTTAAAGTACTACACGAAGTACAGGGGACACAGTCACATTTCCACATGTCCGGGCCTTGGGGCCCTCCAGAGGCACATGATGTGGGTGATAATTACTCTACTCCTTTCCTATAGTTCTTCTTTGTTTTAATATACTCCGGGCTTTCCTAGCTACATGCTAGCTAAACATAACTGATGAAAGCCAGCACTTTTCTGACTGGAGTGCTGACCAGGTAAATCAAAGGTTACTTTTTTTGTATAACATCCCCTCAATTATGCCAGGCCCCTGATAATCAAGTTTCATAACAAACTCCAGAGGCCACCTGGGTCAGCCTTTCACTCCACTACTAGTGTTTAACCCACTGGAGACACCAGAGAACTTCTGACCTGGAGTCTGTGGACTTCCAAGATGTCTATGAATAGAACTCACTGGGTCCACTAACTTGGCTTGTTTAAAAAAATTATTATTTTCACTAACCAGAAACTGAAATGTAACATTTCCTTCATTTATACATCTATCATCATAGTATTAGCCATGTATTTTCCATATCACATTAACAGTTGTTGCAGATATATTAAAAACTTATTTGTATTCATTATCACTTCAAAGTTACGGTAGTTACTAGACATGCCTCTAGATCTTGATATCTGATGTGCTAATAAAGAACCACATATATCACAAATATTTTAATGTGTTCATGACTCTTTCATTATAATTGGTTTCCTTTATAATATTACGTATCTTATGTTATGCATTTAAAAATGTTATTCTGAAATTACATCCATAGGCTTTACTATACTGCCAATGGAATCTTTAATTAAAAAATAAAAAAACAAAACAGGTAAGCAAGAGAGAATCCACAATGTCTTGTCAATGTCACACAACTAGTTAGTGGCAGAAACGTGAACAGAAACAAGATCTCTTTTAAAATTCTTATTTTTAATGGACAAATAATAATTGTACATATTCGTGGGGTACACAGTTATATAAAACAAGATCTCTGGTGTCATACTTCAGGGCTCATCTCATTACGCTGTTTCATTCCAGATGACCTTAGCTAAAAATAAAAAAAAAAACATGGGATCCCCAAAAGAAAGAACATAAAATGGAAGCATGTTCTAGGCACTGAATGAGGCACTGGGTTCTCACATGCATCATCCCTTTCCTTCTTACAATCTTTTGTCATCATCGGTATGTGTGGACCTATCAGTTTCTTCATTCAAGGTATTCAAAAGCAAGTTTAGATATTAAGTGTTAAAACTCAAACATCTAAGAAAAAGAAAATCAGTTCACCTATTTACCACCAAAGAGGATTATCCTCAATGACTGCAAATAGTACTTACACATTACTTAGGATGAAGATAACGCAATCCTTTCTAGAAAATAGATTTGAAAGTCTTTTGAATGTGTATATATAGATATGTATATATCTATATATACACACCCCACATTTTGAGCACAACAGTGCACCTTCCATATATATGCTTGCACGATTATGTATGTGTATACATATAGATATATATCGTGTGTGTACATATATAGCTATCTATATGTATGTGTGTGTGTGTGTGTATATATATATAGATATATATATATATCTTCCTTGTTTCAGGCTGAACAGTGTTCCATCGTGTGTGTGGATGGAATACTGTTCAGCCAGAAACAAGGAAGAAAATTCCAAGACATTCTACAACATGGATGAACCTTGAGGACATTGTGCTAAGTGAAATAAGCAAGCCACAAAAAGACAACTACTACATAAGTCCACTTAAATGAGGTACCTAGAGTAGTCAAATTCATAGAGACAGAAAGTTAGAATGGGGGTGGCCAGGGGTTGGGGGAGGGGGAATGGGGAGTTGCTCTTTAATGAGTAGAGTTTGTTTTGCAGGATGAAAGGAGTTCTGTGGCTGCACAGCACTGTAAATGTACTTAACACTACTAAAGTGTACACTTAAAAATGGCCAAGATGGTAAATTGTATGTGTACACAATTAAACATTTTTTTCTATCCTAAAAAATAATAAAAGACATGAACAGAATGAAGAAGAGATGGAGCAGTAATTGGACAAAATTTAAAAAAAAACCTGAGTACTGAATATGAATAAGCTAAGGAGGTATATTTATCCTACATTTGCCAGTCTTTCAAACACTCAAAATATCACATCATAATTACCCCACCATCCTGCCCTCCACCCATAAGTTTGCAAATAACTCAGAATAAAAATACACATCTCAAAAGAGTTACAGCCATTGGGTTAGGAGGATCTGTTCTTAGTCCTCCACCATGTTCACTCCGATCCACATAATGAAGATTCATTTGGCTCTGTCTAAATAATAGGACCCAGGGTCCACAGAAAGACTTTCTCACTTTGATTCTCCATGAGCCACCTAGATGTATCTTTAAGGTCTTGAAGCAATGGGCTCTGGAAACACTGACATCATTGTTCATAGAGCTACGTATGGCTTGGAATGACCAACGTATGATCATGTGCTACCATGTAATTATTGGCTTCTCAAAGATTCTCCTAAAAATGTCCAAGTAGGTCAAGGCCCACAGACTCTAGATTGCTAGAAAAGATGAGGGATATTATCTGAAAGCTAGACCTACAACGTAAGAAGTTTTTTCTCATTCCTTTATCTCACTATCTCTCCAGAAACTGAAGTCATAGCTTAATGTGGGTTGAAGCTAAGCTGGACAATAACATATATACAATGGAATATGTAACTTAGATTAATCATAAATCATAGTTATTTAGAATATCTGCTGAACCTTCCTATTCATATTCTAATGAATTGATGATTCTACATCAGTCTCCACAGGATATTTCTAATAGAACATTGTTCTTGCTCTATTTAGCTTAGACCCCACAAACTTCACATGCCATCTTATAAAGTATCACTTGGGTGATTCTATGTGTTCATCAATTACATGCTTGCACCAAAAGGTAGATATGCCTATTTATCATTGGTAATTTATGGGCCTGCCATATTCTAGGTGTGTGAGAGGGGAAATATGAAACTTAAAAAAAAAAAGCTACTGTTGCTCAAGGTCACAGCATGGAGGCTCAATCTTATTTCACACACACAAATCAGATCAATTGAAGATGGAAATGCATCATACATTACACAAACAGTTTCAGACTTTGTTAAAAGCAGACCTTGGAATGTGCATTAACAGCAATTTGCATTTAGTAATGTTTCGTATTTGAACATTAAATGTGTTAAAGGGGAAAAGTAAACAAAAATATTCAATTGTTTCCTTGAAATACTGATGACAATTCAGTAAAGGTTCATAGTAGTAATGAAACTCCAGAAGTTCTTTGCCCCTATAAAAGTATCTTTTATCCAGTACCTTGCCCCTGCTGCCTGCCTCCTTGTTTCCCAAGTTCCACATGAGGGAATTTTATTCTTTAGAAGCTCTTCGTCCTAAAGTATATGCAATGTTCATTCCAAACATGAATTTGGCAATAACATACCCTACTGTCATTTTTTTTTTTTGGTAGAGAAAATAGGGAACACAAGACTGACATTCTAGCAATAATGTACCATGCAATATGAGAGTCACAAACTTGGAAGGCACCTCAAGTAGACAAAAAGCTACTTGGCATGATGTATTAAGATTCATAAACATGTTCACGTCACTTTGGCATAGAAATCTCTATTCTGGGAAATTATCCTAAGGACATAGTCCAAAAGACAGAAAAAGCTATAAGCACGAATATGCTCACTGTGCGGTGCTTTCATTCAATAAACCTTTATTAAGTGTCTATTATGTGCCAGGCACTATGCTGGCATAAAGTCTATGTCTCAAGACACTCACAGTCAGCTTGGAATTCAGATAAGTATATACAGAATTACAACATGTTGGAATGAATGCTAACTGAGGAATGTGTGAAAGCAAAAGAAACATTAAAATAAGCAGGGAGTAGGGGACAGAGAGAATCAAGGAGAACTTTACAAAATTTTGGGTAATGCTCTTATAATTTCTTCAGTATTTTTTAAGACACAAGGAAATGTTAAAATATTGAACAAAGAAATCCTTTTAGTATCCTGAAAAATGACTCCTCAATACATTTTTTAAAATAAAAAATATCAAGCAAACATAACTGCCTTTAGCAACTCTCAGAAGTCCTCATCTTTCTCTCCACTGTGTGTGGGAGTTAGAGTGTGGTAATCAATCAGTAAGTCCTCACCTGGCACATTCTACCACAGTCTATTCTCAGTCTTAGTCTTCTACCAGACACCAGGGTGTCCCTAATCAAAACTGCTAAGAAACTGTGAATTCACTTTGCTTAAAAAACAAAGCAAAATAAACACACCAAAAAAATCTTATTGCTCCTTTGAGAACTTTTTTGTTCAAATGGCTCAGAGTCATTTCAGAAATTCCTGGTTTAAGATTTCAGAAGGTCCCTTGCTAAATATGGTATTTGCAATTTGTAATGATTTTTTTTTAGCGTATTTTCAAATGTGTTTAGAAGCTTTTGAAGAAGCATAGACTGGACTCACCTTGCAATATATAGTGAGAAATAATCTAAGCTAAATTGGGATACGTTGCAATCTATATAGCATGCCTGTATTTACACTTGGATAAGAGAAAATTCTATTCCTGTAACATGCACAACATTCAATTCAAGTCAGGACATGATACATATCAGGGTGTGGGGGCCATGAAGATACCTCTTTCAACATGTTCTGTCCTGTACCATGGCTCAAGGCCTTGGCTATACTCCAGAAGTGGGGTAGGGCTGTAGAAGGGTTACCAGAGAAGGCCATGCCTAAACTAACTTTCTTGAAAGAGTGCCTAAAGGAAAGACTGAACTTCAACCAACCAATGGAAAAAGGGTAAAATTACAATTTATTGAGTCTCTATATTTGCTAGGGATTGTCCTAGGTAAGAGGTTGGCAAAGTCTTTCTGTCAAGGGCCAGATAATTGCAGTCCAGAGTTTCTGTGGTAACTACTTGACTCTGTCATTGTAGCACAAAGAGCCACAGACCATCCCATGGGAATCAGTGTAGCTGTGTTCTAATAAAGGTCGGTACACAAAACCAGGCAGTGGCCAGATTGGGCCTGCAGGCTGTAGTCTGTCTACACTTGCTCTAAGTGCGTCACAATCCATTTTACTTATGGTACAAAAAAGGCTTGCTGATTATTTTCCATACTGAAAGATGAGGAAACCAAGTATCATAGGTGAGATGGCCTGCCAAGGTCACAAGTCTAACTCAGCATTCCAACCTTCTGTCCAAATCCAAACTCTAAACCCTTTCTACTACATGAGAAGGGCCTCTTAGTGTGAAAACAGAGGAAGAGGCGTCAACTTGAATAGAAGAAAAAATGCCAAGTCTAAATCCTTCCTTCTTGTTTAACAGTAGCTGATGTAAGCCCATCTATCCCAAAATATGGAGGACGTTAAACATGCTGGTAAACAGGCGAAACAATCCTTCCAAGAGAAGCTTCTGGAATAGTCAGTGGTAAATTCCTTCATACCAAAGGGGAAAGAAACCAAATTCTGTATGATAATGTGGCAGATTGTTGGAAGGATATAATGTGGTCATGCTCCCAGAATTCCAACAATCTCTGAGAGAATTTTGTAAAACAACCTCATTGACATTTATATATTCAGTAATTAATTCATTCCATGACCAGCTAGTACACCATCCATAACTACTTTAAAAGAGGATGTGGCAATTGTCCTTCAGGAACTTTCAAGAGAACTGGGAAGCAAGGCATAGTCACTAAATGGTTAATTATCTGCTGATCTGAATTGCCACTTGAGGGCAAAAAGACACTGTAGAGGTAACATGTACAGTTCAGTGCCTGAAACTCAAGGGAGAACAGGCATAAATAAGAGCATACTTCTCCTAGTTGAATCTTAACTAGGTTTTCCCCTCAAGAGATTAAAGATTCTATTTTCACCATGGTTGTCCTACTTTGGAACCTGAAGACAAGGTTCCCAGACCATCTCTGTTGTTTACCAGCTTGAAATTTTGTTACCTAAATATTAATTTCCTCATCTTATAATGAGGGGGTTCAACTAGACGGTTTTGGAAGTCTATTCCAGATTATACCTCCATGAATCAGATTTTCAACATACGACTCTATATACCCAACTTTCAAAAAAAGTAATTCCCCGGATAGAACTTAGATGTCCATATATTTTAGTCCATGACAGGGTTCTTCACATCTTTAGAGTTTAAAAAAAAGTTTCAATTATTAAAGCTACTTCCCTAAAAAAGCAGAAAGTATCACTTACAAAGTTGCACAACTTATGTCTGAAAATTAAATAATGGTTTTCCCCAAAAGACAGAGGGGAAAGGAAGATGTGGAGCAGATGGATTCATTGTTCCCCTATGGAGAAAAAACATTTCTACACCTTGCAAAAATATATTAATTGGCCTGCCATCTGGCAAGCCTGCTCACATACATAAGGGATAAAGTTTAGATCTTGAGGTTTAACATTTAAGCCTGTGGGGAGATGGTAATTGGAGTGTTTCTGAGCTAGCATTAGTATTTTTAAAGGGAGCATTTCAAGAGAGATCCAAATACAGTTGGAGAAAAACAGGACCTGAAATGTGAGCCCATCCAGGGTCCCTTCACTAGTGTCAATGGGCCCATCTCCACTGCATACCAGGAAGCCGGCTGTGGACATGCCCACAATGGGTGCAGCTGCGCATTAATTAGCACAGCGGCCTCTGGACGCCTTTCCAATGTGCCCCAGGATTTACCATCAACCCGCCCCAGTCTTCTTGTATATTATAGGTTTTTTAAAAATTTCTAGAAATCTTACCATTGCAAAGTTGGGCATTTAAAAGAATCTTATTAAGGGAAAAAAGCAGATAATAAACCAGGAGATATAGTAAAACATCTACTTTGTGGTATGCATGCACACATGTGTGCACACATGCAGACAGGAAAAATATTACTCTGCCAAGTTTGTAATAGTGGTTATGTCTGAGTACCAGGATTTGGGGTGATTTTTTAAAAAATATTTTCCCCATTTTTTTGTCTTGAGCCATGTATTTAAAATTTAGTGTAAATGTTATATAAGTTTCATTAAAATTAAAATATAATAAAAATAGTGGAAGAACATGATAAGTTATTTTGCAAAGCAAATAAGGTACTTGTAATTTATCTTTTGTAAAATACATATTTTCTTCCATCTTCACTTGCATAGAAAAACTCTTAAGATTCCTTCTGGATCTCCATGCTTATTTTCCAACAATCATACTCTATATCTTAAATTACATGTCTTCCAAGTCCTCCACTGTCAAGGCCCTGTTTCCTTCCCCAATAAACACCCCCAAATTATTTTTAACAATTTCCTGCTAGTCAAATCTGTTTATCTGGTTTCTTACAAGTTTTTCATCTATGTAGTATCAAAGGGACTTTTTTTTTTGAGACAGGGTCTTGTTCTGTTGCCCAGGCTGAAGTACAGTGGGACGACCATTGCTCACTGCAGCTGCGACCTCTCGGGCTCAAGCAATCCTCCTGCCTCAGTCTCCAGAGTAGCTGGGACCACAGGCACGAATGTTTAAAATTTTTTATGGAGACAATGCTCTCCCTAAATTGCCTAGGCTGGTCTTGAACTCCAGGGCTCAAATGACCCTCCTGCCTCTCAAAAGTGCTGGAATTACAGGCATAAGCAACTGTGTCTGTCCAAACGAGCTATTACATATTAACAGTAGACCACACAATTTAGTTTGCTTATCTTTCAAGTATCCCATTCTGATGCATTTTTCTGGTACTTCACTTGACAATATCACCATGTAATCTAACTATGTGTTAATCATTTCCTCATAAAAATGATTTTTAAAGAGGATGACACAGTGTACCATAGTATCCTAGATGGAATAGAAAAAGGATATTAGGAAAAAATTGTGAAATATTAGTAAAATGTAAAGCTTAGTTGTAAAATAGGAAAGGAGAGCAAAACAAAATGTCTTATTCTAATCATATATTAGCATTATCAAACTGCTCAATCTATGTAAAATTTTTTGAGGTAATAGAAATACTTGGCCGGGTGCGGTGGTTCACGCCTGCAATCCCTGCACTTTGGGAGGCCGAGGTGGCCGGATCACAAGGTTAGGAGTTCCAGATCAGCCTGACCAACATGAAGAAACCCCGTCTCTACTAAAAACACGAAAATTAGCTGGGCATAGTGGCGCACACCTGTAAGCTACTCGGGAGGCCGAGGCAGGCGAATCACTTGAACCTGGGAGGCAGAGGTTGCACTGAGCTGAGATCACACCATTGCACTCCAGCCTGGGTGACAGGGTGAGAGTCTGTCTCAAAAAAAAAAAAAAAAGAAAAGAAAAAAGAAAGAAAGAAATACTCTATATCTTTCCTTGTATGTTAGCTACATAACTTTGTTAAAACTTATTGAACTACATACCTGAAAAAGGATGATTTTACCATGTGTAAATTGTATCTCAATAAACTTGTCTCAACAAAACAAAACTAACACCTAGTTGCCTGATACAAGTGGTAAACCCTGTGTCAGTACACATCTGAGTAACTCTTAGGCCTAGGTTAATAGTAATAAGACACACTTTCTTTAACCCTTAACAAAGTTCCTAAAGGGAAGACTTCTTTCATTCCGTCCTTAGGTAGGGGCAGCTATTCCTCAAAAACAGCTCACATATTGTATCACCAAAAGCTAAGAGATGGCCAGTAAAGTTTTTCTGTGTGTGTGTGGTTTAGAGAATTCTGGACACAATATTTGTGTCCTTTGTGTGTTGTAGATTATTTATAGTCTATTCTTATGCAATTGTTTTATGTATTACAAAGCAGTTACTTTTTCGTTCTCTAAACACAGCAATTTTCTCAAAGGAAAAGGTGTATTTGAGTGCCATCGAGTCATCTCCTCCTTAAAAACAGTTAGCAATAGCACCTTCAAGACGAATTATTACATTTTTTAAAAGGAAAGAAGCCTATAAGTAAATCATCTCTAAAATCTCCCAACAGATATTTTCTGGCATACCCATTGTATTGCCATCCATAATCAGAAAGAATTTTTGTCCTTTCTAAGGGATGAACTATATGCATTATTACAAGATCGGCATGGATTTTGAAATGTGTAGATAACATATACACTTATGTGAATGTGCAGGATTTTATAATACATACAGGGAAAGCTCAGGAAAATAAGCCTGAGTGCATGGGGTGTTAATCATTCAAAGGCCTGGAAGACAGCAGCTGTGCAGAGCGACACCATAAGTAAAGCTTCAATTTAAAAGCACAAACCCATTTAAATACCATCATAAACTGTGATACTTTAAGATGAGGAAATTACAGCAGAATACATTTACAATTTCCATTAATAGGAAAGAGAATCAGCAGGTAGCAATCTTAAAACAAAGTAAAACCTACTTCTATTTTTCACTCTCTTCCCTCAGACAGCAGCAGCATTTTCTGTACCAAAGATCAAAATTATCAGAGCTCTATATTCTACAAATATCTTTTGAATTGCCAAGAGGGTACTGTCCTATAAAATTAAAAAGGTACTAAAATCTTGCTTTACAAATATTATTTTCAGTAATTAGAATGTTGTTGGAGCTGTATTTCTTTTGGCCATAAGATAGTAAAGTTTTTATCCAAATTCACTACTCACTAGTGGTGAGATTTAGGGACAGTTAAGTAATTTCTCTAATCCTCAATTTTTTCATCTGTATAATAAATATAATAACATATTCTTCACAGAATTGTTGTGAGGATTAAATGAGACTATATCAAACTGTCTCCACAGATATCCTCCCCCTCCCTCCTCCTCGGCTGATGTTGGCAGATCTACCAGTTACCGCATGTTACTCTAATTCTTTGTATTACTGTCTAAAGCCCACTAGATTGAGCTACTTGAAGAAAAGGATCATGCTATACATATCTTTGTTTCCCAGGTGATAATCATAGCCCTGGTCACATAAAAGGTACTCAATAAATATTTGGCATACAAATGAAAAAATGACGTGATGTGATAAATCCTCAGACCCTGTTCACAGAAGCCAAACTTAGCCAAACTAGGTTATCAGGTTATCAGGTTTCAGAGAGTGATTCAGCCTCATCCACAAGCTCCCAAAGCAGTAAAAGGGTCACAGAGAGATGCATGACTCATAAATAGCCCCTCCAAGTATTTGTAAATGTAATTAACTTCCCATGTTTCAGAGGTTAATCGTCCAGCTCTTGGTTTCTCTGTCTTTTGGCCGAATTTATAATCACTTGACTCCTCTTTAGTGCTCCTCTTTAGGCAGCCAAAGAAAAGGAACTGAAAGTGGAGATATATAGCCTTCGGGACTCGGAACTACTCCCTCCCAGTCCAATCCCTAAGATAATCTTAAGAAATTCAGTCTAGGACTAGACGGCAAAAACAAAACAGAGCAAAGCACAAACAATTACTTTTGTCTAATAGCCTTAACATATACTTAAGATAAATACACACCTGAGACTTCCCAACAAAATCCATAAATGTTGGGCCATGAATCCCCTCCAAACATGTTAGTTTCTCTATTAAAAAGCTTTGAAATCAAACCTGTTAAGTGGCTGAAGGAACAGCTACAAGCCACTGCCTGCTGGACACACCTATAAGAATGGAAGGTTTGAAAAGCAGGGGTTGTTTCTTCAGCTCCAGGCTGGGCATGCCACTTACATGGGAACTAAAGAACTGGCTTAAAACGAGGACTATAATCTTTCTGGAACAATAGGTCATGACGAGCTTCCTTAATGCCAAAATAAGTGTTTAGAAGTAACTTCTGCTAACTGAAAAAAAGTATAAAGGGCATATATATTTACTCTGGCTGGAATACAACATTTCTGAATATGTTTATCAGTGCCAAGAGTCAGAACCCTTTTCCCTCATGGATTTCCAACCTGGGACCCATTCCATGGAATGTCTCTATATCCGAGAAATGGCATAAAGAAGTTGTATCATATTAATAGCTAACCAGTTCAGTATCTGTTCTCTTTGACCTCTAAATCACCCTAGATCTGATGTGAGAAGGTAGACTAATTGTAAGGTTAAATCTCAAAAGGTAAGAAAAACCACAATTGCTCTTGATTAAAGAGCTTCCTCTACAAGAAGCCATCAAATAATACATAATCACAATGTTATAGAAAAATGAAGTCTACCTGCTAAAATGGCATTTTGGCCATGGCTATGCTGGTAAAATAGCATTAAAAGCAGTAAGATCCAAGAACTGGACTGAAGAGAGCAGGTCTCTGATCTTAAGCCTGGATTCCAATGTTAAGAAAGTCACTATTGATTTTTCACTTTAAAAATCCTTGATTTCAAAGGCTAACCTGCCTGAACTTCACAGGAGAGAAGGCATCTATTGAGAAAGAATGCTACAAATAAGTTTTACAGGCCACACAGTAAAAATACGGCAACTTTTATTCCACGGTTCAAATACGTAACCCCAGACATCAAATCCTAAAACATATAGGAAATTATGATTCATACGCTTAGAGGCTTATTTTGCAGAATCCATAACAAGAACTATTACCTAAAGCACCCAAATTATCCCACATCTGTTTAGCTCCACTGGTCACTAAGGCCATTTGACATCAAAGATGAGAAATCCTTCTGCTTAGGGACCTACTATGGAAATGCGAACTTAAAATCATCCATTCAACTTGCCAAGGCAACTGATGTGCCTATCAATTGTTTTGCCACATGCCTGCCCTTTGCAGTGGTTGAGCAAGCCTAGGTTAATTTTACAATAAACCAGTTTTTGGGTTAGCAAATTACTTGTGTTTATCTGGAAGGGTACTAGGATAGGGAATAGTTAAGTAGATAAAATCAGTCCTTACATGGAAAAAAAAAAAATCTGACATAGCTTCAGTAGCTCCAGTACTTAGTTCCTGATCTAGGTAATCTATTTGGAAAAGTCTTTGATTTTTGTATCAAAAGTCTTGAGATTAGCCAAGTGAAAGTAATATTTTTACAGGAATTATATCTCAAGTTCCAAGATCAACAAGCCACTCAAATCAGACATAAGAAATAACATTACATAATAGCCACTTAATGCCTATTGTTTTACAGTAACAAAGGCTTCATTTACCATATTTCCTCGAGTGCTTTATTCAGCTGGCAGTTTTTCCCATGCCAAACATAATTTTTTCCCTCAACCCCTTCATACATCTATAAAAGTAAAACATTTTATACTTATACTTTTTAAATTATTATAATTCCCAATTTAAATATATCCATCCTATTGCATTTTAGAAAACATTAATGTGAAAGGGGCATAAGTGATTTTTATGTAAGCTATGGATCCAGTGATTTTCTACAGATTTCATAGCTGAGAAATTTGTCAATGACTACATAATATTCCAATAACGACTCTTAAGGAAGAAACCCAGTAAAGCGTGAGACATAAACATACACTGTAACATTTAAAATTAGATAGAATAAAGCATACTTCTTTACAGCTTTTATTTTGTTTGATAGCTTCAACAAATACTCATGTGGCAAAATGGGCCTGGTAAATCCATCAGCTTTCTTCCCCTTCTAATTCTATGACCCTAAGAGACCTCAGCAAATTTCACATTTTCAGTTTCTCATTCCCTCCACCTAGGTTTTTCACTCAGAACCCAATATACTACCTCTAAAAGATACTGCCACTTGAACTTCCATGTCAGGTTAGAAACTTTCCAGGGGCACAAGGTGCTGGTACTTACTTTGAACAGCTAAAAGCTTATTCAAGAACTTCAGAATAAAAATGGTGGTTGGCCTACCAGATGTCAAGATCTGCATTTTGCTTGTACTACTGCCTGCAATTACAGTTTGCTAAGAGCCCCCAAACTCTGACAAAATCAGTCACTGATAAATGTAGGACCACAAAGCAGAATGTAAAAATTCCCAGGATTCTATAATAAAGTAAGCAATGGGGTGCTTCAGATAAGAGATATACAGTAATGACTGCCTATTCTTCTTACCAATCTATTTTACCTTCAAGTACTGATCAAAGCCTAAATTCTCTGCTATGGTCTTTTTTCTTTAAAATAAAACCATGATATGTCAGTTGTGATATTAGTATAATTACCTTCTCAAATAGGCATGTCCAATAGACATTAATGTAGCTAAAATTCCCACAGGTCCTTTTATTGTATTAATAAGGTTTAAGATCAACATTTTCAGAATTTACAACCAAGTTCCTAGTGGAATTTTTTTCTTTTCTTTTTTTCTATCTGCCTGGAAATAAGGACAGTACCAGAACTACAATGTATGAACTTTTGAGATCTATCTAGTTACAAAATGTACCACATTATCACAAAAACCAAGTTCCTACTGATAGAGACTGACTCTACTTTTAGTAGACAATTTTATGCACACTTTGTATCTACTTTCATCTAGGTAGCCCCAGGACCATTTTAATATCTTGGCTCTACTATGTAAGTTTCAAAAGGATTACTCAGTTACCATGATGTCACTCCCAAATGACTAGTTACAGGTAGTGAAGACAGCTCAGATTAACATAACATGCTTACTCACACTAGAGATGGGTGTGTATGGAGGGTGAGGCTGGGGTCCAGGGCCTCCAGTTTCCATCTGTGTGAGACACCAGCTATTTCCATTTCAACCAACGGAAGAAGGACTTTCCCAAATTATTCAGATAGAGTCCTATTCCAAGCTTCCTCTTCTATGGGCCATCTCCACACAGGAATTCAAATGATTCCTTGACCCCAACACCTGTCAATCTTTAACCCAGAAGGCAAATGGTCTCTATCTTGAAGCTTACGATTCCTGTTTAAAGGTATTACTTGAGCTTCTGATAACAGGATAGATGTGTAAAGAGAAGCAAGCAAAACCATTAGAGAATATAATGTTCTACCCATCACTGTGCACTTATCAATATACTACTCCCACCACTGCCTTGAGTGAAGACACACACAGAAACACACTCTCTCTCACACACACACAATAGCAGTGAATAGACCATGCCTCCCCATGCAGCATATGCTCCATAATTCTTATGTTTTATTTTTAATGAATTTCTTTTGAAATCTACTTTTTGCACTCTCACACATTTCTCTCTCCCTTCTCTCTCACTCTTTCCTCGCTTCCTCCCTCCCCCTTGTCTCACAAAAGACCTACATATTCCAGGGGCAAAACAGTCTGTGATCTCCTACTGTAAGTTTCACACTAGAAGCTAAAAGCAACATTTTTGAACTGTGCATATTTCTGCTTCCATCCTTTGTATCTGGTAAGCCTTAGATGCCCAGAATCTGCGAATGCTGCCACAGTTGGGACAGCCAGGCTCTCAACAGGAGCCACTCAGCTGCTGGAAGCTCTGGGCTTGGAGCTCAGTTTTCTCCTCTGCTCTAGGGGTATCCCTGACCAGGCTGGGGGAGAGGCGGTCAGGAGCAAGGGCAGCCCAGGTTACTGGACGGCGTCATGGAATATTAGCAACGTGAGAGCTAACTAGAAATGACAGAAGGACTGAAGGGGCAAGCCCTGCATGATTTGTAAGTCTGTCCTGCCTGCAGAAGACACAGTCAAGAGCATAAAGAAAGTACAAGGATGAAAGGAAGCAACTACGAAACAGGCCTGGGCAAAGCAAGGAGTGGGAGGAAATGGGCTCAGGGACTCAGGGAGGGGCAGAGCCTGCAGGTCAGGCGTGGAGAGGAGGAGAGGAGCAACAAGTGGGGCCAGGCTTCAGTCTCCTGTGGACTAGGCTGCAGGGGAGGGGCTGGGGTACCAGGGCCTCAGGAGGAGAGCAAGAGGTGGTGTGTGGGAGCCAGAGACGCTCGGTCAGGGCTTTACAGTAAGAGAAACTCCAAACCTAAACATGTCACAAAGGAACAGTCATAAGGCTACGGAAGAAATTTGAGCTTCCAGAGGGAGGTGAAAAGGAAACTGTCATTGCCAATTTGGGCAATGAAGCAGACAACAAAGTGAGCAACAGTGAGTAAGGGGATATGATTCAGGGAGGAGGGCTGACGGGCCAGCCACGAATGTGCAGAGGCAAGGCCATCATAGCTGCGCTGCTGCTGTATTTAGCTGCCCACAGAGAGTGGCCACCACCCCTGTTCTCCAAGTCCTTGCTTCACTCTCTCCTGGGTTATGACACCCCCACCCTGGGGCACCTGTTCATGCTCAAGTCATCCATGAGTTTCCAGTTGCCAGATGCAACACACACCTTCACTTCAACTCTCTGTGGAGTGCTGGGGGTGTTGACCATTTTCCTCCTGGGATTTCCAGGACAGCACCCTCCTGGTCCCCTCCCTTTATAGGGGACTTTTTCCGACTAAGTCTCCTTTCCTGTACCTCGCTGCATTTCTGCCCACTCCTTAAGCGGGGTATCTTTAATTCTCCCATGTATTAATCTGATGTATTTCTCAGATGGTCTTAATAGTAAGTCCCGTGTTTATTATTTTGGCACAGCCTGCCTGAGTGCCCTGGATTTATGTACTCAGCTGCCTGCCTAGGGGGCTCTTTCTTTCCAGTCTCAGTGCCTTCGATGTTCCCAGATGCCTGTCCCCAAACTCCTCCCATGATGGCTCTTTCTCATCCTTGAGGGCTCCCTTAAATATTACCTTCTCGAAAGACCTTCCCTGACCACGTTATCTGAAGTAACTCCCATCATCACCCCACAGGGTTATGTTCTCATCTCGGCTCTTGCTTACAGCCATTGGAATACTGACCACATTGGCAATTGACTTAGTTGGATACTTGTTTATTGGTGAGGCCTAAGTACTCATCTATCTCATTTATCACTGTGTCCCTTGACCAGCATGGGATACACGTTTGGGATACTGGCTGAATGAAGGAATAAATATCCCGTGGTATTCAGTGCACAACAGATCTTCAATAAATGTGAATAACTGAGCTTTAGGGGAAAAAAGGGGCAAGTATAATATAGGTTCTTGTGTTTTCCCCGCCTCACTCTCATAAGTACAGGTGGTTCCTCCCTCTTCCTGGTTCCTGGAGTCAAAAACCCCAGGGCCATCATGGAATATTTCTTCTTCTCTCAGAGTCAATGGCTCATCAACTTCTATCAACGTCATATCCTTCATATCTCTCAAAGGCACAATCTCACTTCATTCTTTATCTAGCCCTGCAAAATCTTTTAAACAGACTACCCCAAGAACTTATTAACTGGCTTGCAGGTCTCACCCCCACTCCCAGACCTAAACCCCAGTGTGGCTAGACATGTCTTCCCAGCACAGGATCAAAACCAAACTCCCTCATATGCCAAGCGCCTCAGCTCTCCTCCGCAGCTTCACCACCCACTACTCATCTTCATTTGTAATGACAGCAGTAATATTAACAGCTAAAATTTATTGAGAATTTTTACATGCCAGTCATTTCATTAAGCATTTTACACATATGAATGCATTTTAATCTTTACAACAATCCTATAAGATAAATACTTATCCCTATTTTATAGACGGAGCAAGTGAAGTCCAAAGTTAACATAACCAATCTCATACAGTCAAGATGTTAACCCAGGTAAATGGGCTTCAGAACGACCCTCTTAACCACTGTGCAGTACTGCCCCTTCCAACTCTCTGCTTCAGCAATACTAAGCCATGTCTAGTTCCTGGAACTCTGTGTTGCCAAGGTCACCAGGCCTTTGTACACACCATTTATCCTGCCCCTTGGAAAGGCTCTGTTCTTCACTTTCGTCAACAGCAAATATCTTTCAAAACCTTTTCTATGTGGTGTCTCTTCTGGTTCCCTGAGACCAAATTCTCTCTTACTCACTGAGCTTATATGTGAGCTCCTATGGCTTATATGTACCTTGTAAATACTTCTTGATTGTCCTGGTTTGCAATGATTCATTTACTTGTCTTCATTGAAAGCATGCCTACAGCTTTCAAAATTGGGTCACAGTGCCCAGGTACACAATAGGTGCTTAATAAATGTGGAGTTAATTGGGATTTGGGTAAAAGGGGTGAGTACAGGTTTACTAACACCTGGAATACCAGGGCAAGAGGGAAGAGGATTCTCTATAGTTCTCATAGTCATGACATATATTCATGAGCAAAACAAAGGAAAAACTCATCAAACACTACAGATGTATCTGAAGGGAAGATGCCGAATGCATAAAAAATTCAATACATCCTGACAACTACAGGATTTAGTTTAAGATCCCTGAAGGTACCTGCTGTTCATAGCAATTACTGAGTAATGTGAATTCTGCAAAAAACAACTACCAAAATAAAAACCCCAAAAACTTCTTTTTTGGTTCTCAGAAAAAGACATTTGGAAACTTGCTCAAAGTGATGAACTGAGTCACAAACTACCCATCGGCGTGGAAAATGGTTTTATTGATTTAGGCATCATCAAGGTTGAAAGATTATCATTAAGCAAAATGAAAACATGACAGATTTCTAAACATTAAGGTTAAAACACAAGCATCTTCTGGATTCTCAAGACTGCACTTCAGCAAAACTAAAGGCCCAACTCAAAACTTAGCAGCAACATTTAGAAATCAATTGTAGCCCTTTCCTTAAGGTGTGACAGAGAGCAGATATAATTAAAAGAGAAGCTTGATTCGTTTCCCCCAAAAGTTTTTCATCCAATGGGCAAAGAAAAGATGCTATAAACATAAGCAGTGACATGAATGCAGGCCAACTAATTTCCATTCTGAGTTGTGAGAGGATCCTCAATGAATGGAATAGCCACAGACCTATGAAACTGAAAATCTCTGAAACATGCAATCATTACTTCAGTCTAAAGCAACAAGTTTTCGTATAAAGTCTCTTCATTTATGCCTAGGTTTCTGTCCCTCAAAGCAGCAGGTGAATGGCTGTACTGAGACTACCTTGAGGAAATGAGGGGAAGGGAGAGGAGGACAAAGCCAGTTATATAGAAGGAACTATTTCCAATGGAACATGTAAGCTATACAGCAACAGAGTAGACAAAAGCCAGTGTGCATCCCAACAATCTCATGTCTGCCATGGTCAAGACAAAAGAGAATGAAGGGCATAATATACTGTCCTTGGGACGTAGCACAAGGGACAGAGTCTTTCAGTTCATCAGTACTGTGTCATCTTTGAGAATCTAGGCCTGAGAGTATGTCTGTAGGCTTCTTTCCTCAGGAACCCCAAGAGTTACAGGCACAAGTAGGGCTGTAGGTTTTAAGAAAAACCTTCAATATTTTTCTCTGAGAGTACAAACTAACAAACCAGCATCACATTGAACTATAAGGCAAACGTAATGTAGCAAACCAAAAGTTTCCATGATGACAATTTCTACCATAATAAAGGTTTAAGGTAAGAGTCTGAAACCATTCAAGCTCTCGTTTAAGTGTGACAAACATTCTATCCTTATGAGTTCTAAGATGCTCATTCATAGGCTCAAAGCTGAATTTTACTTTGATAGATGCAAGAAGCTGATATTAAAGAAAAAGCTAAGATAAAGTCCTCCAGATTACAATGTTAATCAGAACAAACAGATGGGATAAAATATTCAAAATGAACAATCTGTCACACAAGTCAGCAAGTGTGCAGGAGAGGAACTAAGTTTGGGAATGAGAGATATCTCAAGGGTTAAGGCATATCTGACTGATGATGACAGCAAGGTGTCCTCACCTGGACACTGGGGACACCCTTATCGAGGATGGCAAAACAGAACAACTTGCGAACAGAAAGGTCCTTTGGAAAGGAGAAAAACTACTCAGCCCGGTAAGGTACAGCATTAGACTTGGAAAAGGAAACAGGATTTAGAACAGTTAAGGGGCATCTCAAAAGTAGAAGTCACAATGTAAGCACATGTTTCATGTCCTTAGGGAAGGACATGGAGCCAGAATTGATCACTGTATAATAACAGGATGCAATAGCCACATACATTGCCCTGGAGATGAGGATACCTAGCCTTCTGAATCTACATAATAAATATAAAGCAATGCTAGCCCTTTGAGACAGACAATGACTCGATGGATGTAGAGATGATCTTTGGGATGTTTATTTCCAAACTGCAAAACCTGAAAATCTCCAGCAACAAACAGGCTGTCATAACCTTTACTCTTAAAAGGGGGAGAAGAAAATCCCCTTCCCTCTCTATTTTGCCAAATTGAAGATACGGTTTCATGACTTGGGGTGGAAACAGCCCACCCAATGCTCTCCCATTTTACTGGGAAGAATTCAGGTTTCCTTAGAATCTAGGCTCTCTGTCAGTGTGAGCTGTCTGAATTGGAGTGTTCAGGCTGGACAGGTACTGCCCTAAAGCCAGGCTCAGAGCAGCCTGAGAATCCTCCTGCATCTGACTCTCTCCAATAATACTATCAACAGGTAGGTAGGAAGAAGAAAGGCTCCAACTGCTCTACGGGTTCAGACACACACATACGATGCCAGAACAGACTTCTCTCCCTAAGAACTGGTTCCAGGTAAGAGTAGAGGCTGTACCGCAGCCAGGACTACACAACTCAGAAATATTTAAGGGATTCTGTCCAGCTGAAATGGTAAGAAATCATACGAATTATCACCATGTTGAGCAGTGGCCTAGTTCATGTGTAGCATGTATCTCTCTTCAACTTTATTAGTTGTCTTGGAGGTTTGGTGCATGGTTGACACAACTTGATGAGCAATACTACAAAATGAGCAATACTACAAGAGAGGGTCTCTGACCATATATGGCAGAACGAGAAAAACATAGTCACATTACTTAAAAGGTACAACTTCAGAATCCAACATAGTTTAGTGGTATCAACACTTCAAACTGCATCAAAAAGCAAATATGACTTTGAAACCTGCCAGATGTCTCTCTCATACACACAGGTGCACATGTGATTTGTGTGTGCACCCATGTATATAAACAGTGTATGTGAGTATTCCAGGATGTTTCTGAAATGTAAGAAACCATGAAAAACTTCAAAAGGAAAAACTAAGTTTTCTAAAGTATCACATATCCACATTTATACTACAAAAAGTTACAGGTATAACCAAAAAGAACGAACCATTTTCTTGGGTTCTTTGAACACTGAAGCATAGAGATTGTGAAGCTCCAAATCTGAGAGCCTGCATCCTGTTTATCTGACTGCAAAGTTGCTCTCATGCATGTTCACATGTACATGCAAGGCAAGTTTTGAAGGAAAACAAAGAATCAGTATTAACACAACTCAAAAGGTGTGCCCCTCTAAAAGTACAACAATCTTACTTTTCTGTGCTGGACACAAATGTGGTGAGAAATGCCTCCTTCAAAGTCATAGTCTCTCAACACAAGTGTCAGCAAACTCTTGGAACTGCCTGTCACTTGTGGCATGAGCTTCATCTTGACATTAAAATTCTTTTTCTTTCCCCATCTTTTCTATCAAATATACGTTACAAAATGAAAAGGACACTCCTGTATTAGTAATAAATGCCAGCAAACCATTGAAAAATCAAAATGACAAAGTTATGTAGATCTGCCTCTCCACAGATAGTATGAAATAGCTAACCTGGGCTATCCTTGCATCGTACATCTGCATCTTATAAAGGTCAAATATTTAATAGAGAGGAACATCTGAAGGGCTCAACGAAAAGTACCAGAAGCCTCAATGACTGGGTGAATGAAATGGATAAACATGATCAGGTCAAAGGGACAGACTTAGACAAAGTATCTCCTCCTCTTTCCCTTTTTCTCCCCCACCTCTCACAAGGAAATGTCTTATTATCCACATTTCAAAAGGAGAAAACCTATGAGAAGCACATTTATCAGGGTTACCCAGGAAACCACAAGGACGAAGAAATACCTGAAACAGTACCCCCTCCCCTAGCGGGGCATAAACTTTTCAAAGTGTCACCCAATACACAAAACCCCAGCTCCTGAGGGGCTCAGGCAGCTCCGCCTGTGGGCCCCTGGGAAGTGAAAGCATTCCCTCTCCAGGCAGAGATCCCCGCGTTTTTACCTTTGTGTTCGCCGAAGCCTGTTCCCACTCCTCAAATGAGGCAAAGTAAAGTTTGAGAGCACAGTCCAAAAATTGGGGTCAGACATATCCATTTCTTTCTCTCTTCAATTCACTGTGGGTTCAAGGCCATATGACTAAAATGGGGAGAGGTAAAAAAAAGGAAGAAAGACAAGGCCAAAAATAAAAAAAAAATCCCAATTATCTACTCACTCCCTCCAGAGAAAATGTGATGGGAACTGTGATCTCAAGAACAACTTGGAGCATGTCTGAGAAGTACCCGTCCCGTCCTAGCCTTTAATTAACACACAGCCTCCTCTCAAAGGTCCGGGAAACTGATTTCCTCTCGGGTCTGCCCTCTCCTAGTCAGGCTCGGCCAGCTATAAACAGTAATTACATGAGTTGAGCCGTGCGTTCTGCTCAAAGCGCTGTCTGTGGGATTCAGTCGGAGGTACTTTGTCATCTGTTTGGCAGATACCACTCGCCGCTTCTGCGAGGGGCGGGGGAGACGACTATTTTGAGGCTTTGGTTCCGGAGGCTGTTGCTTATCAGCAAAACCATTCACATCCGAACATGCCCAGTGCCGAGTTTCCTTTTGGTATCTACATACAAGGAAAAGAATTTGAATAGAAAAAGCTGCTCTTGCCCTCCCCTCCTGAAAAAAGCGGAAACTTAAAAGCACTTTTAAAAAATGGGCCTATTGGAGGACTTGAACCTGACACCTTTGTGGACCCTTCCAGGGTCCGGCTGGGAGGAGGCGGCAGGGCCTTGTCCCTGGACAGCTTGGTGGCCGCGCCCCCAGCTTTCCTGCATCCCCCACCCCCCACCAGCCCCGGCCGCGCCTGAGGAGCGGGGGCTCACGGGAAAGGGAGCAGGCGGCCGCGGCGCGACCCCAGCCGGTGCCGGGACAGCCCCGCAGCCTGGGCCGCCGCTCCCCCTCCCCGGAGCCCGGAATGGATCCGTCCCGGAAATAAATAAATAAACCCGCGGCTGCTCCGGGTGTGTGCTGCGCGCACCTGAGGCCGACCTGTGATTCACCGCGGGAGGGATGGCAGTGACAACGCTCCGGGGAAGTCCACAGTGACTCCTCCGCCAGGACGCCGCTGGTTGTATAGGAAAAGCACGCGGACGGGAAGCCACACTCACCGAAAACCTCAGTAAACTAAATTTATGAGTTTACATCTGTTCCATCAATGACCACGGTGCACACCTGTTTGGCTTCATGGCCGGCAACTACAGATCTAGGTAATGGTGAGCCCCGATGTGGAAAGACACTACCTGGCATTTATGTGGCAAATGCTACAAGTATTGCCCCTTCAAGTACGTTAGACCTTGAAAGGGCAGAATGAAGGGGGCTGAATGTTCTTGTTATTCATTTTGAAGAAAGGCATGGTATTTAAATATCTCCCCCTATCCATGAATGTTTGTATAAAGTACATAAAGAAAAAATATAATTTAAATTAGCTGCCTTAAGTCTGGTGTAATATGGCAAGAAATACTAAATCAAAAAAGTATATATTCAGCAAAAAATACATCTAAAAATGGCTTAGTCCATGCAGTAAATACCAGGAACAAACTCGCTTACAAAAATGGGAGGATAAAGAGAAGGAAGAGGGGGTGTAAGCTGACAAGGTAGGCGGGGTAAACAAAAAGAAGCCTGCTGTGGGATCTTCTTTATCTAATTCTTGTGGCCCACATTAATATTTTCACACCAAGGACTCCAAGAGTTTTGGATGATGTTTCATGTCCAAGGCTTTCGTATGCGTTATCTCCTCACATTCTTACAGAGCCTCCACAGATCCTTGCAACCCACAGAGGTAGACAAAGAAGGCATTATTTTCTCAATTTTACATTTGGGACTTTATCCCAAACATTCAGGGACACTAAATGACAAAACACACTTCAATAGATATTAATGAGCTTGGTCCAGCATTTTTGCCCCATGCTCTTCTTTTAAAAAATGTTTCTAAGTATTGCAAAAGATGTTTTGAAGGCTGACACAAAAGAGTGTCCCTGTGCTCCGGAGCAGTTTCTAGACCTCAGCACTGTTGACATAGGCTGGATAATTCTTTGTCTGAGGAGCTTTCTTGAGCATTGGAGGATGTTTAGCAACATTGCTGACCTCGACCTACTAGATGCCAGTGCTGACAATTAAAAATGTCTGAGGACATTGCCAAATGTCCCTTGGGAGGTAAAATCACCCCTGGTTGGGAACCACTGCTCCAGATAAAGGCTTCTCTGAGAGGGGTGATACAGAGCACTGGTTTAGAGCAAAAATTTTGGGTCTGAATTCTGGATACAACACTTACTATGACCTTAAATCTCTTCTCATTTTCCCCAGCTGCAATATGGGGTCCATAATAGGACCAACCTGTAAGAGGCTGATATACATAAATGAAGAGGAGATGGCATACATAAGCCCTTTCACGCAATGTCTACACACACACTGCGCATAAATGTAGGCAGTATACAGAAGCTAAGAGAATACTATGCTGACAGACATAAGACTGGAGCAGAGGACACCCCACAATGTGCTTCTTTCTACTCTCTAGAGTCTTCAACCAGGCTGCTGATCACACTGTGTATAATTGACTGTTTACTGCTGTCTTTCCAATTAGTCTGAGTTCCTCAAGGCTAAAGTCACATTTTACTGATCTTCATATTTTCAGAACCTGACAGCTCCTCAGTTTATATAGGCATTTAATATTAGTAAATCCTTTTTGAATGGATACTTCAGAAGCCCAAGTATCTCTTATTTCTCTTAAGATGCACTGAAACTATTAGTACTAGTAGATCTGTATTCTCAAAGAATACTGAATTTTTGAGAATCCCATGAAGACGGTAAATTCTGAAGACTTTCTCTTAGTGACTTATTTGTATCTATATCATGTAGCTGGAAAGATATCAGTGCTAACATTCCTCAGGTCTTTACATGGCTCTAAGAAATGTCACAATCAAACTCAAGGGGAATTCCCTTTGAGTCCCATGTCCCCTCCTCAAAGGCAAGCCCAGAGAATAACTTTTTGTGCTCACTTGTAGGTATCCAAGATCAAGAGGGACAATTACATATTATAAGCCGCACAGAGAAGAGTAATCAAGGTGGACATGAACTTGTGCTATATAAGTTATGGGTTGAAGAACTCTGTGGAAAGTAGAGAAGAAAAAATTTAGGGAACAAGCAGTAGTTGAATACAGCTATGTGAAACTATGAGAACTATGTGAAAGAGTGTTTGGATCCAAAGATGAAAGAGCTGACACAAGAGTGGATTTTCTGAGAGCTGTTTGAGCAGAGAAAACTTGAAGGAGATACAGTGAGTAGAACACAACCTGTAGGTGGTTTGAAGACCTGAGGACTCCAATACCTCCCAACTCTCATATTCTCTATAGTTTTTCTAGAAAAGCCCATGTATTGGGGCATAACCTATAAAGATGATAGCAACTAAAATGGATAAATCAATGACATAAAATGTTTATTTCTTCTCTTGATTAAATGACAGATACCCCAATCTGCAGGCATCATATGTTATGACTGCCTCCACTCTCTGCATTTTGAGAAAGCCTCTACAGAAATTCTCAAAGGAATGGGTAAAGACATGAGTATTTTTAACTACATATACTTTAAATTTATTTTTTTTTTTTGCATTTAAAAGGCTTGAGAGGATTTGGGTTGTATCCAAACTGAAAAAATAAAAATAGGTTAAGTACATGAGGAACCAGAATGAATTAATATAGTGAGCGAAAGTGGATTGTACATTCCCACACTCATGAAGATAAGAGTACAGATGACACTGAAGTGTGAGTTGTCTTCTAACCTGTTTGACTTGATTTGGTTACATATGATTCAGAAGGCAGAGCAGTCGGTAAACACAAGAATTAAAATTGTCAAAACTACTGACATTTTCCTACAAAATAATTATATGGGCAGAAACTATAGTTGCGACTGCAGTAAAACTCAACTGCAGAACAAAGAGGGAACTGAGATTACTGGAAATTCTTAAGACTATAGCTGGTCTAGGTCAATATAGAGATATTCAGCAGGATTTTCTATTGTGTAACAACTAAGCCTATACAACAATGGACAAGCTTTGTGGTTCAGAACTTTCATTCATTTAATCAGGATGACATTGTTAGCCATTGGTTTTGTAAGGTAAATGAAACTAAAAAACAAGCTTGTCATCCTACTGAAATGCAAGCTTAGGAAGAAATAAGTATTTAAGAAAGGGTCAAATCCTTCACTATTACCTCCCCTTCTACATACAAAAAATGCCAGGTCCTTTTTACTGACTTGAATTCTGTCTACTGCCCACCTGTTGACACAAGCCACCCCCCCCCTTTTTTTTTAGACAGAGTTTCACTCTTGTCGCCCAGGCTGGAGTGCAGTGGCGCGATCTTGGCTTACTGCAACCTCTGCCTCTCAGGTTCAAGCGATTCTCCTGCCTCAGCCTCCCAAGTAGCTGGGATTACAGGCAGTCGCCACCACACCCAACTAATTTTTTTGTATTTTTAGTAGGGACGGGGTTTCACCATGTTAGGCAGGCTGGTCTCGAACTCCTGACTGCAGGTAATCCACCCGCCTCAGCCTCCCAAAGTGCTTACAGGCGTGAGCCACCACAGCCGGCAACACATGCCCTTTAAGAAGGGGTTTTCTCCAGTCCACGTAGAACAATGTTAAAAGATAATATGCCTGGAGTCTTGTCTTGAACTTAGATTCTATGAAAAGACTTAGTTTTCTAGTGTGGATGTGAAGTCTGCAAAGCTGTCAGCTCCCTGTGCAGGACACTCGGGCCATGAGGCCATGCCCAATAAGACACTAAGTTGAGATTTCCTAAGCACTCTACCTGATCCTGGCCTATTCTAAGGATTTTGCCCTAAACTAACTTTGACATCTTCCCATCCCCATTTTCAGGGCACCTAGAAGTGACTAGTTCCCTAGGGCTGTCCACACCTTCAAGTCCACTTTGGTCACCTTCTAAATGTGGTCTTGAGAGTTTGAGGCTAGAACTGTGAACAGCAAACTGGCTGTCCTGAATGAGCAATCCTTGTAATCATTTTGTACATCCCAAGAAATAAAGTTTAATACTGGGACAGAAATGGGAAGAAAGTTACATCAATGAGGAACAGGTTGAAGAAAGCGTTTCTAATATTATTAAACAAATTTGCACTCACAATGCTAAAATATGGAGAAAGATAAAAAGATAGACAACAATTAACTTGTAGGGATAGGCCTGAATGCTGAAAACTAAGACAGATAATAGGCAAGGTTGTATCATCCTGGAAAATACCAAAAAATATTTTAAAATAATGCCACAAGGTAAGAGAGGTTCAGATTTTTAAAGTGAATGAGTAAAATGAAAGAAACATTATCCTGGAAGCAAAAAAGGAAAAGGAAAAAAAAAACCCAAAACAAAGGAAACAAAATAAGAATTCTATTTCCTGATGGGTTGAGCAAAGAACTACACAATCTCCGAAGGTAGTGTAAAGGATACAGTCTGAAGCAAGTAAAGGACATGCTAAAGACTGGCCAGAATGGGAAGAGAATGCAAGGTCTTTCTCAGGCATTCTCTGGATCCCAGGAGAATCAGAGACACGGAAAAGATTAGCAGATAACCTATAAGCTAACAAAATATAAGAGAAGACAGTGCATAGATATGGGAAATGAAGCACTTATCTCCCAAGGCAGTGAGTGACTCCTTGATATGTATGATTGATAATTAGAGTAGAATACATATATGGCACACAGCCCATAGGACTGGAGAAGGTGCAGAATCATGTCTTGCAAGCACACTCCAGCACTCTACCTTCTGACTTTCAAGCAGGGGAAGTTCCTGGGAGAAGCCCCATAGCTTAGTCCCAACAGAGTTCCACCCCGTGGGAGAACAGCTGGACACACTGCCAGAAAACACATGGCATCCTTACAGGGATGAAGGGGTCATGCAAAAGAAGGAGACTACTGGGCAAGATCCAGAGATGAGTGTATCTCTCCATTCTAAAACAGCTGTCTGGAAGATCCATCAATAAACCACGTGGAGCACTGGCCTCCACCCAAGCCAGTAATCCAATTATGAAGTAGACAGCAACACTTGGAGATCAATGCATCACCCGGCAAACAGAAAACCTAACTCCTATCTTGTTTTAAGACCAACCTTGTTGTCACTTTAGGCAGCCTTCATGGGAGCCCCCCATCCCCAATGAATTAGATATCCCTCTACTGGGCTGTGCTCCTGAGAGCTCCTGCATGAAAGGGTTCTTCCACTGTATCAAAATCCAAATCATTTTGTGCACATTATCAGTCCCTATTAGAGTAAGAGCTCCTTGAGGGCAGGGGCTTTATCCCCTCATCTTTAAACCATCACTACCACCATTGGGATGAATATTAAGCAAAGGGAGAAAGGGAACAATAGAGAAAGGATTGGGGGTGAAGGGGTGGGCAGGGGAAAGAAGAGATTGAGGATGGATTTGCTACAGGTTAGAAAGATGTGTGATAACAAAGTTAGGGCTACCTGCCTAATATTTTAAAGACTGACCCTATATGTGTTTTAAAAACCTTTTCCTGTCTATTTCAATTTCAGTTTCATGGGTCCATGAGTCCATTCCATTATCTATATAAGCTGTACCTATTAGGCAGGTCTACTGTTTCAAATTTCAAAATCTCAACAGAGACCATGATAGGTAACGAATTGCGTTTAAGTATAAATATACAACTAGTTGTGTATGAAGTGCTAAATTCTTTTTGATGGTAACAGTGAACCATGGCTACTAATCATTGCATTAGATGCTCAATCTGGAATTAACTTCAAGGACAAGGTGCTTCTTGATCCAGAAACTTGGGTCTAAGGTGCATCATTTCTTATACAGCTCTTGAGCATGAATTATAGTGCAATTATAAGAAGTGTCAATTTGGTTTAAGTGGGTCAGCATGGTTATATTTAGCCCTTTCGTAGCTGACACTAAGACCTTTCTGTAATTTAAGATTAAGGTTAATTTATCCGTTCTTCTTTTCTTGAATATTTTTTCCAGGTCATACATCTAAAGTTATGGAAAATTATGCCATTAAAATGAGAAGTATGAGTTTTCATCAAAGTACCAAACAGGGAGCATATACAGAGGTAGAAATCACATGCTTCTGTAACAATCGGAATTTCCTTCCATTGCTAAGATCAATTCCAATTATTCCACACATCGGAAGATATGTCAGGGAGGACATGAAGTTATTTAGTCAAGGAGTTCTATTAAGTTATATCACTTCTATACCAACAAAAAGTTTAAAAGAAACGTTAATTCATAGGGGTATAAATATAATGTCAGGCATGACAAGTGTTAACTCTTACTAGTTATCATAAAATGTAATTAAAACATCAATCAGGCTGGGCATGGTGGCTCACACCTATAATCCCAGCACTTTGGGAGGCAGGTGGTGCACCTGAGGTCAGGAGTTCAAAACCAGCCTGGCCAACGTGGCGAAACCCCGTCTCTACTAAAAATACAAAAAATTAGCTGGGCATGGTGGCAGGTGCCTGTAATCCCAGCTAGTTGGGAGGCTGAGACAGGAGAATTGCTTGAACCCCAGAGATGGAGGTTGCAGTGAGCCGAGATCATGCCACTGCACTCCAGCCTGGGCAATAGAGTGAAACTCTATCTCAAAAAAAAAAAAAAAAGAGAAAAGAAAAAAAACACATTAATTAGGTATCAATTTACCTGTTTCACTGGTAAAGATTAAAAAAAGATAATACTCAATGTTGGTAAGGACATGGGGAAGATAAGTACTCTCTACTAACTTTCTGGAAGGCAATTTGGAGAAGGAAAACATATACATACATAGACCCATATATGGTCACATACATATATATACATGTAGTAGGCACATATGTGTACATGTCCAAACACATATATAAATGTATGTGTCCATATATACATGTACATATAATATATACATAGATATATTTGAATTATAATTTAATATGCAATATTTATACAAAAGATACAATCAAGTATGCACACAGATTTGTGGATATGGAAATTAATCTCAGAATTGCTTATAATAGCATAATGTTGGGAAAAAGCCAAAGGTACAAGATGAGGGCAATTGTTAATACATCCTAAAACAGCCACAAAATAGAATTTTAGAAAACCAGTAAAGAATTAGAATTACAGTAGGCTGAATAATAGATTCCAAAGATATCCAGGTTCTAATCTCTGGAACCTGTGAATATGTTACCTTATATAGCAAGAAGAGTTTTGCAGATGTAATTAAGAATCTTGAGATGAGGAGTTGGTCCTAGGTTATCCAGGTGGGCCTTAAATATAATCACAAGTGTCTCTATGAAAGTGAGGCAGAGGGATACTTGAAGAAGGCAGCAATGTGGCACTGAAATGAGATGCTAGGCTGCTGGGCCTGAAGATGGAGGAAGGGGACAAGAGCCAAAAAACTGCAAGGAATGCAGCTCTAGGAGCTGGAGAAGGCAGGGAAACAGATTCCACCTCAGCGCTTCTAGAGGGAGCTCAGCCCAGCCGACACCTTGATTTCAGCGCACAGAAATTGATTTCGGACTTCTGACCTTTAAAATTCTAAGAGAATAAATAAATATAAGCTAGTTTTAAGCTAGTTTGTTATAATTTGTTATAGTAACCAGAAGAAACTAAAACAATGATATTTTTAAAAAATATGTAATAAATGGGAAATGCTCCTGAAGTAATATTTTAAAATCAGAAAAAAATGAAGTTCTATGATCTACATTAAGATATTATATATATGGTTATATACGAATAAAAACGATGGAAATCAACAAAGTATATATATATATATTTTTTTGAGATGGAGTTTCACTCTTGTTGCCCAGGCTGGAGTGCAATGGCACGATCTCGACTCACTGCAACCTCTGCCTCCGGGGTTCAAGCAACTCTCCTGCCTCAGCCTCCCGAGTAGCCGGGATTACACGTGCCTGCCACCATGCGCAGCTAATTTTGTGTATTTTTAGTAGAGACAGGATTTCACTATGTTGGCCAGGCTGGTCTCAAACTCCTGACCTTAGGCAATCCACCCACCGCAGCCTCCCAAAGTGTTGGGATTATAGGCGTGAGCCACCATGCCTGGCCAACAAAGTATTTTTAATGAACATCTGTCAGTACAGAATTATGATTTATCCTCTTTTATACTTCTCATGTTTTTTTACAAGTTTGTGTGTGTGTGTGTGTGTGTGTGTATGTGAGTGTGTTTTGAGAGAGCATCTTGCTGTCTCTCAGGCTGGAGTATAGTGGTGAAATCATGGCTCACTGCAACCTCCAACTCCAGGGCTCATGTGATCCTCCTGTCTCAGCCTCCCAAAGTGTTGGGATTACACATATGAGCCACTGTGCTATGCCTAGGTTGTTTTAAATTTAAAAAATTTTCGTCTGGGCATGGTGGCTCACGCCTGTAATCCCAGCACTTTGGGAGGCCGAGGCAGGTGGATCAAAAGGTCAAGAGATTGAGACCATCCTGGCCAACATGGTGAAACCCCGTCTCTACTAAAAATACAAAAATTAGCTGGGTATGGTGGCGGGTGCCGATAGTCCCAGCTACTTGGAAGGCTGAGGCAGGAGAATCACTTGAAACCGGAGGTGGATTTTGCAGTGAGCAAAGATCACACCACTGCACTCCAACCTGGGAGACAGAGTGAGACTCTGTCTCAAAAACAAACAGACAAAAAAATTTCTGATTTCCAGGAGCCACACATTTGACAGTCCTATTATCATGACCTGAAAGTTCAAGTTCCTGAGAATTTTAGAATACTTTGAAGAGTTTACAAACTTAAGAAAACAATACACACTTTTACTCTGGTATTTTAATAAAATTTGATTGATATTTTTTGACACACGAAATAATGCATATGCATTAATAAAAGCTCTATGAGTCTTGGAAATAAATACTAAAATTGCTTTTAAAAAGAAGTCTTTCCTACTCTCAGGAATTCTATAATATAAAAATGAAAAATATCTCTGATTTCTAGATATAAATCCTTACTACCTTGTCTATGGCAACTGGGCAAACGGGTATTTTCAAAGCCGACTGGGCTTTAAATCCATGCAGTGCTTTGCTTTTGTTTGAATATATGTGTCATTATTTGCAGATTGGTGAGGCTGTGCATTTATGTGAACAGTTTTGAATTCCAGACCTGCTTCCCTCTGTCATGTTGTACAATGAAAAAGCTTTCTTTCACTGCTCAAAAAAAACATGAACTCTTGAGAAGCAAACTTACTTTTAACATTATCTAGACATGAATATAATAAAAATAATGCTCTTCATTTCAAAGAATTAAATAGCTATAATTTGGGATTACTTCCTCCTTTCTCCAAAACACCCTAACTTGTTATTTCCCATGAGACTAGGTAATTCAGTTTAAACTGTCTGTATATAGTTAGACTGAGAGTACTGAAAGGTAAAGACGACGTTTCTGCTGCCAACCATAGAAATATTCTTGTATTCAATGTACTGTCATACATGTTATAGAAGACAACCATATTAAAGTTCCTGGTGATCAAAAAACTTTCAAAGAGAAGTTACTCCAGTTAATAGGAATGAGAACAACAGCCAGTCAAGTTACTCAATATAGTGACAGGTGAGTGACAAATGAATGAATGTGAAACAAGAATTGTCTTTATAAGTAGCTTTTAGGAAATGAAGTACGTACAGAATTATTAAGAATGCTAATATACGAAGGAGAAAGAAAAACAAGGCCAGAGGACATGTAAACAGCAGCAATAGAAAACTGAAAAGAAAAGCAAATCCCATTTAAAAGTGGCTGAAAAATACACCAGATTGGAAAATTGGAAAATAAAAGAAAATTGGGTAAAAGTTTTCACTCTGTATAAAATGATAAAGGAACAATAGATTTTCATGTCTTCTCCTCACTTGCCATGACCCTGGTCATGGCTTCCACGATCTCTTGTGTAGATTAATGCGGTACCGTTCCTTCCTCTTGGTGCTCCTCACTGTCAATGTGAAACCATTCTTCCAAAACTGCTCAGCTCAAACAGGTGCACGCAGTCATATCACTCTCCCATGAAACAAAGTTGAATGGGTCCCCATTGTTCTACAGCAGTATTTCTCCACACATGGTTTCTGTCTTATCATCATTGAATCATCTGGAGTGCTTGTTAGAAATGCAGATTTGGTGGGGTGGGGGGGGGGGTCTTCTGCACACCCATTGATTCTATAATTCTGGAAGTACAGCCCAGAAATCTGCATTCTACTAAAATGTCCAGGTGATTCTTAAAGTTTGAGAGGTACTCCACAAAAATATCAAAACCTCTTTTAATGGAATATTTTATGCTATAATCCCTTGTTATTTCTCCTGCCTCATCCCTTAACAAGTGCCCTCTGTTGTTTATGTGCCTGTCAGAAATACTGGATTACTTTAAGCTCCTCAGACACAGTAAGCTCTGCCACACCTCACTGCCTTTGCACATCCTGTTCCTCTTCCTAGAATTTCCAGCTCCTCTGCTTGGAAACCTGCACATCTTTCAAGCATGAGCTGTAAGGTCACCTCTCCAGCAAAGTGGTCCTGACCTTTTCCTGCAGACATAAATGGTTTTTCTCCTGGCTCCCCAATGAATTTTATTCATATGCATGCCTCTTTTTTACCAGTCATTCCACTGCAGCACAATTATGTGTTTACAGGTCTAATGCCCTACTATGCTTAAAGCTCTCCAAGTACAAGGACCGTTTCTATTCATCTGTGTATGTCTCAAAGTACACACCAGACACTCAGCGGAATGAATGGTTGCACACACATTTTTCTAAGGTTAACTAAAAACAAAAACAGTTATTTTTCTATTTTTCCAACTTCTACAGATAAGCCCTGAGGGATGCTTCCAAAATCAGGTTGCCTTTGTCAATTGGCTGGATGATTTTTCTTTTAAAGCACTGTCATTATTGACAATCTTCGTAATGAGTAATAAAATGATCAATAAAAAGTCCATGATATTCAGGCATATTTAAAAGGTTTATTAATAAATGAACCAAACGCCACTATTGGGTTTTTACTTTCCTTCCCAATAAGTATGGCTGAAGTAAAGTGTAGTTTGTCTTCTCTAAAAAGATGAATAAAAACATGAACTTGAGCAGGGTGACCTTTTTCCAAGGTAGTAACTCAATCCTGCTGGAAACATGATCAACACACACAGCCATAGCAGAGAAAAGATGAGAATCAAGAGTGCTACATCAACAGTGCTCAAGGTTTGCAATCTGCTGGCCACCACCTCACAGTCTGGGGCTCCTGGCTCACAAATGTCAGCTTACCCAGTGAAACCTTCCGTCGCACTTAGGAGGAGTTACAAAGTTGAACAGACTTCAGATCAGCTCATCTGAGTAATGTTTCACAATCAGTTCCCTCTGTTCATCTCCTCTCCTAGCACATTTCTTCCTCTTTCACAACTGCCCGTTCCTACATCTTGTTCTTGCCTGTATTGCACAGACAATCAATCTCACCTAAGGCTTTAGATGAGATTGATAAGTAAGAATTAACGTTTAGTTGATAACTTAGAAGATGTGACCATCTAGCTGGCTTTACAGTTTAAAGGGGACTGAAACTTTAAGATGAAAGTGCAAGGTATAGGTGATGGGGAAAGTCTGCCCATGACTTCGGAAGTCTGAGTTTAGTAGATGATGCTACCCATCAGAATTTAGAGACAGGCTTCCCAAGGAGTGGTAGCTATCACTCCATCTCCCTAATTCTTTTCATTAGAGAAAACCGGAAGTGAAGATGCGAAACACTGAAAAGGACATCAGTTCTTGATATAGACACTATCTCTTTTATTTTCCTCATAGTTATCAAGAGTAGATGACTTATTTACTAATTATGCAGACACCAAAAATGATCATTATGAAGATTATATAGCAGCATGGTAATGCATTACATGAAAAAACAACAGAAAAAAGTGCACCTGTATTACGATTGCAATCATAAAATCACGCATGCATACAGAAAAAGATTTGCAGGCATCATGGAAAACTGAAAACAGTTCATCCTACATGAGTTATTTATTTCTGCTATCATTGTTTTAATATATATTAAATCACATTATATAACTTGAGAGTGATTTACAAGTCTTTAGTAACTTGCTCCATGACTGTATCTGTCTGCCTTGCTGCCAACTCATCTTCCCTGAAGGAACTGCAGCTACCTTCAAATAACACTGCTTGATGCAAAACACACAGAAAAAAGCAGGAAGGCCCAGGCTGTCTCTGGTGAGGGCTCATGGAGGCACATCCTTCAATCGTTCAAAAATCCTAAACCATAAACTGCCTGGGGCTAAAAGATAAACATAACCACATTTAACATCTAGAGTGGCATCAGATACTGCCAGAGTCCTTTCTCTCCCCTTTCAAAATAATCATTTTTCTATTTATCCTTTGTATCTAGTGCTATAGCTTCAGAAACATTACTGCAAAAATCATGGCTCGGAAAGATCCATCCAGTGATTTTGTCCCAGAAACAGGATTGGATATACTTCAGTGAGCTGCCAGGTATCTGTAAAGCACCTAAAACTTGAGGTATTGTCTGTTACTTTCAGCTTTACTGGGGAGTGAAGTTCTTTCAGCTTTATTGTGGAGTGAAGCCTGCTGCACATAATGGAGAACACTGGCCCAGTCACTCAAATCACAAAGGCTATTTCGTATGTGCTTCAAAGATATAAGACAGGTAATATTCTGGGTGAGTCTAACACTCATCTATCAACATGGGACCCAGGGGTTATGCCCATCATATAACATGTAAGTATCCAAACAAGGGCAATTTTCGAGGAGAAAGGAAAAAGAACTCTTGGTTCTTTTTTGGCATTTCGTAAATATGAGCCATACCAAAACTACTGAATTTTTTTCAACTTGCTACTCTCCAAGGGAAGCAAATGAAAGAACAAGTGGGAAACAGTGAACAAATGAATAGACCAGAATATGCAAACCAGCCAGCCAGTTTTTCTAATGGCAAAGTATCAGCAGACTGTTTCATGCCTGTAGTCTCTGTAACATCCCTTCTCTCAAACCACTGATACTTCAGAGCAGTTTAGGACAGAATTTCTTCTTTGAGTGTGGTAGCAATTTAAGGTCCTAAATTTCAGAGTCATTATTTTTGAGAAGCTTTCACTCAAATAATTCTGAACCTATTTTTTTAATCCAAAGAATCAGCCTTTCATAGGGAATAACTAAATTCATAACTATTTCTCTAAGAAATAGTCCAATAAATAAAACTATATCTGTTTCCCCAAAGAAATCACATGTACTCTATCTGTCAGATTCCAGGAAACTCTAGAACATATTTACACCTATAAGCTTACAAGTCAAGTAACTTAAGAAAAAGTCTCATAGAGAAACATGACCAGGTAAGTTTATCAACAACTGAGACAAGTAATACAGAATGCTCATATGACTCTTTAAATTTGAATATAAACTAACTTAATACATAGCTTTTTTGTGATGGGGAGACAAGGCTTCTGTCTCCCAGGCTGGAGTGCAGTGGCATGATCGTAGCTCACTACAGCCTCGATCTCCCTGGATCAAGTGATCTTCCCACCTCACCCTCTTTGGTAGCTGGCACCACAGGCATATGCCACCACATCTGATTAATTTTAAAAAATTCTATGTAGAGACGAGGTCTCCCTATGTTTTCCCAGGGTGGTCTTGACCTCCTGGGCTCAAGTAATCCTTCTGCCTCAGCCTCCCAAAGTGTTAGGATTATGGGTGTGAGCCACCACACCCAACCTAGACTATATTTCTGAGGTTTATTATAGTTTCTAGTTCTGTGATCTTGGATAAGTTACTTAACCTCTAAGTACCTTAGTTTCCTATTCTGTAAAATGGGAATAGTAGTACTTACCTCATAGGACTGTTGCTAGGATAGTTAGTATTTTTTAAGTATTTAAAATTTCCAAACAAAATCAATAGTTTCTAAGGCCATATACATTTTTAAAGAGGTCTTTAAAAGAAAACAAGCATGAATAATAGAAATCCATCGATAATTCATAAATTTTATTTTATAAAATTAACTTCTTACCACACTGACTCTTCCATAGATCTGTCAACAGCTGGCAAATTCTAAGTCTCAATCCTCTGTGTCTCCCTGTGAAACCTGTGAGGGCTTGCCGGAGAGCACAGAAATGCCCTAAGGTGGAGATCAAGAATAAAGCTACAAAAGCACATTTCTCAGCTCATTTATTTATGTGTCTGGTCTCTGAATATTCTGCCATTGATTACAAATTTTAAAATTTAAAGAATGAGATGAAATAAAAATCCTTTAAAACAGAGATTTAAGATAGTTTTAAAGTTCCTTTATATTTTTACTAAATAAAACTACCATATTTTATATATTCTAGAAAAATGTTTTATTCTTCTTGGATTGAAAAAAAATTTTGCTTAGTGTGACTGTGTTGTTTATTGAAAATTCTTGGAAACTCCCTGAAGTTTGTCCAAAACTATATTTCTTTCTGTAAGGGAGCTGGTTTCAAAATGTCAGTGGGGAAAAAATTATGCTTCACCATATTCACAGGGCTCTGCTTGTTTGTGGATAGGGGTTTTGATCAAAGCCACAGACCTGCATTCCTGCTGTGCCTCCATTCCTGAATACCACAGACTCTGCCCAGTTTGCTTGAATGAATTCTGAGCTGCCACATGCCTCAGTGAGACAGTGAAAACTTCAACTCATCAATGACTGGGTCAAACCACTCTGAAGACAAGCAGCTCTCCCACGTGCTCAACACTAGGACTATTTCTGAAGCCTTGATGAGAATAACTGACTTCCTGAAGGGAAAGTAAGGAGCCTAAACCTGATTATGAGCAAGGAGGTATAAGGAGGGGCAGGTGCGGTTTGAAAAATGCTTCTGTGAATCCTAGAGAAGAGGCAGGATCCAAGGCCATTTAACAACGTGAAGGTCCTAGAAACTTACCTTTGGAAGCCCCATCTGACATACTACCAAACAAATTAAAACACACCAACATCCCACATTACCTTTTTTTCCTCTAAAATATAAGTATTTTATATTTTCACTTCAAATCTCAGTAATCCTCACACACACTGGGGAATTCTCATGAAGTACAAAGATCTAAAATAGAAATTATTTTCAAATACGTTTTTGTGAGCATTAAATTTAACAATTAATGAAGTTGGTATATTATGTTTACAAATATGTCTTATTTCCCTGAATAAAGCTGTAAGCCACAATCTGATTCTAGAAACGTTAAAATGTGAACCATGTATGTGTTCCTGGGTAAATTATGGTATAAATTTTGATTCTACAGTTTTCCTGTTGTAGTTTTCAACCAAAATATCTCTCATCTTTGTAGACTCAAACTTGTCAAAATTCTGTGAATGTCTCTTCGTGCTTGAGAAACTGGGCATAAGTGGAAAGGCAGTATTGTACAGTGCTTGAGAACATAAATCCTGGAGCCACTGCCCATGTTTTTAACCACAATATCAGTAGTTTCTAGTTCTGTGATCTTGGATAAGTTACTTAACCTCTAAGTACCTTAGTTTCCTATTCTGTAAAATGGGGATAATAGTACTTACCTCATAGGACTGTTGCTAGGATAGTTAGTATTTTTAAAGTATTTAAAACAGTGTCTAATATTCCAGAAATGTTAGTCATGTTACTGTTATTTTATACTAACAGATAAAATAGTTCTGGAAGAATCACTCACTTCCCCCAACAAAGCTGCTTGCCCATTGGAAGCTGTCTTGAAGGAACTGGTTGAACCCCAAATTTCAGGCAGATACACCCATATATCAAGCCCTGGTCCAATATCCTTAATTCTACCTTTTCCTTCCCAAAGTTTTTTCTCTAAAAGAGGAAGAAGGGTAATCCCAATGCTAAGGATAACCCCCTTCAGATTAAAGGTCAGTGACAGAATCAGAGAGATGAAGCACGTTTTCTTTCCCCAGAATAAATACTAGAGTCTCTTCCCTCTAGTGGCTGAAGTATACAATTACAATGCCCCCAGCCAACTGTCATTCTTAAAATCTGTTGTAATGGAAATAATTCAGAGGATGGTAAACTTAAGTGAAAAGTCAGCTTTAGGCCAGTGGAGAGCTAGGCACAAAACAACAAAACATTGAGTTTTTTTTAAAATAAAGCAGTATTAAACATTTGCACAGCGTCATAATTATTAACCTCAGCATCACAAAAAGAGCAACTTTAATTAAACGCAACCACGTTGTAACTATTTCACACTTCCATGTCCTAACTATAGTCAGTGTAATCCTAACTACAGTCAGTGTAATCCACATAATAAATAGCTTTTTGTTTCCCTAAGTTTTTTAATGGATGGGGCTCATTAGTTTATATAATCATCCCTAAAACTAGGACAGCACTAGCACTGTCACTCTGCAGTAAAATATTAATCCTACCAAACCAAATATTTGACATGATCTGTACGGCTTGAAATATTTTCCTTAAACCATTAACTTCTCAGTGGTATAGGGAGACAAAATAAAGAGAAAGAAAAATACCACATTTTTTCAGTACAGTTTTGTTACATAAGGAACATTTTACAAAGGAAACTGGATTTTCTTTAGGAGTATTGAAATTAAACACCATACTTTAGGGACCATTTCTCAGTCTGTTACTAGAGAAGTTTCTCTGAACCTGCAGAGCACCTAAAAAAAAAAGTAGAAAAAAATTACAAAAAAAAGGGTATTATAATTATTTTTGAGCAGTTTATGTCCTAAGCCATTTCAGGCATCCAGGCCTCCAGCTCATCTGAAAACTTCTGATTTTCAAAACACATTGCACATGACTCATCAGCATACTCTATATGCTAGATACTGATGAAGGAGGGTTACACCAAATCAACTGTAAAAGTGTGACTCCTTTTTCGTCTGTAAAGTCACTTAAGAAAGCAAAAACATGTCACCTTCAAGACACAGAAGAGCTTCTGAAAACAAGGCTCTCGTTTCTTTCACATAAACTTTACACATACTTATATACATATTTGACTTAAAAAAAAACCTCAGCTAAAATATGCCCATTAGAAAAACATTTATTCTTTCAGGCTATTAAATATACAAGCATTGAGGAAGATTTGCTCTAGCACATGCAACACCATGAAGAATCTAGTAAGTTTATATAATCTTACACTTCTTTAAGATTTTGAGAGATAAGAGCATACACATGTACATGCATATTTGTTTGAAACAAAATATAGACACGTTTAGCTGGACGTGGTGGCTTATGCCTATAATCCTGGCTTCTCAGGTGGCTGAGGTGGGAGCATTGCTTGAGGCCAGGAGGTCAAGACCAGTCTGACCAACATAGCGAGACCCTATCTCTAAAAAATAAAAAATTAGCCAGGCATGGTGATGTGCACCTGTAGTCCCAGCTACTCAGGAAGTGGGAGGATCAACTGAACCCAGGAGCTTGAGGCTGCAGTGAGCTATGATCGTGTTACTGCCCTCCAGCCTGAGCAACAGAGTGAGACCCTGTCTCAAAATAAATAAATAAATAAATATATATATATATATATAAATTCATACATATATATTTTTAATATATATATGTCTATATGGAAAGACAGAGAGAAAGTACTGGAAAGGAAACAATATGAGCTTTGGATATGTTTTATTTAATGTGGTGGCAATTCATCCAAGGGGTGATGTTCTCCCAGCATTTGGACACACAGGGCTAAAAATAAACAGAGAAAAAGACAGAGTGATATGATGCACATTTACAGATTTTCTTTCTAAAATAAAGAGCAAGTATTTCTCTGTGTAACAACATATGGATCCATACTTTCTATAAAAGTCAAGTCCCGCTTGGGCTCAGTTTCCCTTTCCAGACTCTGCACTTAACACTTCTTCCTTGCCCTTCCCAGCTCTGTGCTCCCCAGGGACCTGCCCTGCACTCTGCTCCCACTGTGACCCTGCCCTCCCCAGCAAGGGATGCCTCGCTACCTCCTCCTCTCTTCCTCATAGACAACTTTTCAAACTTCTACATCCTGGTGAAATGGAATTAGACAGAATTAATCCTCTTTCCTCTGGTCTGTTATTATATTACAGCTGTTTTTGTCTGTTTTCCTTGAGGGAAGGTCATGGGTCACCCATCTTGGTATCCCAGCCTCTACCGTGGGATCATTATTGGCAATCAATATATGTTTACAGGATGAATGAGTAGTTCTACACACTGTGCTGTCTACATGTAGATGACTTGAGTCTTTTTTAGAAGTAGGTGAGATGCAAGGAGTCAATGAAGCTCAGGTTTCCCTTGTTGCTATACCACCTGCTGGAGTTTTCACTACTATGCTAAATACATTGCCATTTTATTTTTTCTAATTCAACGACATAGGAAGCAGCCCCACATATGAAAGTTATTTTTACCTTCTCTGCCTTTGTTTTGATTCCCTTTCCCACCCCATACACCCTTGTTCCACTTACCCCAAAACCTAATCTTTCCTCTAAGCCCAACCTCGTATCTTACCTACTTCAAAGTCTCTTTCAGCTATACAGACACACACAAGCAGGCTACAGGTTAAAGGAAAATAAATAGGTAGGTTATAAAATCATTCCAGGCCTACTGCTCAGATAAGGCAGGCACTAAAAATAAACCTGATTTGGTAACAAAGAAGGGAAAGGCATCAAAAAGGAAAGTTCTTCCGTACCTTTCAAAGATCCAGAACTCCAATTTGCCCAGCAGGAAAATCTAGGGCCCCTCAAGCTGCTGGCATGTTAAGGGCCTTTGTCTTTGATTGAACATTTCTTCCAGCACCTGCATTCTACCTTCTACTCACCTACCTCTCCTGAACCCTCCCCAAAATGGTCCTTTAATTCCATGGTCTGTGCACAGATGGGCAGAGACCTTTCAGCATCTGACATTTCATATCCTCCTAATGAAGGATCAGCATCACTCCACACAGAAGACCACTCTCCTGTGTGAAACTCCTCCTTCATTCCGCTTCTTTGAAATCACCTGGCTGGTCTTCCTCCTAATCTCTGGTCATGCCTCCTCCAGATCCTCAGCATGATATTTCAATCTGCAGTGTCTCAGGAATCTGTCCTGAAGCTACTTCTCACTAGTTGACTTCATCCAGTCCCCTGGCCCTGTACACCACCTACTTTCCTAAAAGTCCCAAATTTACTTCTCCAGACCTAACTTCTCCTTAGAATTCCAGATTCCACATGAGTATCATATAAAGATCTCAAATTCAACACAAACAAAACAAAACTTTTAATTTTCTTCCACGATCCTGCTCCCCGCCCTCTCAAGTCTTCCCCACCTGTGTAAACAGAACCGTGATCTTCTGTTCATCCAGTGGACAATCTAG